>NC_000021.9:39581595-40249161 GCF_000001405.40 Homo sapiens
AGTGGGGCAAGGTCTAGGCCAAGAGCTATGAACAGATCCCTACACCACCAACAGGTGGGAGTCCCTGGAAATGGGGATATTGTGGGTTAAGTCTATGAGAAATGTGTGTGGGTAGATATGAGGCTGTCCTGCCAAGGGGCCTGTAGAGAGCAGTCGGGATGCCCTGGCTACTCTGGTTTTGTCATTTATTATACGACATTGGCAACGCAGGTGGTAACCTTTGATGTGGTCACTTAGTAAAGCCATACTTTAAAGAAATGGCAAATTCTCCATCTTTAGGTAACTTTGTAACTAATCACAGGGCAGCTCAAGGGTGTTCGGAAATGAGACAGTCTATCACATAGGTGTGCTGGCAGAATAATGGCCCTGCAAAGAGGTCCACGTCTTCATCCCTGGAACCTGTGACTATGTTAGGTCACATGGAAAGGCAGATTGAAATTGCAGATGGAATTAGGTTTGGTAATCAACTAACGTTAAATTAGGGAGGTTATCTTGGATTATCTAGGTAGGCCAATTAGAATCATGAGGGTTTTTAAAAGTGGAGGAGGGAGGCAGAAGGACCAGAACGATGACAGTGTAGGGAGGACTCAACTGGCTGTTGCTGGCTTTGAAGATGCAGGAGGGGGTCAAAAGCCAAGGCATGAGGGTGGTCTCCGGAAGCCAGAAACGGCAAGAAAATGAATTCTCCCCTAGAGCGTCCAGAAAGGAAAGTAGCCCTGCTGCTGTCTTGATTTTAGCCCCATGAGACCATGAGACACTTCTGCCCTCCAGAACTATAAGATAATAAATTTGTGTTGTTTTAAGCCACTGAATTTGTGGTCATTTGTCACCGCAGCCACAGGACACTAATACATTAATACAGTAGACAAGAGCGTGAACTCAGAAATCAGACAGGCCTGGGTTTGCATCTTGGTTTTGTCTTAACCAGCTGCTTATTCTTGGGTAAAAAAAACAGAACTTCTCTCAAGTTCCAAGGAACATATAATATTTTCTCTATTTTACAACTTTTATGAGAGTTAAATGGGGAAATGTACATGTCAGAGAACAAATAAACAATTACAAAACAGAGTCAGTTAAGAGTCAGTTACCGTCATGTGCCACATAACATTTCTGTCAATGACAGAATGCATGTACAACAGTGTCCCATCAGATTATAATATATTTTTGTGTGCCTTTTGTGAGTTAGGATATGTTTAGATAAACAAATACTTACCATTGCATTACAATTGCCTACAGTATTCAGTAGAGTAACATGCTGCACATGTTTGTAGCCTAGGTGTGTAGCTAGTTGTGTCATCGAGTAGCCCATAGCAATAGGCTGTACCATCTACTCCAGGTGTGTAGTATGCTATGCAGTAGGCTATGTCACTTATGATGTTCACACAATGATGAAATTGCCTAAGAACGCATTTCTCAAAATGTATCCCTTTTGGTAAGCGACGCATGACTGTATTTGCTAGTGGGAAAGGTCAGGGTTTTTTAACTGCTAGAAATGAGGAGTTCATGGTGATTATGATAGTTAAGCCTTAAAAACTGCCTTCTACACAGGATGGGATGAGTCCGTAAATGTTCCCAGTCTGTCAAAAGAAGACTAGTTGTTCGCTGTCAGGAAACAACAGGCAGTTTTGATGATTCAAATGATGCTATAAATGGAAATTCAACTCTTCGAATCCCTCCTTTTGGGAAGGCAAATGATCACATTTTCAGGTTGGCACTATCATCTTGGTTTCAGTTTGTCATGGAATTAGAATGGTCAGTAAGAAATAAAAGCCTCATGACTAAACAATGGTAAGCAAATTAAATGTAAACCATATTACTATTTAGAGTTATTGTAATAATAAATAGTATCAGAATAAAGAAAAATATCCTCCTTTAAGGTATAATATATGTAAATTTATAGGAATATTATAAATAATCACTTTAGAGTAGAAACTTATTATAGACAGAGCATTGACAGACCTCCAGTGTTCTATTTTAAAACATAAAGTGAATTATAATTATCCCCAAAAGAGAAGGATAGTTAAACGTAGGAACAAAATCTCTCTTACAACAAGTGAATTGGTAGACTATTAACATATCAGTTTTTGTGCGTGAAAATATGTATCCTTCTTCTTAACCTGAAAAGTGTGTATTCACAAAGACATAGCTATGTTAACAATATATTGCTTCTATATAATTAAGCTAGGAAGATTAAATTTCTCTTTTAATTAGTTAGGATTTTCTCCCTTCCCTTCCCTTCCCTTCCCTTCCCTTCCCTTCCCTTCCCTTCCCTTCCCTTCCCTTCCCTTCCCTTCCCTTCCCTTCCCTTCCCTTCCCTTCCCTTCCCTTCCCTTCCCTTCCCTTCCCTTCCCTTCCCTTCCCTTCCCTTCCCTTCCCTTCCCTTCCCTTCCCTTCCCTTCCCTTCCCTTCCCTTCCCTTCCCTTCCCTTCCCTTCCCTTCCCTTCCCTTCCCTTCCCTTCCCTTCCCTTCCCTTCCCTTCCCTTCCCTTCCCTTCCCTTCCCTTCCCTTCCCTTCCCTTCCCTTCCCTTTTTTTTTTTGACAGAGTCTCACTCTGTGGCCAGGCTGGAGTGCAGTGGCACGATCTTGGCTCACTGCAACCTCTGCCTCCCGGGTTCAAGCCATTCTCCTGCTTCAGCCTCCTGAGTACCTGGGACTACAGATGCGTGCCACCATGCCCAGCTGATGTTTTGGATTTTTAGTACAGACGGGGTTTCACCATGTTGGCCAGGATGGTCTTGATCTCTTGACCTTGTGATCTGCCCACCTCGGCCTCCCAAAGTGCTGAGATTACAGGCGTGAGCCACCGCGCCCAGCCAGGATTTTCTTATATCCTGAGTTTGATAAGCAGAAGAGCTCTCAAGATAGTTTTGCTTAATCAAAATCTGGAGAATGCCAAATAAACTCAATTATTTTTGTTATTTTTCCTTTTACACGATGAAGTAGCCAATATACACATGTATTAGTGGCTACTTAGGAAACCCCAAAGACATTTTAGGTGTAAAAGACATCTTAGTTTATGATTCTAAATTTGGAGACTAAATTTGGGCAAAAACAATATTAAAATGATTAGTCAGGATAGATTGGTCACAGAATAAGAAATAGTTGTTATATTGGTGTCCACATTAGCATGAGTGAAAATACACATTTAAAAATTAGCATGATGAAAGTTAACATAATAATAATTAAGAATTGTAATTCTTTCTAAAGATGCGTCTGTATTGCCTCATCTAACATAACCTAAGACACATACTTCTGGTGCTGGCCAATATGAGTTAAGCCCAGTATAGCTCATTTCTACCACAGATTACAACTAATAACTCCAGGCAAACACAAAAAGCAAATACCTGATGCTACCCAAAGCAATCTACAGATTCAATTCAATCACTGTCAATATACTAATGATATTCTTCACAGAAATAGAAAAAACAACCCTAAAATTTACATGAGACCACAAAAGACCCCAAATAGCTAAAGTAACATTGAGCCAAAAGAATAAAGCTGGAGGCCTCACACTACCTGACTTCATAATATACTACAAAGCAATAGTAATAAAAACAACATGGTATCAGTATAAAAACAGACACATTGACCAATGGAACAGAATAGAGGACCCAGAGATAAATCCATGTATCTATAGCCAACTGATTTCCGACACAGACATCAAGAACATACATTGAGGAAAGGATGTATTCTTCAATAATGGTGCTGGGAAAGCTGAATAGCCATATGAAAAAGAATGAAACTAGACCCCTATCTCTCACCATATAAAAAATCAACTCAAAATAGATTGAAGATTTAAGCATAAAACCAGAAATGATAAAACTACTAGAAGAAAACAGCAGAAATACTTCAGGACACGAGTCTAGGCAAAGATTTTATGGGTAAGACTTCAAAAGCACAGGCAACAAAATGAAAAATAGGCAAATGGGACTATATAAAACCAAAAAGCTTCTGCACAGCAAAGAAAACAATCAACAGAGTGACGAGATGACCTGTTGAATGGGGGAAAATATTTGTAAACTATTCATCTGGGAAGGAACTAATTTCCAGAATATACAAGAAACTCAAACAACTCAACAGCAGAAAAACAAATAATCTGATTAAAGAATGGGCAAAAGATCTGAATAAACATTTCTCAAAAGAAGATGTAGAAATGCCAACAACATATGAAAACATGCTCAACATTAGCAATCATTAGGGAAATGCAAATCAAAACCATAATGAGCTATCATCTCACCCCAGTTACAATAGCTGTCATCAAAAAGACAAAAAATAACAGATGCTGGCAAGGGTCAGCAGAAAAGGGAACTCATATACTACTGGTGGGATGCAAATTAGTATAGTCACTATGGAAAACAGTATAGAGGTATCTCAAAAAACTAGAAAGAGAACTGCCATATGATCTAGCAATCCCACTACCAGATATTTACCCAAAGGAAAAGATCTCAGTATGTCAAAGGGTACCTGCACTTCCATTTATTGCAATGCTATTTACAATAGCAAATATATGAAATCAACCTAAGGCTTCACCAATGGAAGAATGGATAAAGGAAATCTGGCATATATATGGTATATGGTGTATATATATATGTGTGTATATATATATGTGTGTATGTGTGTATGTGTATATATATACTATTCATCAATTAAAAAGAATGAAATCATGTCATTTGCAGCAACATGGATGGAACTGGAGGTCATTATATTAAGTGAAATAAGCCAGGCACAGAAAGACAAACTTTGTATGTTCTCACTCATTTGTGGGAACTAAAAAAAATTAAGCTCATAAAAGCAGAGAGTAGAATTTTAGTTATCAGAGGATAAGAAGGGTAGGAGGTAAGGGATGATAGGGAGAGGTTGGCTAATGATATAAAGTTACAGCTACATGGGAAGAATAAGTTCTAGTTTTCTGCAGCACTGTAGGATGAACATGGTTAACAGTAAGTTTTGTCTAAAAAAGCTGGAAGAGAGGGTTTTGAATGTTCACCACACAAATACATGATAAATCTTTGAGGTGATTGATATGTGAATTATCCTGATTTGATCATTATAAATTGCATACATGTATCAAAATATCTCTCTATATCCTATAAATATGTACGATTACCACATGTCAACTAAAAAGAAAAAGAAAAAAAAAAAGCAATTACCTGATGGCTCTGAAAAGTAAAAATAGTAGGCAAATTCAGGAGAGGAATCAAAGCCTGAAGAAGTGACCCAAATAAGGTAAGTTCTCTGTTTTCTTTCTTCCTTTCACCTTTTTTTTTTTTTCTGAGACAGTCTTGCTGTGTCCCTGAGGCTGGAGTGCAGTGGTGCGATTTCAGCTCACTGCAACCTCCGCCTCCTGGGTTCAAGCTATTCTCCTGCCTCAGCCTCCTGAGTAGCTGGGATTATAGGCACATGCCACCATGCCAAGCTAATTTTTGTATTTTTAGTAGAGAAGAGGTTTCATCATGTTGGACAGGCTGGTCTCAAACTCCTGACCTCGTGATCCACCCACCTTGGCTTCCCAAAGTGTTGGGATTACAGGCGTGAGCCACCGCGCCTGCCCTCTTTCACCTTTTATCTTTGACCTGTGGGTGGTCCTAGTCATGGAACTATGCAGAAGCTGTGGGCAACAAGAACCTGATGAAAAGCCCCATTTTTCTATCTCTGTCTGAAAAAAGGGGGGCTCTGCAAGCCTGAGAGTGTAGAATGAATCTCCATGTTTTCATTTTCTCTTCTGACCATGTCCCAAGATGTGGCTCTAGTGTGGAACGATCCGGAAACAACATTGACAGCTTTGTCTCTCTGGCAGGGAGAAGAAACTGGAGAAAGAGACCTCTGTGTTCCAAAAAGTGATTTTTTTCTTTCTCCTTTCTCTTACTGCTTTACGTTAAATAGAGCCCCATTTGCATAGAACTGCATGGCAGCAATGGCAGCAGCTAGAACTCTGATAGATTTATTTTTCAGGACAGAAGAATAGATAAGGGGCCTCTTGGGACCTGGGAATGTAGAGATAAGTCTGACGTTGAAAACTGAACTGACCTTGAAACTACTGCCAGAGAAGGTGAGAAAAAACTTACGGTCTGAATGTAACCAGGTTGACTGCTTAAATAACAATGTTAAGAATAAAAAAAAAACAACGTTCTTCAGAAGATTTTAATGTGACCCAGGGTCATATTATAACATAATATGCAAGCTATCCAGGATACAATGCATATTTGCTCAACATACAAAGAACCAGAAAAATGTAGCCAATTCTCAAGGGAAAACACAATCAACAGATGCCAACCCTGAGATTACTCAAATGTTGGAATTATCAGACAAAGACATTAAAGCAACTATTATAATTATACTCCATGAAGTAAAGGTAAACACTCATGAAATAAAGGTAAACACTCTTGAAATGAGTAGAAAGTTAGACATTGTCAGCAAATAGAAAGTTTAGGACTGAAAAATACCCTCATCTGAAATTAAAAGAGAAATTACTGGATGGGCTCAATAGCAGAATGAAGATGACAAAACAAAGAGTCAGTGAATTTGAAGAAAGATAAGTAGATTTGAAGAATAGAAAGAATAAATTAGAAAGAAGATGAAGAAATCTCTTAGTCAGTTTGTGCTACTATAAGAAAGTACCGTAGACTGAGTGGATTGTAAACAACAGAAATTTATTCCTCACAGTTTGGAGGCTGAAAGTCTGAGATCAGGGTGCTACCATGGTCAGGTTATGGTGAGGAACCTCTTCCAGGTTACAGATAGCCATCTTATTATTATAATCTCAGATGGTGGAAAGAGTGAGAGAGCTCTCTGGGATATCTTTTATTTTATTAAAAAATTAAAAAGTATGTATTTAGAAAGTACAAGTGCAGATTTCTTACGTGTATATATTATGTAATGGTGAAGTCTGGGCTTTCTGTGAACCCATAACCCAAACAGTGAACATTGTACCCAATAGGTAATTTTCAGCCCTCACCCACCTCCCACCCTCCCATCTTTTATAGTCTCCAATGTTTATTAAAGAATATCTTTTAAAAGGCAACTAATCCTATTCAAGAGGGCTCCACCTTCATGAACTAATCACCTCTCAAAGGCCCCACCTCCTAATACCATCACCTTGGGGGTTAGGATTTCAATATGAATTTTGGGGGAACACAAACACTCATTCCATAGTAACAAAGCTTCAGAGACTTTTGGAACAATACCAAAATATCTAACATTTATGCCATTGGAATCTCAGAAGAAATATAGAGAAATAATGGAGCAGAAAAAAATATTTCAATAAATTCTGGCCAAAAACTTCCCAAGTTTGGTAAGACACAGCTGTATAGGCTCAAGAAACCCAGTAAACCCTAAACAGGATAAAATCAAGGAAAAGAACATATAAACACGGAACAATAAAATTGGTGAAAACCAAAGAAGAGGAAACAATCTTGAAAGCAGTCACAGAAAAATGAAACTACAAATGGGAGAACAACTTTTCACATGACTGCAGATTCCTCATATGAAACCATGGAGTAGAGAGGACAGTGGAACAACATCATTAAAGTGCCAAAAGAAAAAAACAGTCAACCCAGAATTTGATAGCTAGTGAAAATATTCTTCAGGATTGATGGCAAATTAAGGAATTATCAGATAAATGAAAACTAAAGAGTTTGTCACCAGCATACCTGCTCTAAAAGAAATGCTAAGGGAAATTCTTTAGGCTGAGAAAAAATGATATCAGAGGGATACTTAAAACTTCAGGAGTGGGCCGGGCCTGGTAGCTCATGCCTGTAATCCCAGCACTTTGGGAGGCTGAGGTGGGTGGATCACGAGGTCAAGAGATCGAGACCATCCTGGCCAACCTGGTGAAACCCCGTCTCTACTAAAAATACAAAAATTAGCTGGGCATGGTGGTACATGCCTGTAATTCCAGCTACTCAGGAGGCTGAGGCAGGAGAATCACTGGAACCCAGGAGGCAGAGGTTGCAGGGAGCCTAGATAGTGCTACTGCACTCCATCTTGGTGACGGAGTGAGACTCCATCTCAAAAAAAATAAATAAATAAATAAAATAAAAAAAAAAAAAAACAAAAAACTTCAGGAGTGAAAGAAGAGCAACAGAAATGGTAAATATCTGGGTAGACATAGTAAGATGATTTTTTGTTTTTAGGTATTTAAAAATATATATGGCTGTTAAAAGCAAAAATTATAACACTGGTAGAGTTTTTAATATGTGAAGAAATGATACATATTACAACTATAATAAAAAGTGAGAAAGGCAAAAGAACCTATATGGTTGTAAGTCTTCTACATTTTACTTGAAGTAGTATAAAATATGAATTCCAGGTAGACTGTGAAATATACATAGGGTCTATACATATACATATATACACACATTTATATATAATATATGTATGTATTCATTTATATTGTAAGCCCTAGAATGACGACTAAAAATCAAAGTACTATGTGATGTTGTTAAAAAGCCTATAGATGAATTAAAATGGAAATCTAAACACATTGAAGCCTGGGAGGCAGAAACACTGGAATAAAAAACAAAGAAATGAACAGAAAACAAATAACATGGAAGACTTACCTGACCATATTAATAATTATGTGAAATACAAGTGGTCTAAAAATACAAATTAAAAATCAGAGATTGTCAGTTGGGACAAGAAAACAAGACCTAATTATATGCTGAGTACAAAAAAATCAATTTCTAATTATAATGACAGGTTAAAAATAAAAGGATGAAAGTATCAATCAGTGGTAACCTGGAGTGACTACATTAACATCACACAAAGTAGACTTCAGAGCATACAAAACTTACCAGGAATAAAGAGGGGCATTTGACAATGATAAAATGGTCAGCTTACCAAGAAGAAGAATCATCTAAATGTGTATACATGTAAATTTTAAAATATGAATCTAAAATGGATAGAGTTAAAAGTAGACATAGACAAATCTATGATTCTGCTTGGACACTTCAACATTCCTCTTAGTAATTGAGAGAGCAAATAAGTCAACAAACTATAGACGGCTTGAATGACATTATGAACCAATTTGATGTAATTGACATTTATAAAACATTCCACCCTACAGCAGCAGAATACATATGGTTTCCAAACATACACACAGCATTGAACAAGATAGACCATATTCTGGCCCATAGAACAAACCTTAACACATTTAAAATAATTGAAATGTTGAAAAGTATTCTCTGACCATAAGAGAATTAAGCCAGAGATCCATACAGAAAGATATCTAGAAAATCCTTTAATACTTGGAAATTATAAATAATCCATAAGTCAAAGAGGGAGTGACAAGGGAAATTAGACAATTTTGCTTGAACTGAGTGTAGAAAGAAACAAAATCTATTAAAATTTGTAGAATTCTGATAAAGCTGTAGTTAGAGGAAATTTTAAAGCATTAAGTGCTTTTATTACAAAGAATAAAAGGTCTCAAATCAATCTAAGCTTCCGCCGTAAGAAACTAAACAAATATATTAAGCCAAAAACAAATAGAAAATATAGAGTATTCTAAAGTTTATTTGGAAAGGCAAAGGAATTATAATGCCAAAACAATTTTGAAAAAGAATAAAGTAGGGCCGGGGGTGGTGGCTCATGCCTGTAATCCCAGCACTTTGGGAGGCAGAGGAGGGTGGATTGCATGAATCCAGGAGTTTGAGATCAGCCTTGGCAAATAAGGTGAAACCTCGTCTCTACAAAAAATACAAAACTTAGCTGGGCACAGTGGCATGTGTCTGTAGTCCCAGCTGAGCCTGGGAGGTCGAGGCTGCAGTGAGCTGAGATCGTGCCACTGTACACCAGCCTGGGCGACAGAGTGAGACGCTGTGTCAGAAAAAAAAAAGAATAAAGTAGGAAGAGCCAGTCTATCCAATTTCAAGATTTATTTTATAGCTGTGGTAATCAAGAGAGTATATTATAAGGAGAGGGGTAGACACATAGATCAATGGGAATAGAATAGATAACCCAGAAATAGACCCACACAAGTATGGTGTATGGATTTTTTTTTTTTTAACTTTTAAATTCAGGAGTACAAGTGCAGGTTTATTACATAGGTACACTTGTGTCATGGAGTTTTGTTGTACAGATTATTTCATCACGCACGAATTAAGCCTAGTACCCATTAGTTATTTTTCCTGATCCTCTCCTTCCTGTCACCCTCCATTCTCTGAAAGGCCCCAGTGTATGTTGTTCGCCTCTATATGTCCGTGTGTTCTCATCATTTAGCTCCCACTTACAAAAGTGAGAACATGCAGTATCTATCTGGTTTTCTGTTCCTGTGTTAGTTTGCTAAGGATAATGGCCTCCAGCTCCATCCATGTCCCCGCAAACATGATCTCATTCTTTTTTATGGCTGTATTCCATGGTGTATATGTACAAGAAAATGTGGTACATAAACAACATGACTTATTGATTTTTGACAAAGATGCACAAGCAATTCAATGAATGAAAGAAAGATCGTCATTTAGGTAAACAGTTTAAACAATTGGACATCGATAGGTACAAAAGTAAGGCTTGGTTTAAGACTCACAATTTATTTAAAAATTAACTCAAAATGGATTGTGGCTTTAAATGTAAAATGTAAAACTGTAAAACTCTAAAACATTTAGAAAGAAATATAGGAGAAAGTCTTTGAAATCTAAGGCTACGCAGAGTATTCTTGGACTTGACACCAAAGGCACAATCCATAAATGGAAAAATTGGTAAACTGGACTTTGTCAAAATTAAAAACTTTCCCTCAGTGAAAGGCCCTGTTAAGAGGGTGAAAAGACAAGCTACACACAGGAAGAGAATATTTTAAAGCCACGTATCTGACAAATAACTAATGTACATGAAGTTAAAATCCTAGTATATTATGTATGTGTACATACATATGCGTATTTATATAAAGAACTCTCAAAACACACATAAGCAACTGAATTAGAAATGGATCAATGGTATAAAGAGACATTTCACTGAAGAGGATATTCAGATGGTAAATAAACACATGGAAAGGTGCTCATTAGCTTTTCTGGAAATTCACAGTGGGCTATCACAACACACCTATCACAATGGCCAAAATAGAATAACACCACCAAATGCCTGCAATGATGTGGGGACACGGGGTCACTCACGTGTTGTTGTGGGAATGTAAAATGGTGCAGACACCCTGGAAAACAGTTATAAGAATTAATCCCTCTTAAAGAAATATCTATTCAAATTCAATTTATGATTTAGTTTTTTGAGACAGAGTCTCACTCTATTACCCAGGCTAGAGTGCAGAGGCGCAATCATGGCTCACTGTAGCCTTGACCTCCTGGGCTCAAGTGATCCTCCCACCTCAGCTCCCCAAGTAGCTGGGACCATGGGCATGAGCCACCACACTCAGTTAATTTTTTTGATTTTTTTTTCCCCTGTAGAGATGGGGTCTTACTGTATTGCCCAGGCTGGTCTGAAACTCCTGGGCTCAAGTGATCCTCCTGCCTTGGCCTCCCAAAGTGTTGGGATTACAGTCATGAGTCACCATACCTGGCCCAAATTCAATTTAGTTGAACACATTTTTGTAATCTTAAAATGTATAAAAGCAACGTTAGTTTAAGATCAGGTGAAATTAATATAGGAAATTTAAGAAGTTCAGATTAAGCTTTCTATGAGGAAGTAAATAAACTACATGTACATAAATTAGAATATTATACTACTATTGTATTTATACTGTTACTAAATCCAAGAGAAGGCAGATTATCAAAGTGGTTTAATTTTTTTTTGAGACAGAGTCTTGCTGTATTGCCCAGGCTGGAGTACAGTGGTGTGATCATTACTCACTGCAGCCTTGCACTCCTGTGCTCGATGGATCCTCCTGTCTCAGCATCCCGTGTAGGTGGGATTATAGGCACATGCCACCTTGCCTGGCTAGTTTTTTGCAGAGACAAGGTCTCACTATATTGCCTAATCTGACCTTGAACTCCTGGCCTCAAGTGATCCTCCTTGGCCTCCCAAAGTTCTGGGATCACAGGTGTAAGCCACCATATCTGGCCTCAAAATGGTCTAATTTTGAATGATTCATCTTGATTAAACATTGTTTAATTGTTTGAGAAATTTCTGTCTATACAGATATGTGTGTATAACTCTCTCTCTTTAAATTGTTAACAGTGGTGATTCAGCTGTGACCCTTCTTATGACCTAAATATGATTAGCCAAGGCTATTAAATCAACTCTGGCTAAACCTTTCTTTTTGCTTTCAGAACTGCAGTCTCAATAAGAATGTTTTACTTAAAGGAACCAAAACATTTGAAGCATTAGGAGTTCATATTTTTTCCTTTTGGATTTATTCTATTTAAAATTTATATAAGTGCTTACAAGTCTGTATAAAGCATTTATTACAAGAAACTTTGTAATCTGATATGTTAATTTTCTTCTATTTAGTGTTAACTCTATCTATCTGAACTAGATAATTCTAGAGTTTGCAGATAATGGTCATTGCAGAATTGAAAGACTTTCTTAAGGAGTGGTGGGGGTGGCGTTAACCATTTCAAGCTCAGCTGTTCTAGGCTGAGCACATCAGGGACATAGAAGAATTTCCCTCTACAGCCCAAGTCCTGGGAAAGGTGGCAATTTTTCATCTTCTGACATATCACAGACACAACAAAAACAAACTGAGACTGGAACTTCAGAGGACAAAACTCTAGAGTGGATGTAGTATATACTGCTTGGGTGATGGGTACACCAAAATCTCACAAATCACCACTAAAGAACGTACTCATGTAACCGAACACCACCTGTTCCCCAATAACCAATGGAAATACAAAATTAAAAAAAAATAAAAAATGAAGTCTCACGGGAGACTACCGATCAGTTACAACACAAGGCATGAGCTATGGTACTTGGACAGCTTAGCTTCAACAAAACAAATTGCAGTTTCAGTGAGAAATCCAGGAGCACTCTGAGCTCAGTTGCCTCTGCAAGGCACCCAGGCTGCAGGAGAGTTGGAAGACCAAGCCTCAGCACTTGAGGGTTCCAGGAGCTGTGCCTTTCTGCTTTACAGGTTCCAGCTGGACAATCTCGGTGGACTCACCAGACCGTCCAAGAATAAAACAAAGACCACCGGTGCTAAATAATACAAAGCCATCTTTATTATTTTGACAGGGAAAGGAACATATGCCAGTGAAGAAATTTGCTGAGTGGTGTAATGATTAATTTTATGTGTCTACTTGCCTAGGTCATGGTGCCCTGTTCTTTGTTTCAACAATATAAAGATATTTTTTAGATGTCATTAACATTTAGGTCAACAGATTTTGAGTTAAGCAGACTCCATAATGTGGGTGGGCCTCCTCCAATCAGCTGAAGGCCTTAAGAGAAAAAGACTGACCTCCCCTGAGCAAGAAGAAATTCTGCTGCCAGATTGCTTTTATTTACTTGTTTGTTTGTTTGTTTGTTTTTTGAGACAGGGTCTTGCTCTGTCCCCTAGGCTGGAGTGCAGTGGTGTGATCATGGCTCACTGGAGCCTCCTAACCTTCTGGGCTAAAGCGATCCTCCCACCTCAGTCCCCTGAGTAGCTGGGACTACAGGCATGTGCCACCATGTCCAGCTAATTTTTAATTTTTTTTGTAGAGCTGGGGTCTTGCTATGTTGCCCAGGCTGGTGTCAAACTCCTGAGCTCAAGTGACCTTCCCACCTTAGCCTTCCAAAGTGCTGGAATTACAGGCATGAGCCACCATGCCCGGCCCAGACTGCCTTTCAATACAACTCTTTCCTGGGTCTCTACTCTTGATGGCCAACCCTGCAGATCTTGGACTTGCCAGCCCCTAAAACTGTGAATCAATCCTTAAAATCTGTCTCTCTCATTCTTTTCATAGCCTATTGTTTCTGTTTCTCTGGAGGACGTTGGATAATACAACTAGTTTGCCAAATAGAAAACTCTGGGGGTTTTAACTGCTGGAATGGGGAAGTTCACAGTGATTATGCTAATTAAGCATTGACTTTTGTCTTCTAGACAGGATGAAATTATTCCTTGGATCTTTATGCAGTCTGTCAAAATAATTCCCACTGCTCATTGTTCAGGAAATTGTCTTCTGTGAAGTCCAATGGGTTCTGACATCCCAGGTCCCAGATACTCGTACTGCAGCTAGTTGGAGCCAGCCGAGACAAAGCACAACATCCATTTTGATAATGAGTTGGCAAGTGCTGCCGTCAGTGGGAAGATTTTCTTTCCTCTAATTTCCCATCAAGATTTTCTTCTGACTAATGTATACTCAGCATACATGAGTTCTCAATAAAAATTGTGTTTTCTTTTTTCTTTTAAGATTCAATAGCCATAAATTGCCACACCAAGGAAATAAGGCTAGAGCAAAAGGAAGGCAAGAAGTAAATATTAAAGAAATGAAATAAGATTTTTCACCCTTTTCCCTCAGTGCACTGATGTATTTTAATGTCAGCCATGGCCAGAGACCTTTGAGGCATGAAGGGTTAGAATTTGGGTCTTGTTCATACTTCCTGAATCCTCCATCGAGAAACCTGAGTGTTAGGGACTGACTTGTGCTCTCTGCCCCAAATTCTTATGTTGAAGCCTTAACCCCCAATGTGACTGTATTTGGAGGTAGGGCTTATAAGGGGGTAATAAAATATAAATGAGATCAGAAAGATGAGACTCTAATCTAATAGGATTGGTGTCCCTAGAAGAAGAGGAAGAGGCATCAGAGACCTCTATCTCTTTCTGCTGTGTAAAAGGCCATGTGAAGACACAGCAAGAATGTGGCTGTCTGAAAGTCAGGAAGAGAGCCCTCGCTGGGAACCAAATTCGCCAGCACTTTGATCTTGGACTTTAGTCTTCAGAACTGTGAGAAAATAAATGCTTGTTGTTTAAGTCACCCAGCATGTGGAATTTTGCTATGGCAGCCCACGCAGACTAAGATGCTGAGACAATCTCTCCTTTGGACCACTGATTGAGGGGAGTCAACTTGGCTTCTCTGATCTAATAGTTTTGCTCAGTGGAAGGTGACACCAGGCCAAAGACACATTGACTCCATCCTTTACTTGTGTTTTCTTGTAAAATGTAGAGTCTGCCACGCCCTGGCTTTAAGTCTTTTGGGGTTTTCTCAGTGGCTGCATGATCACATTCTAATTCTTCAGAAAGTCATTCAAAAATCTTCACATTATGTGGCCAGGAATGGTGGCTCACACCTGTAATCCCAGCACTTTGGGAGGCTGAGGTGGGAGAATCTCTTGAGGCTGGGAGTTCAAGACTAGCCTGGCCAACATGACAAAACCCTGTCTCTACTAAAAATACAAAAATTAGCCAGTGTGGTGGTGCACGCCTGTAGTCCAAGCTATTTGGGAGGCTGAGGCATGAGAATCGCTTGAACCTGGGACACGGAGGTTGCAGTGAGCCAAGATCTTACCACTGCACTCCAGCCTGGGTGGCAGAGTAAGACTCTGTCTCAATTAAAAAAAAAAGGCTTTCACATTAAAGCCCCAAGCTCCTTCTCTTCCCACATCACTTTCCACTCTATGTCCTCTGTCTTCTAGTACATGGGCCCTGTATTAATCCGTTTTCATGCCGCTATGAAGAAATACACAAGACTAGGTAATTTATAAAGGAAAGAGGTTTAATTGACTCATAGTTCTGGAGAGGCCTCAAGAAACTTACAATCATTGTGGAAGGGGAAGCAAACTTGTCCTTCACTTGGCTGCAGGAAGGAGAGTCCTGAGCAAAAGGGGGAAAAGCTCCTTGCAAAACCTTCAGATCTCGTGAGAACTCACTCACTATCACAAGAACAGCATGAGGGTAACCGCCCCCATGATTTAATTACCTCCCACAAGGTCCCTCCCCCCAACACGTGGGGGTTACAATTCGGATTACAATTCAAGATGAGATTTGAATGGGGACACAGAGCCAGACCATATAAGGCCCTGTGTAGTTGGCAGAATAATGGTCCCCCAATATACCTGCCCTCTGATTCCTGACACCTGTGAATATGGCACATTACATGGCAAAAGGGACTTTGCAGGTAGAATTAAGGCTGCAGACCTTAAAATGGGGAGGTTAGCCTGGCTGATTCAGGTAGGTCCAATATACTCACATGCACTCTTAAAGATGAAAGAGGGAGGCAGACAAGCCATAGAGAATGGAAGAGGCGGGAGAGAGTCACAGTGCAAGAGGGACTTCCCGCGGGTGCTGGCTGTCAGGATGAGATGGGCCATGAACCAGGGAGGGCAGGCGGCCTCCAGAAGCTGAGGGCAGCCCCTGGCCAACAGCCAGCAAGGAAACAAGGACTTCATTCCTACAACCCCACACAGCTGAATTCTGCCAGCAGCCCCAGTGAGCCTGGACGTGGATCCTGCACCAGAGCTCAGCACTGATGACATCTTGATTTTGGCCTTGAGAGACGAAGCACAGAAGCCAGCAGAGCCCGTGAGATTTCTGACCTCCCCTAGGAAGTGTAAGATAATACGCTTGTATTGTTTTAAACTATGTTAGTCGCAGTTTATTCCAGCAGCCACAGGAAACATTGCCCCCGCACATGTCCTCATTTGCATGCTTTCTTGTGTGCTGCTGCTGCTGCTGGGAACACCTGTTCTTTAGCTCGCCATTACGTTAAAATCTCACCTGTCCTGGAAGGCCCAGCTTCCACGGCCATCCCTGAGCAGCACTTCCCTGCCCTTAATGACAGAGCAGAATGAATCACATTCTTCTCTGTGCTTAGAGAATTTTGCTTCTATCTCAACAAAGTGCATGCGGTGAGTGGTTAGCATCTACGCGATGGTCGCCTTTTGCTGCACTCTGACCCTTGTCCCTAGCCCAGTGCCTGATAGTCTGCTGTCAATCAGATATTTATTGGGAGGCTATGTTGGTGCCACACAGATGTGTCGTAGGGGCTAGGTATACGGGGTTGCCTAAATCAGACCCAGGGCCCTTCATTCTCTCATGGACCTTCTAGGCTACACATATTCAGTGCCTCATAAACATCTGCTAAGTTAATTGAACCGAGGCCTCCTAGAGACAAGGAAGCCACAGTCACCGGGAAGCAGGATTGGCCTGGTCTGTCAGGGCAGCCTCATATATATGCACACACGAGTCTTCCTCCCACAGCATGGACCATCTGCCATCTGCGGGAAGCTGTGGGGCACCAGGAATGCTCATCGCAGGGTTGTATTTGGTTCAGCCACGATTTGCCTGGGGCGTAAGAGAGTGCTGCTTTCCCTTTTCTCCTCAAACTTCCTTTTTATAAGGTGACTGCAATGATATTTACACACATCGTTTCCAAAAGGCTTTTTTCACATTCGCCATGACATTTAACCTTATGATAAACCTAGGGTGCACACGCAAGTAAAGCGAAGAAAACATGCGATTGATTACAATTGTATAGCTGTTTTATTTAGTCTTTCCTGCTGAAAAGTCCCTAGTTTCAGGGCTAATGGGCTGGCCTTGTTCTTCAATGTAGCCATTTACAAGAAACAGCTGAAGCTAAGTTTTGCTTATGTTTGGAAATCAAGCAAGATCTACATCTCTTATGAGGCCTAACTGGCTTTGTCTGTGTTTGCTCAGTAGTGTACCCAACCACTTCTGGCTTGAAGCTGTTTGGACTGGGGTTTTAACAAATAAAATCTCAACTTTTATGGTGCCTCAGTTTACCATTTAACAGAGGCCTCAGAAGAAATCCACCCTGCTGACCCCTCGATTGCAGACTTCTAGCCTCCAGAACTGTGGGCAGATAAATGCCTGTTAGTGAAGCTGCCCAGTCTGTGGGTCTTATAGCAGCCCAAGCAAATGAATCCACTTACCTGTGGCCTTATTTAAGTTCCCTTCCATCCCTGGCCTCTCTGCCCCCAGTGTCTACTTTAATCTCTGTGACCAAGTCCCCATCTCCACGGTGCAAGTTGGGGGCCAGGCGGGCTCAGCTGGGCCTTGAGCTGGCATAGGGTAGCCCCAATGCTGAAGATTCACCAGTGATAAACACAGACACAGAGAGACATATGTGGGGCTGAGCTGGAAGCTGGATGGGAGAGTCAGGGGCTCAACGCCAGAGAAGAGGCAGGAAGGGTTTCCTGTGCAGCAGGGGTTGAGGGATGGATAGAAGCCTCAGCATGTGGACAACAGACATGAATTAGAAGCTCCTGGAGCCTACAGGGAAAGAAGCTGAGGTTTCCAGCTGCTTGTTCCAGTGGTTACCTCTGTGTGCAGTGGACCTTGCTGGCCAGAGGTGAGGCAGCTGGGCTGGGAAACCTGGGAGGAGACTCCCCCAGCTGCGGTGACATCTTTCTTCATGCTCTTCAGAGTCATGATTCACACACTTCTCCCCCTTCTTCTTCTGGGAGGCTTCTACAGTCTGGGACTGCTTCTTCTTAAGGACCTCCTGGATGCACCCTTTGTTTGTATCCCAGTGTCCAGCACTGTGCCAGACACAGTAACTTCCCTGTAGATGCAGGTTGAACCAAGGGATCAATTAGGAAATCAGTTTGCATCTGCCACTTGCCTTTCAGTTTTACGACTTTTATCTGCAAGGCACAATCGGTTTGGTGGAATGACTGGCCAAGATGGCAAAGCCAGGAGGAATTTGCAGCAGGGATTTTTACCCTCATTTTGGATTTAGTGCGGTCAGGTAACCCGTGAGTGAGTCTGGAGGATGGCTGATAAAAATATTCTTGGTTCCAAAGTTTTCAAGAGCTCTGGAGGCAGGTCAGGCATGAAAACTGTGAAATGATGGCTTGTCCTGTAGAACTCTACAAGGAAGAATTGGCTGAGTAAATTATTGAATAGCAACTTTTTCTTTCATTTCCTTTTTTTTTTTTAACCAGTGGGAAGCTGAACATCTCAGGACAGGTATTATTATCACTAAAAAAATAGACGTCATAAAATTTATAGTGCTTCATTTAGAGATTGGAAGATCTAGGCGTTAAGCCATTTTCTAATGCTGTAAAATAAGATTAATGATGTGTCTTTTTTAATGATCCCTTTTTTAAGATTAAAATCTTTGATGTGGAAAATGTTCATTGCTGTTGCTATTTCGAGGCCTGGATGAATTACCTTACCTTCTGTGTCTGTGACAGATCCCTGTGTCCACTGCAAAGTTCTACCTTCCCATTTATTGGGTTTCCTAGGTTTTCTAAATTTACTGATTTAACTCTAGTGGTTCAATTTATTCCAGAAATTTATTCACTAACTGCATGGCACTGCGCTTTCTTACACAAGGGAGTTCTTTGATGGCTGACAGTGGAATTATTGTCAACCATCAATAGGAATACATGAACGTGTCCTGTTTATAGTTCTGTAGGTAGAACTTGGGTAATATGAGGGATCCTGACTTGTTTGCACGAGGCTCCCAATGAGGTTGTATTGTTGAAATTTTAATTGTAATTTAGTGGATAAGCAAGAAATAATAGTTCAGAGGATCGTTTCCTAAAGTCCTTTCATTGTGACCAGGGATTAAAGTAAGTGGCAAAGTAAACAAAAATGCCACCCTCCAAATACGGAGCAACCCTCCCCACCCCAAACTACCCCCACCCTGGCTCCTGGAGCTTTATTGTGGCTGGAGGCTGCTGTCCCTGGCAGTGCTGCAGCCATAGATACTGCCTGTTCATGGGACAGACCTGTCTTGTGTCTCAGCACACAGCCTAATGTGCTACTCCTTCTGCAAATATCACTCTAGTTTCAACATAGCTCTTCTGTATTTTAACCCGAATGGCTGATGCTGGTTGTATTCAGCGATGGGAGAGAGCACCTAGAGAAAAAAAAAAAGAGCTGCTGCTTCTTCCTCTTTTCTCCCTCCTCAGCCAGCATGATGCAGAAGGTCAGCTCCTAGAGGAGGAGCAAGCAGGCCAGGACGGCTTCAGCACCCACTCTTGTGCGACTTAACACTTACATGGTAACACCATGTGAAGTTCGCGGACGTAAAAACAAACGATATCGGGTCCTCTCCCCCAGATGCGATGAGCAGCATGCAGACCAAAGGACAGCGGTCCCCACAGTGCAGCGTGCTGTGTGCTCCTGCAGAAGGAGGGACAGACATGCCTGAGGATGAAGCCACTAACTGGGAGTGGGGAAGAGAGAGAACAGTGGCTGAACAGGAGTTTCCTAGGGACCTGCAGAAGGGAAGAGTGGGCAGGACAGAAATAAATAATGCCAGAGTTCTGTGTCACAAACGGTGGACTGTCAGCACGGCTGGTGGGAGGGGCCGTGCAGCACCCAGTCAGCAGCAAGGCTGGGCGGGCAGCTCAGGGCCAGACTATGAGTGGGCTTTCTAGTGTGTGTGGCTCTGGCCAGGCACAGTCATGGTTTTCAAGCAAGGATTTGATTTAAATAGATCAGATTCTTCTAACGTGGAGCTCAGGAGGGAGACCAGGCATGGGGTGGCTGCAAAGCACCTGCCAGAAATGGTGAGGCCTGGGCTGGGGTGGAAGGGGGAGCTGGACCCAAAAGACACGCTTAGGGAGAAGTGACTGAGATTTGTGAGGGAGTGAGATCGGAGACCTGCAGCTTCTGACGGGAGTGTCGAGTGGACAGTGACACCGTGCACCCAGAAAGGCAGTGATAGAAGGTCCAGCGGGTTGGTGGGGAAGGTGGTGGAAAGGCCCTTGAGGCATCTGCCTGCCTTCTCTGCTTTTCACCCCTTGCCCTGCCCTTGTCAGTCTTGTGAGCCTTGGTGAGCACTGGGGAACTTCACCGGGAGGGGCAGAGCCATGGCCCCAGCTTGGAGGGGGTGCACAGGAGGAGTGTAGCCTGGAGAAGCCTGCCCGCGCCTCCTTCTGTGGGTGCCAGCAGTGGCTTGGGCTGGTGTTCCCCTGCTTGTGCATTCTATTAGCCTGTGCCAGTCCACGGGCCAGTGGCTGGGTCTCATCCGAGCAAGGAAATTTGGAGCTTCCCGCTTTCCTCTTGCTTTTCTTTAGACAAGGCATATGGTGAACGCAGTCCTTCCCCAGCTGCTTCTGGCGGGTGTGGCAAAGCACAAAGTGCGGAGATCTCCTGGTTCAGGGAGAGAGGGATCTGGTGCCTGAAAAACGTGACGTGAACACTTGGCTTTTCTTAAAACACTCCTCATTGCTTTCCTAGCATAGCAGTTATTTTCCGTCCTCTGGGCATTGGTGACAGTGTGGCCGCTCCACAGATGTCAAAAACTCAAGTTAATGCAAAGACTTTCACTTCTCAGGCTCCAAAGGCCTCAACAAGCTTCCCCTCATCTGTGTTCATGGACTTAAACTTCATGTTGTCAAATGAGTATTAGGTAATGGCAGAAATAACGCATGTATCACACATTTATGGATTTATTTCCCTTGCATTTATTTTACTTTAGAACACCATGACCCAAAGCAGAGCTCTTGAAACTCTAGTCCTACAACACAATCTTTGAAAAATGGGTTTCATTTTCAGATGCTTGGGAAATATTGCATTCCCTATGCTCCTCTTGCACATCAATTGTCAGCTCACAATAAAGGCTCTGAGAAGGCCTGCATTATAAAACTGTGCAGACAGGGTCTCCCCAAGTTGTCACACGTGAGATCCCGGACTCTGTTTAGTGGTTTTTGGTTTTTTTCTAAATGCATTTTGAACAGCCAGGGTACAGACTTCCGTGAAGACCACCCTAGAATGCACAAACCACACAAGCCTTTCTAAGTCATGTTGTTGAGTCTGTAAAAGAGGAGGAAATTTGGGAAATGGGCGGCAGGCTTTTCCTGGCCCTCAAGAGAAGAGCTCCCTCCTTTTTGCATCGATCTCCCTTTTCCATATTTACTTTGCCTCTAATTAATTTTTCTTATTGCTCTTCACCCTATTTCTTGGTGTTTTGCCTGAGATGAAAGTAGGATAATTAGTTCCTTATCTCTGTTTTAAAGGAATTTCATCTGGCTTCCAGCTCAGGGGCTAATTATGGCTTTATGGATTTCCTTCTTTGAAATACATCTATGCTAAATACTGCCAGCTTCTCATTCACTTCAGGCTAAAGTGGGAAGCTCTGTAGGCCTAATTCTCTCCCTTCCCTGTAGATTCATACTGTTAATGATAAAAAGGGGGAGAGGAGGCTGGGTGTGGTGGCTCATGCCTGTAATCCCAGTACTTTGGGAGGCCAAGGTGGGCAGATCACTTGAGGCCAGGAGTTCAAGACCAGCCTGGTCAATGCGGCAAAACCCCATCTCTACAGAAAAGAGGCAAAAATTAGCCAGGTGTGGTGGCACACACCAGTAATCCCAGCTACTCGGGGGGCTGAGGTGGGAGGATTGCTTGAGCCCTGGAGGTGGAGGCTGTAGTCTGCTGAGATTGTGCCACTGCACTCCAGCTTGGGTGATGGAGTGAGACTCTGTCTCAAAACGAAAACCAAAACAAAACCCAACGAAGTCCTAAGTCAGCCCAAAAAGTGGGGGAGAAATTAGGTGCACTAACAAGGAATATGCGCATGTTATAACTTCAGGCTATTTCTGTTTGTCAGGAGATTGCTTTACCAGGGCCAATTATTTGGTTCCTCTGTGGCTCAGTTTTCTCATCTGTAAAATGGGAGAATAACAGCATCTACCTCACAAAATTGTAGTGAGAAAGAAATGTCAAACATTTAGAATAATGATTGGCACAGAACTTTAATAATAATAACAACAATAATAATACATAATGTTACTTCTAAAAAGATACTTAAATGAGTCTTTCGAAATTGACACCTAAGTCTTTTGCCCAGGCTTTACTCAATAAAACCAATCATGATAAATCCTGGAAAATAGGGCCTTAACATCACAGTGTTGTTTTATTTTTTAATTAATTAATTAATTAATTAATTTTTGAGATGGAGTCTCACTCTTTCGCCCAGGCCGGACTGCAGTGGTGCCATCTCAGCTCACTGCAAGCTCCGCCTCCCAGGTTCACGCCATTCTCCTGCCTCAGCCTCCCCAGTAGCTGGGACTACAGGCGCCCGCCACCGCGCCCGGCTAATTTTTTGTATTTTTAGTAGAGACGGGGTTTCACCGTGTTAGCCAAGAAGGTCTCGATCTCCTTACTTCGTGATCCACCCGCCTCGGCCTCCCAAAGTGCTGGGATTATAGGCGTGAGCCGCTGTGCCTGGCCAACATCACATGTTATTAATTCACCAAGCATTGCTAGCACTTTTGACTTTATTTTGGAGATCCGAAAATGCTTCTGGGCTGGACACTCAAATAGCAGAGTGAGCGACAGGTCCTGGGGGGAATTTGGAGGTCTGATTCTGCTTCCCAGTCCGCCACTTCCTAGTGATGAGCTCCTGGGTCACTACCGAATGACCAGTGCTAACGTGCACTGAGGGCTTACTAGGTGCTGACCAAAGTTCAAAGCACCTTTCCTGCATCTCCATTGTGGACATGGGACAGTGAGGTGACAAGAGGTGCTCAGTCACCAACGAACCTCAATTTCATCTGTGAAATAATAACACCTCCCACTCATCCCACCCAGTGGGATTATCACAAGCTTGAATGACATTGTCTAGAAAGTACTTTGAAAGCTGCAGCATTCTGGTGGATGAAGGTAGGAGGTCCTCAGATTTTCACTTAAAAGCTTCTGGTTGACGCGTGATTTCTCCCCTTTGCAGGAAGCTGACAAGAAGCACGTTGCTGAGTGATCCTGGGTTCCCATCCTCCGCACCCGTGCATCCACGCGTGGGCCCAGCCAGCAAGGAGAAGTCTAACAGGCAGGAGGAGGGGAGACACAAGGAGCCCCCGCAGTAAGTCACAAGAAGCTGCCTGCACTCTGACTTTCTTTGGCTTTCTCAGCATTTTGTACAGGGTTCCCTTGACTGATGTGGGGGTTAGAACTGGAAGGAAAGGTCCCTCTCCTCCCATCTGGAGGTGTTGAAGCAGCACTGGGCAGAGCCCAAGGTGGTACCTCTGGGGCTATGGCAGGACAGGGGTGTTCAGTGGGCTGGAAGCCCCCGTCCCCAACAAAACATCTCTGACCTGGCTGAAGACATTGGAGGTCCATACACGTTTCATTTGAAAAAGGAGTTTCTAACTCTTAAAAAGACAGAAAATCACCAATGAAGTCCAACCCTTAGTGAGAATCAACTGACCTTTCCTCTGCACTCCATCACATTTTAATTTTTTTTTTAATTTTACTTTTTTTGGAGACAGGGTCTCGCTCAGTTGTCCAGGCTGGAGGGCAGTGGCATGATCACAGCTGATTGCAGCCTTGATCTCCTGGGCTCAAATGATCTCATCTCAGCCTCCCGAGTACCTGGGACCACAGGTGTGTGCCACCAAATAGGTGTGCAGCTAATTTTATTATTTTTATTTTTTCATAGATACGAGGTCTTGTTGTGTTGTTCAGGCTGGTCTCGAACTCCTGAGCTCAAGGAATCTTCCCACCTTGGCCTCTGAAAGCACTAGGATTGCAGGCACAAGACATCATTACATTTTATGGAGGTTCTGTTTGCTTCTGCACCTTGGTCTAATCCTATGATCAGTTATCACCAAGTTGGTCTCTCTTATGCCACTGTATGTTCCTGAAGGAGAAATAGTTTATTTTTCCTTGTGCCCCACCTCAAAGGATGATCAACATATTAAGCCAACACTCCAGAATGTATAGGCTTCCAATCAATGCGCTGTCTTGCAAATGGTCCCAGAACTACCCTCTCTTCAATATACCTCTTTTGACAGAGCTCAGCGTACAGGAAAATCTCCTCAAATGCAGAAATTTGAGTGTGAATTTAATTTTCAGTGCATCAAAAAATCATTTAGCACTAGGAAGATAGCCTCTCTGACAGGAACGGTGTGTACCTCTAAAGAATGGGTTCCTTGAGAGGGTAGGAAATGATTCTGAAGGCTTCCAAACACGAAAAGCTGCCATGCTGGTTGAAAAAAAATCAGTTATGTTATTTCAGAATTCTACTTTCTGCTTCCTTCCCAATCATACAAGCTACACGACGTTTAACTCTGTGTACTAGGCAGTTCTGCAAAGGAACAGGCAGTCCTTGGGTCTGGGTTGAAGACAAGAGCTTAAGTCCAGTCTCTCCAAGCACTGGTTAGCTGCATGCAACATGGCACGTTCACGGATGCTGCATTCTGAAGTCAGGATCACTAGCAACAGATACAAAGAGACCCTGGGTGTGATGGCTCATGCCTGTAATCCCAGCACTTTGGGAGGGATCACCCAAGTCCAGGAGTTTGAGACCAACTTGGACAACACAGAAAGACCCCTGTCTATACAAAAAAATTAAATTAAAAAAGACCACGCTGGGCAACATAGTGAGACTCTGTTTCTACAAAGGAGATCCCCCCCGTCCGTTTTTTTTTTTTGAGACACAGTCTCTGTCACCCAGGCTGGAATGCAGTGGCATGATCTTGGCTCACTGCAACCTCCGCCTCCCAGATTCAAGTGATTCTCCTGCCTCAGCCTCCTAGGTAGCTGGGATTACAGGCATGCACCACCACACCCGGCTAGTTTTTATATTTGTAGTAGAGACGGAATTTCACCATGTTGGTCAGGCTGGTCTTAAACTCCTGGCCTCAAGTGATCCACCTGCCTCAGCCTCCCAAAGTGCTGGGATTACAGGGGCTAGCCACTGCCCCTGGCCTTTTTTTTTTTTTAAGGGTCTGTGTCTCAGTATGTTGCCCGGGCTGCTCTGGAACTCTTGGTCTCAAGCGATTCTCCTGCCTCAGCCTCCCAAGTAGCTAGGATTACAGGTGCACACCACCTAGCCTAGTTTATCCCAAATTTTTAAATAGAAATTTTTATTCCCTTCTCTGGAAGAAATATGAAAAGGACCAAAGCAAAGTGGTTTTCACTTGTTTGTTTGCATTTTGGAAGTGAGATTGCCTTATAGATCCTCTTTCCCAATATTACTATAAATTAAACTGACTTTAAAGTGACCAACTTTCCTACCAAGCTTACCGCACTATCTAAAGGCCTTGTGTTCTAAAAGCAAAAGATCAAATCGTATGTTTTAAAGAGGAATGGTGCCATTGTTATTATGTGGATGCTCACTATGTGTAGGTTCTGTGTTGAGTTTTACTCAGTCACTCATTTAAACAATTTATTTGTTAATGCATCACTTTGTTTATTCACTTAACACCTGTCTTGAGTGCCTGCTATATCTCAGGAACTGTGATAGACATTGGTGGAAATAGAAGTCAGTGAGATACATGAAGGAGGCTAGTAGTAAAGACAGAAATTAAGACAAACAAACACAAAAATGCCTGAGAATTCGCCAGGCCCTGTGGCTCATACCTGTAATCCCAGCACTTTGGGAGGCCGAGGTGGGTGGATCATTTGAGGTCAGGAGTTCGAGACCAGCCTGGCCAACATGATAAAAACCCCAACTCTACTAAAAATACAAAAATTGGCCGGGCATGGTGGCAGGTGCCTGTAATCCCAGCTACTCCGGAGGCTGAGGCAGGAGAATCGCTTGAAACTGGGAGACAGAGGTTGCAGTGAGCCCAGATCGCACCACTGCACTCCAGCCTGGGTGACACAGCGAGACTCAGTCTCAAACAAACAAAAAAAAAAGCCTGAGAATTGTTATGTTACCAAAAAGAAAGCACAGAGTGCCACAGGAGTCCTCCAGCATTTGGCTGCACCATCTTTCTATAAGCTTTACAACAACGCTGTTATCATGCCCACTGTGTAGATGGGGAAACTGAGGGGTGGAGCTTACTTACGGAGTAAGAGTTTGCAAAGCCAAGTTGACCAAACTCTACATGTTCTTACCACTCCATCTCCTTCCTGGCTTGGAACTTCCATGCTGAAGGTTCCAGATGGACCTTTATTTTAGAGACCTTAGAACTGGCTTAGGTTTACATGCTCCAGAGCTCACTAGAAATGTCAGGGAAGGCACAGCCATGGGGAAGGGGGTGCACTGTGCCAAGAATTTTGCTTAAGAAGCCAGCTCAACAGTGAAAGGTGATGATCATTTTCAAGTGTTCTTGGTTTTTCATGTGTCATAAAATTGCACTATTCAGGAATAATCCCAAAATCAAATTAAAAACTTCTATGAAAATATGAAATGGAAAGCTTACTGATGCATGCTTATAAACTGGTTACTGTACTTTCTCTGTGGCCTCAGGGCTGGAGGGCTGTGTTTTTTCAGAGGTGACCAGGGACCATCCAAACACAGCCTCCTTCCGCACTTCTCTTAACCAGCGTAGACTCTTCTGGTCCCATTCAGAGAGTGAATTCCTTCATTATCTGGGAAGGCGTGGTCCCACCTACTTATAGCAATGAGGGGCCACCTTCATCCTAACCCATAGGGTGCAACTGGCCACAGCCTTGCCTATCCGTATAATGCACAATTGTCATGTTATAACCACGTGGGCCACCCTGGCTTGGGCCATGTTTCCTCAGCCCCCTGGGAGGGGTGGTGGTCATAATCATGTTCTGCAATCCCAATGAAGGCTCCCCCCCAGTTGGGGAAAAGTCAGCCTGTTTGTTGGGGCAAGAATAGCCCACATGGGCAGGATATCCCCTCAATGAGGCAGTGGTGCGGCTCCCAGGGGCCCCAGGACAGTAGCCACACTGCCGGCACACACCTCAGACTCCAGGCAGCAGCTGCTACCTCCAGGGTTCAGCTCCCAGTTCCCCGGCCCACTCTGTTCTCTCACCCTTCACTTTGCTCCAAGAGAAAGCTTTGTTTCATGCTTCAGAAAACTGCTGTGGGCCTGGAAAGCCTTCCAGGCAGAGGCATTCTAATTAGTATTGTGACTTCTCTGGGAAAATCATTTTCCAGGCCTCAAAGAACCTCTGATGATTCTCTAACTTTTCATGAGGGTCCCTGGGACATCTCAGCCATGAAGCTTGTTCCACTTAGGTTTTTGAATCAGAAATGCAGGAATTTTCCGCTGGTAGTGGCTGGAGCTTCCTTGAGATGAGTGAAGAGCAAGTGAACTCTCCCGCCTCCCACCATCACCAGCCTGGATCAGGAGGGGAGAAGGAACTTGCTTGCACATTTTGCAACCAAACCCCATGGTAGAAAAGGGCCCTCGTAGTGGGTCTTAAGATAGATGAAAGGAAAAAAAAAAAAGAGTCCTCGCTTGCTCCATTTCCCCAGCCACTGCCCATGGATGCCACCGGTTGATCCCTCCACTTACCTATTTAAGTATTGCTCCAGCATTCCCTGTGTGCCAGGCGGAGGTCTCTGCTGGGGTGCAGTGGTGCACCCTGAAGTCCCGTTCTGGCAGGGGAGACAGAGCATGGACAAATGAGCAGGTGGACCCCGAAATGTCAGGTAGCAATGCTGAGCCAGAAGGATCAACAGCAGGGGACTGAGGTGTGTGTGGGGGGTGTGTGTGCTAAACAGGGCATCAGGGAAGGGGAAGTAGTCTCTGAGCAGAGATCTGGTGAAGTCCAGGAGAGACCCATGAATATCCGTGAGAGGCTTGGTCCAGGCAGAGGGCAGGGAAGGAGCAGGTCCTGAAATGACGTGGGCCTGGCCTGTGGAAGGAGCACCTGAAGGCTGGCATGGAGGGAGGGACTGGCCGCAGGGAAATTTGACCAGCGGCTCCTTCGTGTGGCGCAGGACTGGCAGCAGGGGACTTTGACCGGCAGCTCCATCATGGGGCACAATCTTCTAATCTCTGATAAGCGGCCCTTTTCCGTGGAGCTGTCATGGATAAATGTTTTCTGTAGCTATTTGTGGAGCACTGGGTCCCGTTCCTTTCTACGAGAGCGGCCGTTCCCAATTGGGTGTGACTTTGCTCCCTATGGGATATTTGGCAAGTTTGGAGACGTTGTCACAACTTGTGTGTGTGTGCAGGGGTGCGCATCCAGTGGATAGAGGCCAAGGGTCCTGTTAAGCATACCACAGTGCACAGGACAGTCTCACAACAAGGAATTATCCAACCCACAATTTCAAGTGTGCTGAGGTTAAGAACCCTGAAACCAAACAGGAGTGTCAGCGAGCACAGGGAAGGTTGCACGTTTTGACTGACAGTCACTGGTACCAGGCTCTGGAGGGCCTTGTGGGGTGATGGAAGGTATATGGGGAAGAGGTGCTCGGCCTCTGCAAATCCTTCTCCCATGGGAGAGAAGTTTGCATGGCTCACAGGTGAGACCCATCCCCACAGTGACCGGGACAGAGCAGACCACTGCCTGGGCCACTGCCTCGGCCTCTCGTACAGTTTAGCAAAGACCAATTTCAGAGCCTGAGACCATGAGCTCTGGCCTAGGATGGATGGATGGATGCTTTCACTTTCTTGACAGGTATCTCCAAGACCCAAGGCCATGGCTAGCCCATCTCACAGTGGTGCTCACTGGGCTAAGCAATTTGCGCACATTGACTTATGATCTGCCCTCTGCTACAGCCTATTTTCTACATGGTAGTGCTAAGCAGTGAGCAGGTACGTTCCTGGTGCAGGGTGTTTGCCTTTGCTGTGATCTCATCTGCCTGGAATGCTCCCTCCTCATTTCTGCCCTTTCACCATGGGGGGTCTCAGCTGGAACACTGTCCCCATGCAGAGGCCCTTAGCCCTCCAATTCGTTTCCCTTATCCTTGTTTTTATACCACTTACTAGCCTAATTGAAAACAAGCTGCTCAAATGAAGAAGTCATTGTAGTATAATTAAATTACTCTGGTCTTGGAAACAAAAAATGGAGGACCCTCCTCCCAAGGACAATTTCAGGGAAGAAGCTTCCAGCTCCACCACCAGCACCCAAAGCTGAAATTCTACCTGAACGATTCCCTGATTTTTATACTTGGAGCGCAATAAGTGTATTTTAACTGTTTACATTTAACATATAAATGTAATTTATATGTCGGTATTGACATGTATCCAGGCTTGGCTTCTGTGGCCCCTGCTGAGACTGGCCCCCTGCCCCTCAGAGCAGAGCTCTAAGTCTCAGTCTCCCAGGGCCCTTTCTCTGGGTCCTGCACCCTCCTCCCCCACCACCTTTATTAAAAAAACACCTGCCCCATGTCATAGCCCCTCAGGTGCCGGCTCAATTGAGGTGTCCGTAGCTGGACAGAGGTCTGATGTGCTTCTTGGTGCAGGACGTGCTGGGTGGGAAAGGAGGAAAGGGTGGGAAGGGAGTGGGGGGAACAGCAACCGGGGACTGGGAGGGAGAGGGCAGGGGGCACCCCGGAAGGCAGGCAGGCTCACCTCCTGTCCCCTCTGGGCTGGTACCCACCCCACTTGATGCTGCCTGAGGCGGCATCCTGTCTGGCCCTGCTCAGCTGTGAGTGTGCCAGGCCCGTATGGTTACCCCAGGAAACGGGAGCTGCACAAAGCCACGTGCAGAATCGCGTGGGAGTTTAATAATCCCGGCTGGTGATTGCTGCCCCACGGCTGCGTTCCTCTCCATCAGACCCCTCATAGGCTTCCCTCCAACCCGACGCTCAAGCTTCCGAGGCCTGTCCGTTCTCTGAAGCGATTCTACACCTTTTAGGCTCTGGACTCCATGTTCCTAATTTGTTTTTGGAGCGGGGGGTCTCTCCTCACTTCCCTATTAGCTCACGTCATCTTTGTGCAAGAAGGATCACATGTCAGCCGTGGGGAAGAAAGGGCTGGCACTGCTCTGAAGCTGCTGAAGTTATGACATTAAGGAAAATAAGCCAGCTTCATTGGGCTTGGGGTAGGCGCCTGAGCATTGGGACTTTTAAGAGTTTCCCAAGAGATTTTACTGCAGCCAGGGTTGAAGATCACTGAATTGAATGATATGTTCTCAATCCCTTAAAAAATGTATATTTGTCTACATAAATATATATCTATTTTTCCTGCCAGAGAAAGGTGGGGTCCCACTGGCTTCAGCTCCTGCGACCCCTCCCCCACCCCCGCACTATGGCTGTGGTACATCAGTATTCATTTACCTGGGGGCCGCCTGTGGCTGTGTGACCCAGGACAGGCCCTCTGACTTCTCTGTGCCGGAGTCGTCTCATCCGTGAAATGGGAATCGTCAAGGCATCTACTTCACTGGGTCGTCACTGCGCAGTCCCATAGCGCCCCACGCCTTGCATGACTTTGGCTCATTCCTCATAATCAGGCCTTTTGCTTAGCATCTCTTTTTAAAAACATCTGGTTGTGGTGGTGGTCGGGGGCGGTGTTCTTTCCGGGGGCATCTGGGGTTTGAGAAGCGAAGGACCCCACAGCCTTCCCTCTCCTGTGAGTGTTTTCAAAGTTAACTTTGGGACGGTTCTCCCGGAGGGCCAGACAGAAACTCAAAGAACCGGCCTCAGGGGATCTGAGCAAATTCCACCGTCGTCAATTCCTGGTGCTCCGTGAAAGATGCTCTTTCCCTCGGGGCTTCGGAGCCGGAGCATTTGTAGACAGTTCCTGCCTCTTCACTCGGCTGCCGGCCTGGGGGTCCCGTCGCCTCCCGGAGCCGCCCGCCGCGTCCCCCAGCCCGCGCCGCCCTGCGCGGCCCGCCGGCCTCCTCACCTATCAGATTTCCTGTGCGCATCGCCGCGCGCTCCTCCCACCTCCTAAATGCGGAGCGGAGCGGGGAGCAAAACCATCCTCGGCCTGGACCCAGCGCCTCCGGGGACCGGCCGCGCGCCCCCTGCGTCCGCGGGCCGGGATGCGGCTCTGAGCCAGCGGCGGCTTCCAGCCCGACTGGGCCTGCCGGGGCTGCCCCGCGCACGGTAAGGCCCGGGGCTGGGGCGCGGGGCGCGGGGAGCGCTGGCCGGGAGCGGGGGGCCGGGTCCTGCGGCGCGCGGGGGCGTGGGTGCCGGGCGCAGGGGACCGCGGCGCGGCCGCGCACTGCAGGCGTGCTCTTCTGTTTTCTCCTTCGTTCCTTTTAAATGAAGGGAAAGAAAATTGTTACAGACCAAATGTCATCAAACTTGGTGTGAAAACATACTCATTTATAAAGTCTTATCGCTACTCACGCCACGCCCCGAGGAAGTTGTGTTCCTGGGTGGGCACGGTGCGGACACAAGACTTAGGGAATCAGCACTGGATGGAAACATCGCACAATTAAAAAGAATGGCCTAATCTTAAGCAACAACAACAAAACAAACTCTGAAGCACCCTGCGGCAGGCAGCTTCTGCATCGTGGGGGTTGTGGAAGGGGCTGATGGGCAGGATCATGAGAAAGACAGCTTTTCATTAAGAGATGACACCAGGGGTTTTGACTTTGGGAGGACCAGAAGGGAGTCTGTAGGTCATTGCTAAATACAGTGAGGTACCTTAAGACTCAGTAATGAACATTATTTTAAAAACAATATCTGTACCGTGTGTGTGTGTGTGAGTGCGTGTGTGTGTGCGCGCGTATGTGTGCGCATGTGCACGTGTGTTCTCACACACACCGCACCATAATTTTCCTTCGTGGTTTTGTTTCGTTTTTTGTTTAGGTTTCTGACTCTTGAGGGATAAATACAGCTTCCAAATAATAGCAACTGAATCTGCAGTAATCAGATGTTGGAAAATTATTTTTCACTGGTCCTTTATGTTAGCATAGCAAACTTAAGTCTTTGTTATATGTGGCCACCTATTGTAAATATTAACATTACTTCTCATCTCCACATCTTCCTCATTTACTATTTTTGTCTTTTTCAAAGAGATGGAGATGGAGGAGGAGTAGAATTTAATGAAGATACAGATCTGGGGAAGTGTCATGTTTCGTTGGGTGCTTGGGGTAGGCAGTGGCTGCTGTTGAGAGTATTTTACAGATGTAGGAAGTCTTCGGAGGGGCATTTCTAGGTAAATGCATGCTGATTCTGCCCATCTTTACATGTACCTTTTGTGGTGTTTCCTCTTTAAAACAGGTGCGTGTAATATGCAAATTTGGTTTCAAAGGGAGAATTTTATATCTTTTAAGGAATGATTGCATGTGTATTAAGTCTTGTTTCCTATCTCCTTTCATTTTTTCCTTCTCTTTTAAAGTCAGTTCGTCTTAAGTAGTTTCTTTGTTAGGTAAATTTAATAATAATAAAAATCTGACGTGTTCAGGAAGGAGCTCAGTGTGAGGCCCATGGACGTTACCTCCTGGAGATGCAAATCGGAAAGAGATGTTTCACTATGCTGTCACCTCAGAAGATTGACAAGGACAAGGTTGTCTTTGCAAAGGTTCTTCCAGACAAGGGCATCCCTTCTTTTGTAGGATTTCTAAGTAGGTACTTTGAATAAACAAGGGCCACCTTTAATAGTTGGTTTTATGAGATTCTGCATACCTCACCATGGCCAAACTTCTCCACACGGATGGTAACCTTCATCCATGCAGCAGAGGACACGAAGGTGTAGCCCTCCCTCCTCTGTCCCTGGACAGCTACAGATTCAGGCCAGTTCAGACGGGTCCAAGAAGAGTTTCAGGGTCTCCATCTTGTCCTTCCTGGGCATGGAACTGAGCCCAGTACTGGCATCCCAGGGGATGCCCCCCATGCATGCTTGTCCATTTAACTGGGCGTCTGATCAGATTTCTGCTTGGTTTTCTGCCAGGCCTAGAGCCTGATCCTGAATCCTGGTTACAGTGACTTTGAAAAGCTGCCTGGGCTTTATCAGCCTCTCTCCCCGGGTGACCGGGATACTGATGAGGATGGAGTCCCTCCTTGTACCTGACAGACGTCTGTCTCCCTGACTATAACAGCCTTGTTCCTGGGTCCCACCCAAGCTTCGTGGCCCTGCATAAACCCAGGTTTGCAGCCTGTGTTCATTGCTCTTCTGTCGACCTTTCTCCTCCTACTGCTTACTTTCCTCTGCTGCCCCTTCCTGCTCCCAGGTAAGTCCTTGGACTTGGTGAGGGCTCCCGTATTCCTTGTTAATTCCAGTTTCTTCTCTTTTGCCTTGGCCTGAGGATAGGGTTCCATCAAGCTTTGTGGCTGACCTCTTCCGAGTTTTGACAACACTTCTTTGCCCGTGGAAGGAGGGAGTTAACTGACCCTGTGTCTGAAGATGAAAGGTGAAGGGGTGGGTAAGATGATTTATAGAGATTTTGAGAACTAACATGGCCTTCAGTTGAAAACCAGAATTAGGAGCTCTGAGTATCGTGCAGGTGCAGTGAGATTCATTTGAAAAACAAAACAACCGGAATTTTTATATCTAATTTTGAACATCATCCCCACATCCTTAATAGAAGACATCGGAGCCAGAAGTCGTTTGGGACCAAGTTGGGTAAACAGAGTGGCTGATCATTCATTCACGCATTGAATAAATATTCTTGCAGAGATAAATAGCTCAGGCTCTGCAGCCAGATGACTGGTTGCAAATCCCAGCTTTGACAGGTACTTGTTATATGACCTTCGGCAAGTTACTTAATTTCCCTATGCCTCAGTTTCGTTAATTGAAATTGAAGAGAATAATAGTACTTATTTCATAGGGGTGGTTGTGAGGATTACGTGGTTCTGTATATAATAAAGAACAATAGAACAGTGCCAGGTATATACATGCTACTTAAGTTATAGCTATTGTTGTTATTATGACTTCTTGTTGTGTGCCAAGCACTTTACCATGCTGAGTAATAATTGTTTTGGATCAAGAATGAGGTATGGAAAGAAGGAAACAAAACTAGTTGTTTCTTATTGAATTTTAAAAAATAACATGATTTGAAAAGTAATTCCCAAAAAGTTGTGAGAAGAATATTGTGAGCAAGGGCAGAATTATTTTTATAAGATGACTAACATCAGGGGAACAATATTTAGTTTGTTATTTAAATTTTGGTCCCTGTCTTTTTTTTTGTTTAAGCTGTAGACACAGGCAGGAGCATTGCTTGAGTCCAGAAGTTTGAGACCAGCCTGGACAACATAGCAAGACCCCGTCTCTGAAAATGAAAGAGCTCTGATTTTTTATAATTATTGGAAACCATTCCTCAGTGTTCCTATTCACGTTTGCAATGCTCTCTCTCTTTTTCTTACTGTTTCTAATTTATTCATTTTTCCATAGAGGTGTTTTGGTGATCACTGTGCTTCCTAAACTCTGCAAGTTCCCTTTTTAATCTCGTTCCGTCTCCTTGTCATTGCTTGTGGCTCTGTTTTGTTGATTTCCTGTTCTTAGTTTCTTGTAGCAATAAATCATTTACTGTGAAAACTTTTAATCCACTGCTGGGAGTATATTTTCTTCCAGACTGTGGCTTCTTCACTTGTCTTTTGCACATTTCCTTTTGTTTCATTTCCTCCTTCCTTTCTGTGGTATTTATGCATATTTGCTCTGCCATTTCTTTATTTGTCAAGCATATTTAACAAGGGCAGGTTCAGCTGAACCTTTAGATAACAATTTTTTGAATTGTCCTCGATTGCTTCTCTCCTATGTGAACATCGTTTCCTTCCCAGAGCTTCCTTTGGTGTCCTGGAGATACAGTTTATCAGCTTTTCTGTGGCCTGAGGATATGAAGGAGCAGAAGCAGTGGGAATGATGGATAATCATGATTGGTGGATTTAGTCTCTATTCATTTTGATTAAATTTATTAAAATTTATAGTTTTATTAAAAGTTGCTCTCAGGATACACTCAGGTTTTGGATTGCCCCCAAATTCAGGATGTAACTTGGAGGCATTACATTTTTTATTTTTCAAATTTTGAAGTATTTCAAACATGCAGAAGTGAAATAATAATAGAAAAAGCATGTGTGAGTCCACATCCCAGCTCTATTGTGTCCTAACACTTGGCCATACTTGCTTAGATGTAGAAGACAATAGGAAAGCATTGTTGAAGCTCCCTCTGTCCCCTCCCTAGTTCTCCCCATCTCCTTTCATCCCTTCTCACTATCCTGAATTATTACTGTCTTTTCCATGTGTGTTTCCACATCACTTCTATGTATAAATCTGTGATTAATTATGGTATTGACTTCAATATTTCAAGCTCTCTAAAATGGTTTCGTATGGTCCTACTGAAGCTCTTTTTGATTCATTGTTTTCAATATTTATCCATGTTGAGACATAGCTTGTATTACTCCATTTTCACACTGCTATAAAGAACTTCCAGAGACTGGGTAATTTATAAAGGAAAGAGGTTTAATTGATTCACAGTTCTGCATGGCTGGGGAGGCCTCAGGAAACTTACAATCATGGCGGAAGGGGAGGCAGGCATGTCTTACATGGCCTGAGAGAGCAAGTGAGAGAACATGTGAGCGTGTGGGAAAAACTACCATTTATAAAACCATCAGATCTCATGAGAATTCTCTCACTATCAGGAGAACAACATGGGGGAACTGCCTTTTAATCCAATCACTTCCCTCCCTCGACACTTGAGGATTACAGCCGGAGATGAGATTTGGGTGGGGACACAGAGCTAAACCATATCACAGCTGTAGTTCAAGCTTGTCCAACCTGCAGCCCAGGACGGCTTTGAATGTGGCCCCAAACAAATTCATAAACTTTTTAAAAACTTTGAGATTTTTTTAAAAGCTCATCAGCTATCGTTAGTGTTAGCGTAGTTTATGTGTGGCCCAAGACAATTCTTCTTCTAATGTGGCCCAGGGAAGCCAGAAGATCGGATACCTCTGTGGGTGTAGTTCATTCATTTTCATTGCTATGTAAAATGGTAGGCTGAGGTGGGAGGATCTCTTGAGCCCAAGAGTTTGATACCAGCCTGGGCAACATAGCGAATCCTCATCTCTATGAAAAAAATAAATAAATAAAAAATAAAAAATTACCCCAAGCGTGGTGGCATGCACCTGTAGTCCTAGATACTTGGGAGGCTGAGATGGGAGGATTGCTTGGGTCCAGGAGTTTGGGGATGCAGTGAGCCATGATCAATCCAATGCACTCTAGCATGGGCAACAGAGCAAGACCTTGTCTCTTAAAAAAAATTATATTGTAGGATTGTACTACAATTGGCTCAGCTATTGTTTTGTTAATGGACGTTTAGATGATTTTCATTTTTCATATAAAAATGCTATAATAAACATTCTTATACATATCTCCTTTGCATACATGTTAGAGTGTACTTTAGAGTACATACCTAGAAAAGATGCATTGGGTGAAAAAGCATCTTTCCTAGATACTGAAGAATGTTTTCCAAGGGATTTGTACCAATTTATGCTCCTACATACTATACCTCTAACTCAGTTCCTGTTTTTCCACAGCTTCCCCAACCCTTAGAATTATTGGATTTTTAAATTTTTGTTATTGTCATGAGTATGAAGTAGAATCTCAGTGTTTTAAGATGCATTTTCCTGATTCTAGTAAAACTAATCATCTGTTTGTATATTATGTATCTCAGCCATTTGGATTTCCTCTTCTGTGAATGGCCTGTTCATGTATTTTGATCATTTTTCATTTGGAATGTCTTTTTCTTATAGATCTATAGAAGCTCATTTAGAAATTCTAGATCCTTAATTTTAGTAATATACATTGCAAATATCTACTCCGTCTGTGTCTTGTATTTTTACATTTTATTGAACAATAGGTTTTCATTTTTAATTTGGTGAAATTTACCACTTTTTTTTAATGGTTTGTGCTTTCTCTTAAGAAGAAGCTTTTCATCTTATGAAATTCTTCCCCACTCTAAGGCTATAAAGATTGTCTCATATACTGTATTTCTTGCTAAAAGCCTTCAAGTTTTGCTTTTCACATTTAGGTTTTTAATCCTCCTTGGATTTATTTTTGATATGTTGTGAGTTAGGGATTCAAATTCAATTTTTTCAAATGAATAGTCAGTCCTAGGTTGTTAATTCAGTACTCCTTTTTCTGGTGATTTGTAATACCATTTGTAATACCATACTTGTGTAGATCTGTTTTGAGGCTATTTATTCTATTTTATGGTCTGCTTGGGCTGCCATAATGAGATACCATAGACTGGATGGCTAAACAACATAAAATTATTTTCTCACGGTTCTGGAGGCTGGAAGTCTGAGATCAAAGGTGCCAGCCTGATCAGGTTCTGGTGAGGACCCTCTTCAGGGATGCAGATACATCCTAAAGATTCTGTCTGTGTCCTTACATGCAGAAAGAGATTCCTTTCTTCTTATGAGGCCACCAACCCTATTGAATTAGGATCCCACCCTATGACCTCATTTAACCTTAATTACTTCCTCAAAGCTTTGTCTCCAAATACAGTCACATTGGGGTTAGAGCTTTAACACATGAACTTTGGGTGGACACAATTCCGTCCATAGCATTGGTTTATAAATCACAAGTATCTTATTGATGTAATAAGTTTTTATATATACTAGATCAAGTTAGGTCAAGTTTTCCCATCTTGTTTTGCTTTATAATGTATTTAGCTATTTTTTGCCTTTTAGTCTATGTACGAATCTGAGGTTCAGTTGTCAAGTTCATTTCCAAAATTTGTAGGTTTATTTTTGAGATCTCTGTTCTGTTTTGTCATGATGTATTTTGTTTGTTTCTGCCCAAACACCACAAGTTTTAATTGCTGTGACTTTATAATATGTCTTGGTCTGGGAAGGTAAGTTACCACTTTGTTCTTTTCAGCCATTCTTTTTCTTTTCTTTCTTTCTTTTATTTTTTTTAGGCAGAGTCTTGCTCTGTCACCCAGGCTGGAGTGCAGTGGTGTGATTTCGTCTCACTGCAACCTCTGCCTCCCGGGTTCAAGCAATTCTCGTGCCTCAGCCTCCCAAGTAGCTGGGATTACAGGCGTGTGCCACCATGTGTGGCCAATTTTTATATTTTTTGGTAGAGACGGTATTTTTGGTAGAGACAGTATTCACTATGTTGGCCAGGCTGGTCTCGAACCCCTGGCCTCAAGTGATCCTCCTGCTTCAGCCTCCCAGAGTGCTGGGATTACAGGCGTGAGCCTGCCCGGCCATAATATTCCTAATCTTCAGACCTTGTTTGAATTTTTCCAATTTTCCTGTAATGTCCTTTTTCTGGTCCAGGATCCCAGCCAGAATCCCATATTGCATTGGGTTTTCATGTTGCTTTATTCATGTTCAATCTGTAATAGTTCCTCAGTCTTCTCTTTTGTAAACTTGACATCTCAGAAGAGTTCAGGGTAGTTATTTGTAGAGTATTCCTCAATTTGGAGTTGCCTGATATTTTCTTATATGCAGACTGAAGTTATGCATTTTTGGTAATAATACCACGGAAATTTGATAAATGTGATGCATTTTCTATTGGTTCTGATAGTTTACATGTAGAGTCTCTTGGATGTTTTATGTAGATAATTGTATTAGATATTTTGGTTATTTGTGTCTTTCTAGCACATGGGAGGATTTTGCTTCTCCCACCTCTTGAAGTTACGCAAAGCATGTGGCTTTCCCTGGCCAATGAAAAGGGAGCTAAAGGGATGTGTGCTGAGACATTGAATTGCAGGTGCATGATTTCCCAGCTGTCTTTGCTCTGCTTGTTTAAAGCAAATGTTGATATGAGCATACCATTAGATCAAAATAGCATATGATAATAAACCGACCTTTGTATGCTTGCCTTCAAGAGTAGCCTGAATTAGCAATTGATTTTGCTTATGAGAAGATAAACTTGCAGTGTTAAGACCCCGAGATTTTGGGGTTGTTTGTGGCATAACCTAGCCTATGTGGTCTGACATAATAATCATATTGTCTATAAACAAGAATAGCTTAGTTTCTTCTCTTTTATTTCTTATATACATCTTTTCTGGTCTTATTCCATTGGCTGGGACCTCAAGGGCAATGTTTAATAAAAGCAGTGACAGGTTAGGTACAATGGCTCATGCCTGTAGTCCCAACATTTTGGGAGACCAAAGCAGGAGGATTGCTTGAGGCCAGAAGTTCAAGACTAGCCTGGGCAACATAGTGAGACCCTTTCTCTGAGAAAAAAAAGTGATAATGGACATCCTTGTCTTCACCTTCACCTTAATGGGAATGCTTTTAAGTTTCACTATCAAATATGTCTATTTTAGATATTTGATGGACACCCTTTGTCAAATTAAGAAAGATCTCTTTTTTATTATGAATTGGTGCTGAATTTTATTGATTCTTTTTTGATGTAGCTTTTGAAATAATCATAGACTTTTTCTTCCTTTAATTTACTGGTATAATTTATTAGTGCATTTCTTGTGTTTTATTTAGGACCTTTCCATTTGTATTCAAAAGAGATATTGTTCATAATTTTCTTTTCTTTTACTATCCTTGTCTGAAGTTGTGTATTTTTTCTCTGTCTCTTGGAAATGGCTTGCACAAAAAGGTTTTTTTTTTTTGTTGTTCCTTTAAAATTTGGTAAAGCTCACCTCTAAATCTTTCTGGGTTGTTGCATCGTAGAGTGGAGGCAGTGGACTTCTGATGACAGATTCATTGTTTATTTAGGTTCTATTTCCTTTTGTTTATTCAGGTTCTATTCCTTTTCAATGAACTACATTAATTCATGATTTGCTGGAAAATTATTTCAAAGTTTTGAAATTTATTGGCATAAAATTGTTCATAGTATTTTCTTATGATTTAACATTTTAAAAATTTCTCTGTTGCAGACCTTTTTGACTTTAAATATGATTTATTTCTGTCTCTTTTTTTCTTGTTAAATCTTGGTAAAGTTTTATTTGCTTTATTAGTTTTTCTGAAAGAAACAGTTTTTGAGTATGTAGATAATTTCTTTGGTTGTTTTATTCTGTGTATCAATGACTTGATAGTTATATCCTCGTCTTTTTCTTTTTCTCACCTTTCAAATGTTTATTGCTCTTTTTTCGTAGCTTCTTGAAGTATATGCTTAATGTATTCTACATATTTATTCTTTTGACCTATAACTTTATTTCTAAATAATTTTTAATTGCTGTCCACAGGTTTTGATATGTTGGTCTTTCATTTTTATTTGGTTTAAAATATCTATTATGATTTCCTCTTTAAGCCATAAGTTTTTTTGAGGCCTACTTTTGAAAGTTTCAAAACACACATTTTTCTCCAGTATGTTTTTATTGTTGATTTTTAATCCCCATAAGTGGTATGTGTGCAATTGAAAAGAATGTTTACTTTCTGTTTCTGTATGGTTTAATAAATGAAGTTTATTAATTTTCATTGTCAAATCATTATTACTAATTTTTGTTCTATTTGGTTACACGTTTCTAAAAGAAATGTGTAAAAATAAAATTTATTCTTAGAATGCTATCAATTTTTTGTTATATGTTTTGATGCTGTGTTGTTGAAGCTTACAAGTTCTAAAGATCTATATTATACTATCTATATTATAATAATTTATGGTGAATTGCTATGTAGTGTTGATACTTTTGGCTTGAATTCTTTTTGCCTTACATAGCTGCATTAGGGGTTGGTTTCTTTTTCTTTTCTCCCCCTAACTAATAGCAAGTATCTTTCCTGCCTATCGTTGTAGCTTTACTTTGGGTGTGTCATTTGAACTCGCATATAGGTAGATTTTTTCCAACCTGCTTATTGTGTTTCTAAGCAAGTGAACTTAATCCATTTATAATATACATAATTTCTGAGGCCTTTGGATTTAATTCTTTTATCTCATTATGTGTTTTCTTTTTCATACCTTTTTTCTTTAGTTCTCTTTTCTTCATTTTTTCGTCTCCTGTTGGATTGATACAGTTTTCTACATTCCCATTTTACTTCTTTTGCTGGTTTTCAGACTGTAGACTGTATATATATTTTTAATGATTATATTTAATCTTGAATCATGTATTTTAACGATATATAAACATTTTTGGTATTCCTGGTATTTTCTCTATCATGACAAGGACCTCAGCACAATTTAACTAACAACCTTGTTCCCTTATTTTGTAACTATTCCTTAGTTTGAACTTGTAAATTTTCTTTTCTTTTCTTTTCTTTTCCTCCCTCCCTCCCTCCATCCTTCCTTCCCTCCCTCCTTCCTTCGTTCCTTCTTTCCTTCCTTCCTCCCTCCCTTCCTCCCTTTCTCTTTCTTTCTCTCTCTCTCTCTTTTCCATCCATCCCTCCCTCCTTCCTCCCTCCCTCCCTCCCTCCCTCCCTCCCTCCCTCCCTCCCTTCCTTCCTTCCTTCCTTCCTTCCTTCCTTCCTTCCTTCCTTCCTTCCTCTGTTTCTCTTTTCTTGGGTAATTTCCTATATTTTTGGATGTTTTAAACATGAAAATGTAGTTATTTTTATGGGCATAAATTAGTTAAATTTAATGATATATTTGATCAATTTCTGTGCTCATTTTTGTGTCCTGTATCCCTTGACATACACATGAGTTTATGCAACTTCTTGCTGAACTACATTCATTAATAATTAATATTATTGAGGCTACATGGGTGATAAGCTTTCTTACTATTTCTGTGTTTGAAAATATTTTAATTATGGCTTTGCTTTTGTGTATTAGTTTAACTGGGTATAAAATTTTAGATGGGCAGTTACTTCTTTCCAGCATTTTGGTATCTTCTATATGTATTATTGGTCATGGGAAATGGCTATCAGCTTAATTGTGACTGTTTTGTTGATAATTTGCCTTTCTCCACATTAGCTTTTAGGACTTTCTCATTTTCGACGTTCTGTGGACTCACTATGATGTGGAAGATAGGTTTATCTTTATCATGGTGAGTACCTAGAGTCCAGTTTTGATTTGAGATCTCATATTTTCAATTCTGGAAAATTCTCAGCTGATATGTCTTCACATATTTTTTCCTCTGCTTTTCCTCCATTCCTTTCTTCAGGAACCCTTATCAGAGTAAGCCAACCCTCTTCATGTATCTGCTACATCTCCTTTGTCTGTCCAATAAGTCCTGATTGTTACTGGAGACAGTTATCTCTGGGGAAGGAGAATGATTCTCCTTTCAGTCACAACCTTCCTTCTCTCTGTGAAAAGTGGAATGGCAAGTCTGAAGGTTTCTTTCTCATTTATCTCCAGAGGATCATTTCTCTTAAGTCTCCTCTTCACCACCTCTGTTTACCTTTCTCCAATCTGGGAAGGGAAACTATTAATGAAACTTTGATGAATTTCAGTTCCTCACCCCTTTTCTGCATTCGCTCCCCCCATAAAACATACATGTAAAATTCTGGTGTTTTTGGTGTTTTTCCCTGGCCACCACTTTCAAGGAGTATTCCAAAAGTTGTGTCCCTTTGTTTGGGTGCTGCTTGTATATTTTTGGCCAATTTGAACTTACTTTTTTCATTTCAGTGTGGGCAAAGTAGAGAAACAAATGCCCCCAGGCCCTACTACACATTTGAGCAATAATAGTTGTGAATATTATTCAACTCATCAGCAGTTGCTCAGAGTGGGTGTTCAATGGCTTGGTTTTGTAGGGAGTCTGGCATAATTCCCAGGTGTCTGGAAGCTTTGAAGAGAAACAGGTGCCTATTATAATTGGATATAAATGAAGGAATTGAGGAAATTGAATGAGGCAAATGGTGGAGTGCTGGTTTTACTGAGGTGGAGGTGCTGATGGAAGGATGGTGGTGGACATTCCATAGACAATGCTGCACAGCGAACTCTCAAAGGTTTTCTGGAGAATCCATAAATAACTGAATTTGGATTTTTCAGAATTTGGCTTCTTCAAGGATAAAAATGTGCAAATTACCTCTTTGCTAGTTGTTAGCTAATCAGTTTACCTAAAAAAAAAAAGTGCAAAAATAAAATCACCTCGTCCAAGGCGATAGTTTTTTTTTTTTCTTTCCATCCTCACTCTCTTGAAAATCCTGTTTGTGCTTCTACTCTGAGACTCAGTTTACCATCTGACTCCCTCCGAGGGAGAAGATCATTTGCAGGAAGGATAACCAAACTACATGGAAAATGAGGATTTTCCTCTGGGTTCTTCTTTGACGGCTGGCTCTCAACTCCACATTGTAGACTATGGTGTAACACTTATGTCCAATATTACACACACACTTTTTCAGTTTCCTGTTTTGGTGACTTTTCATACATGCCACTTACACATGTCTAAAGGAAGCTCTTTCACTGATGTCTGTAGCCACCTATGGCACAAAAAGCCAGGGGGTTTGTCGCATGTTATTCCATCAGGTAGAGGGAGGAGTTTTTCCAGGCTAATGAAACATGATGATGCTAAATGGTTAGTGAAGAGTGATGGAGTTAGAAAGCAGTTTTCGTGTGTGATCAGTCGTTCTGAGCCTGATGGCTCTACCACGCCTGCTAACCACCTCGGTTGACCCGGCTGCAACCCCACTCGGTCCATCTTTTATTTATCTGATTTCCTCATTAGTCCATGGGGTGTGTTCCTCGCAAGCTTGAATTCTTTTCGCCTCACCTAGCTGCACTAGGGGTTGCTCACTTTGTTTTTCCTTTCCCCGCTCCCAACTATGTGCAGGCATTTGCAGCAATTTATTAGTTTCAAATAAATTTGGGTAATCTTGCCTGTGAGTCTCCTTTTTGAGATTCATTATGCATATTAATTTTGGAAGATTTCCAAAAAGTCCTCAATAAAGAAACCTGTTTTCATTTGGTTTAACCCAGTGGTTTCCCAGTTTGCAATTCTACCTTCCTCTCACCCCCGCAGGGGCGCACACAGGGACTCCTGATGTCTGAAGGGGCATGGTTAGGGAAACTCTGCCTCCACCTACAGAGAGAACTCCACGTTCCCTCTAGCCCTAGTCTTGGCTTCCCTTCAAGCCCTTGATTTTTTTCTTTCTTTTATTCATAGTTTTTTTGGGGGGGTATAATCAATATTATGCATGTTATCTGTAAAGTTTACAATTCAGTGAACCCCTAACTCTTTTAAAATTGTGGTAAAATAGACATAATGTAAATGTACCATTTTAACGACAGTTTTGTGGCATTTTGTCCATACACGGTATTGTGTGACCTTCACTACTGTCTAGCCCCAGGACATTTTCATTACCCCAGAGGAAATCTTGTACCCATTATCAGTCATTTCTCCTCCCTACCCCCAGCCCCTGGGAACCCCCATTCTATTTCCTGTTTCTATGGATTTTGCTACTCTAGGTAGCCCATGTAAGTGAAACCATACAGTATTTGTCCTGTTGTGTCTGGTTTATTTTATGTAGCATGTCTTCAAGGTTCATCCATGTTGGAGCATGTGACAGAATTTCCTTGCTTTTTAGGGCAGAATAGTATTTCACTGTGTGTATATATATAGCATTTTGTTTGTCTATTCATCTACCAGTGAACGCTCGGGTTGTTTTCACCTTTTGGCTATTGTGAATAATGCCACTATGAATATGGTTGTACAAATATTTGTTTGAGTCTTTGCTTTCATTTCTTTTGGGCATATGCATGGGAGTGGAATTGCTGGATTATATAGTAATTCTGTTTTAAGTTTTTTGAGGAGCTGTGATATCATTTTCCACACTGGCTGCACCATTTTATATTCCCACCAGCAGAGCACAGGGGTTCCAGATTTTCCAGATTTCCTTGCCAACATTCGTTATTTTCTGTTTTTTTTTCTTTTTTTCATTAATTGCTATCCTGGTAGGTGCGAAGTGCTGTCTCATTGTGACTGAGATTTGCATTTGCCAGTGGTTGGTGATGTTGAGCATCTTTTCATGAGCTTATTGGCCATCTGTATATCTTCTTTGGAGAATGTCTATTCAAGTCCTTTGCCCCTTTTTAAACTGGCGTTTTTGTTTTTTGTTGTTGACAGACTCCTAATTCTTAACAGATATGATGCTCTCACTGTGATGAACTTGACTTCTGGGAAGATACTGGCTGCATTCATTTCTCTTCTACTTTCCTAGGCCAATCATTATTCTCCAGCAGTCATCATTTCTTACGTTCCTCGCTTGTCCTGTTCTCAGGCTGGACCTAAGAGCTCATTCCCTCCCATCTCTTCCCACATTCCATATCATGGACTTTCTTCTTTTCAGCTGTTGGTACTGTGGAGGGGGGGATTTTATTGAAGCCAACTGCCATGATCACCTTCCTTTTCCTTCCTAAAGGATTGTCATCTGCTTTCTGATTTTAGCCACAGTAGCTTGGCTGAGGTTGCATTTTGGAAGTTCGAGGCTTCTGGCTCCCAGATTTCCTGTAGAACTGACACTGGTGACTATCCTTTGTTCTTGAGGCTCCTTTGATCTCTGGGACACTTTCCTGTGATGCCATGAAGGGGAACGAGCAGGAAGTTTAGGGTGCAGACTTTGGGGTGCATCACCTGGCTTCAGATGCTATCTTTGCCCATGAACTCACTCTTGGTAAAGTCACCCTGTGGGGTTTCTCCTTAGTGAAAGAGCACATTAACACCTACCTTGCAGCTGGTGGTGAGGATTCATTGGGAAATCACATGAAAAGTACTTAGAACAGTTGCTGGCAGAGAGGAAGTGTTAACAAGGTGCCACTGTTGGGGCATTAAGCTGGTTTTGCTCATGTATTCAGTCGATCCCCTTTCACCTCCATTTCCCCCCAACCTTTTTTTTTTCTAAATTCTGTTCTTTGCTATTCATTTTTCTGCTCCTGGACATTTTCCCATTCTTTCCATTTCAATATTCCTCTTTACACAGGAGATTCCAATCAAGTCCTCTCTCTACCTTTTATTTATTCATTTATTACTTATGTATGTTTGTTTATTTAAGATGTAAGAAAGCATAAGGTGGAGAGGTGCTAGGATGTCTAAATGCTAGAAGATGATACATCTTCCTAGCTACTTGACAGGTAGTCTTTTGGACTTTAAACACACTTTAAAATAAGTGACGTACAAGCACCACTTTAAAATACTAAACATTTTCATTTTAAACCAGCATTACTGGTATTATAACTATATGTACTTCTGCACATCAGTGTAACTGTACACAGATTTAAGAGGAAATGATAGGCATTTATACTAGTCACAAAACAATAAAACCAGGGATGAACACTAAGTTTAATAAAGATCATTTATAATTCTAACCACTTAGAAATAAGAAAATTAACTATGAGGTCAAGGGAGAAATTACGTGTGCAATAACAGATTATTTATAAAACAAAACCAATGAGAACACTAGACATGATAGACAAAGACTTTAAAATCGTTATTATAAATACGGTAAGTAAATTAGGGGAAATGATGAACCAAATGGGTGAAAATATGGAGAAATCAACATAAAAATGTAATCTCTTTTTAAAGTTTATCTAAACTTACGGGGTACACCTGCAATTTGGTTACATGCGTAGATTGTGTAGTGGTCTAGTCAGGGCCCTTAGGGTGGGTATCCATCACCCGAGTAACGTGTATTGTACCCGTTAAGTAATTTCTCATCCATCCCCTCACCCTTCCGAGTCTTTGTTATCTCTCATTCCACTCTCTACATCCGTGTGCACACGTTTTAGCACCCACTTAGGGATACTGTCTCAACATTTTAGTGGGAGGCTTCTTGTAGCACAAAACGGTGCCTAAGGACATATTTCCTGGAGGACGTTTCGACCTTTGTCACATGACTCCATATCAGCTGCCACTGGCTCATACACAACCATGTCAGTGCTGTGTCAGAGATGGAAGAATTTGACCTTTCACCAGTTTCTGTGAAATACATTGCTTTGAAGATGAAATCACAAATGTCGTCCTGTACAGGGGACCTAATGGGACCATGTCGAGTGATTATATCTTGAGCAGATGTAAGTCTTTAGAATGGTCTAGATTATGACCTGAGTGCTTACTGGTCTCTGGATTCTATGAAGTACTTGTTTGATTTTCACAAGATCTTTAAGAAGTAGTTAGTGCTATTCTCTCATTTTACTTTTCCATTCTTATTTTTAGAGAAAATCAAGTCTTAAGAGGTTAACTGTGCCCAGAGTCTTGTAACTAAAAAGTGGTTGACTTGAGATTCCACCCAGTTCCCTTGGATTCCACATGCAGAACTCTTAACATCCTCTTAACATCCTTTTTTTTTTTGAGATGGAGTCTCGCTCTGTCGCCCAGGTTGGAGTGCAGTGGTGCCTGATCTTGGCTTACTGCAACCTCTGCCTCCTGGGTTCAAGCAATTCTCCCTGCCTCAGCCTCCTGAGTAGCTGGGTCTACAGGCCCACGCCACTGCACCCGGCTAATTTCCATATTTTTAGTAGAGACGAGGTTTCACCATGTTGGCCAGGCTGGTCTCGAACTCCTGATCTTAAGTGATCTGCCCGCCTCAGCCCTCCAAAGTGCTGGGATTATAGGCGTGAGCCACCATGCCGAGCCTTAACATCTTGATTGTATTCTATACGTGCCATTTCACATGGTCTATTTCTCATTTTTCTTGTTCTTTTTTCTTTTCTATGTTGATTAGATACACTGGAGCTTAATCCATTTTAGAGTGTGAGTGCATAGTGCATATTTATCAGTAATATTGTTTTAATATTTGAATTAATTCAATCCTGCTTTTAATTTTATTATTCCTGCTATTTTCTATAAAACTTTTTATAACTTTCTGTAACTTTTTAGAATTTGTTTTCTAAATTCTTTGAGAGCTTAGTCTTTTTCTTTCTTTCATAATGAACATGCTTAAGGCTAAAGCTGCCTCTGAAAGCAACTTTGAATGTGTTAAAGGAATCATATCTAGTGTTCTTATTAGTTTTGTTTTATAAATAATCTGTTATTGCAGATGTAATTTTTCCTTTGACCTCATAGTTAATTTTCTTTAAGTGGTTGGAATTTTAAAATGAACTTTATCAAACTTACTGTTAATTCCTGGTTTTATTGTTTCGTGACTAGTATAAGTAGGCTATCATTTTTCTCTTAAATCTGTGTACAGTTACACTGATGTGCAGAAGCACATATAGTTATAATACCAGTAATGCTGGTTTAAAATGAAAATGTTTAGTATTTAAAAGTGGTGCTTATAAGTCACTTATTTTAGCATAAGTTTGAATTTTTTCCAACTGATTTTGAAAATTTAAATAGAATATATATTCTCAATAAAATTTTTAGAGTAAATGACTAGTTTTGGTTTTTGTGGGAAAACGGTCCTAGCGTATTCTCTAACAACCAACACTCAAAGCCAGATACCTGTGAAAAAACTGACATGTTTTAAATGGAACAGGAGACCTCTCCAACAAACCCATCAATGTTTAACAATCTTAATGAGCTTTAAAAAAGTGTCATATTTTAGCTGTGAATCACTTCACGTTAAAATCTGTGGTTTTCCTGCCAAAGTTATCTTTAGTAAACGCGATGTATTGGCAGCTAGATTTGGAGTGAAGTGAATGTGAGTGAAGCTGGAAGCAGATTCTGCAAGAAACCCAAATGTTGGAGGGGGGTTTTCCAAGCGTCAGAGTCTTAGGTCTCTCAATACCCCCTTTGACACTCGTGGCCACACTCTTCCGCCATGCCCATTACAGTGACTCACTCGGAACTGCTTGGGAATCAGTGACTTGGGTGAGTGCAATATCTCTTTCACATATTGCCGGCTTCCTCCATCAACCCATAGCATCTGTGCTGGGTTTATGCTTTCAAGTGAGAAATGGTGAAATACACAAGGGGATGGCTTGCACTTGACTCTGGGATGGTGTTTGCATGTCAGCGTTTTCTTTCACATTAAATTGAGTGGAGCTAAACTCATTTGGTTTCAGTGAAGGTAGTTTCCATGCATTCACTGAAAAGCTGGGATTGCTGAGAGTGGTGACCAGAAGAGAGAAGGCCATGGGGAGGTAAGGTGAGGCAGGAATACTAGAGGGTGGGGCAGGGCTCAGCTCAGTGGCGATGTTTCCCCAGCAGCCTTCAGGCCTTTCATCCCATCATTTCTCTCCTCTGATAAGTGTCTCTGCTTTAAGAGTGTTTGCCAGACAGAAATAAAAATCGATTGGGGGAAAAATTATATGGAAAAAAAATTTTCCTTTCAAAATATTCCTGGAGAGGAGAGGAAGCACGCATGGATAGAATGAATGAAATGTTCTTGGGGCACAGTGCCATCTAATGTTGCTATTATTGCATTTGCTGCTTAGCAAAGTACATAGAAGGCACATTGCAAATATTCAGGTATTAGCTGTGTTAAGTAATTGTTTTCATGTAGTAAATGTATTAGTTTGCTTGGGCTGGCATAGCAAAGTAGCACAAACTGAAAGCCTTAAATAACAAAAACTTATGATCTCACAGTTCTGGAGGCTGAAGTCTGAAATGAAGGTCTCAGCAGGGTGGGTTCTTCTGAGGGCGCTGAAGGAGAATCTGTTAGGTGCATCTCTCCAGGTTTCTGCTGGTTAATGGCAATATTTGATGTTCTGTGGCCTGTGGAGCATCTCCCTCATCTCCGCCTTCATCGTTACTTGGTGTTCTCTGTGTGTGCCTGTCTGTGTCCAAATTTCCCCTAATTATAAGGACAGCAGGGATATTGTATTAGGGGCCCAGCCTACTTCAGTATGACCTCTTCTTACTGAATTGTATCTGCAAAGATCCTATTTCCAAATAAGGTCACATTCTGAGGTAATTGGGGTTAGGACTTCAGCACATGAATTTTAGGGGAACATAAATCAACCCATAACAGTAAAGATCTATTAACTCACTTTAGGAAGCTGATATTTATTTAGGAAGTAAATGTTTATTGAGCATCTATGATGTGACATGCATGAGGTATTGAGATTTAAACAGATACGCTTAAATATTTTCCTGTATCCAAGTCACTTTCAGTAAAGAAGTAGAGAGACATAAATTAATAACTAGAATACGGCAGAGCTATATGAAGGTATGCACGAGGAATAGTGCTGGTACCAAGAAAGGGGATGCTGGTGAAGCCTACTTTTTAGGGGAGATGTCAGGGAAATGTCACTGAGGGGGCTACATTTGGGCTGCATATGAAAGCATTAAGAGGAGCTCCAGGGCAGTCTGGACAGAAAGCACAGCGTGGAGGTCTGACACGAAAGGGTGTGTTCGCAGGACTTTAAGCCATCTCATATGGGAGTGTAGTGTCCACTGGGAGGTGATGGATTGCCACTGTGAAGTTTCAAGTGTCGGAGCGGAACTATTGGACTTGTGGTTTTGAGAAGTTCTGCCTGACAGCCTGGTGGCTGGCATGGAGCTGGGCTGTCAGGTAGCTCTTATTTTCCATGTCCATTCTGTTCTATTCTACTAGTAACTGTCTGTCTTTTCCAGCATTTCCCAAGTCTTCCCTTACCCTTTATGGTGATTCTGCAGAAGGAACAAGCTGGTAAAAGCACTTTTGGGAGACTGGGGAAAGGAATACAAATATTCCTGTGTTAACTATTTTCTGGCCCCAAGTAGGCTATTGGTGACCTTTGGTATGTTCAGATAAGCAGTGGGAATGGAGGCCGGAGTACAGTGGGTTGAGGTTAATTACGTGATGGATGAAGTGGTGCGAGTGGTGAGTACAGGCTGTCTGTTGCAGAAGCTTGATTTGGAAGGGAAAGAAAATAAGAGGCTGACAAGGAGACGCCACGTAATTGAGGTAGGGTCTGTTGAATGTTTTTTGGGGATGAAATTTTATTTTGTGTTAACAAAGTAGAAATTTACAAAGGAAATGGCCCCCATTTTAACAGAAAAATCAATACCATTTGCATCCCTCATTATTAATATGCATTGGAACTTCATCCATTGGACCTGGTGAAGAAGGCAGTCACCGTCTCACCAGGCTGGAAGCCTGGATGTTGGAATGTGGACATTTCCTACTAGAGTGGCTTGAAAATCCCCTAGGATCATTCTGGTGGTAGGGATGGGGGTATAAATGTGGGTGCTCCTTGAGAGGAAGGAATGAGCCAAGAGGGATGGAGCCCGGGGATGCAGGGAGAAAGTGGCCTTTGTTTTATGGTTATGCACTCTATCCAGTTTATATGTTTCAGATGATTTATTCAACAAACCTTTGTGTATCTCTTCCTACTTCTTTCCCACTGAGCTAGGTAGGTCCTGGGGTTCCTGTGAGTCCTGGGGCTGTAGTCAGGCAGTTGCAATATCTCATCATTCTCATGCTAATTTTTTCCTGACCTGAAGATTTCCATTGGAAAATGATGATTGCACTCTTCTAATAGAAGGCTAAGTGATTTAGATCTGGGGGCAGGGAAATGGTGGCTGTGGTTCTTCTAGAGGGGGAAGAGGATGTAGACAGGTAGTTTCATCCAATGCATGAGGGCCACAAAGGTTTCTGTGGACCCCTGGTCTTATACTGCAATCCCTTGGTAACAAGGAAATCATAAAACTAGGGGTGACTCATCACCACTGTGATGAGGTGTTTCTGAGTTCAAAGGGAAGAGTCAGTTTAACTCAGTGAAATGGTTATTTTTTGTAATGACATTCATTTCCTTGGTTCTTTGCTTATATGACACCTGGATGTACAAGATGGTTAACAGAATAGTGCTATGGAGGCACTTTGACAAGTCCTGAACCACCATCTGGGTGAGAATATTTGTAACCGGCACAATACTTATACATGAATGGCCACTGTGAAATGGGTTTCTAAGGGGCGATATTATAATTTGCTTTCTTAAGAGCACTGACTACAAAGACATCTCCTAAACTCTTTCTTTGTAAACTTACCAGAAACCCTTGTATCCCCATGGATGAATCCAGAGCTTTTCAGTGGCTCAGGTTTCTCCTTCTAACAGTGCTTGAAATTCCTTCCACAGAGAATGAAGCTTTTAATTCTAGAACCAATGTTCAGATTGTGCAAAGGCATGGATTTAAGGTGACAGCTATTAACATTGGCAAAGTTCTTTCTATTGTGAAAATTGCTTTCATATATATTTGGTTTATTTTGCCCTCCGGACAGTCCTGGGCTTCATTATTGAGTAACTTATTTTCTGTTTGAAGAAACGGAGGCTTAGTGGTTTAAGAAAGCTGATTAAAGTCAAATGGCAAGGATGGGGTAAATGATGGAGCTCTAAGCATTGGGTGTTGGCGTCTGTAATATTTGTGCATGACTGACTACACAGCTCTCCTTCTGAGTCAGTGGCTTTTAAGCTCTTTGGAACCACAGTAAATTCCTTTTACCTCATGACTCAGTACACACATATGACCCACCAAACAGTACTTGCCTTGACCATTCCCCATGCCTTCTAATATTTTATTCTACCCAATTCTGTTTTCTTTTCAACGTCGGGTCTTATTAAATTGACTTGGTGATGCACTAATGGGTCATGATGCAGAATTTGAAAAAATTACACTCAGTTCCTTCCCCAAGAAGTAGAGGAAGGTCAGAAATGGAGGATGGTGGGGAAGGAATGGGGTGTGTGTTTTTCCAGAATAGGGTGGGAGGGAAATGGCCTCTCACAGCCCACTTGTCAGAACTGCTCCCATGTCCCGATCCGACTTCAGAGGTGGGAAAACGTTGGGAGCTGGTGAGGTGGGTGGGGAAAATCACTGTCTGCCACACCTCTCGTTTCTGGCATTCAGTCCACTTTTGTGGCCATCGTTTGTTGTGCTGGTTGGCTCACTCTGCCCAATTCTTCCTTCTGGTTGCCAGTTCTCTTCATATGTCTACTCTTTTACTGCGGGTCGCTCACATCTATAAATGACGGTCTAGGTTGTACAGTCTCGGAGGTTCAAGTGGAGTCTTTTGGCAGCTGTGCAGGCCAGCATTTGCATCCCTGCAGGGGCTGCAGGGGGCCTTAACCCTCCCCGATCAGTGCCTGGTTCTCTGATCCTGGCCAAGCATATTGGTTCTCAAAGTGTTGCCTGGAGTCTGGATGTGGGAATCTGCTTCAGGCCAGGCCAGGTGATCTTGAACCCGAGGAACAGAAGTCATCACGTTTGCTCTATGTCTATCAGGAAAACAGCTCAAAGCACATTCCCTATTCATGTCGGGGCAGTAGAATCTTCCCATTTTCCCAGAGACAACGCGTAATGGCAGGCCAGAGGAAGCTCTGTGATCACCCTAGAGAGGAAAACAGCAGGCGTAAGAAAGCATTTGTCATCTCAAGGCAGAAATCACCCACTTTTTACAAGAATGTCCCACTGTGAAATCAGAATGTTCTACCATGCCATCTGCAACAAAACTGAGGGCCCCCGCAAAGCCCACCATCCAAAAGACATGGTAGCATAAGATAAATGGCAATGATTGCAATTAACAATGGCAGTCTCTCAAGAGTGGGCATGCCTGCGGGACCCGTGTTGATATTTGGATTTGGATTTTTGCTTGTTTGTAGATTTTGGGGTCATCTTTTGTTAGTGTTGGGAGGTAGCTGTGTGTGGTGAAATCCGTGGATTTTTCCCACAGCTAGAGGAAATAGGAGGTTGAGGGCAAGATGTGCCATGGAGAGTGAAGGTGTGTGAGTCAAGGGATGATCCTATGGTGGGATGCCTGCTTCTGAGAGTCTCTTCTGCCATATTAACAAATCACGGATGCGTTTGAGTTTCCTGTCTGGACACCCATGGTTTGTTATTGTGTCTGTACTACTTTCTGAATAGGGATTATCTTCCATGCTCTTTTTTTTGTTTTTTTGACATGGAGTTTTGCTCTTGTTGCCCAGGCTGGAGTGCAATGGTGCGATCTCAGCTCACTGCAACCTCTGCCTCCTGGGTTCAAGCAATTCTTCTGCCTCAGCCTCCCAAGTAGCTGGGATTACAGGCCTGTGCCACCACACCCAGCTAATTTTGTATTTTTTTAGTAAAGACAGGGTTTTGCCATGTTGGTCAGGCTGGTCTCGAACTCCTGACCTCAAGTGATCCACCCACCTCGGCCTCCCAAACTGTTGGGATTACAGGTGTGAGCCACCGCACCTGGCCTCTTCCGTGCTGTTAATCCTCACATTCCTATCTCCTGGGACCAACTGGCTAAATGCTGGGATCTGTGTTTATTCACCTCCAATTGTCAGTTCTGTGCATGTGCTCTTAGTTTCCTTTTCCCTCTTCTCTGCATAGCTTTTTTATTCCCTTTGATACTCCAAGATTAGAATCTTTGCTAGGGCCAGGACTATATCTTTTGCATTCTCTTGTCCCAGCAACTAAGATAGGACATTTTATGTTGTGGAACTGACAAGTTTCTGAAATTTCCATCCGTGGACATGATCCACCATAAACCACAGAAGTTAAGTACTGGAATGTTTACTATCGGGCAATTTGCTCATTATCTCTAAGCCTCAGTTTCTCATCTTTAGAGCAGGGATGGTAGTATCACATGGAATCATTGTGAAGTTAATTGAGAAAATGCATGTAAAGAATTTAATGCAGTGCTTGACACATAGAGACATCACTCCATTATTGATATACTAACTTCCTCAAGAAATTAACAGAATGAACCAGGATCACAACAGTGAGACCATGCTGTGGCCTGGAGAGAAGGTGTGGAACTGCAGCTGTGCTGGGAGGGGCTGTGAGGAAGGAGCTGAGCAGAGAAATGTGACTTTAGCCAGGAGAAGCCAGGGAGGGATCCTGGGAAGAGAAACCCCGACGCCTTTCCTTGTTGTTGCTTCCCAGTGACCAAATCCAACCCCCCTGTTGTTGCTTCCCAATGACCAAATCCGGAGGACACTGGCCAACAAGGCAGCCCCAGATGATGGCATTCACAGGAGACAGGCTCCTGTGGCTTAGATAAGGACTGGCACATCTTCTTGAGGGGCTGTGCACACACCTTATTGTTGCCCACGAATTCCCTGTTTTCCACGAGTCCTTGGCCTGACCAGTGCTTCCTTCTGTACAGGATTGCAGGATCCTGGGACTGGAAAGGATCCTGTGATCACTCTCCTCACCCAGTCTCTTCATACGGAGGGAAGATCAAGGTTGTCTCCTGTGTGGCTTTGGTGGCGGTCAAATGGGGTTCTTTTTATTGGTGTTGCCAGAGTCTGCTGGGGAGCAGAGCACACAGAGCATGCTCAGAACGTGGTGGTGGAAGGGATCCGCTGTTTCTCATGACTTTTAGCCTTTACAGCGGCACCATGTTTTTACACTGAGCCATGTGTTGTCTTTCTCATTCATGGGACTGTTTCTTGCAAGTGTCTTCCTCTTAGTGTCTGTGTTTTTGGAGGGACCCTGCCCTTGAGAACAGGGGACCTGTGCTGTGCTCCTCTTGATCCCCTGGGACATTTACTATTAGGGCCGAGCACACGGGGCCAGCACATACTTTCTGAATTAAATTTCACAAGGATTACCTGGAAAGCTGTGACGTTTTCCGAGTCCTAAAACAGAGGAGCACTGTTGGTTCCTCCCTTTTCCTTTCTAGGGGCATTGTGGCAGATGTCTGTTCCTGCACTTGCAGCTCCATGAGAGGAGAAAAGCCCCCTTCCTCCCAGCAGGGCCATTGCCACTCTGATGGGCATTACAGGGAATCCTAAAGATGGAGGATCTGTGTGCGTTCCCTCTCTGGAGGGTAGAGACCAGGCATTGCATGCCAAAGCCCATCAGGTACGAGGTAACACCCAGTCCAACCCTTGCTGGCATGAAACCACTGTGTAAACTCTTGTCATGTCAGTCAGCTAAGGCTTACGACGTTTTCAACTGAAAAATCTTTGCTGCTTCCCTGTTGTATGCGGAAACAGCTGCCTGGGTGTTTGTCAGTCCTGCTGTGTTCTGTGTGTCCCAGTGTCCTTGATGGCTACCCCGCCCAGGGCTTCTTTCCTGGGAACACCTAGCAGGACTGCTCCCAGCTGTGGTTGCAGAGACAAAAGGAACAAAGGCCATTGATTGATTAACTTGCCACCAGGGAACCCACCTGCCGTGGCTTTTCTTGCAGCAGGATTCAGAGGTGCTAGAGAGACAATGGTTTTTCTAGAGTCAAAAGGGAATACTTGACAAGTCTTCTCTTAAGGTGTCAGTTTTAGAAGCAAGGAGACTTAATTGGTCTTAGGGTACATTGGGCAGTCCATGGTTTGGCTGCAAGGGAGCAAGTGAGCCCTTTGGGGACATTTTGAAAGAGGAAGGATTATTTACTGTTAGGGGCGGGGAGCAGGAAGCTTTCTGTGGCTGGATGTTTTCTGGAGCAAGTCAGGGTCAGGGTGTTGCCTTTTGGGTCCACTTGTCATAATGTCCTTGCCACACCGGGCCATTTCTCACTTTTATGTCTGTTTGATACGGAAGAGGGGAAGAGAAGTGCTGGCAAGGGAAGGGCACGGTCCCTTTAAATGATACTGAAGGGGGAAGGGCGTGGTCCCTGGTTAGGGCTCCATCCCTAGGCCTGTGCCCACGAACCTAGGTGAGGACAGGCATTTTTGTTTTCCTGCCCAAATGTTGCATTTCCCAAGACCACCCTGGCCTGCCACACCCCCATACTGTGCCTGTAAAAACCCCAAGACCCTAGCAGGCAGACACACAGGTGGCGGGACGTCGAGAGGAGCACATCAGCGGAGGAACACATGGGCGGCTGGACGTCAAGAGAAAAGCACAGACAGGCACTGACAGGCACCAGCAGGCTGCAGGCCACCGACTGGCAGAAGGATGCGGAGGCGGGCTAGGGCAGTCGGGGGAGAGCCCAGGCCGTTGAGCAGCCTGACTCCAGGGGAAAACCATCTCCCTCCTGGCTCCCCCATCTGCTGAGAGTTTCTTCCATTCAATAAAACCTTGCACTCATTCTCCAAGCCCACATGTGATCTGATTCTTCAGGTACAGCAAGGCAAGAACCCCGGGATACAGAAAGCCCTCTGTCCTTGAGATAAGGCAGGGGTCTAACTGAGCTAACACAAGCTGCCTACGGATGGCTAAACTAAAAGAACACCCTGGAACACACGCCCACTGGGGCCGCAGCAGTAAACATTCACCCCTAGACACTGCCGTGGGGTCAGAGCCCCACAGCCTGCCCGTCTTTATGCTCCCCTAGAGGTTTGAGCAGCGGGGCATGGAAGAAGCGAGTCACTCCCCCATCACACGCCCTGGGAGGAGGACAAGGGAACTTCTTCTGTTTCATGTTGACACAGAGGTGGAGTGTGTGACTAGGAGAGGGATTGTGTTTGCGAGAAGTGAGCGATAGGTGGATTGCATGCTGACTGAAGCCAGTTTCCCGTGTACAGCTCTTCAATCTTAACAGTAGATGACAAAACTGCTAATGGGACATTGGGCTGGGTGGACCTCTTTCCCACAGCCTCGCTCCCATATTACCACGAAAGGAAGGTCCACGTTAATTTCTGCCATGTAGACGGAAGCCACTTATTAAACTAACAGAACAGGTCATACTCCATGGAGTTTGTAGGTGAGGTGCCACCTCTCTTCTTTTAGGTCACCTGACTTTGCCTAGCATGAAAGATAAGTTGTAACATGTTCCAGAATTGTGATTCTGTTTCCCTTGCAAGCAGCTTCAGGCATCTGGCTCTTTCTTTCTTTCTTTCTTTCTTTCTTTCTTTCTTTCTTTCTTTCTTTCTTTCTTTCTTTCCTTCCTTCCTTCCTTCCTTCCTTCCTTCCTTCCTTCCTTCCTTCTTTCTTTTTCTTTCTTTCTTTCTTTCTTTCTTTCTTTCTTTCTTTCTTTCTTTCTTTCTTTTTTTCTTTCTCTCTCTCTCTCTCTTTCTTTCTTTCTTTTTTTTTGACAGAGACTCCCTCTGTCACCCAGGCTAGAGTGCAGTGGCGCGATCTCTGCTCACTGCAACCTCCACCTCCTGGGTTCAAGCAATTCTCCTGCCTCAGCCTCCTGAGTAGCTGGGATTACAGGCGGGTGCCACCACGCCTGGCTAATTTTTGTATTTTTAGTAGAGATGGGGTTTCACCATATTGGTCAGGCTGGTCTTGAACTCCTGACCTCATGATCCACCTGCCTCGGCCTCCCAAAGCGCTGGGATTACAGGGGTGAACCACTGCGCCCAGCCCAGCACGCATCTGGCATTTTCTAAGTCACTGGCCCCTGCATCCTGTAGCTCTCCTAGCGGCTAATCTGAAACTATGGGATGCAGGGCTTGTTAGAGCCTCCTCTCTTCATGCACGTGAAGAGAATGTCTATAAAGGGCTAAATAACAAGCTGTCAATCAATAACTGTAAAATGTAAATGATGTAACTGTAAAATGTAAATAAATAACTGTAAAATGTACCTGGAGGGCTCATTAGCAAGCCTCTGGCGTGGACAAGGATACCTGAAGCTCCTGTAGTTGCTGCCATGGTAGAGGGTGGGGGTGGGCTTTAAAACGGTGTTATTCCCATTTGATAGATGAGGAAAGCGGAGGTCTGAGAAGGTAAATAACTCGCCTGAGCTCTCACTCTTAGTGACAGGCAGAAACAGCCTTGCAACCAGGCTGCCTGTGTTTGATTCAAACCCACTGTGGAGCACATGCTTTGAACCACCGACCATGACTCTAGGTGGTGGGCGGTGTCTTGTGGTTGATAAGCAGGGTCCCACCAGCCCTGCGCCTCCTGTCTTGGTTGGCTTGTCACCCTAGAGAGTGGCTGCTTAGGAGCCTAGTTGCATCCTTCCCTGCTCCTGAGACCCCTTTCTCCCTCATGCTCCCTGGTTCAGACCCTCTTCCCCAGGTCAACAGTTGCTCTCGCCCCATGGGTGAGAAGTCCAGCTCTTTTCAGGATCTATGTGTCTCAACATAGGAAAACACCTTAAGAGTACCTGTAAGGCAGTCAGTATTTGGGCCTATCCTTAAAAGTTCTCAGACACGTTTCGAAGGAATTAAACAATTATTTGCCCAGCCTGTACTGAACTTCAAAACTATGAGGTCTTGTAAAAATGAATTATTTGATGATAAAGTGGATTCCATCAAGAAAGATGAAATCCATTCTATTTTTTTTTTTTTGAGAATGAAGACAGTTTTAATATTGCCTTTCCAACCTGGATGCTTTTTTTGTTTGTTTTTCAAGACAGAGTCTTGCTCTGGTTGGAGTACAGTGCTATGATCATGGCTCACTGTAGCCTTGACCTCCTGGGATCAAGCGATCCTCCTGCCTCAGCCCCCTGAGTAGCTGGAACAATGGGCACATGCCACCATGCCTGGCTATTTTTTCTATTTTTTGTAGAGATGGAGTCTCACTATGTTGCCCAGGCTGGTGTCGTCTCGAACTCCTGGGCTCAAGCGATCTACCTGCTTCAGGCTCCCAGAGTGCTGGGATTATAGGTGTGAACCACTGCACCCAGCTGCATTCTTATTTCCTTTTCTTGTGGTGTTGAATGGTGAAGACTTCCAGTATAATATAGTGGTGAGAACAGATATTTCAAGGTTGGAAGATGCCAAAAAGTAGTTTGCCATTTGTAAAGAAAGTTCGGGATATTAGCTAGAGTTATGCACTACTACAAACATGATAAATCTCACATTACTAAAAACATGAAGTTAAAATCCATAGCAGTTGTATTTTAGCTTCCGACACTACAGAACTGTGTTTATGCCTGGGATTTCCACAGTTAAACTGGTTTTATGAAAATAAGTGTCAGTGATGTCTCTTTAAAGCATTAAAATAAATAAAAAAATTTTAAAAGCTGAAATGTGATATGAAATTGATGCCCTAAATTCTTACTCTAACTTTGTTTACTAGAATATTAGCATTATGGAATTTAGATGAAAAAAAAGTTCTTAAAATTAAGCTAGTCTTATAGTCCATGTAATGCTTGAATTCCCTTTACCGCGTTTTTTAATATCTTCATGGTAAATAATTAACTATTTTCTGGAATAGCTCATTCCACCTTTAGATTTTACTAATTGTTTGCATAACCATTGTTAAGTCTTCGATTGAATCTGATCTCAGTATTTTCTACCCACTGGTTCTTGTTCTAGTCTTTTCTTTCTCTGAGACATGTTTTCTAAATGTTAAGCATTATAAGTGACATTGAAAATTCTTCATATTCCATCATATAATTCTTCATATATTCTATCATATAATACATGCTCTCTTTCTCCTGGTCTCTCTCTTCTGAATGTCATTCAGGCTTATAAGTCCCTGGTAAAAGTGAGACATGTAAAACTAACTGTCCAGGAGTTTTTTTGATTCATGTTCTAAACGCTATGCTTTGATAGCCAGACTAAGAGGACTTTTGCTGTTTTGGTAGCAAATCCCACAGCTTCAAGTAGAATTAATGATCTCCATTTTACATATGAAAAGTAAAGAGGCACCAGTTCTTTACAACAGCATACCAGCTTGACTTGTCTGTCCTGTAGTACCTTGCTCCGTAACTGTTGCTTTCCGTAGGAAAATCTTCCCTATAACAGGCTACAAGCTTCAAGCTTAAATAATTAATTTCTCCTTTGGCTAGTTTTCCATCACGTCCATTCATTCATCAAGTGTACATTGCACTTGGATTCATGGGCTCTGAGCTAGGCACGAGAATTATTAATTGAAGAAAGCAAAGGTCAGCTTCAGAGATGTTCATAAAATAGTGTCCTTTATATTACAGTGTAATGACTGCTATAAAGAAGCATATATAAAGTTAGTAATAAATGGTAATAAATTACTGATCTCTGCTCTGGGGAAACCGAGAGGATGGGACATTTCATTTGAAGAATGTAGGAATGGCTGAGCTGAGAAGGCATGGAAGGGCATTGGAGACCCAGGGACCTGCATAGACAAAGCAGTTGAGGTACGGTAACTTAAGGAGTTACACACATTGAGGTTCCTCTTCTTATATACCTCCTATCTGGATTTTCAAGTTTCTTTTTTGTTTGTTTGTTTTTGGATGTTTCTGTTTGCTCTGTCTCTTTCTTTGGAAAGTACTTGTAGGATCAGCTGTTTTTGAAGACGTTAGAAAATACAGACAAGAACATTTTCCTCACTTTTTAAAATGGATTAACATATGGAGGAAGTGGGATAATTTTGATTTTGTCTTAGTCAAAATAGCCTATTTTAAATATTTTGTTGGCTGGGCATGGTGGCTCACGCCTGTAATCCCAGCACATTGGGAGGCTGAGGCAGGATCATGGCTGGAAGCCAGGAGTTAGAGAACAGACTGGGCAACATAACGAGACTCCCATTGCCACAAAAAAAAAAAAAAAAAAGAAAAGAAAAGAAAGCTGGGCATGGTGGTGTGTGCCTTCGATCCCAGCTACTTGGGAGGCTGAGGCAGGAGGATTGCTTGAGCCCGAGAGGTCAAGGCTGCAGTGAGCCAAGATCGTGGCACTGCACTCCAGCCTGGGCGAAAGAGTGAGAACTTGTCTCAAAAAAAAAAAAATTTTTGTAAATGTTCTTTACTAATGGGATAGACACAGTGGGGAGGGGTAGCTTGAGTCTGTTACATGAATGAAATGGAATGAGTACTAAACTGGACTCAATGGGGCCATTGGCGAGGGCCTTGTGGAGATGCTGACGGAGATGGGCAGCATCGCAGGATTGAAAAGCCCATCAGTGCAGTTTCATGTTGGTGAAAATAAAAGCCTGGGCCGGGCACAGTGGCTCACGCCTGTAATCCCAGCCACTTGGGAGGCTGAGGCAGGAGAGTCACTTGGACCTGGGAGGTGGAGGCTGCAGTGAGCCAAGATTGCGCCACTGCACTCCAGCCTGGGCAACAGAGCGAGACTCTAGCTCAAAAAAAAAAAAAAAAGAAAAAGAAAAGCAAAGCCTGTGTGAAAAGCCTTAGCATTAGCTCTCCTGGCAGCAACAGCTGCCTTGCCTGCCTCTGCTTTCGCAGCTGTTTTATGTAGGTGACAGGCGGACAGGAGAACAATTGAGCTTTTTCTTCTGGTTGAATTTGCGTTTCCTCTTTCATTTGTGGGTTATTGTTTGAAAAGAAGTGTACCCACATTCTCTGCTCTGTCAGCATCTTCCTTCCCAAGTTTTGAAGCATGCCACAGATTGCTAGGAGACAGCTGAAATTTTTAAAGCTTTTTATTATGTGTGCTTAAAGAGGGGGGAGAGATGCTCCTTGATGAGGGAAAGGTGCTTAGCATTTGGCAAGAGGAGATCATGCCTTCTCTCCCTACCTTCCCGCAGCTCCTCGAGGCTGGTGTGCAGGGGGAGTATGAGTTTTGCCTGCTCCCCTCTGTGGCTTATTTTGTAGTAAAATCTTGCGTTCTTGTGGAAGTGATTGACACTGATAGTTCTGTCAATCAAGGAAAATGACCAAAGAAAGTCTCAATCATTTCAGGAGGTTTACTTGCTAAAGTTAAGGATGGGCGCCTGGGAGACAGGTCTATGCCTTTCTCCTAAGATGATTTTGAGGTCTTTAGTATTTACAGGGGAAAGGGCAGGATATTAAGAAATAGGCAATTTTCATGTGAGAGGTGGGTAAATGGTCATTCATGCCTTTGTCTGGCTCGGTGAATCTGCATTTGTACATAAGGTAACGTAGACAGTAGGGCAGAGGAAACAATCAGATATGCATTTGTTTCAGGTAGGCAGAGAAACGACTTTGAGTTCTGTCCTACGTCCCCAACACCTGTGAAGATAAGGTATTTGTTTACATTACCATGTTGAACTTTAACAGAAATGCTGTAGGGTAAAAAGCTTGGGACTCACAAGGAGTTTCCTTGTGGGCAAAATATGAGGGAGGTATGTAGCTTTTCATCTTTGTCGCCATTTTATTTAGGAACCCAAATGGGAGGCAGGCTTGCATGACCCAGCTGCCAGCTTCACTCTTCCCTTTGGCTTAGTGAGTCTGGGGTCCCAAGATTTATTTTCCTCTCACAGTTCCATTGCAAAAAGTGCGAAGTTCACAGTGATGGGAAACATAGAGAAGGTACAGCTTCAGCGGCTTACAGAACCATTGTCTGACCTTCGAAACGATGGCGTGTATCCCTAGAGAGAGTGAAGGAATGTCTTGTGTTCTTGTTATGCACAAGGAGGGAAAGGGAGCTAGTATTTATTAAACTCCTACTGTGTGCCATGAATGCTTTCATTTAATTCTCACATCAACCTTCAGATTGGGCATTGTGACCTTTTAAAAATGAGAGCTTGGGTTGGGAGAGAAAAAATGATTTGCTAAGATTATCCAGGAGTGACTGGAAGACCCCAGCACTGGCCTCCCCAGGGTCACAGGCTTCTACCTCCCCACCATGCTGCACTGACTGTCTTGGGGGGATGGATGTGTGTTGACTGGCTCACCCCCCTTTCTTCTCACTCTTCTTATACTGCCAGGGGTGGGTTGTGTTGTCAGATGATTGGCCCAAATTATGATGCAGTCATAATCAAGAGCATGAGCCCCAGGGAATGGAGGCGTCAGGCATGACCTGGTTAGCAACGTGCTCCCTAAGTCATGGCTGGAAGACACCACGTATTTCTCTGCTGGCCTGTATCTACTCACCCTGCTGCTGACATCCCTATTGTGTCCAAAATCACACTTTCCTGACCGTTCCCGGAGTCTTACTTGGTAACCACAGGCAGCGGGCATATAAAGGCACAGTTGCCCTCTTCCTACCATGAGGTTTGGTCCAGGATCAGAGACAACTTTCTCAGCTGATGTTTTTGTTTTCTTTTCTCCTTTTCTGGGAATCTGACCCTCAGGTCTCGCCCTGAGTGTGCAAGCTTTTCTTTGCCTTTGGAGGGAGGCAGGAAATTCTCCTATCCTGGTGGACTCAGCCAGAGATGGCTTCTTTTTCTTAAGTTCTTCCTTATCAGAATTTTCCCAGCAGGAGGTAGGGGTTCATGATGGATGCGTTGGTTTCCTCACATCTGGAAAATAACCAGTGGGGACTGCCCCAGCAGTGGTTTGGTGTGTGTGGAGCCTCTCTGTGGCTGACACCACGTGGTGTCTCCCCATTTCACATCTGTGTGAGGTGGCTTGGACACACTGAGGTGCTGGAGACCAGCAGCACCTCCTGGACTAGCTCCTGCCAGAGTCTCTGCTGGCTAAGAGGCAAATTGGGGGGAGTCATACTGGACTTGGAATAGAGACCTGTTGTCCCTGTTCCAGTTGGGACAACCTTTGAGAAACACCACACCCCAAGGGCAGGCAGTGGTCAAAAGGGGAGAATAATTCACTGTCAGCATCCCTGTTAGCCAAACTGTCCCGACCCGGGGCAGATCGCTTTGTTAGTATAATAGTTTTTACTCTGTTAAACAAAGGTCCCCACATTAAAACCTGTTCTCAGTGAAATGTTAGGCTCGGACACTGATCCCGCAGCCGCCCTCTGCCTCCCAGCACAGGTGGGATATCTCGGATGCATTTATTCTCTCCCCTTGCACGGCTGGAGTAAAGTGCTTATGAAAACATCTCTTTTATTGATTCTACATGCTTTTTAAAATTCCATTTTCAAGATCGAGAACAGAGAATGCGTGGTGCGACCGAAGGTCTCCTGCTGGTGTGGAAAGGTGGCAGGCTGCCTCTGCAGCTTTGCCCGGAAGCTGGTGCCCCGGACTACTGCTTCTCAACACTCCTGAGGAGTTGCCTTTGGCTGTAATCACCCACCGGCCTCCTCTGTATGAACAGCACGGGTGAAACTCTTGATGTTACTTCTTCCTCCATTGAATAAGCCAGATTCTCTTTCTTCTGAGGAATAATTGAAGTCTTTTGCAGTGTACGTAAGCAAAATTACCTAACGCTCTTAAATTTTTCATACAACAGTTTCATCTGGAAGAGAGGCCATTGAAACCAAGCATTTGTGTTCAAGTAAGAAAATGTATCCAAGTCACAAAGAAACATAATTTGGCTTTTGGAGACATGAGCAGCTTCATTTCTCATTTGTTCATTCGAAAGTCTCCACTGGGCTTCTGAGTGCCACATCCTGTCCAGAATGATGAAAGATACAGAAAATGGTGCCTGCTGACCTTCTGGAGTTATTGGCTAGTAAGAAAGGTGGGTGGTATTCCAAGGTTTGTACCAAGAATTAATAAAATACAATCCCAATAATTAAAGTGATACAGTACAAAATGGGGTGCTGTGAGTAGTGAATAAGGAAATGAGGATTAAAGGTAAGGAAGAGTTAGCTGAGCAGAGAGAGAAAGAGGAAAGCAAAACTGGGAAAGAGCAGGAGGGTCAAGAACTGAAAGGGGGTTGGGTGCAGTGGCTCATGGCTCTATTTTCAGCACTTTGGGAGACGGAGGTAGGTGGATCCCTTGAACTCAGAAGTTCGAGACCAGCCTGGGTAATATAGCAAAACCCCATCTCTAGAAAAAATACAAAAATTCCCTGGGTGTGGTGGTGCATGCCTGTAGTCCCAGCTACTTGGGAGGCTGAGACAGGAGGATCGCTTAACCCTGGGAGGTGGAGGTGGCAGTGAACCAAGATGGCGCCTCCGCACTCCAGCCTGGGTGACAGAGTGAGACCCTGTCTCAAAAAAGCAAAACAAAAAAAACCAAAAACTCCACACAGCTGAAAGGGAACAAGGATGTCCTGATGGCCGAGAGGCAGAGGAAGTCCCTTGGAACAACAGGACATTGCCAGCCAACTGAAGGAGTCTTTGGTTCTCACCTTGAGGACGGCCAAACTTGTTTGTCAAGAACAAATTCTCAAGCCTTGTAGAGTTAAGATGGCTTCGTGTAGCACAATTAAATCTGAGCGCTGGAAATTGCTTCCATTGCCTGTGGTTTAGGGTGCCTCATATAAATTGAAATCCAGCAGGCCAGTTTCTAGAATGATCATACTCCCTTGTTTTAATTAATTAATTAAGTTTTTGGTTCTCGGGCCTCAGTCTCCTGAGTGGCTGGGATTACAGGTGTGTGCCACCATGCCCGGGGAATTTTTGTATTTTTTGTAGAGACAGGGTTTCACCTTGCTGGCCACGCTGGTCCACGCTGGTCTTTAACTCCTGAGCTCAAGCGATCCACTGACTTCAGCCTCCCAAGTGCTGGGATTATGGGCGTGAGTCACCATGTCCGGCCCCTTGTTTAAAGTCTTCCTCTTCCTTCCCCAACCCTTTGTCTGTGGTTTGCATGCTGAATTCCTATCACTGTCAAATTCTTCATGGAGACCTTACTCAAGCAGCCTAGAGTCTATGGCTTTACCATTAGGGCAACAAGCTTCCAGAATAATCTGGGAGAAGATGTTCTTTGGGAGAAAGCACTTGTCTTTGTTTTCAAGGTGTTTTATATGGGGTTAAAGATACCATCCTCCTGTTATCTCACTAGATGTAGACAGTTAAAAAGCTTTTACAAAATTTTCGGAATTTTCTAATGTGGTTGGTTGCACAGAATAATTGGCAGCCCTATTAATGATGTTCTGATGATCCTCTTTTGCTATGGTATTAATTTGTTTAGTTTAGTTTTGGGTCAGAAGAAAGACCTCATTGCTTTGATTCTTAGCTTATTGTGTAATCAAATCTTACTTTTTAAAAAAAAGTCCATTGTAGATTGGCCTTCCTGAATCTATAGACAACATATTTGACACTGTGGACGAAATTGTTCAAATAAAATCATTCAGTGTTATTTGGGTTATTAATCAGAAAAGAATGCATCAGATTTAAAAGAATTGGGTTATAAAAATATTGACTGTGCTTTTGGCTGCTTAGAGATTTGGAGCTGCAAGTAAAGGTACTTAAGTTAAAAAAAAAATAGAGCTTCAGCAGGCGGTAGATTGTAGAGTGAGGGGAGGGGACAGGACAGAGCCTGAATGGGGGCCAGACCCTCCTAGCATGTGCACCTTCTCTTTCTCACTGTCCTGAGTCTGAGTCCCAAGGCCAGGTGAGGTCGTCTTCTCTATGTTTAGGAGAGAATAAGAGTCTAGGGGGTTAAGTGATGCTTCCTAGCATGAAGCACAGTGGATAGGTTGGAAGAGAGCAGCACTTCCCTCTGGTTGTGCATTCTGGGGGACAAGTTTGGCCCTCCATGCAGTTGAGGGAAATCTGAGGAGACCCCCATGGCCACTCCCCATGACCAGTGCCATGCTGTATACAGCAGGTGCTCAATAAACGCTGGGAGATGATCTTTGCTATGGACTGAATTGTGTCTCCTTACAATTCCTGTGTTGAAGGCCTCACCCCCAAAGGGATGGTGATTGGAGAGGAGGACATTGGGAGCTGAGTAGGTTCAGTGAGGTCCCGAGGGTGGAGCGCTCGTGATGAGATGAGCGTCCCTGTAGAAAGAGGCACCAGGGCTGTCTCTGCCGTTGTGGGGACACAACAGGAAGCCGACCATCTGCAAGCCAGGAGGAGGCCCTCGCCAGAACCCGGCTGTGCTGGGACCCTGATCTTAGACTCCTGTCTCCAGTACCATGAGAAAAGACATTTCTGATCTTTAAGCCACCCAGTGTGTGGCATTTTGTCGTGGCTGCCCGAGGTGACTAAGACAATCCTTAAAATGCCTTCCAGCTCTAAATTCATCAGTCCTGAGACCAGTGATCATGTGTACAAATCCCTGTGGCTTTTCTCCCCAGTCACTTGATTGATTGGAGGCTTCTCTGTTGTATTGATGAATGGGACAGAGAGGCCCTGCTGGACTCTAGACTCATGGGCCCGTAAAACCCTGAGAAGGACCATGGGCCCCCTGATGTGCTTGGCCAGAGCCCAGACTGCTCATTTGCTCCTCTAGGCCATTCTGAGCTGCCCTGCCTGCCTCCAGCCTCCTTTCTCAGCTTTCCCTCTGCACACCGTGCTGTTTCTGGAACCCACAGGCCCTTCCGGATTCCCTGCCTCTGCCTGCCAGCCTCCCTGGCCAGGTCTCCCTGAATATCCACAGGCAGGACCTCTGTTCTCTCCCCTGCCCCGTTAAAGAAAAGCCAGAGCTGGAGGTAGGAGGTGAAGACAGTTTCTATTCAGGAACTATTGCAGTAGGGGAAAGAGACCTCAGTATAGAGCCGGGCTTAATTCTGAATACAGCATGGACAAGTGGGGAGGTGCAGCCCAGAAACAGGGTGGAAGGCTCAGTGGGTGGAAAGTTACTAAGAGGAGACCCCAGGGGCGAGGGGGATTCTGGCTAAACCCACCTTGCTGGAGGCAGACCAGGGTGACCAGACATCAAGGGTGGGGGACGAGGAACCGATCAGATAGTGACGTTGGGGATCTGGAGGCAGAGTCCAAGGTGGCCAGACACTGAGGGTAGAAGACAAGGAACTGATCAGATAGTGATGGTGTGGGATCCTGGCAAAACCAACTTTGCAGGATTCTTGCTAAAACTGGGCAGTGCAGAGACAGACATGGAAATGTAAAGGTGGAGGCCTGGTTGGGATGAGGATCCAGAGGCACCCAACTGGAGTCTCTGCCAGACCTCACGCACCACCCTGCTGTGTCAGATCCCAGTTACTGCTTGGCTCATGCTGTGAATCCTGAACCCCGCAAAGATTTGTCGTCTTTGTCGTGGAACCCCCAGCACCTGGACCCCTGCCTGCCCCAGGGGAGGTGATCAGAAGAGGCTTCCCGAGGCAGTGGAAGGGCCTGGGATGAAGGTGCAGGGCTCTGCTTCTCCACTGAGAGACAAAATAAAATAAATACAGGTGATTTCTCTTGGTAGCCAAGTCACAAGTTCTACTCCTGTGGGTCAGGGCCCCCTCCTCAAAAATTCCTTTGTTAAAGTCCTGCCTCAGAATGTGACCTTATTTGTAGGTGACAGCTGCAGGTGACACGAGAGCCCTTCCAACAGGGCGTGTTCCTGCCTTCACTGGTCAGCTGCAAAAGGCGGGCACAGGCTGCTCCTGAGGCTGTGTGGCCAGGGCAATACCTCACGGAGCTTCCTGTGGCCACAGCAGCAGCAGCATCTGTGAGCTTGAAAGGGGATGATGAGTGAGACTTTTGTCCACAGTTCTTGGTTGAGCTGCCACAAGCAGATGGGAAAGGCTGAGAAAGAAACCATTCCTCCCTGGGTGGGGACGCTTGAAATTCCCTTTCAACCAAGGGGACGCCACAAGCACCCCGTTCATACCTGCGTGCAGATGCCAGCGCCTGGCTCGTTGGTGACCAGCAAGGGTCCCAGCTGAGCCGGGGTGCTCTCCTGTGGCTCTGGTGGAACGTCCACAGGATACTGGAGAGATGATTCAAACATCATTTAGATGGGGGAGCCGTTGAAATAGACTTGACAGTTTGTTTTGCTTAGTAGAAAAAAATTAAAAAATTGTCAGCTACTATCACCATTTTTAAAATAAGATTAAAAAATGTATTTTACAAAAAAAAAAAGGTAAAAATGAGCAGCTCACCATGTCCCACTTCTTCCACCCCAGCGCCAACACCCTCACTCAGCCGTGGTCCAGCCAGAAGACAAGGTCAGATAAAACAACCATAAAGAAAAAAAAAACCTTCTTCTAGAGTGGCTGGGAATGAGGTCACCGTGATGTCTTCCCCTGAATCGGTGCCATCGTGGTTTTGAAGTGTGACGGTCACTCAGCTCAGGAGTCCTCGCTATGTGAGCCTGTCCACCACTATTCACCCTTGGTGGAAGAAGACCCTGAGCACCCCAAAACATGACATCCTTATTTTCAGGAACCTCTAACTGAAATTGAGCCCTTCCTTTCTTTATGAATATAGGCACTGTCTTAGTTCCCTGCGGCTGTGGTAACAAAGCGCCTCAAACTGGGTGGCTTAAAACACAGACATTTGCTGTCTCAGGGCTCTGGAGGCTGGAAGTCTGAGACCAGAGTGTCACTGGGGTTGGTTCTTCTGAGGCTGTCAGGGAGAATCTACTCCAGGCCCTCCCGCAGGCTCTGGGAGTGGCTGGCTGCCTTTGGCATTCCTTGGCTGGGAGACACAAAGCCTTGAGCCCTGCCTTCCTCTTCACACTGTGTTTTCTCTGTTTGTGAGTCTGTGTCCAAATTTCCCTGGAGAAATACCCATCATATGGGTTAGGGATCCCCCAATGACCTCACTGAAACTTAATGTGGAGCCTGTCTCCAAATAAGGTCACATTCTGAGGTATTGGTGGTGAGGACTTTAACATGGGAGTTTTTTGGGAGGAGGCCCTCACCCACAGTAGTAGAACTTGTGACTTTGTCACCAAAAGAAATCACTTATTTTCACATCGCACCGTAGTAGCAGTGGACATCTCCAAATACCGGCGAAGCTAGTCCTGCCTGCAAAGTTAAGGCAGTTTTTTTTATCAGATCTAGAGCTGGAAATCATTGTTAAATGAGGCGATGAGGAAGTGTGTATATTATTCTGGCTCACTTTTAAAAATATTTTGATCCATTTATTTCAACATAATTGATTTCCCCTGTGATTCTGTATGTTTTGTATTATACATGTAAAAACGTTATTCAGAGGAGTTCACAGGCTTCACCCGACTGTGTTGAAAGGACCCATGATGTAAGGATGTTTGTTGTGGGGGGTGCTTGTGGCTCCTTAACTGGCTCTGGAAAGAGCCTACTTCCCATAGTGAACCCTGTGAGGTCCAATTCTGTTCCTCCCCCTGGAGCTCCAAGAGAAGGTCATTGTCCTTGTAGCAGCAGGTGCCCCCCCAAGCTGGGTTCTCACTGCAGGTGCCAGCGGGCTCTCAGTAGGTATGACCTGGATGTGAGTGGTGAGCCAGGATTGAGGCACTCAGCACCTTCGACCACACTTCCCACTCTCCCTGGGGTTCAAGTCAGGCTATGGAAAGTGTACACCCTGTTTGTCATATAACTGGATGGGTGGTGGGCAGAACGCCTCTGGCAAGGTAGACCTTGAAGGCAAAACTGAGTTGAGGTTTGTTAGGACGGAAATAATTACTGCTGGGCATGCAGCACTTCCCAACCGTTCTGTGAGGCAGGCAGTGTTATTGCCAGTTTGGCACAAGGGCACAGGTGTAGAACACGTAAGTGCCCTGGGCCGTGCTACACCACCACTGTGTTTGAGCTGAGATGTGAACCAGGGCCTTCTGATTCCAAATTCCTCATTCCTTTCATCCTAGCAGGCTGCCTGCGGTTAGCAGAAGGGGACTCCTGTATCTGCTCTGCAGCTTCTTCAGCTGATTTATAATGGAAAACAGAGTAGATATTGATTTGGCAATTAGTGAAATATTATGAGAATCATCATAGCAAACTTCACAGTTTGATCAAGGATCCTGCCTTCAATATCTGGCCAACTGATGTGTAAAAGCAGCTGCAAGAACTTCAGAGCTGACAAAAAAAGCAAACTCCAGACTTTATTTCCTGGAATCTGTTTTGTGAGACACTGGCCCATGAAATGCTCTCCCAGAAATAGTCGGATTTGTGGTCAAATAAATTTGGGCAATTCTACAGAACATGTGTCTTTTTCAGAGATTTATTTTTAATTAAACTTATTTAAAAATATTAACATGGTACAATTTGCATATAGTGAAGTGTGCAAATCTTCGCTACATGGCTCAATGAGTTTTTACATATATTTCCACCCATGTAATCACCACCGAGATCTAGAATAGAATGTATTCGTCTCTCCAGAGGTTCCTCTGTTCCCTTGCAGTCAATAATTCTCCACCAAAGATAAACATTCTGCTGACTTCCTTCATCATTGATAAGTTTTTCCTGGTTTTGAACTTCATATAAATGGAATCATTTCATGTCTAGCTCTTTTCACTCAACATAACATCTGTCAGATTAATACATCGCATGTCAATAGTTTGTAGTTTTTATGGCTGTGTAGCATTTCATTCATTCATTCTGCTGTTGATGGAAATTTCTTGACTAGAGTTGTGTTATCAATTTATTGCCTCTTGGCTCCAAATTCACCCTTTTTGCCTGGTCTCTGGAAATGGGTCTGGGCCCTCTAAATATTTTCCCTTTGCAATCTGGCTCTTGAAGCTTATCAGTGGAGGGTCCTGGAGGGGCATTGCAGGGGAAACAGTTTTTCCTTCCTGGTTCAGGGACGCTGGTTTGGTAGCCCCTGTGGTGTTACAGGAGTACTTGGCAAGACAGCAGTTTCCCCGGGTACACCCGCTAGGTGTTTTGTAGCAGAGTGCATCTGTGAGACAACTGGTGAACTGCTTTCCTTGCAACCTAGAGGGCAGATTTCTGGCAAGTTCCAGAGGGTGGATTCCAAACATGTTCCTCTAATGTGGATCTGCAGTGATGTCTCTGCCATTCAGTGGGCATAGCTGTGCCCTTTTAGTGGGGTCTAGATCTCAGCCCTGGGATTGGGGGCATTTTCTCAGTTGCTCAATCTCAGCCCTAGGGGCAGTGACCATTCCTTATATATGGTTGTTTGTATATTCTTTGGAACTGTCTTGATTTTATTACTGTTAGTCTCTCATTACTCCACTCCCTTATTATAGTAAATGATTCTTTGTATTTGACTTTCCCTGGTCAAGGTACTAAGTGGTTTTTCTCTCCTGTTTGGATCTAGATTGATACAATAATTTTTTGCAATTATGAGCAATGCTGCTGTGAACATTCTTGATCATGTCTTAGTGGACATAAGCAATAATTGCTGCTGGGTCTGTGTGCAGGAATGATTTGCTAGATCATAGCACATACGTTTATCTGTAGCAGAAACTGCCAAGGTATATACAGCTTTCCAAAGTGTGTTAATTTACATGCCTGCTAGCAAGGTAGGAGAAATACAGTTGCTTCCCAAGTAGCTGGGATTACAGGTGTGTGCCACCACTCCTGGCTAATTTTTTGTAGAGATAGGGTTTTGCCATGTTGGCCAGGCTAGTCTTGAACTGCTGGCCTCAAGTGATCTGCCTGCCTTGGGCTCCCAAAGTGCTAGGATTACAGGGATGAGCCACCATGGTCGACTTCATGATAAAACTTCAGTGGATGAGGAGCTGCCTCTTATGATGAACAAAGAAGGTGGTTTCTTGAAATGGAATCTACTCCTGGTGAAGATGCTGTGAACATTGTTGAAATGACAAGAAAGAATTTACAGTGTTACATAGAGTTAGTTGATGAAGCAGTAGCAGGATTCGAGAGGATCGATTCCAATTTCAAAATAAGTTCTTCTGTGGGTAAAATGCTATCAAATGGCGTCGCATGCTACAGAGAAATCTATCATGAAAGGAAGAGTCAATTGATGTGGCAAACTTCATTGTTGTCGTATTTTAAGAAATTGTCACGACCACCCCAACCTTCAACAACCATGACCCTGATCAGTCAGGAGCCATCCACATTGAGGCGAGAACCTCCAGCAGTAAAAAGATTATGATTCTCTAAAGGATCAGATGAACATTAGCATTTTTTTAAGCAATAAAGTATTTTTACGTAAGATATGTATGTTATTTTTTAGGCATAATGCTATTATGCATTTAATAGACTCCAGTATATTGTAAACATAACTTTAAATGCACTGGGAGATAAAAGTATTTGCTCTTTTATGATATTTGCTTTATTGCAGTAGTCTGTAATGGAAACTACATTATCTCTTGGGTACACCTGTATACAGAAAGAAATTTATCATGAGGAAATGCTCATGCAATGATGGAGGCTGGAAAGTCCCAAGATCTGCAGTCAGCAAGTTGGAGACCCATGAGAGTCGATGGTGTGGCCCCAGTCTGTGTTTGAAGGCCTGAGAACCAGGAGAGCCAAAAGCTGGCAAGCTCTGGACCCAGGAAGAGCTGATGTTTCAGTTCAAGTCCGAAGGCAGGAAAAGACTGAAGGCCCAGCTCCAGGCAGTCAGGCAGGAGAACTTTCCTTTTACTCACGAGAGGGTCAGCATTTTGTTCTGTTCAGGCTGTCAACTGAGTGACCCAGAAAAGCTGGCACATAACATTCACCATCGTGCTGCAAGAGCTGCAAAACCCTCTCTGCTTCTAACACTGATGCTCAGCCCACCTCCAGTGGGCAGGGAGCTGGGTGCCGGGAGGACTTGGGGTTGCCAGCCCAGTGTGGGCCTGGACAGTTGCTGAGAATCTCCCTCCGCCCTGTGACTTCTTAATTACTTAGAGGGTCACCCTGGTTGCTCACTTCAGCTCACTTGGGAGATTCTCTCTGCTTGAGGCCAGGGGTAGGTCCAGGTCTGATGGGGTCTGAAGCTTATACAATTGGGGTGGGGGGCATTCCTCTTTAAGGAAAAGAAAACAGCAGAGGTGAGTCGTCCTGCAGCTTAGCTTCACTAGTCTCGTGGAAAATTTGCCTCCTAAAATGTCTTTCCTCTGAGAAAGCCCAGGCCTCCAAAGGCCCAGCCAGGCTGGCGTCAGTCTGGGGTCAGCTGCGGGGAGGCTCCAGGCCATGTGTGACACGGGAGTTTACCCCATCCCAGTTTCCAGTGGAGAAGCATCGTTCTCGTCCACCCCCGTCATGCTCTTTTCCACCTTCTCCAGGGGAAGGGATATTTTCAGTCTGTACAACGAATCCACTGAAATGTTAAGGTGGGCACAGTGGTCTGGGGTCTTCGACCTTGTTTATACGTGGTGCCTGTTACTGGTCGGGTCTGTACAGGCAGTTTCCACTGGCGTTTTTTACCAGGCCAGCCTAGAGTAGAATGACCGCATGTTAAAATATAGATTCCTGGGCCCCAGACCTGCCAGAATCTCTGTGAGATGGAACCTTTCAACCTGGGTTTTAAACAAGCCTCCCGGGTGATTCTGACACTCACTGGATTTGAGAACCGTGGGGTTGTTCAGACAGCAGGGACGTTGATGTTGTTCCTTCTGCGTTCCTGGTGATGCTGTTCTGTTCTCCCAAGGCCTATGCGGTGGTGAGAATCTCCAAGGATACAAGACAGTGATCTGGAGCGAGTGTCCTGAAAGCAGACTCTAGCACTCAGGACTGCCAACACCCTCCCCGGGTTTCCTTGGTCTGGAATTCCCATCCCCTGGTTCCACCTGTTACATCACACCTCCCCTTCAAGGACCAGTGCAGATGCCACGTCCTTCACGGGGCTCAGAATGCTCACCAGCTTCCTCTCCACCGAGGGCCACAGCCCCTGGAGACCCCTTGAGCTGAGTGCTTTGTCCTTGCATACTCTTTCTGGCCTCATAGTGGGGCTTGGCCATTGTCCCTTCACTCCAGATCTCTCCTTTCAGGTCCAGGAAGTGCATCTTGAACTTAACTTTCCAGACCCCCCCTTCAGTTTTCCAGTCCTTAGAGAGGTGGACTTCTGATTCCTTTGTCTCTGTGCCCTGTAGCCTCAGGTCAGGCTTAAGGCAAGGTCTCCTCACCTGGCCTGGGGAGAGTCCCAGGACGCTGCACGTGCCTGTGCGGGTAGGATGCTGATGCCCAGATTTCCCGTTAGAGAGCCTTTCCCTATCCTGACGGCTCTAGCTTTGTGTGTTACTTACTTGTTCCACTTTAATTCAAAATGTACCCAGCAACCAGCTTGTGCACAGTTCTCTGGGGTTTCAGGAGGGATGTAAGACATACCCCTTGCCCTTCAGGCACTATGGCCAGAAGGGGGGCAGTGACCTAGGCAGAGGGCGGGAGCCAGCAGATGGGATACACTCAGAGGAGCCTGCAGCAGGCAGAGGCAGAGGAGAAGGGAGGTCTACACGTTCTGCACTGTATTTATCTCCTTCAGTTCCAAGGTTCTCTCCTGGCATCTATATTGCTCATGAGTTACAGAGCAAAGCCTGGTGTGATGGTTACTTTTAGGTGTCAACTTGGCTGGATTAATAAATACCTAGAGAACTGGTAAAGCATTATTTCTGGGTGTGTTTGTGAAGGTGTTTCCAGAGGAGATTGGCTGTGAGTCAGTGGGCTGAGTGGGGAGGAGCTGCCCTCCATGTGGGCAGGCACCATCCATTGACTGGGCCCAGATAGAACAAGAAGGCAGAAGAAATGTGAATTCCTCTTTCTCTGCTGGAGCTGGGATATTCTTCTTCTCCTGCCCTTGGACATCAGAGCTGCAGGCTCTCTGGCCTTTGGACCCGAGGATTTATACCAAGCAGGTTTCTGGGTTCTCAGGCCTTTGGCCTTGGACTGATAGTTACACCATTGGCATATCTGGTTCTGAGGCTCTTGGTCTTGGACTGAGCCACACTCCTGGCATCCCAGCGTCTCCAGCTTGCATGGCCTGTCACGGTATTTCCCAACCTCCGTAATCACGCTAGCCAATTCTTCTAAGAAATTTCTTCTCATCTATCTGTCTGTCTATCTATCTATCTGTCTACCTACCGACTTACCTACCTACCTGCCTATCTATCTTTTGATTAATCTACCTATCAATCTTTCTATCTATCCATAACCTGTTGATTCGATCTCTCTAGAGAACCCTGACTAATACACCTGGAGTGCAGAATCTGCTGGAGAAACTGCCATTCCGTTATTGACTGGCTGGTCAGGCCATACAGCCTGGTGGTCTAGATGTGTTTGGAGGTAGGGCTTCTGTAGCACAGATAGTGCCTGTTCATGGCTCTGTCCCAGGTAAGGCAGAGCTAGCTTGTGCTGAGGGCTTCTGCTTTGCAGCTGGCCTGGGGTGGCTAGGATCTGGGGACACAGGCTGCCCTTTCCAGGCTCTGTCTGCTGGTGCTGCAGGTGCCCCTACCTCCTCCTTCAGTGGAAGGCTGGCCCCCAGGTCCTCTTTAGGCCCAATACAGACTCAGCCAAAGATGCAGATGTCTCATATATGAGGATTCTGAGCTGTGACTTCTGGTGGTAACTCCACTTTAGGCAGGAAAAATGTTCAACTGCCCATGAAAACAAATGACCCCGGGTCATTTGGGTTTGGCACCTGCTCTGCCAGTTGGGTTTGGCACCTGCTCTGCCTCCTGGGAAACAGTTTGGCCAATGCACTGCATGAGGTGAGCGCCCATCCCTGGGAATTTAGAGCCCTGTGAAGGGTCCTGAGGAGAGGCACATCAGAGAGAATGAGAATTTAAGGTTTACTGTTAAAGCAACCCATAGAAAAGGAGCAGAATTATTCAAGCAAGGAAACAAAGTAGAAAAATATCTTCTTTCCCTTGCACTTGGTTTTTATGTTTCTCTCTAAAATGTATTGTGGGGGAGAAAGCAGTCCCCCAACCCCCCTAATCAGCTGCATATCTTAGCCATGCAAATAAATAATGAAAGAGAGAAAGAAGGAGAGAAAGAGAAAGAAAAGTAAAGGAAGGAAGGAGAGAAGGAAGGAAAGAAAGAAAAGAAAGAAAGAAACTTTGCAGCATCCTGGAGCACCAGTTCAGACAAGTTCTGGTCTCCTGCTTGCCTTCTGCTGTGATTTCTCTGAAGTTGCTGGGGGCAGGAGCTGGGCAGGAACTCCCCAGGGGTGCCAAGCAGAGCAGGTAGTTGGCTAAGTTTGCCTCCAGGAAAGAAGTCCCTGGAGAGCGAGCTGGTTCTAGAAAGCTCCATTATTATATTCCTATTGCTTTTGGCGAATATATGTAGAACAGAATTTTGACAATGAAATTTTCAGGTGCTCTTTTGGCCATCAAAATAACCAGCTCTTGGCTGGGCACAGTGGCTTGCCCTTGTAATTCCAGTGTTTTGGGAGGCCAAGGCAGGGGACTGCGTGAGCCCAGGAGTTTGAGACTAGCCTGGGCAACATAGTGAAACCCCATCTCTACAAAAAATACAAAGTTAGAAGAGTATGGTGGCATGCGCCTGTGGTCACAGCTACTTGGGAAGCTGTGACCCAAGTCACAGGAGGATCGCTTGAGCCCAGGAGTTCAGGGCTGTAGTGAGCTATGATTGTGCTACTGTGCTCCAGCCTGGGAGACAGAGTGACATCAGGTCTCTGAAATATTAAAATTAAAAAGCCCAAACCAACTCTGCTTTTCACTCTTTCAGTTTCATTTCTTGCTGTCCTCTCTGTCCTCTCACCCAGGGTAACATTTTTAAAGTGCCGCTATTGTGTTAAGAATTGGATTTATTCTCTGTGTTAAATTCTCTCAGCATTAACTACAGACTCTGTTATGTAAATAAGGTAAATTATCAGGATGAGAAGTGAGACTCTAATTTATGAGTTTATCATGTCTCTTTAAAAAGCTGCTAGGTGCTATCCTAACTTATTAGGCTTGAAGGATTCTGGGGGATTGGCATATTGTTACTGTTGTGGACTTTGTTTGCCTTGATCATACCCATTTTACAGATGAGAAAAGTGAGGCTGGGATTGGGGCTCAAATGCGTGCTCAGAGTCACATAAGTAGGTTGGAAGGTGACGCTACAGACACGGTAAATTGTGAAGGCCTGCTGGTAAGGCACGAGTGATTTGAATGACACTCTTTTTTTTTTTTTCCTAGTGATTCCTGTCAGAATCACCATTTTTGGTAAACAAACCAAGCCCAGAACCTGATAATTATGGAGCATTCTACACTGACAGTTCTTTGAGACAAATTTCCTCTTGGCATTTACACTGTGGCTTTAGCTTTCAAACCAGAGGTTCCTCTTACCCAGCAAAAAGTGAGTTATACGCTTTCTTAATGTTATAACGTTACCATGGATGATCCTGAACTTGCCGAGGATAGCAGAGACGGGTGGGCAGAACAGGAAAGAATCAGATCAGAGACTGTAAAAAGTAACTTAAAAAAAAATAATTCTGGCAGAGACAGAATTTGAAGGTACTTGTGCACATCAGAACACTGGACTTGCTTTTTTCTGGGAGCAGGAATGCTGCTTAATTAGATCAGAGAAGAATGCAAGTGGTCCATACATTTAGATCTACAATGCGTGGTTTCCAGACCTGCAGCTTGTTTTGCTGCGCTTCATCATGGAGTCATAGAAGGGCAGAGCTGGAGGACCGAGTGAGGGACCTGGTGCCATATCCCTACAGACAGGCAATTGGAGACTCCCGTAGGTTAAGGGCTGCAGAGCCTGGACCAATGCCCAGAATCTCTGAGCTTTTTATCTTACACCATGAAGTGACAGATGCTGGCAGATGTTAGACCTTTGTGCTTAACTGTTTAACCACACAGCACCCGACTTCTGTATGCAGCGAGGTTCTAGAGTTTCCAAAACACGGGTCTCCTCTCCCACCTCAGCCTCCTAGCATAAAACTAGACACATCCTCATGCTTTTGAGGTCTAATCATTGGATTTTGTTCCTTTCAGATGGCTTTCCCGAAGATGAGATTGATGTATATTTGCCTTCTGGTTCTGGGGGCTCTTTGTTTGTATTTTAGCATGTACAGTCTAAATCCTTTCAAAGAACAGTCCTTTGTTTACAAGAAAGACGGGAACTTCCTTAAGCTCCCAGATACAGACTGCAGGCAGACACCTCCCTTCCTCGTCCTGCTGGTGACCTCATCCCACAAACAGTTGGCTGAGCGCATGGCCATCCGGCAGACGTGGGGGAAAGAGAGGATGGTGAAGGGAAAGCAGCTGAAGACATTCTTCCTCCTGGGGACCACCAGCAGTGCAGCGGAAACGAAAGAGGTGGACCAGGAGAGCCAGCGACACGGGGACATTATCCAGAAGGATTTCCTAGACGTCTATTACAATCTGACCCTGAAGACCATGATGGGCATAGAATGGGTCCATCGCTTTTGTCCTCAGGCGGCGTTTGTGATGAAAACAGACTCAGACATGTTCATCAATGTTGACTATCTGACTGAACTGCTTCTGAAGAAAAACAGAACAACCAGGTTTTTCACTGGCTTCTTGAAACTCAATGAGTTTCCCATCAGGCAGCCATTCAGCAAGTGGTTTGTCAGTAAATCTGAATATCCGTGGGACAGGTACCCACCATTCTGCTCCGGCACCGGCTACGTGTTTTCTGGCGACGTGGCGAGTCAGGTGTACAATGTCTCCAAGAGCGTCCCATACATTAAACTGGAAGACGTGTTTGTGGGGCTCTGCCTCGAAAGGCTGAACATCAGATTGGAGGAGCTCCACTCCCAGCCGACCTTTTTTCCAGGGGGCTTACGCTTCTCCGTATGCCTCTTCAGGAGGATCGTGGCCTGCCACTTCATCAAGCCTCGGACTCTCTTGGACTACTGGCAGGCTCTAGAGAATTCCCGGGGGGAAGATTGTCCGCCTGTCTGAGGGGAGCCCAGAGGCACATCCGGACAAGTTTCAGATAACCCGTGGGGATAGTTTTTGCTAGATTTTGGAAGAGGGGGCGGGACAGAGGATGCTGTTCTTCAGTGCTGAAATCCACGCCAGAATGTCGGTGTTCATGAAGTCACTGATTAGTTCCCACTTGGTGCCCCAGGCAATAATAGGCCCGTCTCTTGGGCACGCACACTCTTCATACTAAGTGTTTGACATACACCTGGATTTTTGCATTTCAGGGGTCAGTATCCTATGACATGATGGGTGTTACCATCCTAATTTTACAGGCAAGGACACAGCAGCTGCGAGAGGTACAGAAACTTGTCCCAAGGCTCACAGCCAGTAGGCATAGGAGCGGGAATGAAAATCGAGCACTGTCAGAATCTGGTGGGCAGCCCCTGACTTGAACCACTCCCACGTGCTGCCTCCCTTAGGAGGGGACACTGATGATGAGGTCTCGGAGCCGGCATCCTTCCATCCCTGTCGAGTCCCCTCCACCTCAGCTCCCAGTCCTTGTGCTTTTTGGAGCTAAGCCTGGGATGACCAAATTCACCCCAGCTCCTTCATTCACAGGGCTGGATGTAGCTGGGATTGAGTCCATGTTATCGGCTCGGTACTCAACACAACCCAAGTTTCATCCGAGGAAATGTCCCCGCAGTGGATGCAGCTCACATGCTGAGGAACACCCAGCTCTGGACAGAGTTCTTATAAATGTATAAATTAGGCTCAGAAACCACTGCATTCTGACCTGCTGTACAGACTGCCCACACTGCTGACCTGCCTAGCGAGCAGGACATCCCTTCTGAGCCATCTGCTGCTCTCTCATTTCATCACCCCAACTGTCCCTTGTTTTTGATCAATGGGGACCAGCCACTGCCCCAGGAGCACTTTAGGGCTCTCAGTTCAAACTGAAGGACAGTTGAACTCAGATGGGGTTCATGTGGGATTCTGGGAGCTTTCTGGGAATTCAGTTGGAGTCAAGTCAGGATGCTCTCAAGGACCCCTCGGGCTCAGAGCCCTAAAGTGGGCCCTGGTGAAGCAGGGTGGTCCTGCGTCCACTTCCCAAGCCTGAGCCAAGCTCATCTTCATTGAATGTCTCATTTGGCCGAGGAACAACTGAACTTTGTGGTTTGCTGTTTAGCCTTCAGTTTGCTCCGCTGCCTCCTACCCAGAGGTTTGTGCGAGCCTGTGTTGCAGGGTTGTATAAAACCAAGGTACTTCGTTAGTTTTGCCCATTCAGCCATGGTCACGTGACATGCAAAGTAATCTTGCTCCTAATTATAGAAATGATTTTTCTTTTAATTTTTTACTTTACCAGACTTTACTTTGTACTCAGAGAAGAGGCCTCACATGGCTGTGTCACATATAAATGTTGGACTAAACTCTTACTTGAACTCAGGAAAAGTTACTTGCTGCAAAATGGTTTTGACCATGTTCAATTGCAAAAGTACGTCTGATATCCTATTTTGCATACCATTTCTTGTGTTTGGATTAAGCTGCTTCTTTGTAGATGTGTTTCCTCATCCTGGCTGCTCTGAACGCACTGGGTCATGTTCAGAAAAGCCTCCTTCTCAGGTGGAAAAAATCAGGGACTGAGCTTGTCTTTTGAAGCCCAAATTTAAGAGCCACGCCTCTCGGTTCCATAGGATGGGCCGCCTCTCATTCTGAAGATGACTGTGCTTTGAGGGAGAAGTCGTCTGTTTGGCAGTAGGCCTGCGTCTGTGTTTCGTGGTCTACCTTGTCAGGTGTGTGTCTGTGTGGCCACTGGTCTCAGTCGGCGAGGCCGGTCCAGCTGCTGCCTCTGTGTGACTGGCTTTGGGTCTGGCCTTCACAGCATCAGCTCACAGCCCACAGCTCCAGGGACAAATGAGGACAGGCGTGGGCTCTCCCTACTGCTTCTGTGTGTTCTTAAAGGATTTTCTTTGAGACCCATTGTTTCCCCTCCCCTCCCCTCCCCTCCCATCCCCTTCCCTCTTCTTTTCTTTTCTTTTTTTCTGACAGGGTCTCACCCTGTCACCCAAGCTGGAGCGTAGTGGCCTGATCTCGCTGCAGCCTTGAACTCAACGAGCCTCAAACGAGCCTCCTGCCTCAGCCAGTGGGTAGTTGGGATTACAGGTGTGTATTTCTTTATACAATGAATAATTCTTTTTCTTGAGGAAAAAACATTATTTCATGAATCTAGAACTTGAAGGAACCTTAGAGCTCATTCAATCCTGCCTCCTCTTTTATGTGGGATGCAAACGAGGCTCAGAGAGACGTAACAACTTGCCCAGGACCTTCCCAGCTTGTTTGTTGCAGAAGGAGGGTTCCAGCTCAGCGTGGGTTTCCTGGTGCTGTCTTGTCTGGATGTGAGAGTGAGAAACAATGTGAAAGCATGAGTGAGGAGGCCAAGCAGTGCTTCCCCAGGAACACCCAGCGCTAGCTCCAGAGTGGGAATGGAGAGGTCCAGGTTGGCCGGGCCGGGGCTTCACCGCAGGCACCCAGAGAGGAAGGATTCCGATGGGCAGGTGCTGAGCTAGGGGCTGTGTAGGTATTGCCTCATCTACATGCTCTCAATGAGTTTTCCGGGGGCAGAGACCTGCAGTTGCTCAGGTTTACAGATTAGGAAACTGAGGCAGAGAGAGAGAGGGTGAACAACTCATTCAAGGTTACATAGGTGAAAAGTGGTGGAAACGGGGTGACCCTAAGCTGCCCTGTGGCCTCCCCAGCCACCTGCTGACGGAGCTGTGGGAGCACATTGCATTGGCTGCTCCCACTGCCTCTCTGGGGTGCCTCCTCAGACTCCCCCAACCATACACGCCTACACCCAGCCCCCAAACCTCCGTACTCTGCCTTCTACTGTGACTGTGGCAGAAGCCACTTGGCCCCCGTGGTGCCAGAACCCCTGGTATTGGACTGACTCCAGCTCTTCTTCCACAGCTCCTGATGTGGCCTCACTCTCGTCCTACCACCTGCTGTCCCCTCTGCTGGATCACCCCATTAGCACACAGACACGCTGCCATTTTCCACCTGACCAGAAATGGCCACCACCTTCCCCGACCCCTTCCCTGACCCCCTTCCCCGTCCCGCTGCCCCATCCTGTTGCGTTTCTGGTGGAACCCCGCACGAGAGTTTTACTTGTCTGTTGCCTCGTCCTAATCCTTCCCTTCTTTCCCAAATGCCGTCTCATCAGACTTCTGCACCCCCACTCCACCCACATGGCCCTTCTCAGGGCACCCACCACCCCCTGTGGCTGGGTCCTGTGGGCAGTTCTTGTTCTCCTCCTGCTTGACGTGGCGAGTCCTCATCACCAGCTTCCAGGACACCGGGTGCTCTTGGTCTCCCTCCTCCTTGCTGCTCGCCTTTTCCATCTCCCCTGCTTGCTCCTTCTCTTTGCTCTGACAGTGTCGTGCTGGAGGATCCTGGGCTCTGCGTGGGGCCCCCTTTCTTCCCTGGTTATACCCAGTCCTCCGAGGGGCCCACCTTGTCTCATGGCTTTAAATATGTTGATGATGTTTCCATTTATCTCCAGCCTAGAACTCTTTCTTGCTCTTCAATCCACTGCCTACCTGATTTCCCATAGTGAACAATCCAACACTGACCTTCTGGTTAACTGCCCCACATCCAGCCCATCTGCAGCCATTCCCGTCTCAGGTAATGGCCACTCCATCTTCCTGCAGCTCAAGTGGGAAGCCCTGGAGCCATTCCGACTCCTCTCCCATCTGGTGCATCAGGAAAGACTGTGGGAACTACCTTCAAATTCTCTCCAGGAGCCAACCACCTCCTGCCCCTCCACTGCGACCACCCTTGTTCAAGCCTGCATTGCCTCTCACCTGCATTCGTGCAGCTACCTCCAGACCCTCCCTCAGCTTCCATTATTGCATCCTTTGGTCTCTTCCCAGCAGCATCCAGAGTGATCCTTTGAAAATCTCATTTCTCTGCTCAAAACCCTCCTGAGGTTTCCCATCACCAAGGATATTAAGGATAAAAACCACATCCTTCATACCATTGTCTACCTGTGATTCCCTAATCGTGTCCCTTTGCTCACTCCCTCTGGCCTCTTGCTGTTCCCTGAACAGCAGTCTGTTCCAGCCACAGCAGCCCCTTTGCCCTATGTGCCCATCCCCGTCAGCCTTGGCACTGGCTGTCCTCTCTGCTGGGAGTGCCCTTTCTTCAGATGCTCTCATGCTTCGCTTCTTTGCCTTGTTGACATTTGGTCAATGTCACCTTCTCAGTGAGGCCTACCCTGACCTCCCTGTAGGAAAATGCAACTCACCTCACTCCCATGCCCCGTACCTTATATTGTTTTCCTTGCACTTACCAATTTCTAACAAAGCATGTAATATCTGTTTATTATAACATATCTATATTTTATGGTTTATGTTTCACGCAACTTGAATGTAACCTTTGTGTGGGCCGTGGGTCTTTCTCTGTTTCCTTCACTGACGCACCTTGGATTCTTAGCATGGTCCCAGCACATAGTAGATGCTCAATAAACATTTGTTGAGTGGAACTGAATGTATTGGTATGGTAGGTGGGTTTTAGAAGGGAATGGGTGAACCAGGACTGAAAAAAAAGAAATATTTTTCAAAGTAAGCCAACACTGTGGTTTCACTTGAGTCAGTAAGTAGGAAATGGGTGCGACTCTGTGACCTGAAAACCTAGAAATGCTCCACAGCCATGCTCTTCACCCCTTTTCTTCCAAAACGGAAAACCTCACACAATGCAGGGTGGACAGAATCACACGGTGCAGTCTGTGCGCCTGTCCTCCAGCCCGACACCTGGCCAGTCCTGTCTCATCTACACTGTCATGCAAACTCTTGTTTTTGTTTGTTTGTTTTTGAGACAGAGTCTCACTCTGTCACCTAGGCTGAAGTGCAGTGGTGCAGTCTTGGATCACTGCAACCTCCACCTCCTGGGTTCTTGTGCCTCAGCCTCCCGAGTAGCTAGGATTATAGGCATGCACCACCAACCAGCTAATTTTTGTATTGTTAGTAGAGACGGGGTTTCACCATGTTGGCCAGGCTGGTCTTGAGCTCCTGACCTCAGGTAATCTACGTGCCTCAGCCTCCCAGAGTGCTGGGATTATAGGTGTGAGCCACCACACCCAGCCATGTTTCAAGAATTTGTGCTTCAGCTCAGCACTTAGTGGCAGTGGGAAGACCAGACCTCCTGACCCTTCAGCCTGCTGGCATCCACCATGCCTTAAAAAACAAAACAAAACCCTAAATGTATTTAATTCCTGCTCCTCTTCAAACACACCATTGTAACCACATAATACACTGTGTGAAAAGAGAGGAAAGAAAAATCCAAGTCAACAATAACTTGCCAGGCCTTCTTTCCTTGAGCCCCATATCCCACGCCCGCTGTGCTAACCTCTGGCTTGCCGCCCACACCTGTCTGGATTCATCCCGACTCGAGCCACCTCCTCCTAACTGGTCCCACGGGCCTGTCCCTGCCACTTTCCAATCTGTCCTCCACTTGACATTTGGAGTAATTTTTTAAAACAGCAAATCTGATTAGGAAACTCAGAGGCCCAGGGAAGCCAGTGACTTGCCCTCTGGCACCCTGTCCTGAGGGTAGAGCTTCCTGGCACAGGGTCAGTGAGCCCCGAGGCCACCTCCCTGGAGGCTGCAGGAGGGTGAGCGTGGTCAAGAGCAGCAATTTTCATTGTTTCATGTGTCATTGCCTATTTAACGAGCTTCGCAGTGCCCTCAATTTGCTAAGTTAACTTTGGCCACGCCGTCCGTGAGAGGTCAGACTGGTGATTTCCAACTCCCGCCGGGCACCGGGTGCTGCACCGGTTATCCCAACAGGCTGGCACAGAGGGCTGAAATGGACTTGGAAAGCCAAATAATTAATTTTCATGCGAGTTTTTGATCCCCTTGAGTGTGGTTATTTTTGTGCAAAAAATTATCCCGATGTTTACTTTGGTTTCATAAGTAATTTATTAAAATTCCTTCCTAAGCTTTAAATTTCAGCTAACAAATATGAGCATGGCCTCTGGGAATGGTAAGAACAAGGAAGCATTGTGTGTGTGTGTGCACACCCCAAGGTTGTGCAGCTAGAAGTGCAGAATGTGGATTCCGTCCGCTCTTTAGGGCACAGCTAGCCCTGTGCACCTGTAGAAACTGTACTGACGTACAGCCTTGCAGAGCCTCCAGCTTCCATGGTGGCAGGAGCCATGGAAAATAGAGACCCACCCGGTAAGGAGGTAACTGGGACACCAGGTTACTGTCTACCTGGTGGGGAAGCTGGGGAAAAGGGCCCATGGGAGGATACTAACTGGGGAAGAGGAGACCTTGCTTCCAGGGCTGGGCGACCCACTTACGGAGGCCCCATTCCATTTACATCTCCGCTCAAGCCTCCGCCTCCGGGTTCCAGCCCTGGCTCTGCAATTTGCTAGCTGTGGCCCCAGGTGGTCATTCTCTCTGCACCTCAGTCTCTGCATCTCTATAAAATGGGATGATAATAGTGTTCACCTCAGAAGGTTGTCAGAGGTGTGGAAATTAAGATAATTCACATTGAGTTCTTGGCACGGCTGTGCCTAGCACTGGGTGCAGGCTGAATGCATGGGCTGCTATCGCGATGTTGTATCTAATGGCCTGCAGTGGTTGCTTAGCAGCAATGGGTTTGCTTGGTTATTTCCTGATTTGGGGTAAATAGATCCAGAGACCAAGGCTCCATGTTATCCCCAGCACCGGGCTGACCCCAAGTACCAGAGAGGTCTCCATGGCCCCAGGCTGCAGAGGACCCAGGTTACAACTTGCTCAAGTAGACCCAGGATCTAGGCTTATCCTAGTAGATCTTGGTACCAGGCCAGCCTCTGTGACCTGAGACTCCAAGACCACCATTGCAGACCCAGGCTCTAAGCTAGCCTCTGCAAACTCAGGATATATATTCCAAATATCCCTGATTTGGGGGGCAAGGTCTGTGTGTGATTTGCAGAGTAACGATATGAAGAAGGAGGTCTTGTTAAGATGGCGTGGTGTGGAGTGCCCAGGTGTGAAATGGTTGTCTCAATGGAAGTTGTAGCCTCCTCCTCCCATGACATCATCCTCACACGTGCTCAGTGTTAGGCATTTTTTCCCCCTCCTGCTCTGAATCAATGCGAGTGAGATATGCATGCGGGAGGGACAAGCTTGCATGGCACCCAGCTGTGGTACATTTAGAACTCGGCCTCAGCCCTCCAGTGTGACCTTGGGCATACCCTTCACCCCCGGGCTCTGTTCGCTGGGGCAGGGTCTGCGCTCTGGAGTCAGGCTGCCTGGGTTTGAATTTTACCTTCCTCGCCAAGTCCCTTGAGTGGCAAGTTACTTATCTTCTCATTGTCTCCGTTTTGTTATCTGAAGAATGGGACCATAGTAGTTCCCGCCTCATGGGATGATCATGTGGGTTAAATGAGAGGATGAGTATAAACTGCTCAACATCCCATGGTAGGTGCTCAGTAAATGCAGGTGCTTATGATTATAGTCAGTGTTTGGGCTGTGAATTTTGGTGGATTCTATGGTGGTGTATACAGCACTATCTATCAGTGTACCTGTCAGTGTCTGGTGATCTCTGTGCAAATCAAAAACTCTTCAGATTGAGTCTGTAGGGCTTTGTTTCAGCTCTTGTTCTTTTTCTTCATTTGAATCTTTCCTGGAACTCTTGGAGAAGTTCTTCTGTTCGTGACATTCTTCACAATCAGAGCACTGTGTTCTTGACCCTCTTAATTCAGAATATGTGAAAATCTGAATGAGGTAAAAGAAGTTGGAGCTGGAAGATGCCTTAGAAATTATCTACAGTATTTTTTTTTTTAAGATAAAACCTTTTACAGTTAGGAAAGCCAAAGCTCAGAAAAATGGAGTGACTTTGCCAGGTCCTTCAGCGAGTGGCACATCCAGGATTAAAAGCTGGCATCAGAAATCCCATGTCAGACATTCATTCGTTTATTTATTCATCTGTTGAGTGCTCAGTGCTTTGACCGGGCATCCTGAATGAGGGTCAAGCTGAGGTTCGAGGCCGTGGGTTTTGCATACAGAGCTTTCACTGGGTAAATACACAATGCTGAGAAGATTATCAGGGGCACCTGATCCCTTGACAGCTGAATAAAGAAGCGTTCCAGTGCCTTCTCTGTGGGCATCGTAAGCCATGTCCATCCATACCTGCTGTTTCACTGAAACCCCACAGCAGCCTCTGGAGGGCACCATTCTTATAATTATGCCCCTGGATTTAAGAGGAGGAAACTGAGGGGCAGGTGACTCAGTGACTTCCCCGGGGGCTCAGACGTGGTGGAGACACAGGCCCTCGGCCTCCAAATGCTGCCTCCCGCGAGCAGCCTTGCTTTTCTCCACTTGGCACAGTGGTGAGTCCTCCGATGTATCTGCTTTCATAGGAAGCTTGGGACCAGCCCTGCCCAAGGAGTGTGCCACCTGACCCCTTTTCCTGTCTTCTGTCACTTTTTTTTTTCCAAGTGTTGATATGAGTTTCAGTCTGCCCCTTCCTGGGCCTGTTTGACCTCCTGGGATTCGGCACTTAGTTATCTGTGTCATTCCCAAGGACCTCCCGTTTAGCTGGATCCCCTGACCTGTCCTGCCCTGGCCAGCCCTCTCTTGAGGTTACTCAAGTGTCCAATGGCAGCCCAAACAAATGTCTGGCTTCAGAAAATAAACTCTTCAGTCCAGCCCACTTTCCCTGTCTCCCTATCTAATGCCCTTGCAAAACAAGCCCGGGGGCGCCACACTCAGACTGTGTGTGTGTGTGTGTGTGTGTGTATCTATGAGAGAGAGAGAGACAGACAGACAGATCTGAGGCTCTAATTAGAGATACCATGCTCAGTGGAAGCTGGTTCTGAACAATGTTAACTGCCCCACCCGTGTCCATGAAGGGCAGTGGAAGAGCAAGGGGCGGTTTAATTACCTGGGATGTAAAACAGCAGGCACCCCCACTGCCCTCCTCAGCTGTTGGGGTGGCAGGGTGGAGTTGAGGGCCTCACTCGTTTTCACCTTTGCACAATCAGTCACACATTTGTTATATGACAGCTATGTGCCACACACCCATGTTCAGTAAGGTGGAAGCCAGCTGCAGGCGTGGTCCACAGTTCCAGACATCTCTGAAGGATGTGACACCAACTTTCAGGCAGAACATTTAGAAAGAGTGAAATAAAGTGAAACAGATCAACCAGCCTATTGAGTATCTACGTGTTTTTTTTACAGGCAAGAACTGAGGAGGCAATACTATTTAGAATCCTTGATAAACAGTTCCAAAAGAAAAAAAAAAACAGGCTTTGGTGACTCTCATGGGCCCTCCGTGCCAAGAGTCTATGGCTCTGTGATATATTAAATCAGGCTTGTTAATTATTTAATCTAACAGCTGCCATGCACCCTCATTTTAAAAACAGATGAGGCAATGTTTACATTTTCTCCATGTCCTCCATTTGGAAGTGTCTTAGTTTGTTTTGTGTTGCTGTAACAGAATACCACAGACTGGGCGATTTATAGACAATAGAAATTAATCTGGCTCATGGTTCTAGAGGCTAGGAAGTCCAAGAGCTTGGCACTGGCCTCTGGTGAGGGCCTTCATGCTGTGTCATTGTGGGCAAAAGAGCAAAACTTGCTTTGATAAAATCACTCTTGGCAATAACTGACCCTCCTCTTATAATAACATTAATTCATTCATGACAGCAGAACCCTCCTGACCCAGTCACCTCTTAAAAGGTCCCACCTCTCAACGCTGTTGCACTGGGGATTAAGTTTCCTTACACATGCACTTTGGGGGACACATTCAAACTGTAGCAGGAATTATTTGCTTTCTCATAACATTTTTTTAATTAATTAATTTTCAGCGTTTGTTATATCAGAATGGACATTATAGCAATTTCCATGGCTGTGTCGCTCCTGGCAGATTTTAAAGTTCTTCCAGCCTGATTCCTCTCTCTGTTTGGGTCTCTGGCATGGTGCCTGCTGGAGAGTAGATACTTGATAATTATCTATTGGGTTCTCAGGGGATCTCTCAAAGGTGGTATTCAGGCACCCACAAGGCAACTCCCATCACAAGAAAGAATGGTGGCCTGGGAGTGAGCTGTAAGGTTCCTTCAAACATCAGTTCCTGAAGCCTCTTTTATTCATTATTGTTGGGACTTGTTTTTATTTCTGTTTCGTTCTACGTGACCCCAAAATCTGTATGTGAACACTAGGAACTTTATCATGGGCTGAGGTGTATTTGAAGTAAACTCTTAACTATGTCTCTGGGATATGAAAGGTGCTTACATTCTCTGTTGGGAATGTAGAGAGAAGGATTTGCAGTGTGTGGCCCCTGGGAATGTAGAGGCATGAATTTCTGTCTGTTTTCCTGCTGTTGAAATCTGAGTGCTAGGAACGGACCTCTTGCTCTCAGATTGGCCTTGAAGCTGAAGGGAACCTGTCCACCCTCTGCACAGGGCAAGAGCCACGCCAACAGGAGGAAGTTGGAGTGCATCCTGGCACCTGCCAATCGGAAGACTGACAAACAAAAAATTAGTTTTTAATTAATTTAAAAAATGATCTTCCTACTTATCAGACACAATCACTTTTAAATATGAGCAGAAAAACGAACTCCATAGCCAAATGCAACATTTTGTGTCATACTGCTTTACATCATCTATTCTACCTCCATTCACTGGTCAAAGAAGCGCAGAGTTAAGTTGGCCAGTGTGGCGTGGACACAGCCAGGCGCAGACCCTCCTGCCAGCGAAGCCAGCGTGAGGTCTGTTGGCTCAGGGGTCCAGTCCCTGGGTCCCCGAAGAGGTAAGCCAAAGACATAGTGATACTTGGTTCAATTCGGCTCCAGAGAGTATCAGATGGGAAATAGATGACTTGTTTTACCTGGTCAAATAAGACATCACTAAAATCTACCATGACTGGAAATTACTTAATGCAACCAGAGGAGACTTCGCAGTCAAATTTTGCTTTTCCTAAAAGACACGAAATTAAATTTACATGTCACTGAATGCTATTTGAAACTGTCATTTCCTTGTATATTAGGGGGATCTGCTAGACTCTTATGTCATTGTATTTTGGAAATGGGTATATGTCCTTATTATTGGTTAATAATCATATTTATTTTTAATGAAAATTAAATTATGAAAATAATGCACTTAACTAGGTGAGTTTTAGGTTGTCGATTGATGTGATAATTCACTCTTCCCGAAAAATTGGCAAGGTAATGGTCTGAATCGGACAATCCTTTTGTTTTTACATTGATGTTTTCTATATTTATTTTGTACCTGGAAAAATATTTTTACAATTTATTTTGATTTTATATGTGTAGAAAAATGTACTGAACAATGTTGACATGCTTATTTTTGTAAGAGATGGGTACTTCTTGTTCCCCTTGGATTTCGGAAGCAAAGCAATGGGACCCTACGCTTCAGAGTCTTAATGGGGTGGGGCAGTGTCCATTGAGGTGTCCTGTCGGGAATGACAAGTCCAGGGCAGATTATGAGGCAGGCATCCTTTGGAGTTCTTCTCTCAGGTATATTTTAACTAAAAGCTATCATTTAAGTTGAAGAAATCAAGTCTTGTGAATTGATACGATTGTACTTCTAGAGTCTTTGATGATAAGTTGTCTTTGCGGTACAGATTGGCTCCTCGATCTTTCAAAGTGTCATTTAAATGGAAATAAATGTCTGAAACAGATGTGTGTTTCTGACTTAATCATGCATGGGTCACCGTTCCTGCAGTACTGCAGGCCTGGAAATCTCTGCCCACCGATGCTCCTGGCAGGCTGCATCCAGGACCCGCTCAGAAACGAATCTGGAGTTGGAGGCGGCAGGGAGGGAGGGGTGCAGCACTGTGTGTGGGGAAGTGGTGGATCCTGAAGGTGGGCGGGGGGTGGTGCAGCTTCAGAGGATGAGGGTCCCTCCTGCTCCCTCCCCACCAGCCGGCCTTGCCATCCCCCTGTGGCAAGGTGGGGGCTGTCCCTGGACCCTGGAAGGCTGGTCCTTTCTCGCTGGCTGCTCCCTCCTCCGGGACTCCATGCCCACCATCATCTCCTCTCCCACAATGGCCACTTCTCCCTTCCAGAACCTTCCTCAGCACACAAGCCTGCTCTCACTGCCCACTCAAAGATGACTTGCTGGACTTTCCCCTTTTCTAGTAGTGCCTTTCTCTCTCTTTTTTCCCTTAAGGCTAAAGCTCCTCCCAAGAGTGGCCTTCCCCTCTGCTGCCACCTCAGCTCCCCTCTCCTTTCCCCCACCATGGCCCTGAATTAGCTGTTGCGGCCGCACCAGCACTTGGGTTGGGTCAGCACCGTGTCACTCTGGGCGCTTGCCTGGCCAGGTCTTGGCAGTGCCTGGCACTGGAGCCTGCCCTGCTCCCTCCCGCACCCTCCTGGCTCCAGGACATCTCAGCCTGTTGCCTTTCCTCCCCTCCCAGCAGCTCCCTCCACTCTTTTTGGCTCACTCCACCTCCTTGTCCCGCCCTCTCATGGTGGAGGGCCCTGGCTGAGACCCCAGGCCTCCCGCTCGCCATCAGTACTGCCTGCCAGTCAGAGCACCTGTCTCCCCATGTGTTCGTTTGTCTCAGGGCCATGGAAACAGAACACAAGCCATCCAGCTGGAAAGAAACGCAACAGGTGTTTCTCTTCCCGTCGTCTTGGAGGCCAGGTGTCCAAGATAAAGGTGTCGTCAGGGCTGGCTCCTCCTGAGGCCTCTCTCCTTGGGGTGTGGATGGCGCCTTCCTCCTGTCTCTGCACATGGCCTCTCCTTTGTGTGTGTCTGTCTCCATTTCCTTTTATATTTTATAAGGACACCAGTCACATTGGATCTGGGCCCACCCTCTTGACCTCATTTTAACTTGATTACCTCTTTAGAGACCCCGTCTCTGGCTACTGGAGGTTGGAACATCAGCAGATGAATTTTTTTGACAGGGGTCATGATTCAACCTGTAACATCATGGGTTTCAATTCCATCTCTATGTTGATGGCTCCCAAATATGGGTCATGACCTCTGACTTTTCACTGAACCCCAAACCCAGATATTCCAGTTCCTGTTCAGCAGCATCACTTTGATGTAAAATGGGCAAAGCTGAACTCTCACTTTTCCCCTTCAGACTGGCCTCTCTGCTATCTCAGTATTTCTGCTGCCAGTGCCTCACGCTCAGGAGTTTGCTTTGGCTCCTGTCTTTCCTGAACATCCTGCAGCAGCAGGTCCCGAGCCTCCTCAGGGGAGAAGAGCCTAAATCGGGCCGTTTTCACTGCCCTCAGCCCCCCACCCAGGCCGCTGTCATCCGTCACCTACACTTCTGCGGGGGTCTCCCAGTGAGCTCCCTGTGCGTTCTTTGACATGTGTGTGGCCTCATCTACACAGAGTGGTCTCTGAAATGCATGAATAAGATCGTGGACCACTGCTGCTCATTGTTCTAGAAGTTTTTATTTACCTTCAATGTGACTGTGAAGTCCTTACCATGACTCACAAGATGACCTCTGGCTCCTGAATGCCCCTGCAACTCCCCACCATGCCCTGCCTTTCACCCCTGGGCCAGCACACGGTCCTTGCACTTTCCTCCAGGCAGCCCAGCCCCTTCAGCCCCGTCAGTGTCACGTGTTTCCCCAGGACCTTCCCGTGGGTGCCTCTCATGCCATAACAGGGCACCACAGACGAGTCGGCTTCAACAACAGACCTCGGTTCTCTCACAGTCCTGGAGGCTGGCGTCCCAGATCAAGCCGTCACAGGGCTGGTTCCTCCTGAGACCCCTCTCCTGGGCTTGCAGATGACATCTTCCCCTTGTGTCCTCATGGGGCCATCCTTCTTTGTCTGTGTCCTCATCTCCTGTCCTTACAAGGACACCTGTCTGATAGGGTCAGGGCCCAACCTGACGACCTCATTTTACCTTGATTACTTCTTTAAATGCCCGATGTCCAAATACAGTCACATTCTGAGGTGCTGGGGGTCAGGACTTCAACATATGGATCTTGGGGGGATTCAAGTCCACTGCTAACACCGCCCCCCCCTCTGTGAGTACCTCTTGCACCCTCGCCTTGTTCCTTCAGTGTGCTCTATTTTCTTCATGTCACTCATCCCTGCCCACATTTTACTGGACACTTATGCATCTCTTGTCTCTCCCTATGGACTGTAAGCTCCATGAGTGCAAACACTGCCTTCCTGCCCACACTCCACGGCATTTACACGGCATTTACAGCGGCGCCTCCCACCCAGCAATCCATTTTTCTGAACAAATGGATGAGCCTGTGGTTTGAAGGACTTGAGTCTGAGAGCGTTTGACTTTAGGAGCTGGAGGGTGGGTCTGTGACTGCACTGGCGAGGACTACCTGGTGGAGGGGCTGCTGAGTGGGCCCAGCCAGGAGAGGGTGTAAGGAAAGAGGGCAGCGGTACCTGCCTCCCGTCACGCAGTGTCTTGGAAGAATGAATGTGGGGACGTATTTCATTTCATGCCATTTGAATAGCTACTAGAATTATCCCCACTTTACAACAGACACAAGTGGCCTGCATTAGATTATTAAGGACGCCAAAGGAGAAATAAACCGTGACATCAGCCATTCCCTCTACATGGCCTGATGACTTTCTCTAGCCATACAGCATAATGATCGAACAAAGAAATGCCCTCATTGTCATGAGGTCCTTATGCAATTGTGCTATCCTGTGAAGAACCACCAGGTAGGTACAGGAAGGAATCACTTTGGCAGAAAACCGCAAGACAACACACTTCTGACTGTCTTTAGGTTTCTAGGTAATTGCGGTTTGCATGTTCAGACTTACAGCGCCTCTGAACCACGACGAAACATTCTTTTCGTCAGGCATCCGTGGCCAGGAACATTGTCTCTGGCAGGCCTCTCCCAGCTCTCAGATGACAGATGCGTCTGTTTATTCTCTGGTTGTTTGAACAGTGCTGCGGCCCTGCAGGCTTTTCTGGGGCACTGTCCTTTGTCAGTGCAGATGGAGACTGGAGCTCAACAATTAGATTCCCTTCAGTGATGAGAACCTGGCTGCACTTCAGTTCAGAGAATATTTCTGATCAGTGCTTTTAGCAGCGATGCTTTGGGTAATGCTTGCTCATCTCAGGAAAGAAACAAGAGCGTCAGACAGGGGAGGAACCCTGGAGATCCCCTGGCCCAACCTCTCTATTGTACAGAGGACGAAAAGCACTCACAGCTGCCTTGTCCACAGGAAACGGTGTCAGAAACAAAGCCTTCCTACTCATGTCTCTGTAATTTTAGCTGTTTCTAGATATTGAATGCCACAATAAATAGCACGTAAGATGTTACATTGAAAAACAAAACCTTGGCCAGGCGCGGTGGCTCACGCCTGTAATCCCAGCACTTGGGAGGCCGAGGCGGGCGGATCACCTGAGGTCAGAAGTTCGAGACCAGCCTGGCCAACATGGTGAAACTCAGTCTCTACCAAAAATACAAAAATTAGCCGGGTATGATGGTGCATGCCTGTGATCCTAGCTACTCGGGAGGCTGAGGCAGAAGAATCACTTAAACCCGGGAGGCGGAGGTTACAGTGAGCTGAGATCGCACCACTGCACTCCAGCCTGGGCAACAGAGTGAGACTCTGTCTCGAAAAAAGAAACAACAACAAAATCCTTTCTGTGTTATTTGCTGATCCTGCCATATGTCAGAGAAGACCGTAGTTAAGACTGTATATAAGAGCAGAGAAAACCATTCTATCCAGAGGCTCAGAAAGTTTACTTTTTTGCCCAAGTCATACAGCTAGAAATTGACCCTGGAGTTTTAACTTCAACTTTACTGCATTACAGCCTAGAATTCAAAAATAGACCCAAAGGTGTACATCTTAAAGGAGGCACGCTGTAATTCTATGCTCAGACTTCCAGTCGCGTACTGACTTGCACTTGCTAAGCATTCATCAACGCATTTTAGTTGGATGCCTATCATGCATCACAGCTCCTGGTGTCATGAACTTCTTTTCTGTTTAAGAAAGTGGTTTGTAAACAGGCCTTTACAATGCCACGTGATATTGCCGGGTGCAAGTGGGTGCACACAGAGAGGGCACCGACAATGTTTTTTGTTTGTTTGTTTGTTTTTGAGACAGAATCTTGCTCTATCCCCCAGGCTGGAGTGCAATGGTGCGATCTTGGCTCACTTCAATCTCTGCCTCCCAGGTTCAAGTGATTCTCCTGCCTCAGCCTCCCAAGTAGCTGGGACTACAGGCACGTGCCACTGTGCCTGGCTAATTTTTGTACTTTTAGTGGAGACGGGGTTTCGCCATGTTGGCCAGGCTGGTCTCGAACTCCTGACCTCAGATGATCCACCCACCTCGGCCTCCCAAAGTGCTGGGATTAAAGAAATGAGTCACCCCCCAGGCCTCCAACAGTGTTCTTGAGAGGCCAGGAAAGCTTTCCAGAGAAAGTGAAGTCTAACCTGAAACCTAAGTAAGACCTAGTCACATGGGAGGAGAAGGGGGCTCCATGGAGAGAGGCCAGCGTGTGAAAAGAAGCAAGGGGGTGGGGAGCTGAAGCAGGGGGCGGGGGAAGGCATGAGGTTCAACACAGCAGGAGCACTGAGTCCAAAGTGGTAGGATGCAGAGATGAGGCCTGTTGTGGACTGAATGTGCCCCTCTCAGATTCGTATGTTGAAGCCCTAATCAGTAGTGTAATGGTATTAGGAGATGGGGCCTTTGGGAGTTAATTCAGTTATGGGGGTGGAGCCCTCATAAATGCAATAGGTGCCTTTATAAGAAGAAACGCAAGAGAAATGACCTCTCTCCCTGCCATATGAGGGCAGGGCAAGAAGGCCAAAAAGGTGACTATCTGCAAACCAGGAAGAGTGGGGACCATGGCATGCTATAGAGAATACTAAGGACACAGGGCAAAAAATCTGGTGGCAGAAATCCAGGCTGCAAACTGACTATTGGTTTTAGTCTTAGCTCTGGACCTCGCACTTTAAGCAAGAGACTTAGTCTCTCTAAGACTGGGTGTCTACAAATTTTTTTTTTTTTAATCAGCAAAATAAAGATAACTATCCTTTCCTTACCATTCACCCAGCGATACTGTTGTCCCATAAAACCACCTGTGCATAAAAAAGAAAAGCATCCCTTTCTTCTGGCTCTTCAGCTGGGTGTCCTTGGGAAGGGGACCTCCTGCATGAGCTTCAGTGATGGCTGCATGAGTTAGCTAATGCTATGTAATGAATTACCACTCCAGTAGCTGAAACCAACATTTATCATTGCAGAATTTCTTTGAGACTCTAGGCATGGTTAGCTGGGTGTCTCTGGCACGGGGTTTTTCACAAGGCTGCAGACAAAGTGTTGGCTGGTGGCTCATCTGAAGGCTTGACTGGGGATGGGTCCTCTTCCCAGCACACCCAGTGTTGTTGGCAGGACTTAGTTCTGTATTAGTTGTCTCTCTCTACCAGAGAGAGACAGCACCAGCAGGAGATGTATTTCTATCCATATCTGTATTTGTAGCTCTACCTCGATGTCTTTATTGCAAGGAATTGGCTTGTGCAATTATAGTTATTGGCCTGACAGGTCTGAAACCCACAGGGCAGGCCATCAGGAAGGGCAGGCTGGAATCCTTTCGATGCTGCAGTCTGCAGGTAGAATTTCTTATTTCTCAAAGGAGCTGCAATTCTGTTTTTTAAGAACTTCTGGTTGATTGGCTTAGGCCCACCCACATTATCCAGGATAACCTCTCTTGTATAAAGTCAACTGATTGTAGATGTTAACCACATCTACAGAATAGCTTCACAGCAACACTTAAGCTAGGGTCATATCAAATCATGGGGACTGTAGCCTGGCCATAAGGACACACCAGCCTGATCATTACAAGTTCGTTTCTTTGCGGGTGTGAAACTGAGGGTCTCAGTTCCTTACTGGCTGTCAACAGAGTCCACCCTCAGTTCCCTGTCAGGTAGCTCCCCACACTCAGCTCACAACACAGCAGGTGGTGAGTCCATGCAAGGCCCACATCACAATCTTCTGTAGCCTGACCATGTAAGATGCAATGACCTCTTGTTTCTCTTGTTGGATTCTGTTCATTAGAAGTAAATCTCCTGGTCCCACCCCTACTCAGGGGGACAGGTTTGCTTCAGGGCCGTGAGTAGAAGTCTGCAATCACAGTGGCCCTACTCAGTCATTTCTGGGGAAAGTATCTGAGATGATATGTGTGAAATAATTGTGTGAGCCTGTATGTAAATATTAGCTAGAACCACAGGAAATTGTTTATTTTTCACCTACAAAAATGGCTCACCTAATGTAAATGATTATAGTAACATAGGGGACTGAGAGGGCATAAAACGACTTTATAATATTGGGGGGGACCAGGCAAGAATGAAATCTTGGCTAAATGGCAACTAAAACAGACAGAACCTGGGGATAGACAGGGGGGAGAGAGAGAGAGAGAGAGAGAGAGAGAGAGAGAGAGAGAGAGAGAGAGAGAGAGAGAGAGAAGGAGGTGCTGCTGATCGTAGTAGGTTTGCATTGGGCTTATTTTTCTTTCTATATATTGTCTATCATCTATCTATCTATTTTCTATCTATCTATCATCTATCTATCTATCATCTATCTATCATCTATCATCTATCTATCTATCATCTACCTATCATCTATCTATCTATCAATCATCTATCTATCATCTATCTATATCTATCTATCATCTATGTATCTATCATCTATCTATCATCTATCTATCATCTATCTTCATCATCATCATCTATGTGTTATCTATCTTCATCATCATCTATGTGTTATCTATCTTCATCATCATCATCTATGTGTCATCTATCTATCTGCCTACCAATCTATCTAATCTGTCTTGTCATCTATCATCTATGTATTAATCTATTACGCATTTTGTACTGGTCAGATGCAAGGCTTTATTTGAGCCTACAGTCATGCACCATGTAACAATGTTTTGATCACGATGAACTGCCTATATGATGGTGGTTCCATAAGATTATAATGTAGCTGAAAAATTCCCATGGCCTAGTGACATCATAGCTGTTGTAACATTGTAGCTCACTGAGTTTGTGGTGATGCTGGTGTAACCTGCTGGGCTGCTGGTTGTATAAAAGTCTAGCACACACAATTATGTAAGATATATAATACTTGCTAATGATAATAAACAGCGATATTACTGGTTTATATATTTACTACGCTATACTTTTTATCTCTTAGAGTGTACTCTTTTACTTATATTAAGAAAGGTAACGATAAAACAGCCTCAGGCAGGTCCTTCAGGAGGTATCCAGAAGAAGGCATTGTTATCATCGGAGATGGCTGCTCCATGCCAGTGGGACAAGATGTGCAGGTGGAAGACAGTGATATGGATGATTCTGACCTTGTGTAGGCCTAGGCTAATGTGTATGTTTGAGTCTTCGTTTTTAACAAAAAATTTAAAAAGTAAAAAAGCAAAATTAAAAATTAATAATTTGGGAGGCCAAGGCAGGTAGATCACGAGGTCAGGAGATCGAGACCATCCTGGCTAACACGGTGAAACCCTGTCTCTACTAAAAATACAAAAAATTAGCCGGGTGTGGTGGCATGCGCCTGTAGTCCCAGCTACTCGGGAGGCTGAGGCAGGAGAATTTCTTGAACCCGGGAGTTGGAGGTTGCAGTGAGCCGAGATCACGCCACTGCACTCCAGCCTGGGTGACAGAGTGAGACTCTGTCTCAAAAAATAAAAAATAAAAAAATAAAAATATAAAAGGCTTATAGAATAAAGATATAAAGAAAGAATATATTTTTGCATTTCTGTATATGTTTTATGTTTTAAGCTAAGTGTTATTACGAATGATTCAAAAAGTTAAAAAATTAAAAAGCTTATATAGTAAAAATGTTACAGCAAGCAGGGGTGAATTTATTACTGAAGAAAGAAAAATATTTTTATAAGTTTAGGGTAGGCTAAGTGTAAGTACACTCTATGATGTTCTCACGACAAAATTGCCTAAGAACACATTTCTTTGAATATGTCCCTGTTGTTATGCAACACGACTCTATTTACAATGCAACACAAGGCCAGTGCTTTAGAAATGTTTTGTCTGTACCTTGAGAAATGAATTTGTTCTACATTTGTAGCACACTGCCTGTGAGATAATAGTGGTGATTGTGTAATTCAAAAATGACTACCCGTAGATGGTACAAAGGAATGAGTTGGATAGACGAGTTAGAATCTAAACCTCTCTGAGAACATCTTGTTTTGTAAATTTGACTTTGTAACAATATGAATATTTTTATGATTATACACCAAAATAAAAAAGTAATTTCCAAAGTTTATTGAAAAAAACAAAATAAAACAAATGAACTTCGCTGTGTATTGACTTTGTAGTATGGTAACATATGGTTTCACAGTATTTCAAGTGACTTTAAAACATGGTACCTTGCCTACCCTCAGTAGGATAAACCCTAAAAACAAAAAGAATGGCAAAAAAAAAAATACTTTAAACTCCTTTCAGGGATCTTGTCTGTGGTGGTAGAGTTGATGTGGTCATTCCTAGACAATTATATCTGTAATGTGAAATGAAGCAAGTGAGTAATTACATTGAGAACCAGAATGTTCAGTGTTGCTGAGAGGAGATGCGAATGTAAGATCTATGAGGTTAAATAAACACTCTGTTGCTCCGAACTTGATTTGGCAATATCAAGCTACACTCATGATGTAATTTCTTTCTGTCTTAAAAACATTTCCTTATTTTTGTCTAGGCTACAGGACTAGAGACAATGAATAATCCTTCAGCAATGAAGACTCTCACTGTCCATATTGTGCTAAAAAAAAAAAAAAAACCCACAAACAAAACACACAATCTAGAGATCCTTGAAAAAATGGCTGATTTCAGAATTGAGGTAGAAATTGTAGAAGATAAGCTTGAAATATGTTATCCTACCAGAAAGCAGGCAAGCCAGCAAGCACTATGGGATCATGTCACAAAGACTCAGGAGCCTGTAGTCTATATAACAAGCCTGTAGTCTCATTACAATTAGTTGTAATAAGAATAATTAGACTAGGTGTGGTGGCTCATGCCTGTAATCCCAACAATTTGGGAGCCCAAGGCAGGAGGATCACTTGAGTCTGGGGGTTCAAGACCAGCCTAGGCAATGTAGTGAGACCCCAATTCTACAAAAATAAAAAAAAAATTAGCCCAGGATGGTGGCATGCAGCTGTGGTCCCAGCTACTTGAAAGGCTGAGGCAGGAAGCTCACTTGAGCCTGACAGGTCAAGGCTGCAGTGAGCCATGATTGGGCCACGGTACTCTATGCTGGGCAGCAGAGTAAGACCCTGTCTCAAAAACAAACAAACAAACAAACAAACAAACATCACTGCATTGGAATCCCATTAGTTGTCTAATGATACTAAAACACACACACACATCAGTCATATTTAGAAAATATCAGGGGACCAATTCACTATTTTTGGAAGTATAAACAAAGAGAAAGGGTATAACATGTATCCTGATTTTTCTGTATAAAATATACTGCATATCAGGGGTTGGAGAACCAGAGCTTGAGAGTCAAATTGGGCCTGCTGCTCTGTTTTTGTGAATAAAGTTTTATTGGAACACAGTGGGTTTGTCTGTGGCCTCTCTCACACTATGGCAGTAGAGCTAAGTAGTTGCCAAAAAGACCATATGGCCCAGAAAGCCAAACATATTTATCATTGGGCCCTAATGTAGGTTGAACCCTGCCTTAGGGTATCTATATATTTGACGAGGGGAGCTATCCTTTTTTAAAAAATAATTTTTATTTTTAATTTTTGTGGGCACATAGTAGGCATATATATTTATCGGGTACATGAGATATTTTGATATAAAGGGAGCTATCTTTTAATAGCTGTATTGAAGATAATAAATAAAAAAGGAGTGATAGAATATCACCAGCTTGCAACTATTAATACAAATAGGGGAACAAATTAATAATTATAAATGGTTGCTAATATTATTGAAGAGAGACAACCAGATACTAAAGGCTTTCTGATAGAATTGCATGATACCACCTGCATTAGTCCGTTTTCATGCTGCTGATAAAGACATACCTGAAACTGGCAATTTATAAAAGAAAGAGGTTTAATTGAGCTTACAGTTCCACATCGCTGGGGAAGCCTCACAATCATGGTGGAAGGCAAGGAGGAGCAAATCATGTCTTACATGGATGGCAGTAGGCAAAGAGAAGCCTTGTGCAGGGAAACTCCCCCTTATAAAACCATCAAATCTCATGAGACTTATTCACTATCATGAGAACAGCATGGGAAAGACCTGCCCCCATGATTCAATGACCTACCACCAGATCCTTCCCACAGCACATGGGAATTCAAGAAGAGATTTGGGTGGGGACACAGCCAAACCATATCACCACTTATGAAATATTCTTGCAAAAACAAAAACAAAAAAAAATCAAATCTAAATCAGGTCAGACTTTTATATCTAACTACCAATCTACAGGAAATCCAGGGGACAGAAGAATCTCTTGACTAGCAACACAGGCAATCAGCAAAGTCTCGGATGGTGGGAAACTATGGGACAAACAACCGGGTTTCTTCCACAAATATATTGTAAGGAAAAGAGAATGCAGTGGTGGGATGGGGAGGAGCTTATGGATTAAGACAGAAAGAAAGCAACATTGTGGGCAATTGCAATTTATGGCTGTTTCTTATTTTCTGATTACAACACAAATACTCTGATAAAACATTTGTAAGTGGGGAAATTAAACACATTCTAGATATTTGATAACATCACAGAATTATTGTTAAATTTTAGATGTGATAGTTGTATTATGGCTGTGTTTAAAAGAGTTCTTGTCTTTTACAGATGCATACTGGAATATTTATGAACAATAAAATATCTGGTATTTGCTTCCAAATAATTTGACATAATTGGAAGGAAGTGGGTGGGTATGTCAATGAAGCAGATAAGTTGATAATATTGAAGTTGGCTAATAGTTACATGTAGGGTTGTCATACTATTTTCTCCACTTTTATATATGTATTAGTTTTCTGTGGGTGTTGTAAGAAATAACCACAAACTTGGTGACTTAAAACAAGGTTAAATTTATCTTACAGTTCTGTAGATCAGAAGTCCAACATGAGTCTCATGGTGCTAAAATCATGGTGTCAGTAGGTGTCTTCGTCTGTTCTGTGCTGCTGTAACAATACCTGAGGCTGGGTAATGTATAATGAACAGAAACTTATTTCCAATAGTTTTAGAGATGGTAAAGTCCGAGATCAAGGGGCTGGCATCTGGTGAGGGTCTTCTTGCTGTGTCATCCCATAGCAGAAGTTAGAAGAGCAAGGAAGGGTAAGAGAGAGCAAGAGATCAAACTCAAAGACTCAAGCCCTTTTATAATCAACATTAATCCATTCATGAGGGTGAAGCCCTCATTACCTAAATGCTTAAGGCCTACGTCTTAACACTGTTGCACTGGGGATTAAGTTTCCAACACATGCCTTTTGGGGACATAGTCTAGCGATAGCGGTGGGCAGGGCTGCATTCCTTTCTGGAAGCTCTGGGGAGAATGTTTCCCTGCCTTTTCCAGCTTTTAGAGGCTGCATATTCCTAAACTTGTGACCCTTTCTTTCACCTTCAAAGCCTCAAGGGCAGGTTGAGTCCTTCTTATGCTGCCATCTCTTTGGGTTCTCACCAGCCATGAAATATCCTCTGCTTTAAAAACCTCCTGTGGTTACACTGGGCTCACTGGTTAGTCCAGGATAATCTCCCCATCTCAAGGTCAGATGATTAGCAACCTTAATTTCCCTTTGCCATGTAATCTAACATATTCACAAAGTCTAGGAATTAGGGTGTAGATATCTGTGGCGGATGGAATTATTCTGCCTGCTACATTATATGTTAGGCATTTTCCACAATAGAATGTAGAAAACAATATACAAAAGTTACCTGAGGAAAAGCACACCCTTCATTTTTTTCTTTAGACTGTGTTTATTAATTGTCTGCACAACCAATTAAGTTTAGAGCAAAAGTTGAACATGGTCCATGGTAATAAGGATATTAACTTTGCCCTATTTATGACACCAAGAGGAAAATGCAGATGTTGTAATCTCATCACTATGTAGATTGCATCTAAAGCATTGAATAGAAAGAGGAACCATTATAGGATGATGCTACAGATAAAATTTAGTTTGCCTAATTTATTATCTTGTTTTCAAAGCAAAACTGTAACGTGGTGGTGAATTATATAAAAAGAAGCTAATTGGTAGGAAAAAGTCAATTAAAAATAGCACTTTACCATTATAAAACATTTGTACTCATTCTCATTCAGCTTCACAACAACCCTTCTGTTGGGCAGGATATGTGTACTTTTTTCCTTTTGTAGGTGAAGAAGTTAATTGAGACTCTGGAAGTAAGGATTTGTTTTAACTTTTCTCCGTTAACTGGCAAGATGAGGAGCGGGACCCAGCTCTTTTGATTCCACTGCACCAAATTGCCTTGGTAACCACCAGAGAAACGCTGGGATGTGTTCCGAATACTCTGTTTATTAAGAAAAAGATGGGTGTAACTCCATATTAAATTTTCCATAAACACTAGATACACCAGGTATAAAATTTAAGGTATCCGTTTAATGGTCACTGACATTGGGAATTCTCCCCAGCAGCCCTTCCTGCTCAGCTCTCACATCAACCTATGAACTCTGACTGTGAACTCCCAGTGCAGCTTTTTTATTTCCCAATTAATAGAAATAGCATCACTAAATCCCATAAGTTTCCTTTTCCGTGTACAATAGAAGATGGCGTTTCCCAGCGATGCCTGCAATTAAGCTGAGGCCATGTGACTGGTTCTAACCAATAGGTTGCAAGGAGAGAGTCAGGCGTGGCTTCTGGATTGAAACATGGAAGAGCAAGTGTGAATTCTCCTTACTTTTTTTTTTCCGCCCTTAGTGGTGATTTCTGAGGTCACTTGTTGACATGGTAGAGCCCCAGGTTGGAAGTGGCTTAGGTCTTAGTGAACCACTGAGGTACTATTTAACGCCAGTATCAGAGATGTTAACACCATAATTAAGAGTTAACCAATTATGAAACAGCGTGTGTTTCCGCTACAAAATCTGAGACTCTCGTAGCGGGCAGGGGTGTGTATTCAAGTTAATATTTCTTTGTTCTACAGTCTGACATCAATATATCTTATTTTCTTATTAAGGATTCTTATTGCCATTAAAGAAAAAAATTGCTTGGCAAAGATGAAAATAAATAGAGACTAAGCAATATTTGTAGCTTGTGAGAATTATAAAGACAGGACAAAATAATAATATAACTGGATGAGAAAGATAAGAGTGCGTGTTAGAGATTTGCGCTGTCATGGGCAGTTATGCCTCTTTAGGCGAGCAAATTGTGCTTGTTGCAGTGAGATTGGTGAGATGTAGGCCCGTTCTGACTGTGGATGGCAGCATGGCTTTCCACCCCAGCCAGACACAAAGGGCACAAGGTGGGGCAGGTGACCTACAGCCCTTGGACTGTGTCACTCTAGGGAACCTCTGCTCAGTCAGCCGTTCAGTTTACAAACCTTAGATTAAGACCTTTGAAAACAAGTTGAATGGTAAGGAAGTTTTCTCCCAGCAACAATGCAATAAACTGAAATTAAAATAGATAATCTAACATCTTATGTTTGTGTACTGTTAATGATTTACAAAGCATTTTTTCTTTTTGTGCCTCAGGATTACTCTGAGAGGTGGTGGGCAGAGCGATTAAACCCCCATTTCCTGGGAGGGTGCGTAGGATTCGCCTTCATGTCCCTTCCTGGCTTTACTTAGCACTCCACACTCTTTTCCTTGTTTGTTCATTTACACATAACGCTTTGGCAAATTGTTCTCCACGCAGAGTGTGTTAAGCTCAGTTCGTAACTCATGAACTCCTGTAGATTCCCCAGCTGCCCTTGCAATTAGTTTGGGACCAACTCCTACTGGCCGTTGACTTAAGATAGAAGGCAATTAAAAGCCACTGTGCCCTGTCCAACCTTTTCCCCGCTGAGCTGACCTTGGAGGCTGTGTATTCCAGTTGACAGTGTAGCCCACGGCCTCCATCGGCCTTAGGAATCAGAAATTAGCCTTTCCTGTGTGAAGACACTGACATTTCAGGGTTTATTCTGTGGTTTCATCATAACACATCCTATCCTGATTAATAAAATTACTTACTCTCCACACCTTCTAAGTGTATCATTAAGAGATGTTTCTAAGAATCCTTAGAAATTGGGGCTCTGAAATTGGAATGCGGAAACACTCCAGAACACAATCAGTATCATTTCCACTTTTAACTTTACATGAATTTTCCCATAGGCAGAATTTTATTTATTTTTTTATCAAAATCATACATTTACATAGTGTAAAATGTTACTAGTGCTATCAGGCTTATGAGTACTGACAGCAGCAGCTCTCTGCCCCAGCCCTTCTCTCCCAGGTCTGATTCCTTTCTGCGGTTTCCCCCGGCATTTATGTCTATATTTGTAAATAATACACTTATCCTGCTGTGTCATGTTCTATTGTTTCAGATGTTTTCTATTGACTTTCCACTACTGCAGATGAGGATTCAGCCACCTTTTCCCCCTCACCACCACTGCGCCTCCCCCATCTTCTCATTATATCACAATTTTTGGCTAAATCTGAATTTACTATTTATTATTTATAACCATGTAAATATTGCTGACTGCTAGGACAAGTAGTGTGCTTTGATTACATATATTTTTTTTTCTGTGAAAGTTCCTCTTTATTTTTTATTTGCTTAGCTTGTGTATCAGTAATGCTTCCCCCTTCATTCAAGCACCGTCAGTTCTAGTTTCCACATGGCTGAAGGTCATGGATCATTTTCTGATTGGAGCCTGTGCTCATGGCACTTGCTCTTCCTCCCACAGTTGGATCTGGCTGGGTTGCTCCCCAGCTGCCATCCCAGATCTCATTTCCTGGAGTCCATGTCTACCTTCTTTTGGTTTATACTCTTTTGTGAATGGAGCACACCCTTTTGGAGTTTCCAGAGAAAAGGTGCATGACAGGTGAAACTTTTGATATCTTGCTAATGTGAAAATGTTTGCTGATATTGCTGTGAATAGCTTGACAGTTTGGATTTGGAAATGGAGTAGAAAATAATTTCCTTCCCAGTCCATCTCTGGAAGCACACACTGGGAGTGGTTGCCCTTGAGGAGGAAAACAGCTTAGGGATGGAGCGAGACTTACTTCACTATATAACTTTTTGTACTATTCAACTTTTAGAAACCATTTGTAGACACTGCTTTACGAAACTTAAATAGACATTAGTAAACAGAAATCATGAGCAATATGGAGAATATACTGCCCCCAGTTTACCATGTGCTGCATTGTATTTAATATTTAGTCCTATGAGCAATGCATTTATTGCCATGCAAGAATTTTAGCATTGAAAGGGTTTTCTATAGACCAGAAATGGTGCAAGCCCAAACATGATCATAATTGCATGTTATAATGGAAATTCATAACCTTGTTATCTCAGAGCTTTTAGAAAATTTGTGAAGATTTGGACATTTTAGGGAAAAGGAGCACATGTAAACCAAATTTTGGGCATCAAAGATGGAAGTAGATTGGTCTCCAACAGTTGTCCTGTATCCTGAAATTCTTACTGCCATTACCATTATCATTACCATTACCATTACCATTACCATTACTCTTCCTAACAATGCCACCCCAAACCATTTCCACAGAAACCAGGTTGCTTTAAGTGGGCTTTCTTGGACTTTCCCATTTGACTAAATAGCAACTCTGCAGAAAGGTAGGCATCTCCATGGGCAATGCAAAACAAGAAAGCTGACATTTGGCTAAGGGCTTACCTGCAACAGTTACATCATGTTACACAAAATTCAGAGTTAAATGAGCATATGAGAGGGACATGGTTCAACCTGTATCTTCTGTGAAATGCTCTTCTTGCTGTTACATAATATTTTACATGTTTATGGGGTACCTGTGATATTGTGCTGCATGCACAGACTGTGTAATGATCAAGTCAGGGTATTTGGCATATCTGTCACCTTAAGCATTTATCATTTCTATGCGTTGGAAACATTTCAAGGCCTCTCTTCCAGCTACTTTGAAATATACAGTACACTGTTGCTAATTATAGCCTTCCTACTCTCCTGTTGAACATTAGAACTTATTCCTTCTATGTAACTGTATGTTTTTATCTGCTAACCAACCTCTCTTCATCCCCCTCCCACCCATACAACCTTTCCTAGCCTCTGGTGTCTATCATTCCACTGTCTACCTCCATGAGATCAACTTTCTTATCTCCCACATATGATTGAGAACAGCTAATATTTGTCTTTCTGTGCCTGGCTTATTTCACTTAACATGATGACTTTTGGTTCCCTCCATGTTACTGCAAATGACAGTTTCATTCTCTTTTATGGCCACACAGTATTTCACTGTATATATATATATATATATATATATATATATATATACACACACACTATGTTTTTAATGTGATATGTTTCTTATTATAAAAAGCTCTCAGGCTTGTCCTTAGGCATTAGAACATTTAGAAACATCTATCTATCTATCTTATCTATCATCTATCTACCTTATCTATCTATCTATCTATCTATCTATCTATCTATCTATCTATCTTCCATCTCTATCTGTCATCTATCTGCCTATCCATCTATCTATCTATCTATCTATCTATCTATCTATCTATCTATCTATCCATTTACCTTATCTATCTATCTATCTATCTATCTATCTATCTATCATCTATCCGTCTACCTAATATATCATCTATCTATGTATCTATCTATCTAATCTATCATCTATATATCTATCTATTATCTATCTATCTATCTATCTATCTATCTATCTATCTATCTATCTATCATCTATCTATCTGTCTATCCTACTCCCTGCCATGGTTGGCCCAAGAGCATTTTAAATTATATAGATAATCTTTGCTAATCCTTCCTGCTTTTCCCGATAATTGTAGGGGAAAATGGCCAAGGAGGGGCCTTCAGTGGATACATACATAAAATAATTTAAAATGTTGACAAAAGGTAAATTCCCATGATCTAGAGACAGAGTGGTTCTTAATCTAGAGAGTGGTTCTCAACTCAGGCTGAACACTGTAATGACCCAAGGACCTTGAAAAATACCGATGCTTGGGTCTTTCCTGAGAGATTTTGATTTAATTGGTCTGGTTACATCCTGAGCATCAGGAGTTTTAAAAGCTCTCCAGGTGATTCTAATGCGGCCAGGCCTGAGAAGCACTGCTCTAGGGAGGATACTGACCTCTAGAGATGGAAGTGAAAGAGGTCATTGTTTATCTCTGACGGATCATAGACACTCTTGTCTTCGTATGTTTATTTATTCAGCAATACAGATTTTCCATCAGTTTTTTTTCCATTTAATAGACTTTATTTTTTAAAGCAGTTTTAGTTCACAGCAAAAGTGAGAAGGTACAGAGATTTCCCATATACCCCTCTCCCTATCCATGTATAGCCTCCCCTACTATCGATGGTCCCCAATAGAGTGGTGGTGCATTTGTTACAATCAGTGAACCTACACTGACACGTCGCTATCACCCAGAGTCCATAGTTTACATTAGGGTTCACTCTTGGTGCTTTGTAAATTCTGTGGGTTTGGACAAATGTATAATGATATGCATACACCTTATCACATCATGCAGAATAGTTTCACTGCCTTAAAAATCTTCTGTGCTCTGCCCATTTATCCTTCTCTCTCTTCTGGCCCCTGGTAACAACTGATTTTTTTAATAGTCTCCATAGTTTGCCTTTTCCAGAATGTCATATGGTTGAAATCATACTGTATGCAGCCTCTTCAGATTGGCTTTTTTCACTTAGAAATGTGCATTTAAGTTTCCTTCCCATATTTTTGTAGCTTGTTATCTCATTTCTTGTCTTTTCAGTGCTGAATAATATTTTCTTGTTTTGAGGTATCACAGTTTATCCATTCACCTATTGCTTCTAAGTCTTGACAATTACGAATAAAGCTGCTATAAACATCTATGTGCAGCTGTTGTGCGGATCTAACTTTTCAGTTCCTTTGGAAAGACACCAAGGAGTGTGATTGCTGGATCATACGGTAAAAGTGTGTTTAGTTTTGTGCAAAACTGCCAAACTGTCTTCCAAAGTAGCTGCACCATTTTGCATTCCCACCAGCAGTGAGTAAAAGTTCCCGTTGCTCCACTTTCCCACCAGCATTTGGTGTTGTCAGTGTTCTGGATTTTGACCTTTCTAATAAGTGTGTAGTATTATTAACTATTTATTTATTATTTGTTGGATTTTTTAAACTTTTATTTTATTCAGGGGTACATGTGCAGGTTTGTTATAGAGGTGAATTGCTTGTTGTAAGGAGTTGCTGTAAAGATTATTTTGGCTGGGCGTGGTGGCTCACGCCTGTAATCCCAGCATGTTGGGAGGCTGAGGCGGGTGGATCACGAGGTCAGGGGTTCGAGACCAGCCTGACCAACATGGTGAAACCCCATCTCTACTAAAAATACAAAAAAAAAAAAAAATAGCTGGGCGTGGTGGCGGGCGCCTGTAATCCCAGCTACTCAGGAGGCTGTGGCAGGAGAATTGCCAGTGAGCCGAGATCACGCCACTGCACTCCAGCCTGGGCGACAGAGCGAGACTCCATCTCAATAAAAAAAAAAAAAAAAAAGATTATTTCACCGCCTAGGTAATAAGCATGGTACCTGATAGGTAGTTTTTTGATTGTTACCCTCCTCCCACCCTCCACCCTCAAGTAAGGCCCATTGTCTGTTGTTCCCTCCTTTGTGTCCGTGTGTACTCAGTGTTCAGCTCACACTTGTAAGTGAGAACATGTGGTATTTGGTTTTCTGTTCCTGTGTTAGTTTGCTGAGAATAATGACCTCCAGCTCCATCCACGTCACTGCAAAGGACATGATCCCCTTCTTCTTAAGGCTGCAAAGTATTCCATGGTGTATATTATATGTACCACATTTTATTTATTCAGTCTACCATTCATGGGCATTTACACTGATTTGATTCCATGTCTTTGCTATTGTGAATAGTGCTTCAATGATCGTATGTGTGCATGTGTCTTTATGGTAGAATGATTTACATTCCTTTGGGTAGATAGCCAGTAATGGCATTGCTGGGCCAAATGGTAATTCTGTTTTAAGTTCTTTCGGGGGTCACCACATTGCTTTCCACAATGGCTGAGCTAATTTACATTCCCACCAGCAGTGTTTAATCATTGTTGGATTTAATTCCTACTTAAAAAGAATACATGCTAAATGCTCTCCAGACTTAAGTAGTGTTGTGTTTTTGGTATTATTTGTCTTTCGTCTACGTTTTCACATTAAAAAATGAAGTATACATGAAGCTTGAAACAACCGCACAGTTTAATGAATCACTGTAAGGCGAATGCAGGAAACCATAACCTGGTCAACCAGCACTTAGAAGCTCCTTTCATGCCTCGCCTGAAAAATAACTCCTGATTCTTTTGATAATCCATTTCTTGCCTTTAGAGTTCTGCCTATGCATGTATTCCTAAACAATCCAGTTGTTTCCTTGTATTTAAAAATTGTTTAGCTTTGTAGCTATAGTTTACTCATTACTGTAGGATGTTCCATTGCGTGAATATAACATAATTGACCCTCTCTATTGTTGATGGACATTTTTGTTGTTTGCATCTATTGGCTATTACGAATGATGTGTTTTGAACAGTCTCAGTGATGTCCCCTGTGCCCAAATGCACTAATTTCCTTGGAGCATATGTTCCTAGTGTGGCATTGCTGGATGATGCATATTTTCGACTTTAATACAAAATATAAATGGATTTCCAGATTGATTATACTAACTTAGCCCCACAAACAGTATATGAGAGGTCTCGTTGCTTTAAATATTCCATAGCACTGGTATTCCCAGTTCCGTAGTGTTTACCAGTATGGTGCGTGGGTAACAGTGTTTCCTTGAAGTTTTAATTTGAGTTTCCTCAATTAATAAAGAGACTCAGAATATGCAGCAAATGCTTCTGTTGCACTGTGTTACATCGCCTTGGCTCACCATCTGTTTCTTGGGTTTTATTTGCTGTTCCTTTTCTTACTCCTTGAGGTGTGTTCTCGGCCCATTCATTTCAGCCCTTCTTCCTTTCTATCTGTGTATTCAGGGCTGTGTGTTTCTTCCTACACACAGCTTTAACTGCAGCCTACAAGTTTTGACATGTAGCATTTCCATACACTTTCAGTTAGGTAATGTTTATTATCTAACTGATGATAATTTCTCAGGCACGTGCATTAGATCACATTTGTTTATTCATGATATTCATTTTTGCTGTCTTTTGGTCTGCCTGTTCTATCAATTACTGACAGAAAAATGTTAAAATTGTCCCATAAGTATTGTGGATTTTGCTTCATATAGTTTGAAGCCAAGTTATTGGATATATAGTAATTAAAAAGAGTTATATCACCTTGGTCATCCGAGCGTTGCATCATTGTGAGTGACCCATTTTAACTCAAGTAATGTTTTGTGCCTTCCACTCTTGTTGATTTTAATATATCAGCTTTATCTTTCTTGCTTGTTGCATGCTGTCTTTTTCCCATCCTTCAATGTTCAACCTTAGTATATCCCTATATTTTACATGTATCTTTTGTAAATAGCTTACAGCGAGATTTTTGTCTAATCCAACAGTTTTTATGCCTTTTAGCTGGAGTATTTAATTTATTTACATTTAATATAATTATTGACATATTTGGATTTTCCATTATTTTGAGCTTTGTATTTGTATTACCTGTTCTGTTTCCTTTTTTTCTCCCATCTTGATTTATTTTGGGTTTAATTATTTTTTTCCCTCTAATAGTTTGGAAATTGTGAACTCTGATTCTATTGCTTTAGTGGTCACTCTGAAACCACACAGCCATACTTCTTTGATAAGAATCTAGAATTAATCAATGCCTTTATCCTCTTCTTGGATAATACAAAGAGTTTAAACATGTTAATTATAATTATTCTCCTCCTGACACGAGTTAATATTGTCATATATTATAACTCTCTCATTTTAACACCATTAATTGTTATTATTATTCTTTTATAGGTAATGTTTACTTATCTTTGCCCATCTCAGACCTTCCATCTGGAATTGTTTTCCTTCTGCGGAAAGTACCTCCTTGAAAATTAATATAGAATTGGGAGTTAGCAGTTGTTTTCTTTTAGGACATTGAAGATTTCATTCCAACCACCCTTTGGCTTCCATTGTTGCTGCTGAGAAACCAGCTACTGGTCTAACTATCATTTCTTTGCTTTAAGATTTTTTTTCCTTGTCTGGTATTCTGCATTTTCACTATAGATATGGATTTATTTTTATTTACTCTTTGTGGGAATCATTGGACTTCTTGAATTGCTGATACTTCCAAGGCTGTCTTTTATAATTTGAACTTAGGGAGCGTGGGCGTCTTGGAATCTGTATCTGAAGTCTTGCGAGTCTGTTTTGTCATTTGTTATTCTTCTCCACAGTGCCTTGTGACCTTGTGTGGTTGACTTCCTTTGACTGGGCGCTGATCATTGCTCTTAAAATTATTTGTGGGATTCCCTGAGGCCTAGGATGAAAGTGCCTGCCTTCAGCTCTGAGGTCCACTCCCTAGACATGTAGGTGCACTACCTTTTGGTACGCTTCAGCTTCACAGCTTGAGGTTTCTTGGAATGCTCCAGTGTGGTGGATCTGGGCTTCAAATCTGCCAAGCACCTGCCCACTTTTGGACATATTTTCTCCTTTCTTGTTTTTTTATATTGCACTAAGCACCAAAGGCAGCATTCTTCACAGCTGTTTGTGGGTGAGAGGAAAGAAGCAGGCTCACCCCAGCCCTTATTGTGGAGCTGTGTATGGTTGCAATGAATGTGCTAGGAGCCTAAAAGACTCACAAACTTTGGTGGGTCCTGAGTTTTAATTTCTGTCCCTCCCAACTCTGTGAATCTATCAAAACACAGCTTAATCTTGCAATCTGGACTGGCTGAAGGTAAAGGGGATCAAGCATTTCATTGACTTCTCTGGGGTCTTGCTTTCCTTTAGGTCTAGGCTTGGTCATTCATCACTATGTTGTCAACTCTTCATGCGTATAAGAAAATGTAAAAAACATTTAGACAGCATTTTAAATTATTTCCAGAAGATTATTGATCTCAACAATTTAGCCCAGTATTGTTCAAGAGTATGTTCTGTGGGGATGGAAATGTTCTGTATTTGAGCTTTCCAATATGGTAGCCACTGCCTTCTGTGGCTATTGAGCACCAAAAATGTAGATAGCACACCTGATGAATTAAATTTTTTATTTTACTTGATTTAAAATTTACATAGCCACATGTGATTGTGGCTACCATATTGGACAGTGCAGCTCTAGTCCATAAACAGTTACCAGAAACAAGAATGCTTTTATTCTTTAGATTTCCTTTGGTTGAGCAGATAACTGTCTGCAATGCATCTAGCCCAGCTCCCAGAATCTTGGTGAAACATAGAGGTATTTTTGGGTTTACTTAAATTTCCTATTCATATAGTAAGGCTGTATACTTTATATAAAACATAAAATTTTTGTTTTATTAAAAAATTATTAATTAGTTAATTTATTTAGAGACATGGTCTTGCTCTGTCATCCAGGCTGGAGTGCAGTGGCATGGTCATAGCTCACTGTACCCTTGAACTTCTGGGATCAAATGATCCTCCCACCTCAGCCTCCCAAAGCACTGGGGGAAAAACGTCGTTTTAAGTATCACCATAATGAGTAGGTAGAATGCCGTTTCTTAAGATGAGTCACTTAAGCATAGGAGAGATACATACTTTATGGATCTTTTTGGTCACAAACTTTAATACAATAAACTACAGTTTGCTTGTCATTCCAAGGCCAACCTCAACAACGTAAGCCCTGTACTTAGTCTTAGAGAAATATTTATCTAGATGAATAAAAAAAGCAAAGCAACAAAAACATGAATGGAGTAATTTTCCACCTGGCTGGCTGCTTCCACACCTCTCACCCGCTGCAGGCAGCAGTAGGTGTGTGGAGGAGGGCGACGACATGTCCCGCAGCAAGAGTGTCTACCCCTAATAGTCTCACAAAACTCTGTTGCTTCTTGCTGGGAGATGAAAACAGCTTGAGGACAGGGTTTTTGTCTCATGTGTTTGTTCCACTCTGCAGAACCAAGCTTCGAACTGTACTTCATGCACTACGATGGCACAGAAAAGATTTTCTGGGTGAAACCATTTTGGTGCCATTGTCTTGTAATTATTAGGAAATCAAAAACAGCACAGAATTATTATTTCCTCCAGTATTCTGGAGGATCCTACACTTTGCATCACAGCAGCTGGCTTTGTCTTGGCTACAGCCTCCTCCCTTCTTGTTTCTCTGGTAACAAATGCTCACCTCTGTTGACAGGGTGATCCAGGGCTGGCCAATCAGAGTGCCTCACTCCCGGCTCCCTGACCCTGGAATTGTTCATGGATGGCAGCAAGCCCAGATCAGAGTCCTTCTTTGAGGCTGTTCTTACCAGAATCTCAGGAGGCCCTACATGCGTCTCTCGGGGAGCCACAAGAGTGGGGGCCAGCTGCTTTACCCTGTAGTCCTTGCCATTTGGAGAAGGCCTCTCAGTAGGAGAAGAGAAGGACACCAAGCAGGGAGGCGAGAGGTGTGGGTGATGGCAGAGGGGGTCCCACTGGTGTCTGGTCCCCAGTTCCCGTCGCTGAGGCCCCCGGAACTGGCCAGGTTCTCTAGTTCTTCCAGCTCTTTGAACTCTGCTAGTATCCTTTCAACAAGTTAATTTTCTGTTATAAATGATCCTTAATTGGGTTTCTGCCACTTGCAACAAATATCTTTTATCCTAAATTGTTAAAATGAAAAGTGTGTGTGTTGGGGGCACATTTTCAGGGGAAAGAAAATTCCCACCAGCTTTGGAATCAGCTGAGGTGGGTAAGTATATTCTTCCCCATGTTCTTCCAGCACTATTCTTTTGTCCCTCTGTTTCTTCAATAGTTTTTAGTGGACATTATCCTACAATTCAAATACCAAATGCATTTCTCATCCAAGATGAGCTGTGTCACCAATGAACAAGAAGAGCACCAGCATTGTGATTTTTTTTTTAAACAGAACTTTCAGGGTACAGAAAATAACACCACCCTGTCCAAATTTAGGGCCACACTGTCATCGAGGGATAATCAGTGTTTTTGGTTTTTTTTTTTTTTTTTTTTTTGAGACGGTGTCTCGCTCTGTTGCCCAGGCTAGAGTGCAGTGGCACGATCTTGGCTCACTGCAACGCACTCTGCCTCCCAAGTTCAAGCAATTCCCCTGCCTCAGCCTCCTGAGTAGCTGAGACTACAGGCATGGGCCACCACAACTGGCTAATGTTTGTATTTTTAGTAGAGACGGGGTTTCGCCATGTTGGCCAGGCTGGTCTCGAACTCCTGGCTTCGTGATCCACCCACCTCTGCCTCCCAAAGTGCTGCAATTACAGGCATGAGCCACCACACCTGGCCTAGTTGTTGTTTTCATTTGCCCAAGACATACTGTTCTGTTCCTCCCCTCAGTCCCTCTGTCTGCAAGTGAAACATTGTCTTTTTAACCTAAATACAAGAAACATGATTAGAACTCAATATATTGACATGTTCACCAAAAGTTCATGGCAGCACATTTCATACTAGCCCCAAATGGGAAACAATCCAAATGATATAATGGATATATTGTCATTTGTTCAGTGGGATACCACACGGCAAAGAAAAGGAATGAACCAGCATCACATACACCAACGTGGGTGAATCCCACAAACGTGGTTCAGAGTGGAAACCAAACAGAGAGAATAAAATGTGTTTACATAAAGTCCCCAAACAGGCAAAACTAATCAATGGTATTGGAAGTCTTGACTATGGTCATTGTCCCTAACCTGTGAGAGGAAGTGAGTTGGAGGAACTTGCAGGGACGAGGTGGGGAGGAGGGCTTCTGGGCTGCTGACCACGTTCCATGATGTGATCTGGGCAGTTACCCACGTGTGATTGCTTAGTAAGAATATATCAGTTTGTGTGCTTACAACTTGTGAACTTTTCTGCATGTGACTTATGAATAAAAAAGTCTGAAATAAAACCAATACTCTGGAGGGAAAAATACCATAAGGAATGAGGAGTGCCTGGGAAAAGCTCCCTGTGAACTACTCAGACATTCGCTAAGGAGAAAGCAAATGCAAGTTGGATGGGATAGTGGCTAAACGGAACTCATAGGGGAGAAATTATTGGCATTGAGAGGATGAGTTCTTTCTCTGGACTCCCTTGGAGCTTTGATATTGGCCTGTCATTAGAATTTGGGTGGCAAGCCTGCCTTATGATAAAGACTGAAGTTCTTCAAAGGATCTCCATATAACTCAGCCTTTTGCTAAACTTCTAAAAAATGAACAATTAATCAGTTCATCAACTCTCAGAGATCGTAAAAGCCAAAATGATTTAGATAAAGCAGGAAAATCAGAGCAGAGGAGACAGTTATGGCATATGAGAAACCTGTTCACTACTCAAGTTGGCCCTGACATCAGGCCAGGAATACAGAGCAAGGTTCGCCATTGTTCTGCCCACCAAATGCTCTTTTCTAGTCCTAATGCAAACTGATGGTCTCTACTTAGACCTGAGGCACAAAGAAAACATTTCAGGGCTGGGCAGTGGCTCATGCCTGTAATCTAGAACTTTGGGAGGCTGAGATGGGTGGATTGCTTGAGCCCAGGAGTTCGAGACCAGCAATGGGTCACATGGAAAAATCCCATCTCTACAAAAAAATACAAAAATTAGCCAGGCGGGTTGGCACGCATCTGTAGTCTCAGCTGCTTGGAGGGCTGAGGTGGGAGGGTCACTTGAGCCCAGGAGGTCGAGGCTGCAGTGAGCTGTGATTGTGCTACTGTACTCCGGCCTGGGTAACAGAGCAAGACCCAGTCTCAAACAAACAAACAGAATATTTCAGAAGGGTCTTCTACTCCCTATGCAAACTGCTAAGCCAGCAAGTCCCACAGGGGTACAGATGGAAGGGGCCTCTGCTAATCCCTGAGGGAAATGTCAGCTGGGGTTTTTATTACAAAGTTAGCATATACTGGGGAGCTTAGAAACAAGAGAAACGTGTTTCTCACAGTTCTGGAGGATGGAAGTCCGAGATCAGGATGCTGGCATGGTCAGGTTCTGATGAGGGATTTCTTCCAGGTTGCAGACTATCACCTTCTTGCTGTAGCTTCTCATGGTGGAAGGGGCAAGGCAGCTTTCTGGGGGTCCCCTTTATATGGCGCTAATCCCATGCATGAGGGTTTGACCCTCATATCCTAGTTACCTCCCATAGGCCCCACCTCCTAATACCATCAACTTGGGGACTAGGTTTTAGCATCTGAATTACCGGGGAGAGCACACAAACATTCAGACCTCAACAGGAGGCGAGCCTCTTGGCCCCCCTGCTAGCATCCATCTGCAGCTGGGCACCCTGTCTGGTTCTCCAACGTCACTTGTACAAAATAGCGCACTCCTTCCCTCCAGCAGCTGCTCCTCTTCTTCCTCAGACCCCCCGCCTCAAATCAGGGAATCCTCAAGATTCATGGAATTGACCACTGGGTTGCATTGTCAGCTCCTATCTCCCTGTCCTCCACCCAATTAGTCACCAGACTCACCCCTCGCCTCATCTCAGGAATAGTGGTTCTCATCCTCAGCCCATGCTCAAGCCCCTGGAGAGCTTTGGAGTCACAGACACCAGAGACTCTGTTCTGGGGGGTGTAGCATGGGCCTTCATACCTTAGACGTCCTCCAGGTGATTCTGATGTGCAGCCCAGGCTGAGAACCTCCACTCTGCAATCAGCCTCTTTCTCTGCACTGCTGGGCTGATGGTCCTCATTTCCTCCCTCATTCTCTCTCCTCCACACTACAGTTTCCTAACTGATCTGCATATGTCCAGTCTCCCTATTCTTGTTCGCTTGTCCTGACCTGTTGATATCCTAATTTAAACTCTAACCCTGATGTTCAAAACTTTCCAAAGGTCAGTTTCTGCCCACCTTCTCAACCTCCCCTTGCTCTGCCCACCCCATGCACCCACACCTGTAGGTACACAGGTCTGATCCCCTTTCATCAACCTGCTGCACCTTCCTGTTGAAGCTCTCCTCTGTCGACACCCAGTCGGATCTCCACACCTCTGGGAAAGCTTCCTGGATCATTCAATTATGTAACAAATCTCTTCCTTCTCCACTTCCTTACAGCATGTGTTAAAATTTTTTTTTTTTTAGTATTTAAAAAATAGAGGCAGGGTGTCACTATGTTGCCTTGGCTGGTCTCAAACTCCTGGGGTCAAGTGATCCTCCTGCCTCCCAAAGTGCTGGGATTACAAGCATGAGCCATCACACCTGGCCAAACACAGCACATTGCTAATGTCCAGGAAATACAGTCTGCCCTGCGTTCCGTATATTTATGGATTTGGGCCCCATCCACTGCATATGATAAACGACCTTGCCTCCTCTGAATCTAGAATGGCAATGAAATTCCACTCATGGGAGAATTGAGAAGTAGCTGCTCAAATAATTCTTTATTCTGTAGTTCAGATGAAGAACCTTTTTTTTTTTTTTTTTTAATGGAGTCTCCCTCCGTTACCCCGGCTGGAGTGCACCGCCGCCATCTAGGCTCACTGCAACCTCCGCCTCCTGGGTTCAAACAATTCTCCTACTTCAGCCTCCCATGTAGCTGGGATTACAGGTGCATGCCACCACGCAGGGATAATTTTTGTATTTTTAGAAGAGATGGAAGTCTTTCTTTATTGTGGATGTCCTGTGACTTTGAAATAAATGAAATAGTCTATTCTGAACCTGAATTCTAGAGGCAATGGGATTTGAATCAGTGTTGGAACATTCTTTCCATACCCTTTTCCCCTTTTGTTACTCCACTCTAAAGACTACCAGGTAAAAATATTCCATTTCACCAGCTCCTTTGCAGCTAAAGGGCTCTTCACACAATTCTGGCTGATGAGATATAGGCAGAAGTCCCTGGGGGAGGATTCTCCTGTGCTTTTCCTCTTCTGTCTTCCTGAAATGTAGATGTAATAGCTGGAGGAGCAGCAGTCATCTTTTCGCCTTTAGAATCACATGACGATGATGATGATGAAGCTGAAGACAGTAAACACCTTATGAGCAGCTTTGTTGGCTTTGGACTTTTACCCTTAAACTCGATGTTATGTGAGAAAATTAACCTTGTTACTTGTTGAAGCTATCCTTTGTCAAGTTTTCTGTTTTTGCAAAAAAAAAAAGAAAGAAAAAAAAGAAAAGAAAAAAGCCTTATATCTTTATATCTCCATACTCTCTCACACACTTGGGAGAGTGTTCTTAAACTAGTCTGCTTTAAGTTCATGCATTAGAAACAAAGGTGCACTCTTAACAGCAATAAGATAATTAACAAGTCTTTTATTTCCTGCAGCTCATTTTCCTTTTACCTCTTATAAATCTCTTGCACTCATTAAAAGAACCTGCTGAGAACTTATTATCAGCTGAGCTCTGGACATAGCATAGTGAGCTGGCCACACAGCATCACTGGCAGTGGTATGCTGATAAATGCTTGAGGGTAAGGAGACCTGGTTTGAGCATTTGTCAATTTCTGTGATGTAAACACTCCCACCATGGTTGAGCCTCCAACAGAGACCTCGCTGAAGGGAGATTTAGGAAGAGATGTTCTCAATTGGTTCTTGGGAGTCCTGGGAGCCGGCTGCACTACCCTCTGAAGACAGTGCCCCAAGAGAGCAGACCAGGGCCCTTGCTAAAATCATTTTCTTAAGGGTAAGCCTTAGAGTATAGCTTATCTATTGTATGTTGCCTTTGGCTCTTAACCATTCTCCTTGGGATCTTGATTACACTATTAATTTGCTTAGCAAACACTTCCCTCAGAGTATAACAAAATATACTGTGAGATAAAAGTCTTCTGATGGCTACATGCATCTCCAGGGCAAATAGCTAGGAAGGTGAGCAGGTTTGGTCATAGGTCAGTGACTTTTCTTTCCTTTGAATTCCCCAAAAGTCTTGGCAAGAGCTCCATAGCTTTCCCATTTTCTTTTTTTGTGTGTGTGTAATGCAGGTTATGAGACATACCATCCTCACTCTAATTTATATTTTGGGGGGAATTTAATAGATCCATTTTCTTTTTCATAGAGTTATGTTTGATCATCAATCCAGGATCATCAATCCTGGGCTGATCTGGTGTGTTCAGAATTAAGATGAATTATTTCTACCATTAATCAGCTATTAATAATATAACATTTCCTTTTGCTGAAGTTTGTATAAAGAATTCTCTTACCAGGGAGCATCTGAGCCATAAGAAGCCTGCCACTCAGTGTTGCCAAAGGCAGACTTTTAGTGATGCTAACTAGGGTGCCTCCCCTCTGTGGGTCTTCACCTTCCCCAATCCCACCCACCTGCTTGATATCTTAGAACTTGCCTATCCTCATGGGTTGACCTGGTGAGAGCCTGATTATGCTCACATAAAGTCACAACTTCACTAATTAGGCCCCAATAACTAGAGATTTGTTATACCTCAATGTGTTTAGCTCACGCTTTTTGTTATACTCTGAGGGAAGTGTTTGCTAAGCAAATTAATAGTGTAATCAAGATCCCAGGGAGAATGCTTAAGAGCCAAAGGCAACATACAATAGAATATAACATACAATAGAATATAATTGATCATTTAGATAAATAGCATAGGATCTTTCCTGAGAAACATCTTTTTAGGCAAATAATCTCAGATATTTGATAGACCTAGAAATCATAAAGACCTTCTTTGGTTTGAGTTTTGATATAGGTTGGATTTGTGTCCCTGCCCAAATATCATGTCAAATTGTAATCTCCAGTGTCGGAGGGGAGCCTGGTGGGAGGTGATTGGATCATGGGAGCAGAGTTCCCCCTTGCTGTTCTCATTGATAGTGAGTGTGTTCTCACAAAATCTGGCTGTTTAAAAGTATGTAGCACCTCCCCATTTGCTCTCTTCCTCCTGCCATGTAAGATGTGCCTGCTTACCCTTTGACTTCTGCCATGGTTGCAAGTTTCCTGAGGCCTCCTAAGCCATGCTTCCTGTACAGCCTGTGGAACTGTGAGCCAATCAAACCTCTTTTCTTTATAAATTACCCAGTTTCAAGTATTTCTTTATAGTATTGTGAGAACAGACTAATACAAATGTGCTCCCCCAAAGTTTATGTGTTAGAAACTTAACCCCCAACTGCAAAGTGTTGGGAGATGGAGCCTAATAAGAGGTGATTAGGTCCTGAGGGATCTGCCCTCATGAGTGGATTAATGTTGTTATCATGAGAGTGGTTAGTTATTGTGAAAGTGGGTTGTTATAAAAGCAAGTTTGGCCCCCTTCCCCCTCTTGCTCTCTTGCTCTCACCCTCTCTTGCCCTTCTGTGTCCCACCATGGGATGACACAGCACAAAGGCCCATACCAGATGATATTGCCATGTTTTTGGACTTCCCAGCCTCCAGAACCATAAGCCAAATACATTATTTTCCAGGAATTATTATCTTTATTCGACATTTTTTGTTTCAATTTTCTTTTTTTTCTTTTTTATTATACTTTAAGTTCTGAGATACATGTGCAGAACATGCAGGTTTGTTACATAGGTATACATGTGCCATGGTGGTTTGCCGCACCCATCAACCCGTCATCTCCATTAGGTATTTCTCCTAATGCTATCCCTCCCCTTGCCCTCCATCACCCGACAGGCCCCAGTGTGTGATGTTCCCTCCCTGTGCCCGTATGTTCTCATTGTTCAACTCCCACTTATGAGTGAGAACATGTGGTGTTTGGTTTTCTGTTCCTGTGTTAGTTTGCTGAGAATGATGGTTTCCAGCTTCATCCATGTCCCTGCAAAGGACATGAACTCATTCTTTCTTATAGCTGCATAGTATTCCATGGTGAATATGTGACACATTTTCTTTATCCAGTCTATCCTTGCTTGGCATTTGGATTGGTTCTAAGTCTTTGCTATTGTGAGTAGTGCTGCAATAAACATATGTGTGCATGTGTCTTTATAGTAGAATGATTTATAATCCTTTGGGTATATACCCAGTAATGGGATTGCTGGGTCAAATGGTATTTCTGGTTCTAGATCCTTGAGGAATCGCCACACTGTCTTCCACAATGGTTGAACTAATTTACACTCCCACCAACAGTGTAAAATTGTTCCTATTTCTCCACATCCTCTCTAGCATCTTTTGTTCCTGACTTTTTAATTATTGCCATTCTAACTGGGTGCTGAACCTACCACAGCGCAGCAAAGCCACTGTAGCCAGACTGCCTCTCTAGATTCCTCGTCTCTGGGCACGGCATCTCTGAAAGAAAGGCAGCAGTCCCTACCTGGGGAAGGGGCAGCTGTGGGCGTAGCTTCAGCAGATTTAAATGTTCCTGCCTGCTGGCTCTGAAGAGAGCAGCAGATCTCCCAGCACAGAGCTCGAGTTCTGCCAAGGGACAGACTGCCTCCTCAAGTGGGTCTCAGAGCCTTGTGCCTCCTGACACCTCCCAGCAGTCGTCGACAGACACATACAGGACAGCTCTGGCTGGCATCTGGCGAGTGCCCCTCTGGGACAAAGCTTCCAGAGGAAGGAGCAGGCAGCAATCTTTGCTGTTCTGCAACCTCCTCTGGTGATACCCAGGCAAACAGGGTCTGGGGTGGACCTCCAGCAAACTCCAGCAGACCTGCAGAAGAGGGGCCTGACTGTTAGACGGAAACAGAAAGCAATAGGATCAACATCAGCATAAAGGGTGCCCAGGCAAAAACCCCATCAGAAGGTCACCAACATCAAAGACCAAAGGTAGATAAACTTCTGTTCATCAAAAATTACCCTGTCTCAGGTATTCTGTTAGAGCAGCAGAAAATCAATTCTAACAAAGCTAGACTTCTTTTCGGATTATTCTATAATCCGGATTGGTGTGACTTCACCCGAAATTGTGTGAATGAGAACTATGAGTATACTTCAAAGGATTTTTCAGATGCAGAATTATATTTTATAAAGATTTTATTAGTTTTTAAGTCTTAAACAAGATATATAATCTTTTCAGATGATTCCAACTTAAATATGGGTGACTTGCTAATCAATTCACTTCTGTTGTTTAGTTTTCTTAAATTTAAAAATAGCATTTATCTGCCCACATAAAGACTTGACCATATGTGTTCATAGCAGTTTTTATTTACAGTTATCCAAATCGGAAACAATTTAAATGTCCATCCACAGAAAAATAAAGTTTTATTATGTTCACCCAATGAAATGCTGCTTACCAATGCAAAATGAACAAACTAATGATACAAGCAACGTGGATAAATCTCAAAAATATTATGCTAACCAAAAGAAGCCAGATATAAAAGTATCCATGCTATATAATTTCATTAATAAGAATCCTAGAAAAGTTTAATCTTACCCTACAGTGGAGTGGGAAGAGGACAGGGTCCCAAGCAGATGCCCAGGAAGCAAAAAAAAAAAAAAAAAAAAGGCTCTATTAAACTAGACACATTTTGATGTGCAGTTCCAGACCTTGGTGCCTACCCTGATATCACATGAAATGCTGAAATGCTGTGCATGTGCATGGAGGTATGAGCAGTGATATTCTAAAGCATTATTTTTAATGATAAAAACAGGTTTTAAATGTCCATCAGTAGGGGAAGACTAAATACCCCAGATATTGTACATCTGTGTTGTGGAGCCCTCTGCAGTATTTACAAAGAATTAGATGGAATGCCCTTGGGAGAAAAAAAATGTAAGTTGTAATAAAGCTCTATATTTTATAAATTTATCTAAATGTGGAGGGAATGGTCTGAAGAGAATCATACCATGTGATTATTTTAAGTGACCCTGTAAGGAAGGGACAACGATTTGGGGCAGGAGTCGGGGGGTCAAATGTCTTCTTTTGTTAAGACACAGCTATTATGAATACTGCTGTGATGAAAATACAAATGCATGATGTCTTTTTGGTATAACGGTTTATTTTCCCATTGGGTACAGATGGACATAAAGATGGCAACGTTTGATACTGAGGACTGTAACCACCTGATGGGATCTTCCTGCCTGCTGCATAAAGAAATGTTAGCAGCAGTGAATCTGTATGGTTCTGCAGCCACTTCAGTTCTTGACTCCTCAGAAGAAAGAATTTGACTGAGGGGCATAAGGCAGAGGGAGAGACCAAGGCAAGTTTTTTAGAGCAGGAATGAAAGCTCATTAAACAGTTTTAGAGCAGGAATGAAAGGAAGTCAAGTACACTTGGAAGACAGGCAAACAGGTCACTTGAGAGGTCAAGTGCACTGTTTGACTTTTGACTTGGGGTTTTATACCTTGGCATGCTTCCAGGGTGTTGTGTCCCTTCTCCCCTAGTTCTTCACTTGGGGTGTGCTGTCCACATGAGCAGTGGTCTCCCAGCCCTTGGGAGGGGCTGTATTTGCAGTGTGTTTACTGAAGTCGTACACATGTTCACTTGAGGCATTTTTCCCTTTGCCAGTTGAATGTTCGTAGAGGAAGGTCATATAGCAATTAAGCTCTGCCATTTTTCCTCTTATTGTGCATGCTTGAGCCCACTTGCCCAACTCCTGAGATCTTACTGGGGAGCTGCTGATCACCAGTTTCAGGTGTTTCTGTTGGGAGACTGCCTTTCCCTGGTGCCAGTTGTGACTAATTATTATATTATTTTAGAGAGACAGTTTAACAACCACCTAACCATCACCTGATGGTCACCTGACATTCTTGGTTGTGGGGGCCCTCTCCTGCCCTGCTCATGTGTGACTAACTACCTACCATAAAACATCCCCCCCTTAAGAGTCCAAGATCCCAATTCTTTGGGGGAAAGATGGTTAGTCTTCTATAACTGCTTCCTGCTGACAGAGGACTGGTGGTGGTTGTTCTGTAGGTCTTGGCCTCTTGCTAGCTGTCCTCCTGCATGCTGAATCACTTATGTGTGGGGGCCACAGGAGTGGGGTTGGTGGGTCTAGGTGGTGTCATGGGTGTCAGACTTGCAAAAAATCTGAAAAGATATCTCAAAAGGCCAAGCTACAATAGTGATGTTATTTGCAGGAGTAATTGAGGAAGTTGCATAGTTTCTAACCTCTGGAATAATGGCTGGTAATCGTTTCTGTCTGTACCTTAGCAGGTCTCAGGCTCCTTTCCTCCCCACAGCCTAATGGCCTGCTATTAGCTTTACAAAAGTGATTGAGTTCTGGGCAAGGCTTCTTATCATTTAAATGATAGCCTAAATGTCTTTCAAAGTTAGCTCAGCCCAGTAGCCCAGGAATAATTAAGGGAAAGGCAAGATGGGTGGTGGGTTAGCTCAGCTCACTGTTATAATTGCTCTCCTGATATAATTTTTGCAAAGGCAGTTTCAGGACTATTTAGGGGGGATGGAGGGGAGCAAGGGCTCAAAAGCAATCAGCTGCTATGCTCACTACCTGGGTGATAGGATTTGTGCCCCAAATGTCAGCATCACACAATATACCCATATAACAAACCTGCACATGTACCCCCTGCACCTAAAATAAAAGTTGAAATTTTTTTTTTTTGAAAAGGACAGTCTTTGTCATAAACTTCCTGGGGCTCAAATCCAAGCTTTGCCTTCTACTGTGTGACTTCGTGCAAGTTATTTCATTTATTTGGGCCTTAAATTCCTCATCTCTAACATAAGGATAAAATAACATTACCTATGTGTTATAAAACCATTGAGCAAAGTAAAAAAAAAAATAATCAGAAAGTGCTTCTAGGAGGCTTGCATAGACTAAAAACTCCACAAATGTTAGCTATTATATTGTGAGTGGTGAGCAAAAACGACTTCAGTTTTATGTAAAGTGTCTGAATTTTATACCGTGAGACTGTATTTTCAATGTATTATAAGTGTAATTAATAATAATAATTTTAAAAATAAATAGATAAAGTAACAGAAGTAGAAATGCAGATGACTCTGTCAAGAAGTTTAAAGAAAAGAAGGGGAAGAAAGGCAGCTCAGGGAAAAGAAGTGAAACATCTCCATTTAAACATAATGTGCTTCACACGTGTTCACAAGTCTGCACTGTGGGTTTAAGTTCTAAGCTCAATACCAGCTAGTTGAGTAACATCAACCCTTAAAACTCACTGCTTTACTGATAATGCAAATGACCTGGAGAGACATAAAATAGGAGCAGAAGTTTACCTTAAAAATCACAAATTGATGTCCATGTCTTAAGAGAAATTTATCAACATAACTAGAAAGCAGTTGAAGCCAAGAACTAAAGTGCCCTGTGAAAAAAATAAAGCATGATTTGCACAGTTCCCAGGTTCAGAATACATGGGCAAGCTAGATGGCAAGACCAGGGAAAACTCTGGTGGACACTAAATTAATTGCTGGCTGGCCACGCTTCTATGACACCAAGAGATATATCTAAGCCCCTACCACACATCCACCTGCAGTGCCAACAGAGGATGCTGGGTGGCAGGTGGGGTTCGTAGCTAATGCTGAAATTTGCATCACTTTAAGACACCAGTGTCATCATAGCCCAGTGTCATCATAAGTGCACATTTAGAATTGAGGTGTATTCACTCCTGCATTCTAACGTAGAAAAGGTCCACTTCCCATCTGGTGTCTGTGGCCAGATGGAGGTGTAGGGTCTTAGGAAAGCAATATGTCTTGAAATATTCATAATGAAATAATGTCAATTGAAATAAACCACATCAACAAAACCTAGTAGCTGACCCTACTCTTTGGTTTTCAGTCTTTAAAAATTCAGAAGGGAAATGCATCTAAGCAATTCCAATGCACCCAGTTTCCCCATTTACTAGTTGAGTAATGTAAAGGAAACAACTTGACTTTTCTAAGCTTATCTATTAATACAAAACAATGCAATGAGCGTTGCCAGGCCCTAAATATTGGGAGCACTTGCCTTGGGCCAGAAGCTCAGCATGGGGTCATGGCTTACACATGGTGAGTCCTGGCTACTCCACAGGGTGGCTGACTTCCTTCCTTGTCTCTTCCATCTACACAACCTGTGAGGAGGAAGTCACTTGACCAAATGAAAAATCTAAAACTAGGAAGCCTAAAAGTGTGGTTCAAATCTCACAGTTTACTATGTTTATCACGTTTACTCTGGCAGAGCTCATCAGCTTGAAAACCTCGTTTCTTTACCAGGGAATCCACTCTGGGGAAGCAACAGTCCAAGATGTTACTGGAAAGGAGTCCCAATCCAGATCCCAAGAGAAGGTTCTTGGATCTCGTGCAAGAAGGAATTCAGGGCGAGTCCATGCAGTAAAGTGAAAGGGGCTGCTGGTTGCCCATGTTTATGGTTATTTCTTGATGATATGCCAAACAAGGGGTGCATTATTCATGCCTCCCCATTTTAGACCATATAGGATAACTTTTTGACGTTGCCATGACATTTGTAAACTGTCATGGTGCTGATGGGAGTGTAGCAGTGAGGACGACCAGAGGTCTCTTCCGTTGCCATCTTGGTTTTGGTGGGTTTGGCCAGCTTCTTTACTGCAACCTCTTTTATCAGCAAGGTTGTTATGACCTATATCTTCTGCTGACCTCCTATGTCATCCTGTGACTAAGAATGGCTTAACCTCCGGGGAATGCAGCCCAGTAGGTCTCATCCTTATTTTACCCAGCTTCTATTCAAGATGGAGGTGCTCTGCTTCAAACTCCTCTGACAAAACCATCAGAAACCAGAGAGAAGGCAGACGCCTCAAGGTGACGCTGGCCAAGACCCAGACAGGCATCATGTGTCCCAGTGGAGACTGGCTCGTGATGACACCTGAGCCACAGACGATCCCTCTCACACCTAGATGCTATCTAAGGCCGATGGCAACCGGATGCCACCCTGAGCATGAGGTAGGAGGCAATTAACCCCTGGTTGGCTGAATTGACCCAGAGAACGGAGTTGACCTTCAGTTATCAATGTTGAACATTCTTCTAAGAAGACGTGAGGAGAGCTTGAGATAGAAATTAAATTCAGACATACTCAGCATGTAAAAATAAGGGATGTTCCATCTGTTGCCCACCCGAGGATAATGGATTGACACTTCAGGGACTTTAGCAATATGCCAGGCACTGTGCTAAGTAACTGACACTGATTAGACCGTTTAATAATTACAACTGAATGGGTGGTTAATGATTGTTATTTCATTGTTTTAGATGAGAAGCTCAGAAAAGTCAAGTAGCTTCGTTAAGATTGCACAACTAGTAAATGAGGGAATCGGGAGTGCTGGGATTTTTAAGGTGCATTTCCCTTCTGAATGGCTGAAAACTGCAAAGTAGAGTCAGTTAGACATCCAGCTATCAGCTTTATGCATTGGGTCCTATGGTAGAGAGAATGTATCTCAGGTCTGAGCCTGAACTTTCACCCTCATGCTCCTTCATAGCCCCATGTCTCCAGAGTCTGGGCTTCAGACATTGCCCTGGGTCAGGATTCCCAGGAAACAGACTCTGAGATGGAGATGTGCATGCAGGTGGTGACTGGGAATGGCTCTGAGGAACAGCCCCTGTGTGGGAGGGAGGGAGCAGGATGCCGCAGGAGAAATTAAAGTGCAATAGGGATGCAACTGAGGCCTCAGCTGATCTCACGGAGAGCTTTGAAGCTTGGGTGGCATTTCAGAGATGCCTTGAATTAAAGTTTTGGGACTGGGTCTTTGTATCCTAGCATCACTGGATGCAGTCACTGGATGCAGGCTACCCCTGGCGTCTGAGGAATGCGCACCCTGAACTGAGGGCAGGAGTTGGCCAACATACCACAGAACCACTGCAGTCCACCTGCAGCATTCCGCCACGTTCCAGAAGCTCGCTTGATGTGGGCAGAGCTCGTCTGGGACTTGGTTGGTCTCTTCCTGGATAAACCTACAATGGAAAGGTTATTGAGACAAACTGATGTCTCTGTGCTGAAGTGATCTTGGGACAATGACAGATACTCATGACCTCCCGCATCTACTACCCAGTCTTGATTCTCCTCACCCCCAGCTAGCACTGCTAGACTTAGACTTTGATGGTCCAGGGTGGGGGCTGCCCAGACTCTCATCCCTCGGGGTCTCCTTCCTCTGCTCACCATACCTTCCTTGGTTCACGACTGAGGTGCCCTCCATTTGTTATCAATATTCAGTCAGCAAGGACTAATAAACACCTCCGTGGATCATGTGGGTGCTGAAGGTGTTCTTCCTTCCTTCCATGTGCAACGGCAGGCTCTTTTTTTTTTTTTTTTGAGACGGGTCTCACTCTGTCGCCAGGCTGGAGTGCAGTGGTGCGATCTCTCGGCTCACTGGAACTTCCACCTCCCGGATTCAAGCGATTCTCCTGTCTCAGTCTCCCGAGTAGCTGGGACTTTAGGTGCGCCCCACCATGCCCAGCTGATTTTTGTATTTTTAGTAGAGGCAGAGTTTCACCATGTTGGCCAAGATGGTCTCGATCTCTCGACCTTGTGATCTGCCCACCTCAGTCTCCCAAAGTGCTGAGATTACAGGCGTGAGCCACTGCACCCCACCAGAAGCCTCTTTTTTAATGATTAGGGCCAATTAATCCTTTCAGATGGTGACACCTTTTCTTGCTGCTGGTTGTATGGCAAAAGAAGCCTGAAGTGTCAGGGAGGCAGTCCCAGCTTAATGTGTAATGAGACTCTCGCTGTGTCCCTTAGTGGGAAAAGTCCCCCTCTGGGGAGCTGCAACGATGGGAAGCACAGTTCTCTAAGTGAGCCACTGGGAGCAATCATAAGTAGGGCAGCACTCCTTCCAGCCACTGAATCCCATACTCATGGTAGACCTTCTGGGGACACAATACCATGCCTTTGTTATTGATTTCAAGAGAATATTGCATCTTGGAGTGTAGTGCCCCATCCTTGCAGGAGATTATCTCCAAGCTGTATCCTCAAAGGGTAGCTTCTTTGAGCTATCAGGACAGAAGCTCCAGGGCAGTGCGGGATGTGATAGGACTGGTGAACCCATGCTCACTTGCACGCTGTCAAACTTCTTTTGCTGTGAAGCGGGTCCCTGGGTCCAAAGGCAAGTCGTGCAGGATTCACGTGGGTGGACCAGACGTTTTGTAAACCCTCGGATAGTGATGGTGCCTGAAGTTCTGTGGAAAGGAAAGCCAAACTCCCACCAGGATATGAGTTAATTCCTGTCAAGCAGAATCATTCCCTTCCAGACTGGCTGGTTGGTCTCTGAGTGATTGTGCCATACTGGGGGCTCAGGGTTGTTCTCTGTGGCTTGCAGGTTGGGTATTTAGTAGCTAGATCAGCCTTGGTGAGTTGGAGACCATGCTGTTGGGTCCATGCATAGCCTCCTTCCCTGTCACCACAGCTGCTTCGTTCATGGGTTCATTGGGCCACTACTGGAGTGAGCAGTGAGTGAGGAGGGCTGAACCTCGGCTGGCTGAGTCATTCTCCCTCCTTGTTGTTTGATGTCTCTTCCACGGTGAATGCTGTCTTGGGGAAACTAACATAGAACATGACCATCTTTATGTTTAATGCTCATCCTGACAGGACCATTCACAGGCCTCCTTGTCCCAAACTTTGAATTTTTCTTCTTGTAAGTCACTCAACAACCAGCCAAGCCATTCACCACTGCCAGTGAATCTATATGTGTTTTAACCTCGGGCCACTTTTGTTTCCGCTCCAAGTAGATGACATTGGGAAGAAGTCCCTCATTACGTCTTTCAGGGGCACCCTGAATTATCAGGGGCTGTAGTGCAGGAATAGTCCATTTTCAGCTAGTACCATGTAGCAAGTTTACCCATCTGCCATCTGTGAACCAAGCATTTCCCTCCCTGCTCAGCAGGTAAAAAGGGACAAGCCCCTTTCCCTGCCACCGTGTGGTCACAGGAGTTAACTGAAGGGAAAGCACTGGTTAGAAGTGGTGGATGACAGGCAGGGCTGGGTGTGGGAGAGTGTCTCGGACACCTGCCACTGCAACTTACAAGTGCCTTCTGGCCCTACTGGTGCTCCATCATGAGAATTATTTGCAGATTGCTTGTCTGACCTTATGAGTTAGGGGGTCCTGACCTGAACCCAGGTCATGGTGGGCTGGCTGCATGGTCCTTGTTGCCATGGTTAGGTAGCAGGACAAAGCTTTTTTCAAATAGTGCATATTTTTCTGCTGCTAATGATGTGAGCTTGCTCTAGACCTAAGGGTCTGTGCTGTGATTCTCCTGTTGAGACTTGTCTTAACTGCCACCTGGTGTCTTTTCCCACTAGGGCCTGCCGGGCTGTATGGGCCCAACAGCAGGGACACTTGCACCTCAGCCTGGACCTGCTGCCCTGCTCTTCCTTCTCTGGGTCTCATGCAAAACTGGCATCTTTCATGTCGCAGGATAAGTGTGTTTCAGCAATGTTCCCAAGGGTGGGAAATGCTGCCTCCAGAATCCAGAGAAGTCTGCTGGGCCTTGTGCTTCCTTCTTAAAGGTGGGAGGTGTAAGGTGCAATAATTTTATGTTTTACTTTAGAGGGAATGTCCCAGCAAGCCCCAGACCACTGGATCCTTACAAACATACTGATCTATGGGGTTCCTGATCTTCATAGGGTTTCTCTCTTATCTTTCTTCCCACCTCCTGGCAACATACTTGTTGCATTTTGTTCATTCAGCCTTAATGTGTCCACATAGTGGACCAACATGATGCACTGTGGAATGTCCACAAGGTCCCGGTCTTTTCAGCCTGTATCCTGACAGAGAGCTGGAGAATTAACATCGCCCTGGGAAGAGCTGTGAATGAGTACTGCTATCCATCCCACGTGAGCGCGAGCTGCTCCTACTCCTCTCTGCTGATAAAGAGGAGAAACCGCATTCATCGGTTGCTTGGCTGTGTGCCTTGTCTATGGTCACTGGCTCTAGAAAAAGTTCTACATGGGCTCAGCAGCTGTGCTTGGGACTACACTTAGGTGAGTTTGCAGTACTTCACTTTCACCTTCTAAGATGTCTGTGGCTTGGAAGCAGCCTGATTAGTGAATGAAAAAGGGATATGATGGAATCCATTGGCCTTGCTTCCCTTGCATCTACTGTTTCCCTTGGGATACAATATTGTTTTTGATTTACTGTCTTGGCCTGAAGGCAAACATAAGTTTTTGCTTGGCTTACCCCACTGTGATAGCTCTTACTCTGCAGAACAAGGAATCTATACATGGTGTATTTGTTTACTAGGGCTGACATAATAAGTATCACACACTGGGTGGCTTAAACATAAGAAATGTATTGTCTCAGTCCTGGAGGCCAGAAGCCTGAGGGCTGGCTCCTCTGAGGTCACAAGAGGAGATCTACTCCAGGCTCTCCCACAGCTTCTGCTGGTTGCTGCAGCTGCTGGTGAGCTTTGGCTTATAGAAGCATCACTGGGGTCTGTGCCTTCTTCTTCACGTGGTATCCTTCTTGTGTGTGTGTGTCTGTGTGTAAATTTCTGTTTTATAAGGACACCAGGCACATGGGTTAGGGCTCACCCTAGTGACCTTATCTTAACTCATTACATCTGCAATGACCCTTTTTTCAAATAAGTTCACATTCTGAGGTACTGAACATCAGGACTCCGATATATAATTTTGTTTGGGGGAAGACTCAATTCAGCCCATAACTTGTGGGTTCTACCAACTGTCAAGTGTGCCCACCCCAATTACACATGGTGGATGGGGAAGCACCCACTGGGTGAGTCTACGGGCCTGATGGGCCTGGGCCAGGACTCTTCCTTCCTTCCTTCCTTCCTTTTTTCTCCCTTTCCTTTCCTTTTCTTTCTTTCGTTCTTTCTTTCTTTTCTTTCTTTCTCATCTCCCTTCCCTTCTCTTCCTTTCTTTCTTTTCTTTTCTTTCTTTTGATATGAAGTCTCACTCTGTCACCCAGGCTGGAATGCAGTGGCGTCATCTCAGCTAACTGCAAACTCCACCTCCCTGGCTCAGGTGATCCTCCTGCCTCAGCCTTGCAAGTAGCTGGGACTACAGGTGCATGCCACCATGCCCAGCTAATTTTTTGTATTTTTAGTAGAGATGGGGTTTCACCATGTTGCTCAGGCTGGTCTTGGACTCCTGGGCTCAAGTAATCCTCCTGCCTCAAGCTCCCAAAGTGATGGGATTGTGGGTATGAGCCACCATGACCAGCCCAGTTAATAATTTCTTATGCTATAAAGGCCTCTTTCTAAATGTAAATACATGCTTTTGTTTTCATCTGAGCCATAGCATTCCAACTTAGTTTTAGTCCAAGTTATGGAGGTCCACGTATTTATTTTCTTAATAATCATCTCTAGCACTCCTTCATTCCTTCATCCATTTATTTTCCATTGAGTGCTTATCCATGACAGGTAGTGTCCTAGATTCTGAGGATACGTTGTAAACAAATAAGAAAATAGATCCTTGCTCTTGTATAGTACACAGAGTGTTATGGCTAATTTTAGCTTGGATTATGGAAGTATAAATACAATTTCATTTTATGCAAGAAGAAAATATGGCTGGAAGATGATCATTCACGGGCTTTATAATTAGCATAATTTACAGTCTTCTTCCAACTTTAGGGTGAGAATTCACCGGATTACTGAGTTACCCAACCTCACTGAATCAAATGAAATGTGGGTGTGTGTGGGGGGGTGGCTGGGGAGGGAACCAACCCGGGGATGTTATTAAAGTAAAATTTTATAGGAAGTCTTTCTCATTCAGTATATCACCCTGCAGTGCCACCTGGCGGTTACAATGAAGGAAACCATTTCAATCCACACTGATAATTGTAGGAACCTGGAAACTGTGGGGGCTCCCATGCACTCATTTCCCAAGAGGGTGTCAGGAGGGTCGTGCACTAGAGCCCGCAGTGAGTACCTGTCTCAGTGCTTAGTTGCACCACTGCGGAGGAGGCATCATCCAGCCTGAAAGTGCCCTCCCTCATGACTCGTCCCTCCCCTAATACAAACACCGCACAGGTGGGGTCCAACCATAAGTCCCCACCCCTTACCACAGCTTAGACTCATTTGTTTGTGTGATTTATTTTATTTTCATTTTGTTACTAGCCACTCTAAAAACGAGAATTTTTTTTTCTTTTTTTAAAAAAATTTATTTTAGGTTTGGGGGTACATGTGAAGGTTTTTTACGTAGATAAACACGTGTCATGGGGGCTTGTTGTACCTATTTTTACATCACCCAGATATTAAGCCCAGTACCCAATAGTTATCTTTTCTGCTCCTCTCTCTCCTCCCACCCTCTCCGCTCAAGCAGACCCCACTGTCTGCTGTTTCCTTCTTTGTGTTCGTAAGTTCTTATCATTTAGCTCCCGCTTGTAAGTGAGAAAATGCAGTATTTGGTTTTCTGTTCCTGCATTAGTTTGCTAAGGATGATAGCCTCCAGCTCCATCTGTGTTCCAGCGAAACACATGATCTTGTTCTTCTTTATGGTTGCATAATATTCTATGGTGTATATGTACCACATTTTCTTTATCCAGTCTGTCACTGATGGGCATTTAGGTTGATTCTATGTCTTTGCTATGGTGAACAGTGCTGCAATGAACATTTATGTGCATGCGTCTTTATGGCAGAATTATTTATATTCCTCTGGGTATTTACCCATTAATGGGATTGCTTGGTCAAATGCTAGTTCTGCTTTTAGCTTTTTGAGGAATCACCACACTGCTTTTCACAATGGTTGAACTAATTTACACTCCCACTAACAGTGTATAAGAATTCCCTTTTCTCTGCAACCTAGCCATTATCTGTTATTTTTTTGACTTTTTAGTAATAGCCATTCTGACTTGTGTGAGATGGTATCTCACTGTGGTTTTGATTTGTATTTCTCTCATGATCAGTGATATTGAGCTTTTTTTCATATGCTTCTTGGACGCATGTATGTCTTCTGTTGAGAAGTGTCTGTTTATGTCTTATGCCCACTTTTTAATAGGATTGTTTTTCTCTTGTAAATTTAAGTTCCTTACAGATGCTGGATATTAGACCTTTGTCAGATGCATAGTTTGCAAATAGTTTTTCCCATTTTGCAGGCTGTATGTTTACTCTGTTGATAGTTTCTTTTGCTGTGCAGAAGGTCTTAAGTTTAATTAGATACCATTTGTCAATTTTTGCATTTGTTGTGATTGCTTTTGGTGTCTTTGTCATGAAATCTGCCTGTTCCTAGGTCCAAGATGGTATTGCCTAGGTTGTCTTCCAAGGTTCTTATAGTTTTGGGTTTTACATTTAAGTCTTCAATCCATCTTGAGCTGATTTGTGTATATGGTGTAAGGAAGGGGTCCAGCTTCAATCTTCTGCATATGGCTAGCCAGTTGTCCCAGCACCACTTATTGAGTAGGGAGTCTTTTCCGCATTGCTTGCTTTTGTCAACTTTGTCAAAGATCAGATGGTCGTAGATGTGCAGCCTTATTTCTGGGCTCTCTATTCTGTTCCATTGGTCTATATGCCTGTTTTTGTACCAGTACCATGCTATTTTGGACACTGTAGCCTTGTAGTATAGTTTGAAATCAGGTAACATAATTCCTCCAGATTTGTTCTTTTTGCTTAGATTGCCTTGACTATTTGGGCTCTTTTTTGGTTCCATATAAGTTTTAAAATATTTTTTTCTAGTTCTGTGAAGAATGTCATTGGTACTTTTATAGGAATAACATTGAATCTGTAAATTGCTTTGGGTGGTATAGCCATTTTAATGATATTGATTCATCTAATCCATGAGCATGCAGTGTTTTTCCATTTGTTTGTGTCTGTTCTGATTTCTTTGAGCAGTAATTCTTTTATAATTCTCATTGTAGAGATCTTTCACATCCCTGGTTAGCTGTATTCCTGGGTATTTTTTTTTTGTGTGTGTCACAATTGAGAGTGGGATTGCCTTTCTGATTTGGCTCTCAGTTTGGTTGTTCCTGGTGTATAGGAATGCTAGTGATTTTTGTACATTGATTTTATATCTTGCAACTTTGCTGAAGTTGTTTATCAGCTGAAGAAGCTTTGGGGCTGAAACTATAGGGTTTTCTATGTATAAAACCATGTCATCTACAAAAAGAGATAAGTTTGACTTCCTCTCTTCCTATTTGGATACCCTTTCTTTCTTTCTCTTGACTGATTGCTCTGGTTAGGACTTCCAATACTATGCTGAATGGAAGTGGTGAGAGAGGGTATTCTTGTCTTGTGCTGATTTTCAAGGGGAATGCTTCCAGCTTTTGCCCATTCGGTATAATGTTGGCTGTGGGTTTGTCATAGATGGTTCTTATTATTTTGAGGTATATTCCTTCAATACCTCGTTTATTGAGAGTTTTTAACACAAATGGATGTTGAATTTTATCAAAAGCCTTTTCTGCATTTGTTGAGATAATCATATGGTTTTTGTCTTTAGTTCTATTTATGTGATGAATCACATTTATTGATTTTCATATGTTGAACCAGGCTTGCATCCTGGGGATGAAGCCTACTTGTTTGTGGTGGATTAACTTTTTGATGTGCTGCTGGATTCGGTTTGCAAGTACTTTGTTGAAGATTTTTGCATGGATGTTTATCAAGGGTATTGGCCTGAAGTTTTCTTTTTTTGTTGTGTCTGTGCCAGATTTTGGTATCAATATGATGCTGGCCTCATAGAATGAGTTGGGGAGAAATCTTCTTCCTCAATTTTTTGGAATAGTTTCTGTAGGAGTGGTACCAGCTCTTCTTTGTACATCTGGTAGAATTGGGCTCTGAATTCATCACATCCTGGGCTTTTTTTGATTAGCAGGCTATTTATTACTGATTCAGTTTTGCAGCTCCTTATTGGTCTGTTCCCGGAATCCATTTCTTCCTGGCCCAATCTTGGGAGGGTGTATGTGTCCAGGAATTTATCCATCTCTTCTAGGTTTTCTAGTTTGTGTGCATAGAGGTCAAATGAAAATTTCTGTATTTCTTTCTTTCCTTCTTTTTGTGTTGAAAGAAGCTCTTGCTATGTTGCCCAGGCTGGTCTTGCACTCCTGGGCTCAAGCAATCCTCCTGCCTCAGCCTCCCGTGTAGCTGGGGCTACAGGTGTGTGCTTTTTATTGCACTTTTCTTCCACCTGACTGTAAGCTCCATGAGGGCAGAAGCCATGTCTGTTTCACATCCTCAAGGCACCAAAACCAGTATCTGATACATGATATGTGCTCTCTGTGTGTTGAAAGAGTGAATGGGTGTAGGGGGTGCCTGTGTTGTAAATCATGTTCTGGAGGTGACCTCATTTCCTTGGAGGCTTCCTCTGGATCAGGTCAGGCATATGATGAATCCCTAGGCTCTCTTTGCCAGCGTGGTGGCAGGTTCTCTTCCAGGTCTTGTTCAGGCTGATAATTGATCAGCAGTAATTGATATGAGGAGAGACAGAAGAAACAGACAGGAACTAGAATCCATAGATTCCTGTGCATGCAATATACACCAATACGACTTAACACTGCTGCACATCACACCACTCTCACTAAGGGTCACTGGTCCCTAAAATATTTTCCTACAGGTATTACATGTAGACCACATAAAACAATCTATTTGGCTTGGTGTTCATGTGTTCTTCCCGCCATGCCATAGGGCCTGCTCTGTGCTCCAGCCACTGAGGTTAGTGAGGCTGATAGGGAGTCATTTCCACTGGCAACACCCTGGGCCAAGCGTTATTCTCATAGTCACGAAGCAATCCTTGGCAATTCGACATGTGGAAACATCTTCATGATTTAGCTTTTGATTAAACTTTTTTTGTCTTAGACTTTTTAAAAATAACCTTTTTCCTTTAGAATAGTTTTATACATACAGAAACATTGTGAATATAGTATAGATCAGCAGTCCCCAACCTTTTTGACACCAGGAATCATTTTCATGGAAGACAATTTTTCCACAGACCTGAGGTGAGGGAGACGGTTTCAGGATAAAACTGTTCCACCTCAGATCATCAGGCACTAGATTCTTATAAGAAGCACACAACCTAGATGCCTCTCACGCACAGTTCACAATAGGGTTCACACTTCTATGAGAGTCTGATGCCACCACTGATCTGACAGGAGGCTGAGCTCAGGCAGTAATGTGAGCAATGTGGAGTGGCTATAAATACAGATGAAGCTTTGCTTATTCACCAGCCACTCACCTCCTGCTGTGAAGAGCAGTTCCTAACGGGCCACAGACCAGGACCAGTTTATGGCCCAGGGGTTGGGGACCCCTGGAATAGAAGGTTCCCATATACTCCATACCCAATTTCCCCCATAATTAACATCTTACATAAGTATGGTACGTGAAAAACATCAGACAAATCTCAATTGAGAAACATTCAACAGGAAACTTGACCAGTACTGCTCATAACTGTCCTAGTGGCCAGAAACAAAAAGGCCAGAGAAGTTACAGCCAAGTAGAGCATAAGAAGACATGATGACTAGTCTAATGTGGTGTCCTGGATGGAATTCAAGAGAGGAAAAGGGCATTAGGGAAAAACTGAGCGAATAAATCTGAATAAAGTATGGACTTTGGTTAATATTCATGTGTCAATATTGGTTCTCATCAATTGTGACATGTTTACCATACTAAGGTAAGATGTTAATAACAGGGGAACTGTGAGTGGGGGTACATGGGAATTCTCTGTATGATCATATTACTTTTTTTGTGAATCTAAAACTACTCTAAAATAATTTTATTTAACAACAACAAAAAATCAGATACTTCAAAACAAAACAAACAAAACCAACCACAGCCACCCAAAGAGAACACAGCCTTATGTCACGTGGCTGGTGGATTGAACTGCAGGTGGAAGTAACTTAACCTGTAGAACGAGACATTTTAAACCATATCTTTCATTGAAAGAAAAGTTTTCCAAATGGGAGATTAAATTAGTGAAGCATCTTATAAACTTTATCATAAATATTTGAATTAAAAGATGACACAGTAGAGTGAGAAGAATACAGGGAGACTCTGAAGTCAATGTTAAAGACAAAACTCGTGGCCTCCCAATAGCAATAGCATGACTCTTGGCAATATCGTGAGATCTTTATAGCTTCCGTTTAGTCCCGGTAAAGTGAGTATAATAATACCCACCTCTTATCATTGTAAGGCTGATTGAATGAGACTGTAGGTACAGCCCCCTACAAAGTACCTGGCACAGGAAAGCAATCGTTCCACCCAGGCAATTCTGAAATCTGTAAAACAGAAAACCAAGAAGGGGTGCTGGAACTCGGCACCAGTGCAAGTTCAGGCGGAAGTCCTGCTTTTTCTGGGAAGCCTCCTTTCTGCTCTTAAAGCTGTTCAACTGATTGGATCAAGCCCACTCAGACTATCTGGATAATCTCTTTTACTTCAAATCAAATTAATGTTAATCACATCTACAGAATGCCTTCCCAGAAACACCCTTATTAGTGTTTGATTGAATAATTGGGGACTAGAGCCTGGCCATGATGACACCAAACCTGGCCATCTGTCCCTTCCTTCCTTCCTTCCTTCCTTCCTTCCTTCCTTCCTTCCTTCCTTCCTTCCACCCACCCATCCATTCATTTTTCCATTTATCCTTTCTTCTTTCCATCCATCCTTCCATTCCACCCATCCACCCATCCATCCATCTACCTGCCTATTTATCATGAACACTGTTCTCCTGTACTATAACTGAATGAAAGGTCATACCCATTAAAAAAATTCTGAGTTATATGGGTCAAGGTGAGCACACTTACTTTGTAAATTGCCAGGTAGTAAATATTTTCAGCTTTGTGGTCCCTTTGTCTCCGTCACAACTCCTCAGTACAGTTGTTGAGTACAAAAGCAGCCACAGACAATATGTGAGTGAGTAGGCATGACTCTGTCTGATGGAACTTTACACAAAATGGATGCCAGGTGGGACTTTGCCCATGGGCTGTGGCTAGCTGACTTCTGATATAGATCAGTTGTAAAGATATGTTTTTAGAAAGCACTGACTGAGTGGAAAGGGAAGCTAGTGAAAGAAGCTTGCCTATGGTAGGTCTACAAAAAAGAGACAAAGGGAAGAGCACTTTATTAGGGCTCAGAGCAAGGCAGGAGTGTGAGACCATGACAAGTGCTGTACTCAATGCACCCTCAGTCATGCTGTCACCAATCGTCGGGTTTTCCTCCTTCCAGGCACATGACCTTCTCTGCCCCGTTGAAGTAAGCTGTTGCCATGTGATTTGATTTGGACACTGAAATATGAGCAGAAATATTATGGGGGAAACTTTAAGAGCAGCCCATGTTTGTCACATTTCTGTCCCTACAGCAGCAGTTTTAGGATGAAGCTTCTACCAACCTGAGTGTCTGAGTAAGATGAGCAGAATTCCCTCACCCACCAATGCTATGTGAGTAAAAAATAAACTTTGGTTGTATTAAGCCCCCAGTATTTTGGGATTGTTACCAAACAGAAGCTGGCCTATCCTGTCTGATATACCTAACGACACCAACAATATTTAACTAAAATTTCATCCCTTGTATCTTTTGTATGCTACCTTATCTGTATGCTACCTCTGTCTTTTGTATGCTACCTTATTTGTCTTCATAACACTTTCTACCACCTTACATATATTTATCTATTCATTTACTTGTCTGTTTTCTCTGCTAGAATACAAGCTTCCCCAAAGCAGGGACTTCTGATAATTGCTCTTAAAGCTTGGAATGATTTACTATGTGACATAATCAACATCACCAAAAGCATCAACAACACAAATAAGCATATGTGTAGTCCTCACAAAGCTATGTGAGGTAGATAGTATTATTAACCTTGTTTTTCCTTATAGGTGAATTATTCTCATTTTACCTATAAAAATGCATTAGTTATCTATTGCTATGTAACAAATTGCCGCAAAAGCAGCTTAAAACATCACACGTTTATTAGGTGTGAGTCAGGTGTCTGGGCACAACTTGTTGGTCCTTTGTTCAGGGTTTCTTGCGAGACTTCAATCAAGGCACTGGTGAGGGCTAGGGCCTCATCTGAAGGCTCCACTGGGGAAGGATAGGACTTTGAAGCTCACATGGCTATTGGCAAGCCTTTATTTCTTGCAGGCTGTTGGACTGAGGGCTGAAGTTTCTAGCTGGCTGTTCAGGAGAGTCTGCCCTCAGTCTTGATTGCTTGCCATGTGGGTGTCTCCAACATGACTATGTGCACCATCCAAGTGCACCTGCTGAGAAGGGAATAGAGAGATTCTGCTAGCAAGATGGAAGCTGCAATCCCATGGAATCACAGAAGTGACTTTTGCTGCAATCTGTGAGTTAGAGAAGCAAGTCAGAAGTCCCAGCCCCACTCAAAGGGAGGAAATTACACAGAGTATGATTACTGGAGGCAGGGATTACTGAGACCATCTGAGAGTTTGCCTTCAAGAAGGAACTTGGAATTCAGAGAGGTCACAGAGTGGGTCAGTGGTACAGATCGTGTCACCCTGACCTCACTGAGACCTGACAGAACTATAAAGGTTATGGGTCAAAAGGTAGAATGTATTCCCTAAAGCAAGGCACAAGTATTAATTTTGTTCCAATTAGGGCCAGAATCAGGATCTTGAGTACAAAGTTCACACATCTTCTTTGTAAAAAAATATGAAATCAGAAATGAATCTTTAAGAAATTAGCTGTTGATTACATGAAATTATTAAACAAATTGCTTGGATCTAAAAAACCTTTGGGCCTGGCATGGTGGCTCATGCCTGTAATCCCAGGACTTTGAGAGGCTGAGGCAGGTGGATCATTTGAGGTCAGGAGTTCAAGACAAGCCTGGCTAACATGGTGAAGCCACATCTCACTTGAGCCTGGGAGGCAAAGGTTGTGGTGAGACAAGATTGCGCCACTGCACTCCAGTCTGGGCAACAGAGTAAGACCCTGTCTCAAAAAATAAAATAAAATAAAATAAAATAAAATAAAATAAAATAAAATAAAATAAAATAAAATAAAATGCCTTTTGTTTCTTCAAGTAATACAATAAAATTCTTATCTCTGTATTAATAATAGAATTAAGTGGAAATATTTTCACTTATTCCTCTTTATATGAGTACTTTTATTTGGTGCAACAATGTACCCAGCTAAAAGAATACATTTCTCATTTTCCTTTGCAGGAGGTGTAGACATTTGACTAAATTCTAGCTACTGTGTTATGTGGGCTTCTTGGAAGATTCCTTATAGCTCGGTGATATGGTTTGGCTGTGTCCCCACCCAAATCTCATCTTGAATTCCTACGTGTTGTGGGAGGGACCCTGTGGGAGGTAATTGAATCATGGGGGAGGTCTTTCCTGTGCTGTTCTTGTGATAGTGAATAAGTCTCATGAGATCTGATGGTTTTTAAATGAGGAGTTCCCCTGCACAAGCTCTCTGTTTTTGCCTGCTGCCATCCATGTAAGATGTGACTTGCTCTTCCTTGCCTTCCGCCATGACTGTGAGGCTTCCCCAGCCACATGAAAGTGTAAGTCCAACAAATCTCTTTCTTTTGTAAATTGCCCAGTCTTGTGTATGTCTTTTATCAGCAGCATGAACATGGACTAATACACTGGGTGATCAGTTGGTCATCACATTCTTTGTAGATTTCCTTCTTCTTGCTGCAGCCACCAGCTGGGCAGGGAGAGGATATTGAGAACAAATTTCATGCTGAGGATGGCAGAGGAGAAAGATGAAAGGAGTCTAGGCCTGTACATCTCAACTTCTTTGTGCAGGAGAGTAACGCCTTACATGCATTAATCTGTTATTTGAGGTTTCCTTTATATGCGTTTGGATTGTCTGTGGCTGCAACGAATCCTGATACAATACAAAGTATTTACACCCTAGAGAGCTGTGCTAAAGAACCTATTTGCCATCTCATCGTGCTGGCAAATGACACACAACGTTCAGTAAAACTCAAGCGGATGCTATTCTGTTCTCTGCTAAATGTGCCTGATTTATCCATTGTGATGTCCTGCCATTCCAGATAGAGATCAGGATTCCCTTGCCCCATGGCTCTGCTACAGAGTCTGCCTTGCCCATCTGGCATGTAAAACCCTGAAATGTAAAACTCTGCTGTTTGTAGGAGTGCCAAGATGTTTAAACATATTTTAGATATTTTTTGGAAAGTTGTAAAACGTGGCTAATGTAGGAAATGGTAGCAGTTCATAAACACTACTTATTGTTCATCACTTCAGATGTCACTAGGCTTATGTAAATGAAACCGAGATATTTTTCTTTTTTCTGTGTGAAGTCAAGCCCATTTTTTCTTCTAACATTATAGACATCCCAGAGTGGTTATCAGCATTTGAAAGCAGCAGGGCCTCTTTCTTCTTCTTGGATTTGGTTAAAACAAAAGGGCTACGGACAGTCTTGAAATGTGAACCAAAACCCCATGTTTTTAAACACCTCAGCAAATCCGAATGAAGACAAGTTTCCTCCTTCAGGGACAAAGCAGGGTTCAGTCTATAAAACCTGACTTTGAAGCAGATGACAACTTTTCCCACAGGTGGTGCACAAGTACTTCTAGGAAACACAAACACCTAATTTTGATCTTATTTATTAGGATTTTATTTTAATGTGGATCTGGAAAAAAAACTAGCACATCATGCTCATAATTATACGGATCTTACTGCTTAGGAGGAGGCCTAATTAATTGTGTGCAATTAACAGCCGTTAATTGTGTTTTAGAGATCAAGTTAAAGAATAATCCTTGGTAAATCTTGGCTGCGGGTGACTGATGGAAGTTTCAGAGGCTGGACTGGAAGATGAAACTGGGGCAAGATGTTACACAGCATGGCCTCAGGAACCTGAGCTCCAGCAACCTGCGGGTCCCAATGGAGGCGAAGTCAAGGAGCGTCTCAGAGAGTGGTTGATGTGTGAAGTCTCTGTCTGCCCATCTGAATAACAAGAGATGGGGCTTGTGATTTTCCTCCACGGTATGTTGTCTGGTTCCTAATCCCCTCTCATTACTGTCAGTTTTAACTGTGTGTGGGTCTATGTGTGTTCACCTCTCATGGGCAGGGTGGCAGAACTCGCTAGGGTAGGAGGAGAGACCACGAAGTCAGACCTTGATTCCTGTGTGGACTTTGAAAGAGTTTTCTCCATGATTTAGCCTGTGGATTTCAGCATTTTGAAAAATTAACCAGAAATTCAGAAATTAGATGGAGACCTCTAGTGGAGGCCTGGGAGAAGAAAGATTGGAAGATTGGAGTCTACAAAGGCTGGGATAGTGGCATGTGGATGGGCTGCTTGGAGTGCGCAGAAGACACGCAGGCCTCTGTCTCATGTCGGGGTCCACCAGGGCCTCTGGGTGCCGCATCCGGTGGTGTTAGCTGGCCTCTCTCCTCAGTCACCAGTGCTCAGGCAGTGGCTGTGGATGGAGGAGCCAAGATGGCAGGGCAGGGTGGAGGCGGTGCATGCCCCTCACCAAGGCTGATGTAGCTGCTGCCTCCACTGTGTCTGTCCTACGCTTCTAGCCCTGGGGGACCAGCAAACACTTGATAGCAGGTTGATTACATCTGGCCCCTTCAATTGCAGCTGGAGGTGATTTTCCCTTACTGGAATTGACACCTGCTGCTAATACAGATTTGCCTTTTCTGCCTGTTCTCCTGCCAGCACCCCTACCTGAGGGCCTCCAGGAGGAATGACATCTCAAACAGAAACCTGCATAACATCAGCCCAAACCAAGGACCCATTTTATCATCAAAGAGGTGTGCCATGAATGCATGACTGTGGGATCCACTGCTTTGACCACATATGGATGACTTGGAAGCTGCCAGCCTACATGAACAATGGAAAGGCCATTGATGGCTCAGCAAAGTTGCCAGCTGAGGGCCAATGCTCCCCAGGGTTGGCCTCGAGGGTGGCCACAGTGCTGTAACAACAGCCAGTGTGGTGCTGAACCTGCAGCCTACCTATGATGCTTTGACACCAATTGTCAGGACACACGGGTCTGGAAACCAAATCTTGGAAGTAGGATTGGTTGCTTTCCGTGTAACTCCTAGTGACCCACTAGTAGAATTTTGCTTCCTATCCCTGAGAACTTATATTCCACAGGACTAGAGATCCTGGTTCCTGGGATGAAGCAGGGCAGCTTCTGCTGAGGTTCACAGTAAAGGTTCTGTTGAACCCAAATATGACTATCACTGGGTCCCTTTGGGCCCACTAGTGGACGAGCAGGCAAAGAAAGAAGTTACTCCACCATCAGGGGACAGATAATTCCAGCTCTCAATGGGGCTATGGTTGCTACCAGGGGACTGAAACACAGCTGAGACTGAGGAGATTGTCGGTGGCTTCTTCTGGTGCTTCCAAGTCTGGGGATAATGATGACTGGGCAGCCATCAGAGCCTGATAAACACAAGGCAACCAAGAGCTCAGACCCTGAGCGGTGAAAAGGCCAGCCAGTGCTCAGGCAGGTCACCCAGACCATCATAAGCGCTGATAGAAATCTAGGACGTGCGGTGGAGGAGGGAGATGACACGTCCCAACCATGGTCCCTGGTTAGCTGCAGGTGGCGTGTCCACCACGCCTTCTCTTTGGAGTCATTTGGAGATGGTGGCTGGCCACGATCTTGCAGGCTTAGTGACAGAACAATCTGAGAAGAACGAGGGGGGGAGCTGCTGCAGACCCATGTGGTGCTCTGCCTCATGCCCTCTCAGCCTAACCTCTAATTTCAGCAGAGATGGGGTGTGTTTCTGTTCCGTGGTTAAGTCGCTGCATGCTCACAGAGGCTTACTTCAAGCACGGGCTGCAAGGTTTTACTTTCTTCATCAGGATTCCTCTCATGCCACGAATGGGGAAAGTTCACAGTTGTTGGAGCTGATATTCCTAGAGAAAAATGCTGGTAAGTAAAGGCTCATACCTCCTGTTTTTCTTGGGGGGACTGTTCTAGAGCCTTCTGTGCCCTTCTCAGTATGTCTAAGCAGAATGGAGCGCCCATTGTTCACAGCAGTTTCCTTGGCAATATTGTTGCTTTTTCCTCCCCAGTCTCACTGTTACAGGTTGAATTGTGTCCCCAAAAAGATATGTTCACGTCCCAACCCTTGGTATCTGGGAATATGACCTTATTTGCAAATAGGGTCTCTGCAGATGTAATCAACTTAAGCTGAGGTTAGGCTGGATTAGGGTGGGCCCTTAATCCAGTATGACTGGTGTCCTTATAAAAAGACAATGTGAAGATATGTTGGGAAAAGACTGTGTGATGGTCAGACAGAGACAGGGATTGGAGTGATGCAGCTTCAAGCCAAGGAGCGCCAAGGTTGACAACAAATACCTGAGCCAGGAAGAGGCCAGGAAGGATTCCCTCCTACATTTTTCAGAGGGAGCCTGGCCTTCCCACATCTTGATCTTGGACTCCCAACCTCCAGAAATGTGAGAGAACAAGTTTCTGTTGTTTGAGCTGCCCAGTGGTGGTCATGGCAGCCTCAGGAGATGACGCACTCGCTCTTTCTGCTTCCTCTCTCGTGCTCCCGGGGTGACCTCTCCAATAAACTGCCTGGTCACAATCCATTTTTCCAGAGTTTTCTTTATTAGAAACCCAAGCTAGGATAACCTCTACGCTGTGCAAAGAGGGAGACACTGCTGTCTAAATGAGACTTTAGTTTTTGAATGAACTCTTTTTTTGGTGATACAGTTAATCATAATTCCATTTACCATTTTCTGACCGCCTATTATGTGCCTGGCACTTTACAAACATATCAAGTCTAATCTAGTATCATCCCATGTGGTAGCTGCTATTATCCTATTTTATAGAAGGGAAACTGAGTCTGATGGAGGTTGGGAGACTTGCACTATTTGTGACCCCAAATCTACATTCTTTCTAAATACCTAGGACCCAATCTTTGCCCAATAATTTACTTTCTCTGTAGGTTCCAACTTTTCTTTATGTATCCACCTGGATTAGTTGATATCTAGGTTTGGCTGCTGTGACAAAGACCAAAATATGAGTGACTTAAACAAGATGGACGTGTATTTCTCTTTACAGAAAGCTACATATGGGGCAGTCCTGCTCCTCAGGGCCCACAGAAGCTCAGATTCCTCCTGTCTACTTGCTCTGCCAAGTGTTGTTTTTGGTGGCTTAACGCCACTTCCACTCTCCAGCCAGTAGAAAGGTGAGAAAAGCGAAAGAGAAGAACAGAATTCTCTTCACTGCAGGATCTCCTTACATCCCACTGATCAGAATTTCCACCATGACCATGCCTAGATTCAAGGGGTGAGGTGAGGGGAGGAGCTGGGAAATGCAGTCTGCATTCTGTGCCCAGCTAAAATGTAGGGATGCGGTTGCCATAGAATCGGGGAAAGTGGATATGGGGGCATGGCAGCTGGTGCTCACGGGGCACTCTTTGCCTTTGACAGTGGATCAGGCATTATGCAGAGCACGAAGAGGAGCACATTGTAGTCTCTGACTTCAGAAGAAGCAGACAGCAAAGGTGGTTTCCTTCCTGGTGGAGATTGCCGATTGGACTACAGAATGGCGAGAATACTGTGAAAGGAGGAGCATAGAAATCCAAGTGTGATCAGTCAGCAGGTCTTGGCCAGGAGCATACACAGAATAAACAAATAAATAAGTAAAGAGAGGAAGGGGAAGTAATGTTAAGACTGTTCAAGACTTGGAATACAGCTCTCCTAAAAAGCAGTCCTTTGAAGTCTTGGGATACTACAGAAAGATCCCAACAACCACTGAGCCTGGTTTCGATTTTTGGAGGAAACACACCAGGTGAATAAAGCAGTGTGACGTGAGAGAAAAGAGGGCGGCAAAGGTGAATGGGATCCCAGCCTTTCAAGGACTTGGGCAGAGCAACTGGAGGAGGTGTGAGTCCAGCCAACAGTGTGGATCAGTTTCCTAGGCTGCCATAACAAAGCACCATAACCTGGTGGCTTAGAACAATGGAAAGGCATTTGCTCACGGTTCCAGAAGCTGTAGGTTAGAAACTAAGTGTGGCAGGGTCATGGCCCCTCTGAAACCTAGGAGGGAAGGATGCTTCCCTGCTTCTTCCTGCTTCTGCTATCCCCTGATGTTCCTGGGTTAGTGGCAGCATAATTCTGGCCTCTGCCTCTGTCTTAACGTGGTGTTTTTTCCTGTGTCTCTTCATATTGCCTTTTGTCTCTGTGCCTCTACCTCTGAGTCCAAATTGCCCCTTTTTATAAGGACAATCACATTGTCCTTAGTCACATTGGATTGGATTAGGGCCCACTATACAGACCTTGTTTTAACTTGATTCTTCTATCAAGACCCTGAGAATCTCCAAATAAGGCCACATTCTGAGGAACTGTGGGTTTGGACTTCAACATGTCTTTTTTGGGGGCCACAACTCAACCCATACCAGCTTGCTTGATGGATATTCATAGCTGATGTCAAAGTAAATTTAATTCTCATCCTCAGAAGCAAGAAAGATTCCACGACTAAGGCCAACAATAACATCCAGGGAGTTCGTTTCTTGAGCAACGACCAGCTCTTTGCATAGCACGAATTGCCAAAAAAGGCCAGCGTAGTCATTTCTCGGCCATGCACACCTGTGATGTGGCAAGCCATGTTGACGTGCCAAAAATGAGAATTCTCCAGTAAAAATAAAATAGAGTAAATTAGATAATAATGTTCCGAAGGCAATTTATACTTTTCTGTGCTTTGGGATTCATTTTCAAAACATGTTTCATTTGTCTTTGAAAATCGAAGTTCACGTTCAAGGCCCCTTTGAGTTTGCTTTTTGTCCAACTATTCGGGCATGCAATAGTCACTAATGGGAACTCCTGGCTTAGAGCCAAGAAACCAACAAAAGGCCCCAAAATGAATGCTTTAAAAGACTGTGCATGTTTTAAAGGCCTCTCGCCTATCAGCAAGCACCACTGTTTCTCCATGGACAAACCAGAGTGTCCTGACAAGGTCTCCTGTCCCCTGGCAGACAGCTGACACCCGAGGCCCATCAGGCTGGGAGCTTGCTTGTCTGGAATGTCTTTGAATGCATGGGCTATCCTTTCCCACTCCCCCATAGCCTCCCCTATCAGCCAAAGTAATTTGAAGATGTGGTGGTGTTATAAGATAATCTAGGATAATCTCCCAATTCTTGCACACTTCTCTGTTGAGAGGTCGGTTTATCGCTTCTTGCACACTTCTCTGTTGAGAGGTCGGTTTATCGCAGTTTGTTTTTAGGTCTATTAAGAGGTCTAAGTCCCCTCTCCCTGAATCTGAACCCTGTGAGTGCGTGGCTGATAGAGCACCTTGGGTGTGGCTGTGGTATAAGTCCTGAGGATGCATGTCCTTCCATATTCCCTTCTCTTTGAGTGTGGGAGAGTCTGGGAATGCTGCGCTATTACTCTTGTGATTTAGAGCAAAAGGGATATGATTTGAGTGGGCCTAGTCTAATCACATGGACTTTTTAAAAGCAGAGTTTTTCCTCCGGCTAGCAGCAAACAAGGAAGTCTGAGATTTGAAGCAGGAGGAGAATAGGGTGCATTGTTGCTGCCTTTGAAAATGGAGGGGCCACATGCCAACCAGTGCAAGTAGCTTTTAGAAGCTGAGAAGAGCCCCTAAGTGAATTCAGCTCACAAACTGAATGAGCTTGGAAGTGGAATCGTTCTCAGAGCTTCCAGAAAAGGACTCATCTGTCTAACACCTTGATGTTGGCCTTATGAGACCCTACCTAAGAAGAGAACCCAGTCAAACCTTCCCAGGCTTTTATGGAACTGAGAGATAATAAATAGGTATAGTTTTAAGGCATGAAATTTGTAATAGTTTGTTATTTGCCAATGGAAAACTAATAGAGTGACACTGTGCCCAATTCTAGGTTCGGGCTGCAAAAGACTTGTAGCTTTTATTTGTTTCTTGGGGCATTTGCTCCCGGAATCCAGCAGCCATGCTGTGAGGAAGCCCAAGCAGCCCCACAGAGAGGTCCATGTCAAAGAGAGTAAGACCCTCAGCCCAGCCAGAACCAAGCTCCTAGTCAATGGCCAGGACTGACTTTCCAGCTTTGTGAATGAGCCACCCTGAAAGTGAATCCTATAGCCCCAGCTGATCTGTTCCAGCTGACCCATGTGAAGCAGGACAGGACATTACCACTGAGCCCTGCCCAGATTGCAAAATAAATGGTTGTTCTTATTTGAAATCACTAATTTTTGGGGTGGTTTAAATAGAGGGCAAATTTTCTGCTGCTCATCCTCATACCAAAATTGCTAATTATGTCTCTAGTAATATGGTTGATGTCCAGGATAACTTAAATGAGACCATTAAGTGACAATGTGACATTCCTATCCAAGGGGAAAAACAGCTCTTGCAACCGTAAGTACACATTGTTCTAACCTGCTTTCTTCATAGGATTTTGTGAATCAAGGACTGCAATGGACAGAGAATGTTTTGCAAATTCTTAGATATAGGGGGATTTATCAACTTTGTACCCAAATATACCACCCTTATGAAAATGACAATAAGCATTGCTGTTGAAGGTGTGATGAAATAAGCTATCTCTGACACAAAACGTGGGATTGTAAATTGGCATAGTTCTGGAAACTAATTTAACTCTATCAATAATTTTAAAGTGAGAAATGTTTTGACATATAATTCTAATTAAAAGAGTTAAAGAATATAGTTAAGATATAATTCCAAGCCGGGAGTGGTGGCTCATACCTGTAATCCCAGCATTTTGGGAGGCTGAAGCAGGTGGATTGCTTGAGCTCAGGAGTCTAAGACCAGCCTGGGTGACATGGTGAAACCCTGTCTCTACTAAAAATACAAAAATTAGCTGGGTGTGGTGGCACGTGCCTGTAGTCGCAGCTACTTGGGAGGGTGAGGTGGGAGGATCACTTGAGCCTGGGAGGTCAAGGCTGCAGTGAACCATGATCACACCACTGCACTCTAGCCTAGGTGACAGAGTGAGACCCTGTCTCAAAATAATAATAATAAAATTAAAAAAATTAAAAAGTTAAAATGCAGTATTTGAAAAAAGAAAAAAAGATATAGTACCAAAGACAAAATAAAAGAAAACAATAACCCTCTATGCATACATAAATTCATCTCAGTATTATTTGCAATATTGAAAAATGGCAAACGACATAATGCTTAACCACATGGGTATTCTTATGATGTATTTAAAATGATTTTATGTTTTGTATCATAAATGTAGCATATTATTATGAAGCCATTAAAGCAATGTTCATGAATGGTTTTTAATGGATATGTAACAATGTTTATAATGTAGTGTTAAATTAAAAAGGATATAAAATTATATATACAAATTATATTCTACTATATAATACATGAAAGTACACATAGGTGTCCAAGTAAAATGCTTCTAATAGCGAAAGTGGTGCAACTTAGTGTTTAATAATAGTTCTTTAAATAATTGGCAGTACATCCATAAAACATAATATTGTTTAGTGACTTAAAATTATTTCATAATAATACAGAAACTTATGGAAAAACATTTAGGCTACTTGGTTAAGTGGTCATATTAGCCTCCCAGGGCTGCCTGGGAAGAGCTCCACAATTAGAAAGCTTAAAACAACAGAAATGCACTCTGCCACAGTACTGGGGGTCAGAAGTCTTGATTTCAGAAGTCTGATATTGAAGTATTGGCAGAGCCATGTTCCCTTTGACGGCTCTAGGGATGAATCTTCCTTGCCTCTTCCTGGTTTTTGGTGGTGGCTGGCAATTCCTGGCCTTCCCTGGCCATCGTTCTAATCTCTGCCTTTTTTGTTACACAGCCTTCTCCCTATGTGTCTTCACAATGTCTGCCTTCCGTGAGTGCCTCTGTGACCAAATTTCTCTCTTCTTATAAGGATATCAGTCATATCGAATTCGGGCCCACCATCCTCCAGTGTGATCTCACCTTCCTTTAATGAATTACATCTGCAATGACCCTGTTTCCAAATCAAGTCACATGCTGAGGTTCTGGGTAGACAAGAATTTTGGGTGAATACTATTCAACCTAGTGGATGAAGTGAAAAAATAGATTTTCAATATGTAAAATTACTTTTACTACTTCAATACAAAGTTAAAAATGATGGCTGTGTGCAGTGGCTCACGCCTGTAATCCCAGCACTGTGGGATGCCAAGGCAGGTAGATCACGAGGTCAGGAGTTCGAGACCAGCCTGGCCAATATGGTGAAACCCCATCTCTACTGAAAATACAAAAATTAGCTAGGCATTGTGGCACGTACCTGTAGTCCCAGCTGCTCGGCAGGCTGAGGCAGGAGAATCGCTTGAACCCGGGAGGCGGAGGTTGTAGTGAGCCGAGATCATGCCACTGCACTCCAGCCTGGGTGACAGAGCAAGACTCTGTCTCAAAAAAAAAAAAAAAATACACACACACACACACACACACACACACACACACACTCATTACTCATTATAATATCATACAGAATAGTTTTGTTGCCCTAAAAAATCCTCTGCGCTTCACCTATTTATCTCTCTCTCCTCTAGCTCCTGATAACCACTGATTTTTTTAAACTGACTCCATGGTAGCAATTGCATTTTTCAGAACTAATTCTAAGGGATTCATTAGGTGTATCCTTTTTGATTCAGTGATGCTGGTATTCGCCACCAATTGTAATGGTAGAAATTGAAAGCAACTGAATTTCGTCTGTGGGAAGCTACTTGTAAGTGATGTTATCAAATTGATGGGATTACACTTAGTCACTAAACATAATGTATTTACTGATAGGAAGCAAAGGTTTCTCATACATTAAGTCAATAACATCTGGTTGTCAAACAGCAGGTAAAATATAATCTTTTTTTTTTTGAGATATAGTCTTGCTCTGTCACCCAGGCTGGAGTGCAGCGGCATGATCTTAACTCACTGTAACCTCTGCCTTCTGGGTTCAAGCGATTCTCCTGCTTCAGCCTCCCAAGTAGCTGAGATTCCAGGTGTGTGCCACCACACCTGGATAATTTTTGTATTTTTAGTAGAGATGGGGTTTCAGTATGTTGGCCAGGCTGGTCTCGAACTCCTGGCCTCAAGCAGTGATCCACTTACCTTGGCCTCCCAAAGTGCTGAGATTACAGATATGAGCCACTGTACCTGGCCAAAGGATAATCATTTTTAAAAAACAAATATATGCTATGCTGGTAACAGTGCTTGTGTCTGTACGATGGTCTTATGAGTAATCTGTCTTAAAATTTTCCTCCTTTTTGCTTTCTTTTCCTAATTTTTCTATAATGACTGTGTATCACTTTTATAATAAAGAAAATCATAAAAGTTAGTCATTAAAAATTCATAACGCTTAACTATGGGTGCTACTGAAATTACAAATAGTTGTTATTTTCTTCTTTATGTTGAGTCTAATAGAAAACTGCTATTTGTATAGATTACAAAAAGTTAAATATTGGCCCTTTAATTTAACTTACTTTTAAAAATATTTTCTAAATATTCTACAGGAATCATATGCCTAAATTCCTCATATACCTAAATTTTTGAAATTCCTCAAAAGCCTTTTGTTAAAGGATTTTAAAAAAGATAACATCATGGTTCTCATACAAATCTAAATAAATTCCTGCCAAGGATTTAAGTCATGAATGAAGGAATGGGCAAGATGTTACAAGAGATTCAATGGAGAACTCAAAGAACACGCATATATATGCCATCATGGACGCTGAAAAATTTACAAATAGAAGCAAAATTGGTCAATATCTGCAGGGCAAAAATCGATGACTTCTCCCCCAAAGTTCACTTGCATTTCCAGGTATACAAACTATCTGCTTGCTCTCATCTTCCTACAGCTTAGAGTTGTAAATCCCTTAAGAGCAGCTCAGGCCCTATTAAATCAGATCACTCCACAATCTTCGCCCATTTCAACTTCTTTTTACAATTTTCCTGATGTTCCTTTTTACACCTGAAGATAAAAGGCAAACTCTTGACTGTGTGCTTGGGCCTGGCCCCTCTGTGGGCTCGTCTAAGACCACCCCTCACTCTCACTTCCTTGCATTCAGTATGTACCAGCCTCTTTTAACTTCCTAAGGGGTCCCAGGCCCCCTGGCACCCACCCTGCTGCCTCGATACCCATCATTCTCTCTGCCCCAAGAGGTGGTCCTCCCCACGCCCCCTCATCCTACCCACTTAATGCCTAAAATCTGCCCCTCACCTGAGTACAAACCCCCTTTCCTCAGGGATTCCCAGGGCCTCTCTCCCTCCATCAACAGTTCCTTCAGGGCCTTGACTGCAATTTAAATTACAACATGAATATGTTTTATGCAAATCTAAACTTTGTGATTTTAAAATAGCATAGGCTAAAAATGTTAGTAAAGTCTCTCTTTATGCTTAAACTTTGAAATAATGCAAATCTCCCAAATTACCAAACAAAACAAAACAAAACAAAACACACACCTCAAAGCAAAAGTCTCTCCCAGGACTGTACATTTTTAAAGCTGCATTTCAAAACCTGCACGTTGTGAACATGTACCCTAGAACTTAAAGTATAATTTAAAAAAAAAAGCTGCATTTCCAAAGAGTGGTAAATAGGGCTTCCTCTCTTGCCCCAGTGTGGCCTCTCTGTAACTGGTCAATAGAAACAGTCCCGGCCCGGGGTCACCGGGTTGGGGACCCTGTACTTGCTATGGAACTTCCGAGAGTGGCTATTACTAAGGCATATGCATTGTTGTTGTAGCACTCATTGTTATCATAACTTAACATCTTCCAGAAGCTCTAACAATATTCTCCAGTAGTGGTGCTGAGGCTGAGGCTGAGGCCGGGCATCTTGGTGAGGGGAGTCAGATGGGATCAGTGCTTTGCTGGCCAGCCCTCACAACTCCTGGTGCCGACTGACGCATGATGACAGAGGCCAAGAGATTACAAAGCACACAGGGCACAAATGCACTACCCTGACCTCAGATTTCTATTCCTATGGCACATTGTTCTGGAGTTATTTGAATTATGACTTATGCTAGGCCTGCAGAGACATGGCCCATGGATAAGATGCTACAACCCTGTGTATATTTGTGAGATTATTCGGCTAATATGTTGTCTCCCTGATCTGTCTGCTTTGTTCACCATTTTTCTTACCAGCTCCTAGTAGAAGGGAAAAAAATATTTCCTCTTGTTCGTGTGAAAAAAAAAAAAACCCCTCACCACTCAATGTGCTTTTTCCTGTTCTCTCATTCAACACCGTAACAACTAGCACAGACTTCTGGGTGGGGTTGGGGTTCTCCAACACAAATTGGCAGGGGTGGGGTTCTCCCCACCACCGAGCAAGCACTCAGCTCTGCACTGGACAGTGGCTGGGTGTCCTGCAATTCCATTCTGACATTTTCTACTTGGAGACAGCTCAGATCCCACAGGGCGAGGGCTCTGTTACACAAGACAGACCCCCTGTACTTTCCCACCGATCTGCATGTCCAGGCCTCCAGAACTTCTGACCGACCGGCTTCAAGCTGGAGTTCCCACAATCCCTTCTTTTGGTTTAATCCATTTGCTAGAATGACTCTCAGGAAAACACTTGTTTATGTTTACCGGCTTATGATAAAGGATATTGCAACTCACACCATGAAGATGCGCAGGGCGAGGGATGTGGGAAGGGGGGCGGAGCTTCCATGCCTTCCCTGGGTGTGTGGCCCCCCAGGAACCTCCATGTGTTCCGGAGACGTCATTGGATATGTATCGTTGCAGCGTGGACAGGTGTGTTGAAATGAGACTGGGCAAAAAGGGTTTGGTCTAAACCCAGCAGGGCCTGTCTGTTCACATTCTTTTGGCCTCTCTCTGCAGCATTCCTTCCTCCAAGGGATGCGGCAGGACCCTTTCTGGAATGAGGGCCTTATGACCCACAAACAGGCTAGAGTTCGGCTATGGGAAGGTGAAAGGAGAGTGGGAGTAGGTCAGAGAGAGAGATTCTGTTTACTCAAGAGAGTACGCAGAAGGGTGATGGGAGTTATGAGCCAGGAACCATGGGTGGAAACCTATTGTGTGTATATATCTATGTCATCGATATCTATTTCTATCTATATATCACACTTCTACTCTCTTACATTCAGCAGCTGATGCATTAGTCTGTTTTCATGCTGCTGATAAGGACATACCCAAGGCTGGGAAGAAACAGAGGTTTAATGGACTCACAGTTCCAGGGGGCTGGGGAGGCCTCATAATCATGACAGAAGGCAAAGGCACCTCTTTCATGGCAGTAGCAAGAAAGAATGAGAGAAGTGAAAGCGGAAACCCTTTTTAAAACCATCAGATCTTGTGAGACTTATTCACTACCATGAGAACAGTATGGGGGAAACCGCCCAACAGCCGCTTGATTCAATTAGCTCCCTCTGGGTCCTTCCCACAATACGCAGGAATTAACGGAGCTACAGTTCAAGATGAGATTTAGGTGGGGACACAGAGCCAAACCATATCAGCTGGCAACTGTGAATTAAAGTGACAAAACATAGAGTCACAGGAGAAAAGGCATACACATTTTACTTGATAATATTTTAATTTTTATGTGCGTGGAGGCCTTCAAAGAAAGTGGAGACCCAAACAAGTGGTTCGATTTGGGAGCTTAGATACCATTTTAGCAAAGGGCAATACACTGCGGAGAGGTGACAAAGGAAAAGGGGTTTGGGCTTCTAGGGGTGGACACTGGGCGAGTAGACACACAGGTGAAAGTTGTGAAAGATTGGGTCATTTTGCAAGGTTTAATCCATGCAGACTCATCTCGGTGCTGTCTCCTTCTCTGGTGATAGAGGTCGTTCTTATCTCCCTCATAGGAGGGATGAGGGTACATCTTCACAAGGGAAATTTATGCCCTCCTCTCTGGCAGATACGAGGAGGGCAGAAGCTTTTTTTTTGTTTTGAGACAGGATCTCACTCTTCTCACCTAGGCTGGAGTGCAATGGTGCAATGTTGGCTCACTGCAACCTCCATCTCCCGGGTTCAAGCAATTCTCCTGCCTCAGCCTCCTGAGTAGCTGTGATTACAGGAGCCCGCCACCACGCCCAGCTAATTTTTGTATTTTTTGTGGAGACTGCCGCCACGCCTGGCTAATTTTTGTATTTTTGGTAGAGACGGGGTTTTGCCATATTGGTCAGGCTGATCTTGAACTCCTGACCTCAAGTGATCCGCCCACTTCGACCTCCCAAAGTGCTGGGATTACAGTCATGAGCCATTGAGTCCCGCCCTCTTTTTCTTTTTTTCTTCTGCTTTTTTTTTTTTGCAGTTGAAAGATTTAATAGAGTGAAATAGAGTGAAAATAGAGCTCCCATACAAAAGGAGGAGACCCAAAGGGGGTTGCCGTTGCTGGCTCGAATGCCTGGGTTTATATCCCAATCATTGTCCCTCTCACTGTTCTCTCAGGCAACAGATGATTGGTTATTTCTTTATCTCCGTTTTTGCCTAATTAGCATTTTAGTGAGCTCTCCTTACTATCTGGTTGGGTGTGAGCTAAGTTGCAAGCCCCTTGTTTAAAGGTGGAAGTGGTCACCTTCCCAGCTAGGCTTAGGGATTCTTAGTCAGCCTAGGAAATCCAGCTAGTCCTGTCTGTCAGTCCTCTCTCTCAACAGGAAAACCCAAGTGCTGTTGGGGAGGTTGGCGATGACTGCTCTAACTGCTTCCTGCTGGCCTGGGGTGTAGTAGGGGTTGTGCAGTTGAGATTTCCTCAGGAGGGGTGCCTTCGATGTCGTTAACATTGGAGCATGGGCTGTCAGGGTGGTCCAGGGGTCCGCGGTAGATCTTAGTCATGGACTGCATCTGGGGCTCCATTTGAAGAATGATTTGTAGTTTTACAGCTTTAATTCTGGAAGAGACAAACTTAACAAGGAGGTTAAAGATACAGGGATTCAAATGTATGGCCTGGGGATACTTCTTTGGCACACTTTACAGGCCCCAACTATCTGCTTGAGAGTTTTGAAAAGTCCTGGTCCAGTAAATAACAATTTGGCCATCTGATGGGTGCTATCAATGCATAAGTGAAAGTTTTGGTGAGTGGTTTTAAGTAATTTCCATTGGTTAGCTGCAGGCAAAGGTATTTTTCCTTGTTCGGTGGCTTGCCATCCTGAGGGGAGAAAACTATGTCCTCGTGAGATTCCCCATTCTATTTCTTCTTCTGAATACTGGGGCTTGGTTTCCCAGAGGGGATTACCCCATACTAGGGGTCCTTCTATAAGCATTTCTAATGGAGGGTCCTGCCTTGCAGCTCTTTTGGCTTCAATATCTGCTTGGCGGTTCCTTTCTATTTCCCTTTCCTTTCCTTTCTGATGACCCCGGCAGTGTAAGACTGCCACCTCTTTAGGTTTCTGTACGGCCAATAATAATTCCCTAATGGCTTCCTGATGTTTGATAGGTGTTCCCTCAGAAGTTAGGAATTCCCTTTCTCTCCATATTACTGCATGGGCATGGAGGACTAGGTAAGCATACTTAGAGTCTGTATATATATTTACCCTTTTTCCTTCTCCTAATTCTAGTGCCCGAGTGAGTTTTGCCAGCTGAGCACTAGTTCCTGGAGTGAGGGGATTACTTTCAAGTATTCCATTATCACTGACTACTGCATACCCCACTTTTTGAAGTCCTTTTTCTACAAAGGATCTTCCATCAGTATACAAGTTAGGGTTGGGATCAGTCAAGGGAACCTCTAAATGGTCCCCTCGAGTGGCATAGGTTTGAGCAATTACTTGTTGACAGTTATGTTCTATCTTTTCTTCATTGTGTGGAAGAAATGTGTCCAGGTTAAGAGCTGCACAAGTGCACAGTCGCAGCATTGGCCCTTCAAGTAATAGAGCCTGATATTTAAGTAAATGGTTGTCTGACAGCCACAAGTCTCCTTTAGCAGTGAGTATGCCATTCACATCATGAGATGTCCACACAGTAAGATTTCTTCCCTGTATTATTTTAACTGCTTCAGATACTAAGACTGCTACTGCCACCACTACCCGTAAACAATGAGGCTGACCCTTTGCCACTACATCAATTTCCTTACTCAGGTATGCCACGGGTTGCAAACTCGTCCCTCAGACCAGCGCAAGGACTCTTAGAGCTATTCATGTTTTTTTTTTTCTTTGTTTGTTTGTTTTTTGTGACATATGAGGAAAAGTCTTGCCCCGTTAGCAAGCTTAGCACTGGGGCTTGCATTAGGGCCTTCTTTAGGGCATGGAAAGCTGCTTCTGCTTCAGGTGTCCATCTTACTAAATGGGTATTGGCTTTCTGAGTTTCCTTAATTAGCGTATATAACGGTCTGGCTATTTTGCCGTACCTGGGAATCCATATTCGGCAGAAACCTGTTATGCCAAGGAACCCTCTTAGTTGCTTTAGGGTTTTGGGATAAGGATAAGCCAGTATAGGCTGGATACGTTCCTCACTGAGGGCCCTGGTGACTTTGGATAATTTTAGCCCTAAGCATTTAACCTGCTGTGAGCAGAGCTGAGCCTTTGGTTTGGAAACCTTGTAGCCACAGGTAGTGAGGAAATTTAAGAGCGCTTGGGTGGCTTGATGGCACAAGGTTTCTGAACGGGCAGCTAAAAGTAAATCATCCATGCACTGAAGGACAGGAGTGTCCAGGTATGAGAACTGGCTCAAGTCTTGGGCTAATGCCTGGCCAAATAGATGGGGACTATCCCTGAACCCTTGGGGTAAAACAGTCCAGGTGAGTTGAGATGTTGGGTTTGAAGGATCTTCAAATGCAAACAAGAATTGAGAGTCAGGATGTACAGGGATGCAGAAAAAGGCATCCTTAAGATCCAGGACTGTAAACCACTCTGCTTCCTCTGGTATTTGGGAAAGCAGAGTATAAGGGCTAGGTATAGCTGGGTATAGAGGAAAAACAGCCTCATTGATAATCCTGAGATCTTGCACTAACCTCCACTGTCTTTTGGGTTTCTGTACTCCTAAAATTGGAGTATTGCAGGGGCTACTGTATGGTTTTACTAGGCCTTGGGCTTTTAGGTCCTTAACAATCTTTTGGAGTCTTTGTTGGGCCTCGGGTCTGAGGGGGTACTGCCTTTGATAGGGAAAGGAGGTGGAATCCTTTAGTTTAACTTGGACAAAATGGGCATTCTTTGCTTGTCCATATTGTCCTTCTGTTGCCCAGACTTCAGGACTAATTCCTTCCTCAAACAGGAGACGACAAATGGGTGTTCCTTCTCCTATGTTCAGGTGTATAATGGCCCCTGCTTTTACTAGAATCTCTCTCTCTAACAAGGGAGTGAGGCTTTCAGGCATAATTAGGAAAGCATGTGAAAAGGGTAAAGCTCCCCAGTCACAACTTAGTGGCTGGAAGAAGTATCTAGTGACTGGCTGTCCTAGGACCCCTCGGATAGTGACAGATCTGGAGGACAGTTGTCCGGGACAGGAGAGTAAGACTGAGAAGGCCGCACCGGCGTCCAGGAGACAGTTAACCTCTTGGCTCTCAATGGTCAAGCATACCTGGGGCTCTGTGAGGGTGATGGCATGGGCTGGCGCTTGCCCTGGGCACCCTCAGCCCTGCTGCTGGATCATCTGGTTAGTGTCTTCTGACTCAGAGGACCTTCATCCCCTGGGGCAGTGGGCCTTCCAGTGATTCCCTTGACATAAGGGGCATGGACAAGAGGGCGGCTTACTTCTACTTGGACAATCTTTTTTAAAGTGTCCTTGTAGACCGCACTGGAAGTAAGCCCTATTAGGCATTCGATTTGCCCAGCTTTTCCCTTTTACAGAGCCTCCAAAGTCCACTTGCCTGAGGGCCATGACTAAAGTGATGGCCTTTTTTTTATCCTGTTTGTCCTGTTCTGCCTGCTCCTCCTGATCTCTATTATAAAAAAGCGAGGTTGCCAAGTTCAATAGGGTTTCTAAGTTTTGCTCCAGGCCTAAGACAGACTTTTGAAGTTTTTTCCTAATGTCTGCAGCTGACTGAGTGATAAACTTATCCTTTAAGATTAGTTGGCCTTCACTAGAGTCAGGTGACAGGGAGGTATGCTTCCTCAATGCCTCCCTTAGTCTCTCCAGAAAGGCAGTAGGATTTTCTTCCTTTCCCTATGCTATAGTGTACATCATTGAATAATTCACAGCCTTCTTCCTAGTTTTCCTTAGTCCTTCTAGCACACACGTGAGCAAATGTCTGCGGCACCAATCTCCATGTTCTGATTCTGTGTGCCAGTGAGGGTCTACACTGGGGACTGCCTGCTGCCCTGTGGGGAATCATTCTCTTTCTTCTGTTGTCATCCTGTCATTGACCTGACTGAGATACCAGAGATCGCCAAACTCTCAGGCTGCAGTAATGGTGGCACTTTTTCATTTGGGGTTAGTGTCTGATTTAGCAGTAACATTATATCTCTCCATGTCAGATCAAAGGATTGTCCTAACCCTTGTAAAACATCAATATAGCCATCAGGGTTATCTGAGAATTTACCTAGGTCTATTTTAATTTGCTTTAAGTCTGAGAGAGAAAAAGTTACATGCACTCTGGCTGGGCTGAATTCTCCTCCTCCCGCTGCTTGGAGGGGGCATAATCGGGGAATATTGGCACTCTTTGGTTCATTGTTTACCCCTTTGTCTATCTCCTTTTGGACCATTTGGGCTGAAGAGGGGGTTCTTATTAGTTGGGGAAGGAGTCAGGGGGATGTTGGGGTAGGGAGGTAGATTCTGAGGGCTTCCTGTAGGGCATAAGTCATACTTTTTGCATAACTGCGAGTTGTCTCTTAATGAAAAGAAAGTTTGTACATATGGCACTTCACTCCATTTGCCTTCTTTTCTACAAAAGAGGTCTAGCTGTAAGATGGTGTTATAATTTATACTTCCCTCAGGAGGCCAGCTTTCTTCCCCTTGAAGAGAATATCACGGCCAGGCGGTACTGCAGAAGAATATAAGTCATTTCTTTCTTAGCGTCTGAGGGTCAAATTGGTCCTAATTCTCCAGAATACATCTTAGGGGCAATTTTGCCTTGGGGGGAACGTTTCCCATCTGAAAAAGGAACATAGGGATGCCAGCATCCCTAGTCATTTTCTGATGAGCATTAGTCCTAGAGTGTCCTCTGTGGTCCTAATGCTTATTCCTTTCCAGGGTGCGTAACCACCCATGGACCTCTGCTTATCGGATTAGTTACACTCACCGATGTAGCAGTCCTGCACCTGTTTTCCCGCCTTTCTTGACCACAAAGAAAGGGGTCCGGGCTGCTGGATTCTAGTGGTCCTTTACCAGCGTGCCCAACATTGCCTTTGCGCTCAGGAGTGAGTCCTAGAGCTGGGCTGGGTTCCTGAGTATTTCATAACAACCCAGCTGCCCCATCAAGATGCATTCCCATAAACAACAGTTTTTATGCAAATTCGTTTCAGAGAGGGTGTAGCGAACCTTTTGAGTCAGGATTGAGATAGTCTTTTGATTCTGTAAGTACTTTAAGGCTTGGCTGAGTGCAAACAGCTCGCACATTTGAGGAGACCAATTATTAGGCAATTTTTCTAACTCTGCTTCCACAAGAGTCTCCGTATCAATTACTGAATACCCATTGTGTTTTTTACCTCAATCACCTGGGAGGAACCATCTATCATCCTGTCCTGAAGGAAGATCCTCCTAGGTCTGGTCGGACCTTTGTATGGTAATTAAGATGTAAATCCCCTGTTAGAAAATCTGCTGGGTTAAGGGAATTATCAGCGGTTGGAGTTACATTACTTTTTTCTAACATAATGGCCCCATACTTTAAGATTTTTGAGTTAGTAAGCTACCTCTTTGCTTTTTTGACTTAGACTAATTCTGAACTGGTGAGGTGTGCTCACAGCGAAGTTTCCTCTAAAAGTTACTTTTCTACTTTTAGCAAAGCAGTTGCCGCTACCAACTGAATGCATTTGGCTCATCCGTGGGTTACTGGGTTAAGGATTTTAGACAGGAAGGCTATGGGTTGTCAGTGGCCTCAGTGCTTTCGGGCTACGCCCTTATTTACACTGACAACAAAGTGGCATTGGAGTGTTATAGGTTCATAGAGAAGATCTTCAATTATCAATTATGGGTTTCAAATTTACCCTGGCTTTTAAAGGAATAGGGCACACTTTTTTTTTTTTAACTATTTCTTTTTCTTTCTTTTACTCTTTGACTTCCTTGGAATCCGTGAGGCCAAGAACCTGCCTCTCTGTCTCTCTCTCTCTCTTCATCTCTCTCTCTCTCTCTCCATCTCTCTCTCTCCGTGTCTCTCTCTTAGCCATTACAAACTTGGGGCCCTGGCAAGGGTGGTGGGGAATGGGTCCTGCATAACTGCTCATGTCAAGAGCTGTATACCTAAATTAGGAGGGACGCCAGGGATAAGACTCCCTGGGCTATAGCCTAGGTGCCTGAGGACGCAGCGTAGGGCTTCCTTAGATCCCTTTGGAGATACAACCTGCTAGAGGAAATGAAAGTCTGAACCATTAGTACCTAGGAGGCAGGGATCAGAGGAAGTAGATTCAGAGGTAAGGAGAATTTTGGGGCTATACTTTCAAGAAAGTCGTGTTCGGGACCCAGGAGGTATGGGTCAGAAGGAAAGGTAAGGGCGCATGCGTGGGCGACTGTTGAGTAGAGACTTCTGGCTGAGCCATGATCTCAATCAGCTACTGCTGGGAGGTTGGGACGACAGCTTTCTGCCTCTAGTTGGCCCTTGGTTTCCCCAAGAAAATTGAAAGTGGAAGCTGGCTCCAGGCAGACCAATGTCCCCAACAACCCCAGAAGGGTTGGGGGTTGTTAGAAAGCCCTTCCCCAGATAGCCTCACACCTGAGTCTTAAGTCAGGCGGCCACGCTAATCGTTTTTAACTGGCCGACAGGTGTCCGGTATTTTCCTCCACCTCTAAGGAAGGCTAGGACAGTATAGCAAGCGAAAGTGGTCCAATATTACTCACTGCTTTGGATGTCCCTTCGTGGTTGCCAAAATGTTACGGGGGGTGGGGGGTCCTTGCTCCCAGAGCTCCCAAGATGGTGGTGAGCCACTTCCAAGATGGCGGCAAGCCTCGTGTTCTCTGACCTGGGGTTCTTGGCCTCACGAATTCCAAGGAATGGAATCTTGGGCCATGCGGTGAGTGTTATAGCTCTATTAGAAGCTGTGGGTCATGGGAGAGAACCATGGAAGCCAGTGACTAGTGTTTAGCTCGATTAGGATGAACCCAGGCACTTAGCCATGCAGGAACAATGGCGAGCCTTTAGCCTGATTGGAAGTGGCAATGGGCGCCTCACTGGATCAGGAGCACAGCAGATACTCTGCCGGATCTGGAGGAATGGAAGTCAGCGGCGGGTCTGCGATGGTGGCAAACAGCAGTGGTGGACGGTGAGTGAAAGCTCAGCTCGAGCCGTAACAAACACGGACCAGAAGAGTGCAGTTGCAAGATTTAATAGAGTGAAATAGAGTGAAAACAGAGCTCCCATACAAAGGGAGGGGTCCCAAAGGGGGTTGCTCCCATCCCTCTTTTTCTATCTCTACTTTTTCTCAATTATCTTCAGCTCAAAATAATTTATATGCCAAAATGGCTTATTTTGGGGTGGCATATCCTAATCCCTTTCAGCATAGAGGTTTATTTTTTTGAATCAATAACTGAGGAATAATTATTCTTACTAAAACCCAATAATTCAACTCAGAAGGGTCTTCCAAAGAAGGTGGTCTCCCAGCATGCTCTGGGTTCTGTTTGCTTGCTGATGGAACACAGTTAACAGTTAACACAGCTCACGGGACTCCTGATGCTTGCGTGCTGTGAATAATAAGACACTTTCGGAATGGGGGCTCAGCACACTGTCAGGGCTCTCAGAGTTTGCCATTGTTATCATTATTATTATTAGCTATCATTGTTTTTATTGCCTACTATTACAATTTCTAACATGCCTCTATTCGCCCTTCAAGTGAGTAAAACATTCCTCAGGACTTGCCTGGCAAAAGCACCTTGGAGAAATTCAGGCTGCTGGTGAGGGTCTAGGGCTGACCCCAGCATGCCCTAAGGAAGGTCAGCCCAAGGGCAGGCACTTGGCTTGGTTAGTTGCTTTCTCCTGCCTAGGCTAAGTGTTAAGTGCTCTCTGAATAGCCACTGCATAAAATTAGTGGATAACACAACTAACCTGGTGAATTAGTCTGTTTTCACGCTGCTGAAGTCATACCCGAGACCGGGAAGAAAGAGTTTTAATGAACTCACAGCTCCATGTGGCTGGGGAGGCCTCACAATCATGGCCGAAGGTGAAAGGCACTTCTTACATGGCAGCAGCAAGAGCGAATCAGAGAGCCAAGCAAAAGGGATTTCCCCTTATAAAACCATCAGAACTCATGAGACTTATTCACTACCAGAGAACAGTATGGGGAAACTGCCGCCATGATTCAGTTATCTCCCACCAAGTCCCTCCCACAACAGGTGGGAATTATGGGAGGACAATTCAAGATGAGATTTGGGTGGGGTCACAGCCAAACCATATCACCTGGCCACATGGCCTGGGGGGTTCCAGGAACCTGGAAGTGGACTTAACTGTAATACCAAAGAAGAAGCTCCTCTGCCAACACTGACTTAGCAGAACTGTTTAATGAATTAATTACTTAGGAATGACGGGAGTTACCTCCAAGTTAATAAGGATGATGAAAATTCATTATTTACACAAGGAAACCCACAGAACCAGGCAAGAGACCACCTAAAATTTTGTTCACCTAAAATTCTAGAGTTCTTTGAGCAAACCAAATGAGTGGTTGTATCATTTTAAATTAACAGGAATAGATAGGAAGTCTAGGTCATTAACATAATTTGTGCTCTCAGTTCATTTTTCAAGTGGGCTTCCTATTGCATTTTTCTTCTGATTCAGTTGAGCTAGGGTGACAACTCCTAAATGTGTGATATTTTCAGCTAAGTGCTAGTGTCCAAGGACAAGGCAACTCTGGAAAGAAAATGGTTTAAGTGAGCAGTAGCCAGAGAAACAGAGTGCACATGAAAAACTCTGGCAAAAAAAAAAACAACCGATTCCTGTTAAAAATGGCTTTTAACACTGAAGCACTGAAGGATTAAATGTTCATAATTTAGAATTGATGATTATACCAGATTTTCAGATATGGCCATTTTCTGTGGAGGGAGAAACACTACTCTCTGTCAGTTTTGACTGCTACAACAGAATACTAGAAGCAGGGTGGGTTAAATAGCAGACATTCATTTCTCACAGTTCCAGAAGCTAGAAGTCCAAGGTTAAGGTGCCAGCAGAGTCAGCGTCTTGGTGAGGGCTCTCTTCCTGGCTTGCAGGTGGCTTCCTTTTTGCTGTGTCTTCACATGACTTTTCCTTGAAGTGTGCAAGTGAAGAGAAAACAAGATCTTTTTTTTTTTTTTTTTTTTTTTTTTTGAGACAGCGTCTCTCTCTGTCACCCAGGCTGGAGTGCAGTGGCGCAATCTCGGCTCACTGCAACCTCCACCTCCTGGGTTCAAACAATTCTCCTGCCTCAGCCACTGGAGTAGCTGGGACTACAGGCACGTGCCATCACATCCGGCTAATTTTTGTGTTATTAGTAGAGACAGGGTTTCACCATATTGGCCAGGCTGGTCTGGAACTCCTGACCTCATGATCTGCCCACTTTGGCCTCTCAAGAGAACGAGATCTTATAAGGACCTGAGTCCCATCACGAGGGCTCCATTTTGAGGACCTTATGACCTTTCAAAGGCTTCATCTCTAAATACCATGACATTGGGAGTGAGGGCTTCAACATAGCAATTTCGGGGGAACACAATTCCGTTTATAGAAGCTAGAAAATAATGTGCTAGTTGTGGAAAGGAATGATTTTCACACTATAATTTTTTTATTTTAATGGAGTGGTTGTGGTCAACTGAAGTTCCACCAGAAAACAGCCAGTGAGGTTAGAAGTAAGCCTCAGCACTCACTGAATTGTGACGTGCAGCTGAAGTCATCCTGAGAAAGTTGCATTGGATGACAAAAAGGATACAAATGAGACAAGTGTCTGGTTATTGTATAACACACACAAAAATTAACTTTTCTGCTATCTTCTTAGGTTCAGCACCAGGCGCCTGTGGAAGAAACATAAAAGACAAATTAACGGGAGAAAAAAAATGTTTATGCCTTATGCATATGGGAGCCAACAAAGGAAGTAGCTGGCTCATTAATAGAGTTAAAGAGTTAAAAGGCTTATATATCTAACGTTGTAGGGGAGGAGAAGGGGGGAGAAAGGCTTCCTATAGAAAGAACAAATAGGTTTCTTTTGGAAAGACAAATAGGTTTTTTTTTTTTTTTTTGAAACAGAATCTCGCCATGTCACCCAGGCTGGAGTGCAGTGGCACGATCTCCACTCACTGCAACCTCCGCCTCCTGGGCTCAAGTGATTCTCCTGCCTCAGCCTCCCGAGTAGCTGGAATTACAGGTCCACATCACCACGCCCGGCTAATTATTGTATTTTTAGTAGAGACAGAATTTCGCCATGTTGGCCAGGCTGGTCTCGTACTCCTGACCTCAGGTGATCTGCCCGCCTTGGCCTCCCAAAGTGCTGGGATTACAGGCATGAGCCACCGTGCCCAGCCGGTCTCAATCAATTTAGAAAGCTTATTTTGCCAAGGTTAAGGACGCACCTATGACACAGCCTCAGGAGGCCCTGAAAACATGTGCCCAAAGTGGTCAGGGCACAGCCTGGTTTTATACATTTTGTGGAGGCATGAGACATCAATCAATAAGTGTAATGTGTACATTGGTTTGGTCTGGAAAGGTGGGACAATTCCAAGTGGGGGCTTCCAAGTTGTAGGTAGACAAGAGACACAAGGTTGATCAGCCTCTCACTGAATACACAATTTACATGTGAGAGAGGGGTAGAGGAATAGGCAGTTATGCCTTGTCTGACTCAATGAATCTGTATTTTTACTAAGCAATACGGCAGAGAAAGCAATCAGATACACATTTGTCTCAGGTAAGCAGAGAGATGACTTTGAGTTCTGGCCTTTGCTCCGCACCTGTGAAGATCAGCTACAATTTACATTGCCAGGGTGAAATTCAACGGAACTGTTTTTAAGGTAAAGATCTTGAGGCCCACAAGGGAATTTTTCTCATGGGCAAATTGTGAAGGAGGTATGCAGCTTTTTCATCTTTATAGCTATCTTATTTAGGAATAAAATGGGAGGCAGGTCTGCCTGATACAGTTCCCAGCTTGACTTTCTCCCTTTGGCTTAGTGATTTTGGGGTCCCGTGATTTATTTTCCTTTCACACCTTCAACTGGAAGGAAGAGCATTCTTCGCCTCCCCTGGCCCCATTTACTTGCTTCTTGGTCTTTAAATATGTTAGCTATATCTTCCATTGGTGCCTATTACATGCAGAAATCCTTGATTCTGAGTTCCCTGACAAGATTATCAAAAAGGACCATTAAAAAAGCAGACCTTTCACTGGGTGTGGTGGCTCCCACCTGTAATCCCGGCACTTTGGAAGGCTGAGGCTGGAGGACTGCTTGAGCCTAGGAGTTCAAGGTTGCAGTGACCTATGATCGTGCCACTGCACTCCAGCCTGGGTAACAGAGCAAGACACTGTCTCCAGAAAAAAAAAAAAAAAAGCAGTTCAGTATGGTGCTGAACATCAGGTTCTTGGGACACAGTCTTCCAGAACTGTCACAGTGCTCTGCAAAGCCACGTTCCTGTGTTCATCTCCTAGCACTTGAGGGTGGGGGGTTGGAGCTCTGCCCTATCCACCAGTCCTCCAGCAAATGCCATGGAAGCCACACTTACTCCTAATGGCTGTCTCATCCAGAGGACGCACCCTCGGGACTTTTTTCTTTCTTAAGAGGATTTGTTCTTGTGGATGTCAAGGTGCCTGGCTGGGAGAAGGAGCCAGTTCCACCAGCCGCTGGGCCTTTGCTGGAGGCAAGGTCAGTCAGCCAGGCAGCATGTTTTGGGCAGGAAGGATCTGTCAGCCTCCAGCTGGTGGAAGAGGACCAGGGCGGGAGCTGAGCAGTGCCTTGACTCCGAAGGACTTGGAAGAGGAGGGAGAGGGAGTGGAGGCCGGAGTGGAGAGGATAGACTGGCCCTGAGGCCTCTGCGTTCCCAGCCCGGGGCCTGGACTTCCTGTGTTTGGCTGCTGTTTGGAGCTTGGTGATGATTAATGAGGAAATACGCACTCTGAAGAGCTTATACCTCCCTGGACTGTGAGGCCACATCTGCATTTATAACACAGTCTGTGATGTGACAGAGCCATTTCTTGAGGAACTTTGGTTCTGGTGAGGCAGCATCAGGACTCTCTAGAGGCCAGACAAGAGTGTGTTTCTACATTTGTATGGAGAGAGGACAAGAGCCACGAAGAGGCCTTTAGGAAATGAAGCACCCTTGCTGAAGCCCTCCAAAGGGTTTACCTGTCATCTGGGGTAAGACAACTCCAGTTTGTGGCTCCCCTGTGACAGGTGTTTGTCAAGTGAGTTTCTCCATAGGGCCCCTCAAGCCCCGCACAGGCCGTTATCTGGGTTTCCCAGGAAAGTTCTGGACATTTGCACACATGATCTTCGCTTTCCAACTTCCACAGAGTTAAAAACTACAAGCGTGGGCTTCTCTGAGAAGTTCAGAATTTCTGGATGGTTTCTACTCAGTGAGTGTCGCTTTCACAGTGAACTGTTCTTGGGATGGGTTGAAAGCTGAGACTTGGCTGAAATTTGATGGGCTGGGGGGGGTGGGGTCAGGATTCAATTAATAGAAAGTTTTTAAAAAAACTTTTACCGACTTCGAGGGTACAAATGCAGTTTTGTTACATGGAGATATTGTGCAGTGGGGAAGTCTGGGCTTTTGGAAAGGACTGACTCATGACGTCTGCCATTCATTGGACAAGCTTGTAAATGCCTTTTCCACCCTCTAATGAGAAGCCTTAGGGAAAGTAGAATTCTCCCAAAGTCTCTGGAGGTTCTGAGAAGGCCGACCCTGAATGCAAGATGCTCAGAGCTGGAGTCTTCCGAGTGCAGGAGAAATGCCAGCACCTTTTTATTGAGCCGTGGCGGTGTCCAGGTTGCTCCTTAGTCCCTTGCGTGGTTTTTGTTACAGCTATTTCTTTCTTCTTTTTTTCTTTACTTTTAAAAAATTTCAATAGTTTTTGGGGTACTGGTGGTTTTTGGTTACATGAATAAGTTCTTAAATGGTGATTTCTGAGACGTTAGTGCACCTGTCACCCGAGCAGTGTACACTGTGCCTAATATGTAGTCTTTTATCCCTCACCCCGTTCCTCCCTGAGTCCCCAAAGTCCATTGTGTCATTCTTGTGCCTTTGCATCCTCATAGCTTAGCTCCCACTTATAAGTGAGAACATATGATGTTTGGTTTTCCATTCCTGAGTTACTTCACTTAGAATAATGGCCTCCAGCTCCATCCAAGGTGCTGCAAAATATGTTATTTTATTCCTTTTTTTTTATGACTAAGTAGTAGTCCATGGTGTATATATACCGCATTTTCTTTATCTACTCATTGGCTGCTGGGCATTTAGGTTGGTTTCATATTGTTGCAATTGCAATTGTGCTGCTATAAACATGCATGTGCAAGCGTCTTTTTCATGTAACGACTTCTTTTCCTTTGGGTAGATACCCAGTAATGGGATTGCTGGATCAGATGGTAGTTTTACTTTTAGTTCTTTAAGGAACCTCCTACTGTTTTTCATAGTGGTTGTATAATTTACATTCCCAGCAGTGTAAAAGTATTCCCTTTCACCACATCCACACCAACATTTATGGCTTTGTCTTTTATGATAATTCTTGCAGGAGTAAGGCAGCATCTCATTGTGGTTTTAACTTGCACTTCCCTGATTAGTGATGTTGAGTATTTTTCATATGTTTGTTGGCTGTTTGTATATCTTCTTTTGAGAATTGTCTATTCATGTTCTTTGCCCACTTTTTGATAGACTTATTCTTTTTTTTTTCTTGCTGATTTGTTTTAGTTCCTTGTAGATTCTGGATACTAGTCCTTTGTTGGAGGCATAGTTTGCAAATATTTCCCCCCACTCTGTGGGTTGTGTGTTTACTCTGCTGATTACTTCTTTTGCTGTGCAGAAGCTTTTTAGTTTAACTAGGTCCTATTTATTTAGTTTTTGCATTTGCTTTTGAGGTCTTAGTCATTAATTCTTTGCCTAAGCTAATGTCCAGGCATTTTTTCTGATGCCATTTTCTAGAATTCTTAGAGTTTTGGATCATAGATTTAAGTCTTTCATCTATCTTGAGTTAGTTTTTGTATAAGGTGAGAGATGGGGATCCAGTTTCATTCTTCTATGTGTGGCTTGCCAATTACCCCAGGATCATTTATTTAATAGGGTGTCCTCTCCTCAATTTATTTTTTTTGTATGCTCGGTTGAAGATCAGTTGGCTGTAAGTATTTGGCTTTATTTCTGAGTTCTCTATTTTGTTCCATTAGTCTATGTGCCTATTTTTATACCAGTACCAAGCTGTTTTGGTAAGTATAGCCTTGTAGTATAATTTGAAGTCAGGTAATGTGAAGCCTCCAGATTTATACTCTACAGTTGTTGGGAAGAATGTTCTGTAAATATCTGTAAGTTCCATTTGTTCTAGGGTATAGTTTATGTCCATTGTTTCTTTGTTGACTTTCTGCCTTGATGATCTGTCTAGTGTTATCACTGGGGTATTGAAGTCCCCCACTATTATTGTGTTGCTGTCTGTCTAATATTGTAGGTCTAGTAGTAATTGTTTTTAAAATCTGGGTGCTCCATTGTTAGGTGCATATAAATTTAGGATTGTAATATCTTCTTGTTGGATTAATTCTTTTATCACTATATAATGCCCTTCTTTGTCTTTTTTTTTTTAACTGTTGTTGCTTTAAAGTCTGTTTTGTCTGAAATAAGAATAGCTACTTTTGCTTGCTTTTGGTTTCCATTTGTGTGAAATATCTTTCTCCAACCTTTCACCTTGAGTTTATGTGAGTGCTTAGGTGTTAGCTGAATCTCTTGAAGACAGTAGATATTTGGTTGGTGTTTTTTTGTTTTTTTTTAGTCCATTCTGCCATTTTTAATCTTTTAAGTGGAACATTTAGGCCATTTACATTAGGTCAATATTAAGATGTGAGGTACTGTTGTATTCATCATGTTAGTTGTTACCTAGATACTTCTATTTTTAATTGTGTTATTGTTTTATAGACCCTGTGAGATTTATGCTTTAAGCAGGTTCTATTTGGGTGCATATCAAACTTCTGTTTCAAGATTTAGAACTCCTTTTAGCATTTCTTGTAGTGCTGGTTTGGTAGTGGCAAATGCCTTTAGCATTTTTTGTCTGAAAAAGACTTTATCTCTCATTTATGAAGCTTAGTTTTGCTGGGTATAAGATTCTTGACTGACAATCATTTTGTTTAAAGAGGCTAAAGATAGGACTTCAATCCCTTCTGGCTTATAAGGCTTCTGCTGAGGAATCTGTATGGCTATTTCCCACCAACCTTGAGCAGGCACTTGCCCCCTGTTGTTTGTTTTTGAGCTTCTTGCCGTTGCCCCAAACATGACATTTTCTGCCACTTTTGAAGATTCCATTATCAAGCCATTTCCAATAATCCAAAAATAAGGGGCTGAGTGCGATCTCAAAAGCACCAATTTTCTTTCTGAGAGGACTAGCTTGGTGAGTCCTGGCTGATCTTCTGAGTGTGTTTGCCTCTCGTCAGGACAGGGAGGAATTGGTGGGTGGCTAAATCCTGTCTATTTAATACAGTTTAATAAGACTAAAGACTTTAAGAATAAAAGATTTTTCAACTAAGTGTAGGTAATTCAAGTCTGCTATAATGAAATGAAAGACAAGTTAAATCTCAAGTCCTGTTCAGACTACCCCATAGGGATATTCATGAACAATACCCGGCATATGTCTTTAATTAAAGCAGCTTGTCTGATTTCAGTTAAACTTGAAATCAGCTTTATGACAGTGTTCCAACTGCATACACCCTTCAAATGCTATCCCCTCTCAAATCCATATCTGTAGCAGCCTCACTGCTTGGTTCCTGGAGCTCTGAGGGTGTTTTTGCACTGCCTGCCCTGTGATTCTGCTAGACTCCTCTTTCATACAGAGATGAAATGTGGATGACATGTGAGGGTGTTGGCAGAATGGAGTGTTGAGTAAGTTAAGCAATCTATTCTTAGTCTGTTGCCTGACTCTACCTGCTTGTCGGGGACTAGAAGTCTTTCCTAACAGACCTTAATCTATTGCTGTGTCGTTTTCTGTAACACTGGGTTCACACTTGGCAGTGACTGCTTTTGGTAAAATATGTAATTTTTTATAACTGGACGACTCAATTTCTCCTTCATCCTCTGCTAGAGCCTGACATTCCAGATGACTACTTGTGGAGTTGTGTTAATCGAACCTTAAAAATTATTAAATGATGACCTGGTGCGGTGGCTCATGCCTGTAATCCCAGCACTTTGGGAGGCTGAGGCGGGCGGATCACAAGGTCAGGAGATCGAGACCATCCTGGCTAACACGGTGAAACCCTGTCTCTACTGAAAATACAAAAAAATTAGCCGAGCATGGTGGCAGGTGCCTGTAGTCCCAGCTACTCAGGAGGCTGAGGCAGGAGAATGGCATGAACCTGGGAGGTGGAGCTTGCAGTGAGCCAAGATCGCACCATTGCACTCCAGACTGGGTGACAGAGCGAGACTCCATCTCAAAAAAAAAAAAAAAAATTAGTAAATGATTTATTTGACACTTCATAATTCTGGATTTTGGATCAATCTGGGAAGGCTGTGATTTCATTTTGGTTTGTGCACAGCTGTTGTACAACTTGCTACTGAGGCATATGTGTAGGGATTTGCTGAGTCTATTGTAGATTATTGCAAGGGGCTGGGTCCCACAGTGAAATGGTGCTGCAGCACAGGTATTTCAAACCTTATATTAAATTACGGGCTGGGAGTGGTGGCTCATGCCTGTAATCTCAGCACTTTGGGAGGCCAAAGCAGGCGGATCACCTGAGGTCAGGAGTTTGAGACCAGCCTGGCCAACATGGTGAAACTCCATCTCTACTAAAAATACAAAAAAAATTAGCCAGGCGTACTTCCAGCTACTTGGGAGGCTGAGGCAGGAGAGTTGCTTGAACCTGGGAGGCGGAGGTTGCAGTGAGCCGAGATCGTGCCATTGCACTCCAGCCTGGGCAACAGAGCGGGACTCGGTCTCAAACAAACAAACAAACAAACAAACAAACAAACGAAAGAATTACAGACACAAGTAGTTATAGTTTAGTGCACACGTTGAATTTTGCTTTCTAAAGACCTCAGAGAAACAAAGGGGTGGAAACCCCACATTCTTTCTCGAGGCTGTGAATACCCAGTAATGCACTTAAATGCTAAATGCAGGTCATGGGCCTGAGAATCTTTGCTGTCTTTCACGCTGACACTGTGGGTTTCATTCAGTAACTTGGATGAGATGTCCGCAGATCAAGGTGTGGTAGTTGTTTTCCCATCACAGTTTCAATTCTTGTATTTTTGCTTCTGGGTTGGCTGTGGGGTCTGCCTTCTAGGGCCTGTCAGAAAAGAAAGGAGACTGGAGCCCTGGATGTGCGTTGTCAGCACATTATAAAGTCTCTCCTCAAAGTCCCTGATGGGACCTGTCACCTCATATTCTGGAGGGACGGGTGGACGAGACTCGCAGGGCTGTGGAATGTGTGTAGATGCCAAAGCTGAAATGAGAACCGTCCGGGTCACTGGACTCCACTCATTGGTGCTGTGGAGGAATGTTTGCAATAAAGAGACCCTTTCCTGAGGCTAAGGAGTGTTGTTTTGCGGGTGGTTCATGACATGTTCAGCACATAGGTGATCTAACCCTGAATCTTCCAGGAGGATACATCAGTACTGGGGAGTGTCTTGGATAAGCCTCTCCTAGGGGAGAGAAAAAAGCAAAAAGGAAAAAATGCAAGGGTGGAGGGTGACCAAGAGGGCATCAAAGAACAAAGGGGGTTGGAAGGAAGGAACAAGAGGTATACATGGCAGAATCCTTATGTGCTGTCAATGGTCTGGCCAGGCTTTACCCCATCTATCCTGGCCTCCCTGAACTCTGACCTCACTCCTTCCACCCACCCCTGTCTGCCACAGAGCCTTCTCTGCAGTTCATCAAGCACAGCAGGCACAGTCCCCCCGAGAGCCTTAGTACCTGCTCTTTCCTCTGCTGGGAAAGTTCTTCCTGCAGGTGTCCAATGCGGCGGCTGTTGTCTCACCTCATTCGCTGTGCATGGTGCACCTTCCCGGGGGCTTTTCTCTGACTACCCTGTTTGAAGTGGTAGCTGGTCCCCCTCCTTGCCCTGTTTCTCCCCACACCTATTGCCACCTTCTAATAGGCCATATCATCTATTTATTCATTCGGTTGCCTTTCCTTTTGAGAATGTGAGCTCATGAGGGCAGGAGTTTTTTCTCAGTGATTAGTGATTGAAACGAATGTAATAAGCCCATGATCTGCATTTGGTCAGGCATTCAGAGGTGAGGCTACACCATCTGCATCCCTTCATGATGCAGGTGGGCTGGCGGGTGGTGTAAGACGATTTCAACCAGTGATTCTCAAATTTGACCAGGCACCAGAATCACCTGGAGGGCTTCTTTAAATCCAAAATTCTGGGCCCACACCAGGGGTTTCTGTTTCAGGAGGTCTGAGGTGGACTCAGAAATGTGCATTCTTTTTTTTTTTTTTTTTTTAAGAGTCTCGCTCTGTCACCCAGGTTGGAGTGCAATGACGTGATCTCTGCTCACTGCAACCTGCGCCTCCCGGGTTCAAGCGATTCTCCTGCCTCAGCCTCCTGAGTACCTGGGATTACAGGTGCATACCACCACACCTGGCTAATTTTTGTATTTTCCATAGAGATGGGGTTTCGCCATGTTGGCCAGGCTGATCTCGAACTCCTGACCTCAAACGATCCACCTGCCTTGGCCTCCCAAAGTGTTGGAATTACAGGCGTGAGCCACCGCGCCCAGACTGTGCTTTCTAACACTTCCCAGATGAGGCTGCCCCTGTCCACACTGAGATGCGCTGATCCAATGTGTCCACGGGCACACACCAGCTGCGGGGGGTGGAGGTGGCGGTGGGCACAGAAGACTTCTGAACGGTAGATGCTTGTCAGTGATGGGTTGTTGCCTGCTTGCTTTATTTTCCCGGGGCCAGGAAGAACATATGGAGGTGCAGGGCTGAGGGAAAGCTGTCCTGACTGTGCTGGTCGTCCTGGCACGTAGGGATCGCCTGAGCTTGGTGGGCTGTTCACCAACGTCCACTTGGAGTGTAGGGGGAAGACAAGGGCCACAGGAGGCCGCTGGAACACACAACTGCCAGAAGGGTCTTTCTCAGCCTCTTCCCACTGCATCCCTTCCCATGGTGACCTCTTCTGTGGGGCCCATTTCCTCCTGCATTGACTCGACTCCCAGAACGGTCCTTCAGGTGCAGGGGATCTCCCCCATCCTCACCAGGGCCATCACTGTCCTGGGAGTCTGCATTAGGTTCCTTCCCACAAGTTGTTGCACCTGCTGAAATGTCCCTTCCCCTCCCTCGTTTCTCACCTCTTCAATTTCTATCTGGGCTTCGAGGAAGACCTGACTCAGAAATCACCTCCTCCCTGAAGCCTCCTAACCCTTGCCATTTTCAGGGCGAGAATCTCAGTTTCCATTTACTGACAGGGTAAGGGTTCTGTTGTGTGTGACACTTCCTCTTCCTCACCACCCCAGCGCTCTCCAACGGTGTCAGCTGGAGTGAACTCCTGTGTGTGCAAGGCCTGGGTCTCCTGGTCAGACTACTTTCTATGGGAAAGGCATAGTGTATAGTCTATATACTATACATAGGGGTGCTGGGAGGAACTGGGGTTTTCACAGCCAGCTTTGGTTTTCATTAGGTTTGTTTAGTTTCCATTGCTTCAGGGGTGTTAGTTTTGTGTTCCCAACTAGATTATAAACTCCTCTTGCATTCCTGATGGCAGTGACTTGAAGGCATTTATTTGAAGAATAATAGACATACAGAAAGGGGCGCATGTCATAAAGGTACAGCTGGACGACTTTTCACAAAGTGAGCACATTTGTATGATCGATGTTGAGACCAAGAGCATTCAGTGGACAACTCCTTTCCAGTTACTCCACCCCACTCCCAGTGACCATCATTCTGACTTCTAACTGTGTAGACATGTTTTGCTTGTTTTGTACTTTACAAACATATCTACTCTATTTTAGGTGGCTAGACAATGTGTTTTACAATGCTGGCCATGACAGTGTTTGAAAGAATAAAATGGAATCAAATAGAATGGGCAGTATCAGAGTGTGTTGCCTGCCTAAGAAATGTTTTGTGACATTTTGGCTTTGGGTCTATTTACACATTAAATCTAAGAGCACCAGAATGTGGTGTCAAAATGTGTTTGGGGATGAAGATATTCTAAAGTCCTGTAGTAAGCAATGCAAAACGTTCTGGAGGTGTTTATTAAACATTTGTTTGTAGAATGGAGAGGAAGACAAGGTCCCTGCTTGTGTAGAGCTTAGGGACTGACTGTAGGGTTAACAAACCACCCTTAATGTACATCTTAGGCATATGGCACTGTATGGGCCTATTTCAGCCGTGGTTACAAAAAACTCTTCTAAAGGTTTGGTGGGCAGTGGATGAACTCTGGGTCTAGTGTTTCTGAGATACTTTTTCCTGAAAAAGCTGAGGCAGGCTGGGTGTGGTGGCTCACGCCTGTAATCCCAGCACTATGGGAGGCTGAGGCAGGCAGATCATGAGGTCAGGAGATTGAGACCATCCTGGCTAACATGGCGAAACCCTATCTCTACTAAAAAATACAAAAAATTAGCAGGGTGTGGTGGCACGCAACTGTAGTCCCAGCTACTCGGGAGGCTGAGGCAGGAGAATTGCTTGGACCCAGGAGGCAGAGGTTACAGTGAGCCGAGATTGTGACACTGCCCTCCAGCTTGGGTGACAGAGCAAGACTCCGTCTCAAAAAAAAAAAAAAAAAAGCTGAGGCATACGTGCTGTCTTGAGGGTATGGAGGATCTGGGTTGAGGCCTGGAGGTGGCTATTTCAGGAGAGGAGAGTATATATGGGCTAATTCTAGAGCTCCTGAGGGTCCATCCCAAAATTTGTAATGAATGCAAATTTGTAATGAATACCAAAGCGTTCAAATGCTTCATGTTGGAAAGTCTTATGGGTGGAGTCATTTTCATTTGTAGATATGGCTCTGAATATCCATTATCAACCTGTGTGTGCACCCATAAGTCTCTTCCCAGACCTCTCCTTGCCACCATTCCTACTGTATAATGGGTTATATAGAACTCAGCCACCATGTTTATTCACTCAGTACATATTCACTGAGTAGTTGTTATGGATCACTTCTTTGTAGGCACTGGGATGTAAGATTGAGCAAAACCAGGCATTGTTCTTGTTGACATAGAACTTAGAGCCCAGTAGGGAAAACAGGCATTAATTGTGAGCAAAAGTAAATACAAAACAACTACTGTGACAATTGTAACCCCCGAACAATCAGGCCAGGGGTTAGAGACTGCATTGCAGGCCGGTCACTGCACATGTGAGAGCCCTGAGGCCAGAAAGAGTTGATGAGGTTGATAAATTAAAGGAGGTCTGGTGATCGGAGGGTGAAGTTTGGGAAAAATTGTAGCTGGAGAGAGAGTTGATGTGGGACTAAGTCAGGTCTTTTTTTTTTTTAGACGGAGTCTCACTCTGTCGTCAGGCTGGAGTTCAGTGACGTGATCTCGGCTCACTGCAACCTCCGCCTCACATGTTAAAGCGATTCTCCTGCTTCAGCCTCCCGAGTAGCTGGGACTACAAATGCATGCCACCACGCCCAGCTAATTTTTTGTATTTTGAGTAGAGACGGGGTTTCACTATGTTGGCCAGGATGGTCTCGATCTCTTGACCTCATGATCCGCCCACCTCGGCCTACCAAAGTGCTGGGATTACAGGCATGAGCCACCTTACCTGGCTGTCAAGTCTTAAAATATGATAATGTTAAGGATTATCTGTTTTTATCCTAAATGATGGAAATCTTTCAAACAAAGTCTGGGCAATCCTTAGCAAAAAGAGCAAAGCTGGAAGCATCACATTACCCAACTTCAGCCTATACAACAAGGCTACAGTAATCAAAACAGCATGACACTGGTACAAAAACAGACACATAGACCAATGGAACAGAATAGAGAACCCTAAAATAAACCCATACACCTACAACCATCTGACCTTTGACAAAATCAACAAAAGTAAACAATGGGGAAAGAACTGCCTATTCAATAAATGGTGCTGGGATAACCAGCTAGCCAAATGCAGAAGAATAAAACTAGGCCCTTACCTCTCACCATTCAAAAATTAACTCAAGATGGACTAAAGATTTAAATGTAAAACTTCAAACTATGAAAATCCTAGAAGAAAACCTAGGAATTATCCTTCTTGACATTGGCTTTGGCGAAAAATTTATGGCTAAGTCTCCAAAAGCAATTGCAACAAAACCAAAAATTGACAAGTGGTATCCAATTAAGCTAAAGAGCTTCCATGCAGCAAGAGAAATTGCCAACAGAGTAAATGGATAGCCTACAGAATGGGAGAAAATATTCACATATTCACAAACTATGCATCTGACAAAGGTCTAATATCCAGAATCTGCAAGGAACTTAAATCAACAAGCACAAATCAAATAATCCAATTAAAAAATGGGCAAAGGACATGAACAGATACTTCTCAAAAGAAGATGTACAAGATGATGGCATGAATAGGAGAAAGGGAATCTTTCCTTTCCTTTTCTTTTTTTGAGACAGAGTCTTGCTCTGTCGCCCAGGCTGGAGTTTAGTGGTGTAGTCATAGCTTGCGGCAGACTCAACTTCCTGGCCTTAAGCAATCCTCCTGTCTTGGCCTCCCAAATATCTAGGACCACAGGCACATGCTAACACACACGGCTATTTTTAATTTTTTTGTAGAGATGGGATATTGTTATGTTTTCCAGGATGGTCTTGAACTCCTGGCCTCAAGTGATCCTCCTGCCTTGACCTCCCAAAGTGCTAAGATTACAGGTGTGAGCCACTGCATCCAGCTGAAAGGGAATCTTTTCAATGGTGGGTGGCAACCAGTTGTTTACTCGGAGATGCCTGGTAGGACAGGAGAGAAAGCAAGAGGGCAGGGCTCGAGATGTGGATTTGAGAACTGGAGAGAGTTGGCATAAATAAGAATCTTCCAAGTGGATAAACTCCTATAAAGAAATCGTGTAGCCAGCAGAGGCCAGGATGTTGTGTTGGGTGACTGTGGACAAAAAGAGTCAAACTTCGTAAAGTGTTTGAAGAGATTTATCCTGAGTCAAATATGAGTGGCCAATGGTGCGTGACAAAGCCCTCAGGAGATCCTGAGGACAGTGCCCAAGGTGATCAGGATTACAACTTAGTTTTATACATTTTAGGGAGACATGAGACATCAATCAAATACATGTAAGATGTACATCCAGGTCATAGGTAGATTCAAAGATTTTCTAATTGGCAATTGGTTTAAAGAGTTAAATAAACGCCTAAGGACCTGGAAACAATAGTGGGGAATGTCTGGGTTAAGATAAGGGGTTGTGGCGACCAGGGTTCCGATTATGCAGAGGAAGTCTCCAGGTTGCAGGCACAGAGAGAATAGATCATAAATGTTCTTATCAGAGTTGATCCTCTCCTGGATCAGGAAAAAGTAAGGAAAAGGAAGAGGATTCTCTTCAGAAGGTAATTTACCCCATGAGTCAGCTTTGCAGGCCTATTTCAAGATACGGCAAATAAAACATATTGGGGGTTAAATATTTTGATTTCCTTCTTTACCTGTCATGTGATGCTATGCCAGAGTCAGGTTGGAAAGCAGCCCCCACTATATAGTGTTCAATGAAACCCCTCTGATGAGGGTTTGTAGGGTGGACTCCCCAGTCCCTTAGATAAGAATTTGGGCAAGAGAAGAAAAAGATCAGCCATTGGTCCTTAGTGACAACCATAGCTAGTGGCCACAGGGAGGTTCTCGGGCGGGAGGAGACATTGATCTTTCCCAGTGCTCTGCCCCCCATCTGGCTGTTTGCTCTATAAAGCAAAAGGGAGAGCAAAGAGGAAAGGGAGGTTTTAAGTGAGGCAGGTGACTGTGGGATTCAGGGTCTTCTTTACAGTTTTCTCCTATTCTGTACAGGGGAAGGTTACTGCTGATAAGACACAGCTGAGAGAGGGACGAGCTCCCGGGACCTAAAGTGACCAGAAATACAGCTCCTGAGTCTTGAGGCACAGCTGCGGCGTGGTTTACTTAGGGTTTGTTCTAGCAAGGACATTAACTGTCCTCCAGTGTTTATTCTGAAGAAATGTTTGGTTGGCCTTCCTCATCTCACTGCCTGACCTTGCAGTATAGAAAAATACTGATCATCTTGGCTCTTAAACAGGTGGAACTAAATGCCTAGCTCAACACAGGTAACACAGTCAGGGAAAGTTGGTGTTTAGGGTTGGATGCCTCCTGTTTCATCTGAAAGTCAAATCAAGGTCAAGAAGTTTCCATTTGGTGTAGCTCCCTCCTCCCTCCTTTTCATCTCCCAGCTGCAGAATAGGGTTATTTGGCCTGCACAGATTGTATGATTCCGTAGTGACACGTGTGGCCTCCGGGGTACATAAAGACTGGCCTTGGAGTGAAATAATCTCAGCACTTCGCACAAGGCACTGGAAGGAACTGGGGTTTCAGAGGGATGCTTGTTCTGTTGGCATTGTGTGGCCCGGACTTCTCACAGGGTGAGGCTGGGGCTCACCCACCCCATCATCCCCACACTCACCCTGCTGGGCTCTGTCCACTTGACTGCCATTGACCCGAGGTGGGAGTGCAGGAGGAGTGTGGTTATTACATCACGGACCCTCGGGGCGCAGACTCGGCTGTTTTCTCTTCTTCTTAACAAGCAATTCAGAGTTCATGGAAAGGGCATTGCGGCTTCCCTGGGGGAACTGTTTTCAAATTCCATTTCTCACGCTTAAAACAAAAATCAAAGTTCAAAGAGATCTTGGATCAGAGAGATTTGCCTTGAGGTCAGGGAGAATACCTAATCTGAGTTGTGTTTTAGAGTCATACTTTCTTTCTGTTTTTTTTAATGATGTCCAGGGACAAAACAAAGAGTAGTAATCATGTTTATCCAAATGCTGGCTTAGCCTTAGTGAACTCTCACCTTCTTCAGTTCTGCCTCTCCCGGGACCTAAAGCCAGTGGGCCCCTCCTCCACCCTGGCATCCTCGCCTCCTGGTCCTGCTTATGGAGGGGACTGTTCCTGGTGGCGGCTTACTCCTTCCCTTTCACGTGTTGTTCTTGCAGGGGCAGTTTAGCCCCCACAATGTGCCTGGGTACACAGGTGAAGTGCTAATGTGCTACTGTGTGTCCAACGGTGTGATTCCTCCCCAGAAACCTTTAGGGCTATAATGAGATTCTTTTAGAACCTGCCTTGCCATTTTTTTAGACAGAGTCTTGCTCTGTTGCCCAGGCTCTAGTGCGGTGGCGTGATCTCGGCTCACTGCAACCTCTGCCTCCTGGGTTCAAGTGATTCTCTGCCTCAGCCTCTCGAGTAGCTGGGCTTACAGGGATCCACAACCACGCCTGGCTAATTTTTGTATTTTCAGTAGAGATGGGGTTTCACCATGTTAGCCAGGCTGGTCTTGAACTCTTGACTTCAGGTGATCCGCCCTCTTCGGCCTCCCAAAGTGCTGGGATTACAGGTGTGAACCACTGCACCTGGCCTACCTTGCCATTTGACTTTACAAGGCAGAAGGAAAGGGAGGAGCTGCAGTTTTTGGGGCTACCCAGTGTATATGTTGGCAGACCACCTGGTTCACCCACAGGGATCCCACAACACCAGAAGGTAGTAGGACATGTTGCAGTGTCACTGATGGGGTGGGCACAAACTAGGAGAAGCCACGGTATGTGGTCTGCCAGGGTGTCTTCTTGCTATAAACTCTGAATGACATCAGAAGGGAAAAGAGTACGAAATTCAGAGTGAAAGGCCTGAGTTTGGGTCCCAGCCCCACTGCTGTGAATGCAAATCCTGGGATGTTGCCAGCTGGCAGAGTTGGTTTTTTATGGAGGCTCTGAGGGAAGGTCTTCCATGCCTCTTCCTTAGCTTCTGATGTTGCTCCAATCCTTGCCATTCCTTGGCTTGTAGATGCATCACTCCAGTCTCTGCATCCGTCCTCACATGATGTTCTTCTCTGCAGGCCTCTGTGTCTCAAATCTCACTCTGCATTTCTCTTATAGGGACACCTGTGAGTGGATTTAGGGCCCATTCTAAACCCAGGTTGATTTCATCTTGAGATCCTTACCTAATTACATCTGCAAAGACCCTATTTTCAAAGGTTCCATTCTGAGGATCCGGTGGACATGTGTTTTGAGGAATACTATTCAACCCAATACAGCTGTAGAGTTAGGGGGTAGAGTGGAAAGGAGGGCATGGCAGTGGCTTCCACCGGAAGCACCTGATCTGCCAGGGAGAGCTGGTGTTCGGATTCAAAAGACACAGTCTGAGTCACTGGATGGACAACCTGGGGGTTACCACTGGTAAATACAGAAAGGTTACAGCACACAGTTGATTTATGGAGATCCATTCATTTAACAACTTGAAAAATTGGCTACCTTCCAGGTTCTGGGTCTGGTAATGAAGTCATAGAAGGCCCCCAAAATGCAAGAGTCCTGAAGGGCTCCCAGGCTCGCTTCAACTGCACCGTCTCCCAGGGCTGGAAGCTCATCATGTGGGCTCTCAGTGACATGGTGGTGCTAAGCGTCAGGCCCATGGAGCCCATCATCACCAATGACCGCTTCACCTCTCAGAGGTACGACCAGGGCGGGAACTTCACCTCGGAGATGATCATCCACAATGTGGAGCCCAGTGATTCGGGGAACATCAGATGCAGCCTCCAGAACAGTCGCCTGCATGGATCTGCTTACCTTACCGTCCAAGGTGTGTATGCAGGTGGCTTCTGAAGTCCATCAGGTTAAATGTCAGAGGGCAGGAAGGACCTTCTAAAGTTCATGCCGCGTATGATGGCAGACGTGGTCTACCTTCAGTTGGTGTTGACCTACAATTATTCTGAACTGATGAATGTTTTGCGATTTATTTGTCGCCTCCTTCCTCCCTCATGCTCTCCCTACCTCCTCACTTCTTCTTCCCTTCTCCCCCTCTCTTCCTTCCTGTGTGCTCTAGCCTTCAGTTGGCAATAGGCTTAGAATTATTCTGGATGGACTAATGTTTATTGTTTCGTTGATTTATCCCCCTTCTTCCTCACTTCCTCCCATCTTTCCCTTTTTCCTGCTTCATTCTCTTTCTCCTTCCATCTTTGCTTTCCTTTTTTCTGGTTAAGACTGATAGAGACAGATTTTATCACTTCCCCTTTGAATCCATTTTAGTATTTAACAGCCTTTCTGGAAACGTATCCTGGAATTCTTCTAGGGCCAGTTGCAGTCATTTTTCTTTGATTTAGAGACAGTTGTCAATCACTGCCCTTTCTCTAGTTTTTCCATATACATGACTATATTTCTCTGCTTGCATCATTTATCAACTCTGAAGCATGCTTTAACTCTTTCCTCTTTCCAGCAGAATCCCCCCAACTTATTTCTCTACCCTGCCTCCAACTACAGTGGGATAGTCATTATAGTCAAAGTTGTGTGTTCACCAAATATATCAAGTCATTGAGAGAAAAGAAAAGAATAAACAAAATTTATAATAATAGCTTATTTTTCATTTTAGAGGTAATTTGGAGGTGCTGAAGATAATGTTACACAGTAAAAAAGTAAAAGGATGCTTTACAAAGATTTGGAATAGTCTTACCAAAATTTAATCACTTTGCATTCTTTAAAAGTGTATTTATACTCTATTTAAAGATATAGAGTGCCTGATTTCCATGGCAGCATTTCTTATAAGAGAATATATTATATCTTATAAATTATTTCTTATCTCTATATATTTACTTGTCTGGAAGAAATTCCCAAAGATTTTGTTCATATTTATGTTGCTATTAAATCAGATTTGATAGCCTTTGGTGGAGACATGTCTACCTATTTCTATTTGTGTTTTAAAAAATGTTTTTTATTTTAGAAATTTAGCTAAATTGGTGTGTCTTACTTTTGTGTGTTTTTAATTTTGTGTAGTTTAATTAGGGGCACAATTCTATTTTCTAAATAAGTGATTTTATAAGGCTATTTAGGACTGTTGGCCTATGTTGCATAACCAGATTCTTATTATGATAATTTGTGATATAAGAGAAAGAACAGAGGAAAAAAGAATCAAAGATATAAATTCTGGTTTTGGCTTCATCAGTTATCTATCAGAGAGACCCCTGAGATGGCTCAATTTCTTCATCTTTAACCTGGAGATGAATCTTCCCGGCCCACCTCATGGGTTTGTTGTGTGGATCAGGTGAAAAAATGGCTAAAGATGGTTTGATGACTCCAAAGTCCTGTCTGATTCAATTCCCTGCACATTAAGTTGGGAGCCAGAGTGGTCTAGTGGTCAGGAGTGCAGACTTGGGGCTTGGCTGCCTGGGTCCATGTTACTGCTTTATGACAATGTGTGACCTGGGACACAATTACTTAATGACTTTGAGTCCTAGTGTCCTCATCATAGGGCTGCCGTGGTGTCAAATGAGTAGGTCTATGTAAAGCCTTTACCACACCTGGCTCATAGCAATCACTGTATGGCCATTTGCTATTATTTATTGTGCTCCCAATAAAAGCATGCCATTGTGTTGGTTATTTAAGAGTGACTCAAAGAGGAATAGAATAAGACACAGTTTCTTTCTTTAGAACCTCACAAGAAGAGTGGATAATGCAAGTTGCACAAATAATAGGGATGCCAGCCACCCAGATGCTGGCAAGTGAGATGGAAGGGAGGCAAGCTCAGGTTCCAGTCGGGAGGGGAGCTGACAGAGTCAATAAAGCCTTCATGGATGATTTCATGGAGAAGGTGCCATTGGAGATGTGCCTTCCAGGTCTGTAGATGGTAGACAGAATGGGAAAGCAAGAGAGGAGGAGGGCATCCCTGGAGCAGGGAAACACAGGATCACAGGCATGGCTTATTACTGCTGTACTTATGACACATCACATTCAGAAACCATGTGGTTTTGTAGCATCTTTTCCCAAAGTCACAAGTCTACAAATTTGTCTGAATCCCGCTGACTTTTTATATATTGGTAATTATGGTAGTTTTTGGTTTTAATACAGATGAAAGAGCAAGCATCTAGAGAAGGCAAAGACTTCTCCAAGATATTGCGAGAGGAACCCATAGAGCTTGGCCTGAACTTCATCCCTTTATCCTCATCTCATTGCTCTGAATGGCACTTAGTTCCTAGAGGAGCAAATGTTCTCTGAGCAACAGGGTCTCCCTCAAGGGAGAAAGAATCTTGAAAAAAGAGGAAACAACCATGAATTATTCTATGATTTTTTCACCTCCTTATATGTCAACAAAATAGAGATGACATAACTCCAAATTGAGTCATCTGAAATCCATGTGAATATTCTAGTATCACTTTTGTATAAAGGGTTTGTCATGCTACTGGCTAACCTTTGTGAAAGCCAGTGGGGGAAAGTGGAATCCCAAGTGTATACAGAAAAAGGAAATCCTTCAGATCGCTGAGTTGGTCCACTTGCTGCCTTATCCACCAATCAATCACACACCAAACTCTAGACCTCTTATGTTTTGAGGGCTGCAAGGACTTGAGTTCAAGAGCTTCTGTTATTAACTGAGACAATATCATTCCTCCCAGTTCTGTCATCTTAAACCGTCTCTCTGTCAAACAAAACAAACACAAAACCCTTTAGACTCAAGGGACAAACCCTTTCTCCACTCCTTGTTGCATTTACAGTAGCCCTTGAATTAGCAAAAGTGCCTTTCTTATTCCAAGGGAATATTCAGGAAGGAATAATTGGGAAGCTAACATTTCAGAGCAAAAAGATCTTTCAGAGCCGACCCAGTTCACTGTAGTCTAGGGACTCCTTGATGTACCCTGAGATCCTTTCAGGGTGGTCTATGAAGTCATGATTGTTTTCATAATAATATGAAGATTCCTATTATTGTTGCCTTTTTCACCCTTCTTCTCACAAGTGCACAGGAGAGCTTTCCACTATACATTGGGAAGGTCTGCATGCCTCAGAATTTTCCAGATGACTGAAGTGTAACAAAATCATGCAAGGATAAAAGGTCCATTCAAAGTGCCAGATAGTGCAATGGGTTTCAACATAACAGAAAATGAAAGTTCCTTGATAGAGTTTCAGATTCCACTGTGTAACAAACATTTAAGAAACCTCAGCCGGGAATGGTGGCTCATGCCTGTAATCCCAGCATTTTGGGAGGCCCAGGCGGGCAGCTCACTTGAGCCCAGGAGTTTGAGACCAGCCTGGGCAGCATGGTGAAATTCCATCTCTTAAAAAAAGTGCTGGGCGCGGTGGCTTATGCCTGTAATCCCAGCTACTCGGGAGGCTGAGGCAGGAGAATAGCTTGAACTTGGGAGGCGGAGGTTGCCGTGAGCCAACATGGCACCATTGCACTCCAGCCTGGGCAACAAGAGTGAAAGTCTGTCTCAAAAAAAAAAAAAAAAAAAAAAAAGAGAAAAGTAAGTTTTGGTACAGTATTCAAGAATATCCACAATTATCTGAAAAAGCTATTAAATACTCCTCACTGTTCCAACTACATATCTGTATGAAGTCAGGTTTTCTTTACATCCTTCAAACAAAGCAGTATATTGCAACAGACTGAATGAAGAGACAGCTATGAGAATCCAGCCAGACATTACAGAGATTTATATAAGTATAAAACAATGTCACTCATCTTATTAATTTTTTTAGTTTAAAAATGTGATTCGTTTCCATGAAAATATGTTAATCAAAATTAACATGTAATAAATTATTATTTTAAAATATATGTTTAAAATAATTGTTTAACTTTAATTTCAAATATGATAAATATTGGTAGATAAAACCCACACAAATGAAAGGTCTTTGGAGTCCTCAATGCTTTTGAAGAGTGTAAAAGGTACTGAGACCAAAGTGTTTGAGAAGTGCTGATCTGGTCAAACTATCTCATTCAGTAAGTACAACAAAGAGAGCCAAAAAAATTCAGTGACTTGCCCAAAGTGATGACAATTTTCTGGCAGAACCAAGATTGGGAACAAATTTTTTCATTTCTTAGTTCAGTATTCTTTCCATTATGTTGTGTAGTCCAGAGTTTCAGCATGTTTTTCTTGGACATATATGTATACACATTTCACTAAGGCTGTGTCTTTACTGGGGCCAATCCTCAGGTTGTTTTAGTCACACTTGTGAAAACAAGTACTATTTTCATATGGGTTGTTTGCAGTATGAATGCTGACCTATGCGAGAGTGTTCTTAATAAAAAAATAACTTATCTAAGTTATTCTGGCACATGATTTGGGTTAGTTATTTCTGTAAATATTAGATTGGAATTCGATTTAATTTGTAATGAGAAACCTATGTTAAGGCAATACCCTAGGAAGTTATGTTTAAGACCATATGACCCTAGAAATAAATAAAAATGTATCTGATTGACCAAAACTCCAGGGGAGACTTGCGTCTGACCCTGGGCTGTGTCCTCGTCACAGTGAGAAGAAGGTGAAGCTCGTTTCTCTTTTTCCCTTTGCTCCCTCGACAGCCCAAGATAATTCTGTAGCTCACTTCAGGGATTGTATAACCCCCCTATGGCATGCACTTTTCTTTCCCACATAATTATTTCCCCCTGGTTTCTGACTTTTATGAAGCATTTTCTATGTAACTTTGCTTTCTTGTGAGCAACCTCACCTTCTTCAGAGACTCTGGCAGGTGTACAAAAAAGACCCAGATAAAATCTGAGTTAAGATTTCCTAGTAGAGACACAGCCTCTTTGGGCTTGGGAAAATAGGTCTCACAAAATGTAATTTGAAGCAAAACTTAAAAAAAAAAAGAAAAAAAAAAAGAAAACTTAGAAGCGAGAGGCATGGTCATGTCTTCAATGTGTTTCTCTCTTTTCTTCTTTAGTTATGGGAGAGCTGTTCATTCCCAGTGTTAATCTTGTAGTCGCTGAGAATGAACCTTGTGAAGTTACTTGTCTACCCTCACACTGGACCCGGCTCCCGGATATTTCCTGGGAGCTCGGTCTCCTGGTCAGCCATTCAAGCTATTATTTTGTTCCGGAGCCCAGCGACCTTCAAAGTGCAGTGAGCATCCTGGCTCTGACCCCACAGAGCAATGGGACTTTGACTTGCGTGGCTACCTGGAAGAGCCTGAAGGCCCGCAAGTCTGCAACTGTAAATCTCACTGTGATTCGGTGTCCCCAAGGTAAGTGAAGACATTCTGCTTTATATGAAATGAATGATTATTTCATGCTTCAATATTACGTAGAATGCTCCTTCATCCACGATGCCTGGAAAAATCATATGGCGACCTTGATTTTGGGTGGGGATGATAAGGCCAATCACATCTGCTGTCAGCTTAATAATCTTATACCCTCGTCTGCTTTTTAAATTCCATCTTAAAGTTTTTTTTCTCCTATTACATTTGAAAACCATTTAGAATCTTGCCAATTATTTATCATCAAAGAGCATCAAGTTTGGAGACAAATGCTTGAATTAAACATTTGTGTTTCTAGCTTTTACCTACCACTGTTTCAGTTTGATCCCACCCCCTGAGCCAGTATGAAGCAGGTCTTCATACTGGAGGAGGGTGTTCAGGTCTCCCTGGATTTCTTCCAATCTTAGTGGAATTATAATGCTTCATTTTCTTCCCCACCAAATCTACAATGTGTTTGAAAGTGTCAAGTCTATATGTATATAGTTTAACTTGACTAAATGACAGAACTTTAAAGTTTAGATCCCCCTAAAGAATCTCCTGTGGGGTTTTTGGTGTACCAGACACTCTAACCACATTCCTTGAAGGGGCCCATAGCGCCTGTGAGCTTTGAGTCAGCCTGGACAGGGTGGGCCCGGGATGCTGGAGATTGACTTTAACTTAACATTTTACAAAAAAGGAAGTGAGGCCCGGAGAAAGTCTGTGCTTTCATCCGGGTCACACAGCCAAAGTGGCAGAGCTGGGCCTAGAAGCTGAGAAGAGCTTTTCTTTTCGTGTCTAAAGCTTTTCCCACCATGAAAACACCTTTACCTGAGATCTTCCAAAGTTCAGAACAAAGCCATAGCCAAAGCCAAATAATGATGGTAACGATAATAAACAGCACCCTATAGCTCTTACCAAGTTATCAGGCACTATTCTGAGCACTTCTCAGGTATTCACAGAATTAACCGGCCCTACAGCCGTATGAGTGTTGCTGTTATTCCTATTGTAAAGGCAAGGTGACCGGGACAGTGCTGTTGGGATTGTGCACACGTCTGTAGAGTGAGTAAATGACAGGGCAACCTGTACTCACCTGTAGAGTGAGTAAATGACAGGCAGTCTGTCTCCAGAAACTGCTCACCTGGCAACTCTGCCCACCGTGTGAGCAGCCACTTGGAGGGTATAAGAGGTCCCATGGCTGCCGTAACGGAGGACCACAGGCTTGGTGGCTTAAACAACAGAAATGGATTTTCTCACAGTCCTGGAGGTTGGAAGTGTCATCAGGGCTGGTTCCTCCTGAGGGCTGGGAGGGAGCCTCTGTTCCTTACCTCTCCCCTTGTTCCTTGTGGTTGCTGGCCATCTTCCTTAGCTTGTAGAAACATCACCCTCCTCTCTGCCTTCATCTTTACTTGGTGTTGTCCCATTTTTTATGGTCTTTTCTGAGATAAACACTTTTGAACGGTACAGGTTATTTTTGCAAGATGCCTCTCAATTTGGGTCAGTTTGGATCAATTTGGATCAATTTGGATTTGTCTAAAATTTTTCATCATACTTTGACTTAGGTTACATATTTTTGGCAAGATATAGGTAATGTAATGTGGTCACAGGATGACAATTTTCATTGGCGTAAGTTTGACCGTTTGGTGAAGGTGGCATACCCTGAATTTATCCAACATAAAAGTACCTTTTTTGACTTTATAATTAATATGTAGCCAATAGATATTGTGGGAATATCCTGTTTACCCACAACCTTTCACCTAATACAATTTTTTAAAAAAACTTTTATTTTAGGTTCAGGGTTACACATACTGGTTTGTTGTATAGGCAAACTCATGTCACAGGGGATTGTTGTACAAATTATTTTATGACCTATGTACTAAGCCTAGTACCCATTAGTTATTTTTCCTGCTTCTCTCCCTCCTCCCACCCTCCACCCTCAGATAGACCCCAGTGTGTGTTGTTCCCCTCTATGTATCCTTGTGTTCTCATCATTCAGCTCCCACTTATAAGTGAGAACATGCGGTATTTGGTTTTCTGTTCCTACATTAGTTTGCTAAGGATAATGACCTCCAGCTCCATCCACGTCCTTGCAAAGGAGATGATTTTGTTCTTTTTTTACCTACTAACTTTTACATTCATTGATAAATCATTGCCTGAATCAATTACTTCTATGGTGATTGTAAAGAGTGATTTCCTGCTTCCATTATTCTTTCCATATCTCTTAATTGGCTTTCTTTTGTTAAACAAAAGACTTCCCTCCCCTTTCTTCCTTTTCTTTTTTTTTCCTCACAGTTTTAGTAGGGACTCAATTTTGTCCAATACATTCTAATCTATTCCTGTCATTTTTCGTTTTGACACCCAGATTGCTCCAGACTTGGTCAGTTGGTGTCCCTCCAAGCTGGTGCTGGTGTCCTTCCGACATCCCCCTATTAGTTTTTGAGCACCTGGACCAGTAAGGTGTTCCAGTCTCACTTTGCACTTCCCTGTCTCCACCTGGAATCAGTCATTTCTCCAGAGAACCAACCTTAAATATCATAAGTTAGTCTACTTAAATATGATAAAGTATGGTCCAAACTTTGAAAGAGAAGATTTTAAAAAAATCCATTAGCACCAAATGGAATAAAATGGACTGGTTAAAGCATATATCTTAACGAGGTAACGATGCAGCAGGAGCTCTGGCCTGATTGATGGTACCTTAGAGAGATAGATTTTAGAGACTGGCTTGCTTGCAAATGTTTTCTTTTGTAGTGGAAGGGAAAGAGAGCACTTAATTTCCCTTGGTCAGGTTAAATTCACTGAATTCTTCTTAGTCCAGAACTAGTGCCTTAACGATGGTAGCTGGAGGCATGGCTGCTGGAGAGGGAGGCTCAGTGGGTGCTTGCAATGAGTCTAGCTTTATTGGATTCATTTGGAACAGGGTAATTTGTTTCTAAATTATTCATCAAGATCCAGTGCAGCTGGTGGCTGGCTGCATGTTGTGTGTTTTAGGTAAGTTTTATTAGCTGAAGACCTCATTGCAGCCTTGGTTGGCGGAGCTGGTGACCAGACGAGGCTGTAAGGAGAACAGCCAGGTTTCCAGAGAGCCAAGTGTTAATGGGGCTGTGCCCATTCAGGCTTCTTCAGGAATCATATAAACATCCATTTTTCCACCCATTTCCTAAAAGTGCAAAGCATTTGTTTTCATTTCTGAAATGATCCCTGCAAGTCGTTGAAACAGGAATGACGTCAGCTTTGGAAGCTTATCCAGTCAGGGCAAGTCACAGGGTTGTATGAAGTACTTCCTGGTTTATAGTTCAAAAGGTTTCTTTAGAGAAAAACATACTGGGAGGGCTGACATTCATTTCAGATCTGTTTTTTAGAAATTGATTTTCTTAACTACAGAAATGATACAAACCTCGAGCATTGCAGACGTATCCAAAACTGGAGAGTGAGGCCGTCTCACCCTGTCTTGGGAGAAGCACTGTCAGAGCCATCTGCCCCTCGGGGTGGTTTTCTTTGTGCACTTATTTGTGTGTAGGTTGTGAAATGGTTAAAATGAAGTAATGTTTTTAGGACACATGAGCACCTTGTGGAATGTAGTGATTCCTGGTTATAACCTTACTGTTTTGAGAAATGGCAATTTTGGGTGCAGAGAAGAGTAGTAGAAGTGACAGTCCTAGGCCTTTGCCCTGGCACTGATGGTGCAACTTTGGGCAAGTCAGCAAACTTCAGGGCTCAGTTTTCTCACCTGTAAAGTGGGTAGGAGAAGAATAGAGAAGTCCTCTCTCCCGGCTGTGGATCAGAGACAGCAGAGGAGCCTTCTTTATAAATATGCTGAGGCTCAGCCTCCTCCTGGGGGTTTTGTTTCATTGGTTTTTGTGGAGCCTGGGAATTGCAATTGTAAAAAAAGTTCCCAAGTTACTCTAATGGGCAGCCAGGATTGGGGGCTACTGAACTGAAAAAAAAAATCTCTAAGGCCTAGCCTTCCCCTCCAGCCCGATCAAGTGCTATGTCTACACAGACTTGGACATTAGACAGCCTGGGTTCCAATCCCAGCTCACACAATCACTAGCCGTGTGTCTTCTGGGCAAATTACTTACCCTCTCTGAGCCTCAGTTTTAGAACGGTCCTTGCTCCAGAGCACATAGGACTGGAAAGGGAGTGATTGTCATTCACACTATTGATTCGGAGATCTCTTGTGTCGCCTCTAGTGGGCACAGGGATATGCTTTGCACATGATAGTGGTGACATTTGGTATTAATATGTACTTGGCACGTGTTGGTGGTGACATTTTATATTAATCCATTTGGTTTTAAGAAATTCTATACCTTTTTAAAACTCTATGCATTCCTTTGAGAGCATCTGGGAAATGCTATTTTCCTTTTCTTCACAGATGGGAAAAGGACAATCTCCAAGTGGAGGTTAAAGCACATGGTAAAGTCAGTAATGAGGCCCTAACAAGCACACAGTGGTGTGAAGGAGTGCAGGGAGAAAGGCAAGCAGTGTTGACCTTGGAGCTAATCTTCCTTAGTCACTATGTGTGGGTTACTCAGGTATAGTATACTCATCCTCTCCAGCAAACCTGCCATTCACCTGAGCCAGACACACCCACACCCTCCATAGGGTACAAGGCACAGACCAGCACCCCACTGTAGACTTTATGCAAATACATTTATGTCATACCTGGGCCATATTTTCCTCAGAAGGATTATTCTACATTGGAGACAACACATGGCAGGATGGAAAGATATGAGCCAGTGGCCCTGTGGCTTCCTGTTCTGGGCTCCCTGTGCCATTTACTTAGTCACTCTGTCCTGAGCGTCTTGTCTGCATGATGAAAAGATTGGATTATGGATGACATCATTCCAAGAGTCTGTGTTTTCTGTCCACTGTCAGATTTTTGGTTTGTCAATAATATATGGCTATGATCTATTTTTCAGTATACAGTAAATGCACTCTTTTTAAAAAAATTAGCTCCATACTAAACAAAAATATACATGCATGTGTGTATACCTATGTGTATAGATATAAAATATATATTATATATGATAAATTTTAAATGGTTATGAAAATAAGAAAGGTCTATCTTTGTAGCCCCAGCACTAAATCATGCCTCTTGCTGACTCGTACACTACACTTTGAGCTCCAGTGGATTAAAGGGAGACTTCAGCTTAAGTCTCACCCAGGCATAAAACTTGGAACATTTGCCTTCCAATGGAGCATGGTCACAACAAATAGGAAGTGAAAGAATAAGTGATGTGGTTCCTAATACCAGTTCCATTTTTGTCAGAGTTTGGGTCTTTTAACTGAATGCAGGCATCACTTTCTGAACTTTGTGGTTAAATTAAGGGACAAAAGAGTGTTTAAAGTCCCTCTGGCCCTCAGTCTCTCCCTTGACTCAGTCACCATTCCCAGCAAAGTGTCCCTTCCCTTCTGTTAAACATGCATTCTCTGAAAATAAGGCAGGCCCTCTCTGTCCTAGATTAAGGCAGGCTCTCTCTGGGCTAGATTAGAGGAAATGTTATGTCCAGATTCAGGAAGTTTGGCACACTCGTATTTCTGTCTAGTAGGGGAAGGAAAGTACTGATAGAGAGTGTGTGAGTAAGTTAACAAGCATCCTGTCTTATGCCAGTGAGAATTTCAAGCCTGTCTCTTAAATCTTGAGCCAGACCTCATTGGTTAACCCCAGCCAGCTCCCTTATTAAGAAAACTTGTTATATATGCAAACTTCAGTTCGTAAGAGTCCGTTAAACTGGAAATAGGATGACCACTGCCATCTTGAGCCTGTGCACTGTAGCTTACAGCATTCTCAGAACTTTCACACACACCCCTGAACAGCCTGGTGGGACAGGAGTTGTTATTGGTAAGTGAGCCAGAAGCCAAAGTTAATGCAGCAAGAAATGCTGGTCATGAGATTTCACTGGTTCCATCCACAGGAAACCTAAAGTTCTCGCTCAGTCACAAAGCTCCCACACAGTGGTCCAACCTTCAACTCAAGACTGTGAAGATCATGGATCCAACTCTGGACTTCACCATTTTATTATCACATCTGTGGGAGGGGGAGTGTGAGAGCATCCTGTCATGTCGTGGGTAGCTTGGGCAGTGTTTACATTGTGGCTGCGTACAAGGGATTCCCAAAATGTGGGTCACCAACTATCTGCATCAGAATCACTTGGGGTATCATTCGGGATATCCTGACTCTGTGATCCTGGAGGCGGGCTTTGAATCTGCATGTGCAATGATATTCCAGGTGACGCTTGGGATTCTGCTGTCTGTGGAGCAAGGGGATAAATGTGCTCTCTGCATGTGAAGGGTCTGCCTTGTGTTAGTGCTTCAGCTCCGGGGCTGGGAAGGTGTGGAATGGGAAGGGTGTAATCTGTTCCTTCCATCTTCACCATTTTTGGGAGAGCCTTTTACAAGTCTCTATCTATTCCAGCTCATCTCGGATGGTGGGAGATGTGGAGATAGACAGCATTAGGAAAGTAGTTTGACTTCCTTATAATCCTACAGTTCTGCTCTGGGCATCTTACTATGGGGAGAAAGGTGATCCCTAGACCTGGTTCAGCTGCAGCTGACTGCCTGGTGCATAGACTTCTATTCTCCATGCAGAGTCATTTAACATTGACACAGGAATAGCAAACTACTATTGCAAGGTCAATTTTCCAGGAAAATTCTAAGGAAGAACATCTAAGAGCTGTTTTTGAACTCCAGTCTGTGGTTCCAAAGTGGTGGATGGCCATTGATTTCAAAGCAAACCCCATGTTCCTTCATAGGAAGTCTACTGTTTCAGTATTTTCTAAAGACTAGTATCTAACAAAATAGCATGCATTTACATTAAGATACCACCCAAGCACGCAGGGTTGAGTGACAGCCTTTTGTTGAATAACAATTCACAATTAAACAGATCAACTTAAATGTGTGTGGTTTGACTTCAGCGTGGTGCGCTAGGGAGAAGTGAAGGGCTGGATGAAAACTCTCTTGGGAACATCAATGTAGTTCCCATACTGTCCCTTTCTGTGACGATAAAAACGTTCTACATCTGTGGTGACTGAGCACTTGAAATGTGGCTAGTGCAACTGAGGCACTGAATATTTAATGACTCATACTTTTAATTAACTTAAATTTGAATTTGGATGATCATGTGAAGCCACAACAGCTCTGCTTAAGACATGGTGGAAAAGAATCAAAATGGCTTTTTCCTCTCTCCTTCTCTCCCTACCTCCCTCTTGCTTCCTGATTGCTCTGCCTCACCTTACCCTTTTTTCCTCCCACCTCCATGACTACTAGGTAAAATAAGAGTGCAACATACACACTAAGGAAGGTGTCTCCTGAAAAGCTATGGAAAAAGCAATTGCTGTGTGAGGAATTAATTTGAGGATCGGGGAGCTGGATGCGGCTAGGGTGCAAGCCATGCACCTAAGTTCCTTTAGAAGTGACTGTCCCTCAGAATATTCTGGTTTCCTCTGGGCGCTGGACTCTCAATGAGTGGGGACATGGAAGGGAGAACAAAATGTCTTTATTCCAGTCTTGTCCAGCAGTAGTGCTCAAAAAGTATTTCTTGATTAAATAAAGGATGTCAAACGTGACCATCACTATGCCAACCTCAGGGGACTGTCAGCCCAGCCCTGCCTTATCTACTTCTCAGGGATATTAGAGACATTAAACAAGCAACACCTGAACTGGGTTACTAAGAAGTTGTTTACTGGCAGAAATAAGTATTGTGATGGAAGGTACTGTAGAGTATTGAATAATTAAACACATTGAAAGAAACTTGGCCTATGACGCCTAGCCATAGCAGGCTGAATAGTTATAATATTACTAGAAAACATAATGCAACTTATAATGGGGCAGAATCTGTGATTCTAGGCAGTGCAAGTATCACTAAAATATATTTTTTTCTTCTTTAGACACTGGAGGTGGTATTAATATTCCAGGTGTATTATCAAGTTTACCGAGTTTAGGTTTTTCATTGCCTACTTGGGGCAAAGTTGGACTTGGACTAGCAGGCACCATGCTTCTGACGCCGACGTGTACTCTTACAATACGCTGCTGCTGCTGCCGCCGTCGTTGTTGTGGCTGCAACTGCTGCTGCCGTTGTTGTTTCTGCTGTAGAAGAAAAAGAGGTAATTTTTTTGTTCATTTACATTTGTACATACTTCTGAACTTTTGGTACAAGCAGTTGAAGTTAATGAACTCATCAGCTCTTTCAAAAGATAGATTAACTACAATATCACTTTACCTCTATTAGAAACTGTGGTTGCACACTGTTGGTGGGATGTAAATTGTTACAGCCTTTATGGAAACAGTATGGAGGTTCCCCCAAAAATTAAAATAGAGCTATCCTATAATCCAGCAATCCCATTCCTGGGTCTATATCCAAAAGAAATGACATCTTCATATTGAAGAGATATCTGCATTTCCACGTTCATTACATCACTCTTCACAATAGCAAAGATATGGAATCAACCTATGTACATCAATAGATGAATGGATAAAGAAAATGTGGTATATAGACACAATGGAACACTAGACAGCCTTCAAAAAGAAGAAAATCTTGTCCTTTGCTACACCCTGGAGAGACCTAAAGGATATTATGCTAAGTGAAATAAGCCAGACACAGAAAGGCAAATATTGTATGATCTCTATTATAGGTGGAATCTAAAAAAGCCAAGCTCATGGAAACAGGAGGTAGAATGGTGGGTGTTACCAGGGAGTGGGAATGGGGGTTGGGGAGATGTTGGTCGAAGGGTACAAAGTTTCAATTAGACAGGAAAGATAAATTCTGTAGATCTACTGTACAGCATGATGACTGTAATTAATTATCATGTATTGTGTACTTGAAAATTGCTAAGAGAACAGGTCTTAGATATTCTCACCACAAAATAGCGATGAATATGTGAGATGATGGTTATATGAATTAGCTTGATTTAATCATTTCACAATATGTACATAGCTCAAAATATCACAGCGTACACTGTAAATACACATAATTTTTATTTGTCTGTGTGTTTTAATAAAGCTCAGACAATAACAATAAAATAAAAACCACAATGAAAGACACATTGGCTTTAAGAGTCCTTGAAAGAAACGGTGGCAAATTCTTGGAGAAGAAAAGGACTTTCTTAAGGAAGGAAGCTGTTTCTTTGGGGCCTGATGCAACCCCTTAGGAAGACCAAGATCTTCATGCTCTTGAAAAAGTGATTGAAGCAGTGCCTTTCTCACCAAAGACACTGATTATTGGATTTTTGTGCTTATTTGTAAGGATATATAGCTATTATAATGTCATTTAGATGCTATGGTTTTTTAGAATCATATCTACATATCTGAACATATTAAATGGTTGTTTCCTATTCTGAAGAATTTTAAATCTCCCTTTGTAGGTGAATGTTAATAGAGTGGTAGAAAGAAAAAATAAGATCTTCTGTTAATAAAAAATAGTATCAATACAATTAATAAAAATAATTACGTGTTTCTTTAGAATGAAATTCTCTGAGATACTCCCACATCGTATGAAAGCAGTAGCCTTGCTTGCGGTTGGGATCAATGGTGAGGTGGGCACATAAACACTAGGTGGGCTTGTCGTAGCATTAGGCAGTTTGTGGCTTCAGAAGCCTACGGATGCTTTATCATGAGAATGCTCCAGGACTTTCCATGTGCTGAATGTGTGTTTGTCCTTACCTTTCTTCCTTTTGTTAAAAACTTCATGTACTCCTGTTTGAACATTTTGTACAGTTAAATTATTTTTCTAAAGATCGGAGTTTTGATGTTAGCTTGCATGTCAGTTGAACTACATTTTAAGTTTTATTAACACTAACTGCCACTCAATGAACACTTAGTGTGTGTGTGCCAGGCACTGTGCTAACTCTTTTACATGGAGTATCTCACTAAAATGCATGGACTAGCCTTAACTAAACTAAAGGTCTAGTCTTAGTTCCTCGATGAATTTGGTTTGTGATTGGGCAATTCACTCTGTAGTATAACTTAAAAAAATTTCAGACACGTGAATATTTTCTTATATTCTCTTCCTTACATGAAGGGCAGTACACTATAGATATTCTTTTGCATTTTACTTTTTTTCCCTTACAGTATATCCTGGAAATCAATCCATGTCAGTTCATTGAGATTTCCTTCCTTTCTTATTACAGCTATATGGTTATCCATTGTGTAGATGTACCATGGTTTATTCAACCATTCTCCAATATATAAGCATTTAGGTCATTTCTGGTATTTTGCAATTACAAGCAATGTTGCAATGAATAATGTTGTGTATGTTCATATTTATGGAGGTGTAGCTTTTGGGTAAATTCTCAGAAGTAGGATTGCTAGGTCAAAAGCTACGTGTGTATGTAGTTTTGTCACGGATTGCCAAATTTCCCTCCAGCAAGGTTGTACAATTTGCATGCTTACCAGCAACACATGAGAGTTCCCGTTTCCCCACAGCCTGGCCAACAGGGTGTCATCATACTGTTTAGTTTATGCCAACCTGGAAAGTAAGTAAATAAGAAATGGTATCTCAGCATAGTTTTGATTCTATCTTATTATAAGTGAGGTTGAACTACTGTTCCATCTTTTTGTATGATTGAGAACAATTTTTATATGTTTTTATAACTTGTCATTCTATATCTTTTGCTCATTATTTTCTCTCTCAGATTTTTGGGCTTTTTACTCCTTCTAATTTTAAGAATTCTTTTGATGTTAGGACCGATGGCCCCCTTTATCTGCGTTTTGAGTCATAGGAAGTATTTCCTTATATGGAAGTTTTTTTCTGGTGCTTATATCTTATATGGTTTCATTTATTTGTCTTTCTAGGTTTTATTCATTCTTCTGTGTGATATGTTGTATGCATCTAATTTTATCTTCTTCCAAATAACTAAGCAGTTGTCCCGGCAGCATTGACTGAAATCTCTGTCTTTGGCCTGGTGGTTTGAGATGCCACCTTTATCAAACACTGATTTCCATATGCACTTAGGTCTCTTTCTGGGCTCTCTATTCTGTTCCATTGGTCCGTTTGCCTATTCATGCACTTACACTGTACTGTTTTAATTATAGAAGTTTTATAGTATGTTTTAATGTCTCCTTGGGTGAGTCTGCCTTGTAGCTTTCCGTTTTAGTGTTCTTCTGGCTAGTTTTGCATGTTTATTGTTAAAACTTGTTTATTTTAAAAAATTGTGGCAAAATCTACATAAAATTTTCCATTTTAACCATTTTTGAGTGTACAGTTCAGTAGCATTAAATACATTTACACTTTTATGCAACCATCACTACCATCCATCTACAGATCTAGGTTCATCTTGCAAAATAAACACTGTACCTATCAAACAATAACTCCCTATTCCCGCTTCCCCCCAGTCCCTGGCAACCACGATTCTACTTTCTATCAATTTGACTACTCTAAGTATCTTATATAAGTGGAATCATGCAGTATTTGTCTTTTTAAAAATGGCATACAGAGTGATATTTTGATATGTGTGTACAATGTATAATGATCAAATCAGGGTAATTAGCTTATCCATCATCTCAAACATTTATCATTTCTTTGTGTGGTGAACATTTAAAAATCTTCTCTTCCAGACTTTTGAAAACACAGCACCTTATAGTTAACCATATTCACTTTACAGTGCTGCAGAACACTGAAACTTTTCCTCTTATCTAGCCGTAACTTTGTGTTCATTAACCAAGCTGTCCCTAGCTTCCCCCGACTACCTCCCCTTCCCAGCCTCTGATCCCCACAATTATAATCTCTGCTTCAATGTGCTCAATTTTTTTTTTAGCTCCTAGCATATGAGTGAGAACATGTGGTATTTATCTTTCTGTGCCTGACTTATTTCACTTAACACAATGCCCTCCAGGCTCATCCATGTGCTGTGGATTTCATTCTGTTTTACGGTGGAATAGTATTCCATTGCGTACACGTGCCACATTTTCTTTATCCACTCATCTATTAATAGATATTTAGATTGATTTCATATCTTAGCTATTGTGAATAGTGCTGCAATAAATGTGGGGGTGCAGATATCTCTTTGACATACTGATTTCAATTCTTTGAGATACCCAGATTGCCTGATTGTATGATAGCTCTATTTTTAGTTTTTTTGAAAAACCTTCATACTGTTTTCCATAATGACTGTACTAATTTACATTCCCACCAATAGAGTATGAGAGTTTCCATTTCTGTTCATTCTCACCAGCATTTTTATTTTTTGTCTTTTTGATAATAGCCATTCTAAGTAGGGTGAGATGATATCTCATTGTGGTTTTGATTTGCATTTCCCTGAGAATTAGTGATGTTGAATGTTTTTTCATACATTTGTTGACCATTTACATGTCTAAGAAGACATCTAAATTGAGAAATGTCTGTTCAGACCATTAACTCATTTTAACATTGCATTGTTTTTTTGCTGTCGAGATGTTTGAGTTCCTTATATAGTCTGGATATTAATCCCCTGTTGGATGAATAGTTTGCAAATATTTCCTCCCATTCTGTAGGTTATAATTTTGCTGTTGATTGTTTCTTTTGCTGTGCAGAAGCTTTTCAGTTTAATATAGTCCCATTTGTCTATTTTTATTTTTGTTGCCTGTGATTTTGAAGACTTAGCCATAAAATCTTTGTCTAGGCCAATGTCCTGAAGGATTTATCCTATGTTTTCTTCTAGTAGTTTTATGGTTTGGTGTCTTATATTTAATTCTTTAAGTTTGAGTTTATTTTGTGTCCACTTTGAGTTTATTTTGTATATGGTAAGAGATAGGGGCCTAATTTCATTCTTTTGTATATGGATATCCAGTTTTCTCAGCACCGTGTATTGAAGAGGCAGCCTTTCCCCAGTGTATGTTCTTGGCACCTTTGCCAAAAATCAGTTAGCTGTAAATACGTGGATTTATTTCTGGGTTCTCAGTATTGTTCCATCTGTGATATACCTTTATTCTCTGGGAAGCAGAAATTGAAAGGCAGTAAACTCCTGTTGGACCTAAATTAGAAGGGAAATTGTTTTTACCTGGGAATTATTCCATATGCCCCAGATGGGTTACTCAAATGGAAGACACTGGATTTTAAAGGAAAACCACTAAATGACTTAGATTTTAATAGAGATGTGACTACAGATTGTTCAGTACCTTCAGAACATTATTTCTAACATGAGCTATGTGGAGTAGTTGGAGAAATTCTGGTTATTTGTACATCCTGGTTCCCTTCAGCTTTTGTCTGTTCTATACTCATCTCATAAGAAGATTAACCGATGGTTGTTGGCCCACACAGGATATGCAGAAGGTGATTTTTAGTTTCTTCATCTACAGAATGGGAATAAATACTATCCTATAGATTGGTAGTAATAATTAAATAAGTATATTAAAAGTTTCTGTGATCCATCCTAGATTTAATCTTTTCTTTAACTTTGAGATGAAAAGCCTTTATAAGAGTGAACTGTCACCCCACCCCTGCCCACCCCATTCACAGTAAGTCCAGATAAGGCTACAAACAGGTCTGCCACAGCCTACTTACAATGCCCACCTTGCCCCACCAGGTGTGATTCATAGTGGAAATTATGCTATACCTTTACATAAGTGTGAAAGATGAGTAAAGGTCTGGATTTCTCTATGATGATTATTTCAATGCTTAAAAAACATTAAACATCAAAAATTTTCAGAAAGTATTTTCTGGTTCTCTGCTGCTATCCAGAGATTTCTCAGTAAGCCGACGGATTAACTGACCACATAGGAATGGCTGAGCTTCTGCTCAGCCTGGCCTGGGGGCTTTGGGATGGCAGCATTCTAGAGGGTCCCCAGGCTCCTTTCTTTTTTTTTTTTTCCTTTAACTTATAAGATTATTTATTTAGCTATCAGAAATACAACATTGTTCCCTTTTCTTTTTTTTAAATTATACTTTAAGTTTTAGGGTACATGTGCACAATGTGCAGGTTTGTTACATATATATATACATGTGCCATGTTGGTGTGCTGCACCCATTAACTCGTCATTTAATGTTAGGTATATCTCCTAATGCTATCTCTCCCCCCTCCCCCAACCCCACAAAACCCTAGAAGAAAACCTAGGCAATACCATTCAGGACATAGGCATGGGCAAGGACTTTATGTCTAAAACACCAAAAACAATGGCAGCACCATTTATTAAATAGGGAATCCTTTCCCCATTGCTTGTTTTTGTCAGGTTTGTCAAAGATCAGATAGTTGTAGATATGCGGTGTTATTTCTGAGGGCTCTGTTCTGTTCCATTGACCTATATCTCTGTTTTGGTACCAGTACCATGCTGTTTTGGTTACTGTAGCCTTGTAGTATAGTTTGAAGTCAGGTAGTGTGATGCCTCCACCTTTGTTCTTTTGGCTTAGGATTGATTTGGCGATGTGGGCTCTTTTTTGGTTCCATATGAACTTTAAAGTAGTTTTTTCCAATTCAGTGAAGAAAGTCATTGGTAGCTTGATGGGGATGGCATTGAATCTGTAAATTACCTTGGGCAGTATGGCCATTTTCATGATATTGATTCTTCCTACCCATGAGCATGGAATGTTCTTCCATTTGTTTGTATCCTCTTTTATTTCCTTGAGCAGTGGTTTGTAGTTCTCCTTGAAGAGGTCCTTCACATCCCTTGTAAGCTGGATTCCTAGGTATTTTATTCTCTTTGAAGCAATTGTGAATGGGAGTTCACTCATGATTTGGCTCTCTGTTTGTCTGTTGTTGGTGTATAAGAATGCTTGGAAAACTGGCTAGCCATATATAGAAAGCTGAAACTGGATCCCTTCCTTACACCTTACACAAAAATCAATTCAAGATGGATTAAAGACTTAAACGTTAGACCTAAAACCATAAAAACCCTAGAAGAAAACCTAGGCATTACCATTCAGAACATAGGCATGGGCAAGGACTTCATGTCTAAAACACCAAAAGCAATGGCAACAAAAGCCAAAATTGACAAATGGGATCTAATTAAACTAAAGAGCTTCTGCACAGCAAAAGAAACTACCATCAGAGTGAACAGGCAACCTACAAAATGGGAGAAAATTTTTGCAACCTGCTCATCTGACAAAGGGCTAATATCCAGAATCTACAATGAACTCAAACAAATTTACAAGAAAAAAACAAACAACCCTATCAAAAAGTGGGCAAAGGACATGAACAGACACTTCTCAAAAGAAGACATTTATGCAGCCAAAAAACACATGAAAAAATGCTCACCATCACTGGCCATCAGAGAAATGCAAATCAAAACCACAATGAGATACCATCTCACACCAGTTAGAATGGCAATCATTAAAAAGTCAGGAAACAACAGGTGCTGGAGAGGATGTGGAGAAATAGGAACACTTTTACACTGTTGGTGGGACTGTAAACTAGTTCAACCATTGTGGAAGTCGGTGTGGCGATTCCTCAGGGATCTAGAACTAGAAATACCATTTGACCCAGCCATCCCATTACTGGGTATATACCCAAAGGACTATAAATCATGCTGCTATAAAGACACATGCACACGTATGTTTATTGTGGCATTATTCACAATAGCAAAGACTTGGAACCAACCCACATGTCCAACAACGATAGACTGGATTAAGAAAATGTGGCACATATTCACCATGGAATACTATGCAGCCATAAAAAATGGTGAGTTCATGTCCTTTGTAGGGACATGGATGAAATTGGAAATCATCATTCTCAGTAAACTATCGCAAGAACAAAAAACCAAACACTGTGTATTCTCACTCATAGGTGGGAACTGAACAATGAGAACACATGGATACAGAAAGGGGAACATCATACTCTGGGGACTGTTGTGGGGTAGGGGGAAGGGGGAGGGATAGCACTGGGAGATATACCTATTGCTAGATGGTGAGTTAGTGGGTGTAGCGCACCAGCATGTCACATGTATACATATGTAACTAACCTGCACATTGTGCACATGTACCCGAAAACTTAAAGTATTAAAAAAAAAATGCAATGGCAACAAAAGCCAAAATTGACAAATGGGATCTAATTAAGATCCTTTCTTACAAACTGTGCTTACGCTGGTGGCGTTGGAGGCATTCCCCTGTTGCTGGAGGGCATTCATCTCTTACCTGATAGTCTCTTTTCTGCAATCCAGATAGAATTGTTTTAGTTTGGGATGTAAATTGGCAGGTGTTATTAGAATTGAAAATACCTGAGAACGTTATCTAAAAACTAAGGAAAATGAGTATTTAAAAAATCTTAATCAAGCTTGATATATAGAAGGCCTGGACAGTAAAGCTCGGTTGTAAAGATCACAGGCTTTTGGGACAAAAGGTTGGGGACTTGATCTGTGGCTTTTTACTCCCCACCTTCAAATCCTAGATTCCTTTTAATCAGTCTATGGATCCACTGACTAAAAACATTAGCAATTTAATGACAGTGTTTTTTTTTTTTTTTTTTTGGTGGGGTGGGGGCACAACTGTATCAATTGATACCATTGGTACATATTGATTGAAAATGTATCTTTGAATTAAAGAAATATGGTAATATTAATATAATAGTGTCTAGTCTGTTAAAAATATAATAACAGTAACACCTACTTTTGAGTTATTATAACAGTTAAATGAGCTAGTACTTTGCACAGAGCCCGTTTGGTGCTGGCACATGGTAAAAATTGAATGAAAAGCAGCAGTGATTGATAACACAGAACATCTCTTCTTGGTATTATGGAGTCTGTATAGTCTCACTCATCAAATTCAATAGTCACAAAGTAATAAGTAAATACCCCTGGGTGACTGAAATATAGTAAGTACTATACAGTCTGTATTTCAGGTACCTAGGAATTATTTATTTTTCTAATAGTTAACAGTGAATTCTACTTTCCTATGCTGGGAAGTCATTTGATAATTTGGTATGGGAAAACTTAATAATGCTCCTTGGGTCACAAATACTAATGTTGGGTCTGTTAAAATAAGGGAGTGTATAAAAATTAATGAGACTCGATTTTTAGAATAAGTATCCCGATTTTTCCAATGTAATTTTGTTCTTTTTTGCAGGATTTCGTATTCAATTTCAAAAGTAAGTTTGAAACCACATCTATTTTCTGAAAACAAAACAAAAAAAATTGAACAACAACAATAATAACAACAATACGTACACACAACTGCGGGATTTTTGGATTTATGTTATCCAGAATTAAGTACCAGAGGTAGACAATGCTGAAAAACACGTATGCCGATCACAAACTCATAGGGCAACATGAACTGTGGGATGAAACAGATGGGTTGCCACTGCCTACCTTTGACTTGCTCTGGTTCCCTTAGGGAAATGGAGATTTTCTTAGTGTCTGGCATTTGCAGCTCTTTCCACAAGAGGACACTGTGCACCATGACTATCATCCCGCCTGCTGTGGGCGGAGGCCAGGGCCACCGGCAGAGGTCCTGCTGGAATTTCTGGGATAGTGGAGAGCAGTGAGCCAAGCCGGATGCCTGCAAGTCACGTGAAACTGTCCAGGCAGACAAATTAGGCAGTGTTCGGTGCTCATTCAGCCGTGGGGAGCGGACAGGACGGAAAAATTCCTTTCATTCCCAGGCTGCCCAGAAGTAGCTGCAAGCACTTTTAAGGTAACTGTGTCAAGGACTTACAATAAGTAGCCAGTAACCCTTTTAAATGTCTGCAATGTTAACATAGCCATATGTGCACCAAGGGGAGGGTTTTTTAGACAGACGTTGTTTGTTGTGGGTAATATAACAACACATGTAGTTATCAGTATTTTATTAGAATATTTACATTTTTAAGTGCTGAGATTCTAAAATACCTTTTGGCTACATTCTGTGAATGAATATGGACAATCACCATGTGGCAAAGGTTATCCCTTCTCCCTCTGACCCCTGGCAATTGTGAAGTTTGGAGAGAGGACACCACCAAGCAGCAGTCTGAAAATATTTCTCCTTTGAGGCCTGACTTAGGGCAAGGGAAGAGGAAGAAAAATAGACCCTGATAATTATTCTGGCATTTCTCTTGATTGCTACTACCAGCGGAATGGAAGCCTGGACTCTCGGTTCACCATTGTTGACTGTGCCAACATCTTCCATTTCTGTTCTCTGGGGTCTTAGGTGATTTGAAAGCACAGTAAAGTGATCAATAGCTACTCAGGATAATGGGTAGAGGATAACAACAACTATAGAATATGACACTGGGAGCATGAGAAAAGCTAGTATATCTTGAGTGCCTGATGTACATGCCAGGTACTCACTGTTGCATGCTTTGTAGAATTTTTTGTCTGAATGTGAACTGGACGGGCCCACCTCAGGGCTTGGGCACCTTTGTCTCCGTGCAGCCCTTGAACTTAGGTGAGACTGCATTAAGCTCCAGAGGGATAATGGGGGTTGCCCACTGAATAATCCAACCCCACTTGCTTTCCCCTTTCACGATGTCCATGGTGCTCACTCCAGCTGCTTGAGGACTTCTTTTGCATTAAAATAATTAAAATTATATGTATATAGTTGTATGTTTATTATGGAAAAAAATCAATGCATGTTTATTTTTAGAAAAAATAAATATAAAGATAGGCACAAGAAATAGTTTAAAAAAATCACCCACACTTCTATAGTTCCAAAGTAATTATTGTTAACTAACTATGTATGTACCTATGTACTCAAATGTTCATGTATATACCCATAGATATGCACACAAAGCATTTTGTGAAATTTGGATTATAGTAACCATTAATTCATAGCTTGCTCTTTTCACTTTGCACATTCTGAAGATTATTTCTGTTAACAAATACTTGCCCACAGCATTTTTGTAGTATTTGTTTGCTAGTTTTAGATAGATACTTTTAAGTACAGAAAAGTGCACACGTTACAGGTGTGTAGCTTGATCAGGTTTCACAAAAAGCACAAATGCCTGGGCTTGATGGCAGAAATTCACAGCTAGAACATCCTCAGCATCCCCAAAGCCCCCTAGACCCCGGTCAAATTGCTGCCTACCCCTCCTCCCCAAAGGTGACATTCTTCTGACATCTTTCCCACATCCCCAGAGATTAGGTGCATGCATCAATGGCGTCATTTTGTGTATACTCATTTATGTCTGCCTTCTTGAGCCTCTCACTGTGAGACTGATCCATACCGTGGCACGTGAGTGTCAGTGGCTCATTATTATGTAATATTACATTCTGGGCACATATGCAATTTATTTTTACCTTTTGCTTTAAATGGGTGTTTGAATAGTTTTCAGGTTGGGACCATTACAAACACTACTGCTCTGGCCAGGCGTGGTGGCTCACTCCTGTAGTCCCAGCGCTTTGGGAGGCCAAAGCAGTGGATCCCTTGAGCCCAGGAGTTTGAGACCAGCATGGACAACATGGAAAAACCCCATCTCCACAAAAAGTACAAAATTAGCTGGGCATGTTGGTGCTTTCCTGTAGTCCCAGATACTCAGGAGGCTGACTTGGGAGGATCCTTTGAGCCCAGGAGGCAGAAGTTACAGTGAGCCGAGATCACACCACTGCACTCCAACCTGGGTGACAGAGTGAGACCTTGTCACCAAGAAACAACAACAACAACGTCAAAAAACAACTACTCTGAGTACTATTGTAGGAGTCTTTTGGTGAACATAAGTACTCATTTCTGTTTGGTTCTGTGGGGAAATACAGCTGATTCTCTTTATCTGCAGGTTCCACATCCTCTGATTCAACCAACAATGGATCAAAAATATTTGAAAAAATATACAACAGTAAAAAGTAATACAAAATAAAGAAGCAGTACAGTATAACAACTATTTGCATAGCATTTACATTGTATTAGGTATTATAAATAATCTGGGCATAATTTAAAATATATGGGAGGATGTGTGTATGTTATATGCATATGCAAATCCTACACCATTTTATATCAGAGACTTGAGCATTTGCAAATTTTGGTATCTGCAGGGGTCCTGGAATCAATCTCTAACAAATACCAAGGGAGACTGTATCTAGTCCTAAAAGCTGGGCCAGAAGGTAGCGTATCTTCAGCTTTAGACAGTGCCACATTTTTCCAAAGAAGGTGTACAGGCTTACACTCCCGCTAGCAGTGTGTGAGAGCTCTCATATGTAATAATTTTGACAGATGCCATGGAATTCCATTTTAGAGAACCATCATCATTTATTTTACTAGTCCTCCCTGATTGGGCACTCGGTTGTTTGCAGTTTGCTTTTATAAATAGCTCATGAATCAACATTCTTTCAAGTACATATTTATACATATCCTTGATTGTTTCCCTAGCATACATCCTTAGAGGTCAAGTGTGACTATTTAAAATTCTTTGGCGTTCCATTGCCAGACTTCCTTCCAGCCTCCAAACCCTAGGAGGCTGCACCAACTTTTGCTTTATTTCAGGAGTTGGCACATTTTTTCCATAAAAGGCCCTGTAGTAAATAGTTTTAGTTTTGCCAGCCATATGGTCTCTGTCATGAGGACTCAACTCTGCTGTTATAACATGAGTATGGCTACATGTTTAGGTAGCCATAGACAATATGTGAGCTGATAGATGTAACCGTGTTCCAATGAAACTTTATTTACAAAAACAAGGAGTGGGTCAGATTTGGCCTGTGGGTCATAGCTTGCTGACTCTTGTTTTATTTGGTGAATGGTTTCTGAGAGTTGAGTAACAACTGGGGAGTAGAGTCCATGGACCAGGATAAACTTTCATCTCTCCCCATAATGGGAATGTGTGAGTAGGCAGGCGTGCATACCTGCAACGCAGCGGCAAAGCTATGGACTTCCTGTGTTAAGTTCAATGTGTAAGCATACTCTTGAGAGTAACCACGTGAACTACGTAGGTATCCATTGCCAATTAACATTTGGCAATGTTAATGCCAACAATTAACATGAACATAAAATGGTCTAATTGTAGGAAATCTGAAAAAGAGAAGACAAACAAAGAAACTGAGACAGAAAGTGGAAATGAAAACTCCGGCTACAATTCAGATGAACAAAAGACCACAGGTGAGTAGACAAGAGGGGTGGTGAAAAGACCTGGGAAAGAGAGAGCTGGAAGAAGGGCTGGCTTGCTAGATACCAGCTGCACAGGGAGGCTAACTTGGCAATGGTGGTTATTATTTTTTGGATAAATTTTAGAAGAAGAAATTCTAGAACTTGGAATACTCTAGGAGTAGGTTAACAGTAAAAATCCACCTATTTGTCTAATGCTTAAAATAAAGTGAGGAAGAACCCTGAGAGCTTTAAAAAACTTTGTTTTTTTCCATCACACACTGGGGCCTGCCATAGGGTGGGGGGAAGGGGGAAGGATAGCATTAGGAGATATACCTAATGTAAATGACAAGTTAACGGGTGCAGCACACCAACAAGGCACATGTATACATATGTAACAAACATGCACGTTGTGCACATGTACCCTAGAACTTAAAGTATAATAAAAAAAATTGTTTTTTCCCCATGCTTTCTTTTTTGTTTAAAGCCCTCTACATTAAAACATGTGGGGAGGTATTTTAATACATTGGGGGTAACTTCCTCCCAATTTCAAGTAGAGTCAAGTAAGAGATCTCTTCCCCTTGAATGTAACAGGGAGTTGGGAATGCTGGAAAACTAGACCTACTTTTGGAGAGTCTTGCTGTAGTATCTCATTTTCTTGCTATGAGACAATACAGAGTGATAATGCAGTGAGGGCATCTCTAAGACAACATCACCAGGAAGCAGCAGCAGTTGAGTATTGAAGGCCGATGAGAGGGGAAGGCTGAACCCACTCCTCCTCTGCAGGATGAACAGGACACCTGCCCTCACAGGCTGCTGGGAACACCAAATTCCATGGGAAGGTTTTCAGCCAATCAGTCCTTGCTGAGGGGCCTAAACACCTGCGTTTTCCACAAAAATTGGAGCTCTATTTTCAGCAGCCCCATTTTTTTTGATTTTACCATGGCTGCCTCCCATGTGTATTCCAGATTGCATCTTTCAGATTGAAAAAAATTCCAGAGAGCATGGACTGTTTCCTTTGATAATCTGACCACAGCTTCTTGCAGGTTCCTGTGAGTGAATATTTATTCATTAGTATTTTGAGCAATTGACTATCTTGACAAAAATCATGGCCCAAATCAAACATCTCTATCTCTTTTATCTCCATTTGTCTGGCATTTATTTTCCTTGATCAGCTGTTGAAGCTTTGGATCATTTAGTGTCTGGGTGAAACTAATGTGTCGAGAAAGAAATGGATTTTGAGTTAGTTTTCCATATTTTTATTTCTTTAAAGAAATAACATTCTAAAGAGATGGGATCTCAAGGGAATTTAAAAAAAGTGTTCATGGTTAAGGATTATGCCAGCGGTACTACATAAAAGCAAATGTGTTTCTTTATAAATCAGAATTGTTAGAGCACACAGCTTGGTTTTTGCCACTTAATGACTCTAAAATTGTTCTTCTGTTGCAGACACCGCTTCTCTCCCTCCCAAATCCTGTGAATCCAGTGATCCTGAACAAAGAAACAGTAGCTGTGGCCCTCCTCACCAGGTAGTTTAGACCATTTTCCCCCTTTTTGGACTTTTTTGGCTATTTAAAAATTCTTACCTTGTTGTGGGTGATTATAAAATGGTGCGCGTTGTGTATTCATGATGGTGGCATGTTGCCTTTCCTCCCCTCCATATCAGCTGGTCAGCATGGAGAGATGGGGCTGAGACGTGGACTGTTTCTTGCCCTCAGTAGCAGTTGCTCTAAGATCAAGGCTGGTTCTGGGTAACAGCTCTGGGTTCACATTTTGGGAGGATGCGACTTGATTTGGGACGTATCCGCCTGAGTTGGCATAAGAGTGAGCAGCATATATAATGTGCCATTTGTTCTCTTTGAGCCATATTCTCCCAGGACTCAAGTCCATTCTGCTCTCCTGGTTACCCGCTCCCACGTGCTCATCTGTACTTGGACCCTTGGGGCCTTTGGACTCATGGAAGGATGCACTGGGTTTGAGGATCAGGACAGAGAAAATGTAGTTTGCTCTGCATGCAAGTTCTATGCTGATAAGCTTGAGGGCTGAAAAAATCCTGTCGGGGTTAGAATTTTAGAGGAGAGAGGAGGAGTCCTTGATGATTAAGGATTATGGCCAGAACGGCTAAGAGGCTGGAGTTGCCATTAACGTAGATAAGGAATGTTATGGGTGGAGCAGTTTAGGGGGAAAGATTAGACATCTAATTGGAGCTTGTAGATTCTGAAGGTCTCTGTTAGATGTCCACATGGAGATGCTGAAGGTGTAGTTAAATTCACCAGTCTGCAGTTCCAGGGAGAGGTACTAGCTGTAGATACTGGTTGGTTGGTTGGCAATGTTTCGATGGGAGCTGTCTTTTCACAGGATGGTTCACTTAAGTAAACGGTCAACTGGCAGCACTGAGAACATAGTATGTTAATTTGCTGATATAGAGTCAGCATTGGTTATCATACATGAATGAATGAGAGTTCATTTTCTATCCCGAATCATAAATTAGGTAGAATATATATAACCAACACCCTTTTCTGACCTGTACAAATGCAACTTCAGACAAGAAGTATTTCAATGCGATTCTGTGATTGTGTCCCCAATAAGTGTAGATGTTATCTTCTTTTAGCTTTTGGAAAAGGTAAACTTGCAGGCTGGGTTTTGGATAGCACACTGGGCCAGATGGGTTGGGTTTGTTCTGCTAGGAGCTGCTTTACCTGAGGCGACGGTGCCCAGCAGGTGCCTGTGTGGCCCCTGATCATTCTTTCTTGGCACAGGTATTTACCTGAGTTTCCAGGGAGCTCTGGGCAATAATATTCCTCCCTGCAATTGGGATTCAGCTCAGTAACCTACATCTTGCCAGTGATGTGTGTTTTTCAGGCCTGTAGGGGGGAAGGGAGTGCTGATTGATGCTCAGTCATGTATTGGGAAAACCTAAGTGATACTATTAATATTAGTGTCAACACAGGTAGCCAGACAACAAGACATATGAGGGGCCTGGGGCATAAAGGCAACTGTGCCTGAGTAACAAATCGTTAGCTCCTAGTACAAGTTCCAGTGACTTTCCTCAGGCCGGGTGTCAGGAAAATGGAGAGGTAATGTTTTTTCCATCAGGGCCGCTCTCTTTGGCACATACATCTTTTGATGCATTTAATTTGGAGCTGGAAGGGACGATGATGCAACAGGTTTCCTTTAGAAGGACCAGTCTCTGAGTGAAAGGTGGCAGTGGAAGGGAGTGATTGTTGGGCTGTGGGGTGGCTGGCTGAGGGGCTCGCTCCCACCCCAGCTCCAAGCACGGACAGCCAATAGCACATTTAAGCCAACCATGATTTCCACAGCCCTTCCGTGGTTATCTTTGTCTATCAAGTGTGTTTCTATCAGACAAGCCAAAGTGTTCAGGTCTGGCGTTGTGGGGAGGGTATAAGCTGGGAGGAGATTCAGAATAGGGTCATGCCACATAATTCTCTTCAAAATACATCTAGTATGAATGAGGAGGAAGGGGAATGTGAGGTGCATTTGGATACCTGAGTGGAGAATGACGTTTTGGAGCTCGGAGTGGATGCTTCTTGATGTTTGTAGTGTTCTTTTTGAATATACACAGGGAGAGAAACTTAAGAGTTTTCTGCTACTGAAACATGTACCCAGCTAAATAATCAATCGGTGGAAAAAGAACAGTGACCCTCGAGGTGCTGAGCCCTGGGGACTGGTAACGTAGTCTCGTGTTTCTTATTTCCTGAAGGGTTTGTCGTCTTCTAGGGGAGCCGGGCACCTCATCAGAGAGCACCAAGGCCCTTAAGAAACAAATCAGGACTCTAGGAAGTTGAATTATCTTTGTCTGGGCTAGAAACTAATGAGGGTTATTAAATAACTGGATCTTTCTACTCATCATGGGGGGACTTTAGGACAAAGTCCTAAAGAAGAGGTCTATCTTTGATTATGACCAAAGAAGGACTTTGCCGTCATGGGCCCAGGCACGGCCTCCACGTTGCCCATTTGGAGAGCCTGGATGCAGGATGTACCATGGGCCGTGTTTCCTGGGAAGCACTTAGAGGAGGAATGAGCAAAATGGGCCACAGTGGAAAGGCTGGGCCTGGGGACACAGCCGTTCCCTTCCATTTCCTTGGTCCAGAGAAGACATAGACCTTGTTGTGGTCAACTGGCCACTTGAGAGCTGCCAGAATAGTGAAGCTACAGCTTGTAGAAGCAGTCAGGGTGACGCTGGTACAGAGGTTCCTTTTAAGAACTTCCCCAGACCAGGCCCCGTAGCCCTGCAGCCCTGCCAGGCCTATGTCACCAGGTTCGTGCTGTGTGGGGTGATGAGGACCTCTGAATTCCGAATGCCTTGGTCCAAGGTGTGAAAACAATGCAGTCGTGCCTTCTTTTCTCAAAACTTTCTCCATTCTGCAATAAGCCTTAGTTCCTTATAGAGCCCAGGAGAGACAGCTGAGAGCTATTCAGAGTCCCGTCTCAGTTTTCCTTTCATCCTCCTCTCCGCATGCCTCAGTATGACTCCAATTTGTCAGAGCCTCCTGAGCTGCTGCCGCATGTTTTGCGCACACAGGCCTCCCAGGCCCAGAGCTGGGGCCCAGCAGGGCTCCTGCCCGAGAAGCTGGCTTGTTAGAGTTCAGGGTTGTTGACTACAGATTGCACTATTTTGCAGAAACCCCGCATGAAGCTCAGGTCCTGAAAAGCCTGTAGATTAGACTGAAAGATCCCAAGCTGTGAGCCAGCCTGAAGCAAACACTTTTCCGATCGTGGTTGCTGAAGAGCTAGTTGGGTCAGAAAAATGGCCTATCCATGGAGATGCGGCAGGCACAACAGCAACTAAAGCTCCTGCTTTGTCTTAATAGATCGCAGAACAGGATAGTTTTGGTTTTGTGAACAGGACGGCAACTGCTGACCACATACACTCGCTCTCTGCTCATGCTGCATCCTCCTCTGCTGAAACTGGTGATCTGTTAACACTCGGCAATTTCAGGAGGACTTAACTAATGGATGACTGTTGACTACACACAGGCTAGTCCAGCATTTCTAGGTCCTCAATAAACAGTTACTCATTAAAGTGGAGAATACCTTCCATGCCCAGCATTATGCTGTCACAAGCAAGGTACTATAAGGTGTGTGCATGTGCAGATAGACAAAGCTCCTTTGCTTTTTTTTTTTTTTTTTTGAGATGGAGTTTTGCTCTGTCACCCAAGCTAGAGTGCAGTGGTGTGATCTTGGCTCACCGCAACCTCTGCCTCCCAGGTTCAAGCGATTCTCCTGCCCCAGCCTCCTGAGTAGCTGGGATTATAGGCGTCTGCCACCATGCCCAGCTAATTTTTGTATTTTTAGTAGAGACAGCATTTCACCATGTTGGCCAGGCTGGGCTCGAACTCCTGACCTCAGGTGACCTGCCCACCTCAGCCTCCCAAAGTGCTGGTATTACAGGCGTGAGACAGCTTGCCCGGCCTTTAAAAATTTTTTTTGAGACATGGTCTTGCTTTGTTGCCCAGGCTGGATTGCAGTGGCACGATCATAGCTCACTGTAACCTCGTACTCCTGGGCTCAAGGGATCCTCCTGCCTCAGCCTTCCGGAGAGCTAGGACTACGGGCACTTGCTGCCATGCCTAGCTAATTTTAAACATTTTTTTTTGTAGGAATGGGGGTCTCACTATTTGCCCAGGCTGTTCTTAAACTCTTGGCCTGAAGCGATTCTCCCACATGGGCCTCCCAAAGCATTGGGATTATAAGCATGAGCCACTGCACCTGACCCCTACTTCCTTTGCTGTTAATCCCAATCAGTTATGACAAAAATATGATTAGATCACTATAGATGAATATACAACCTAAAAATAACATCACGTTTTGGGTCATTTAGAAAAGTTAAATAATTTCATATCAAACTGCCTTTCCACGCCTTTGTGATCAGCGGCACTTTGTTTTCTTCAGGGGCCCATTGCTTAAATATGCCCCCAGGACGGGGAAATTTGATGTGCCAGGGTTGGCCCACAGGTCACTGATGAGGCCCTTGGGAAGTTCAGATTTATGGTCTTCACCTCTAGACATCAGGACTCAGAGGGCTGAGGAGGTGTTTAAGCAGCTCTGCTTTTTAGGAGAACTCAATGTGGCTAGGCTTAAGGGTTATTGGTTACCTTATAGCAAGAGGGGAATCAGGAGTTTTGGAAAGGGAAGAGTGGCAGGTCCCCAAGCACCAATCTGCCTCCTCCATAACTTCACCCTGCACGATGGGTACTCAGCAATTCTGCTTTGCCCAGCATCCTGAGGCCTTCATAATGGCCTGTGCTTGCCCACCTGGAGTGGGTTCTACTGGGGTTGGTAGTGCCATGCTCTTTCTCCCTCTGCCGGGAGTCAGCTGTATTTCCGCAAGTAGAGGAGTGTCTGGACACTGAATCCGGAGTCTGGGAAGGCACCCAGCTCAGGGCGGTGTATGGCGTTAGGAGGAGCAGCAGGTTTCCAGGTTACTTGTGCCCCCATCTTCAATGTCACAACTCTCAATCTCTCTTCCCTGAGTTGTACACATCTGTGTCTACATCTCAAGGCTGCCGTGGGTCTCTGAATACGTCATCTTTGTCATGAATCACCCAGCTCAATTTTAATAACATCCAACAGTTAGTAAAACAGGAAACTAGAACTTTAATATTTTAGGAAATGGCAGAATTTGCTGCTGCACCAGCCTCCCATAACTCCTGCCCCTTTGGCATCCTTTCAGTTAAGGTCCAGCATGCCAAAGGCACACACTGCCACGGAGATGAGCAAGACAAGATGCAGTGGTGAAACCTTTTTTTCAAACCGTTAGTTATCCCCTGATGCTTTCAGTGCTGGGAATCCTTTGAAAATTTCAGAAAAGTGGGGGCATGTCTCAGGAGCAGTGTCATGGGGGACAGGCTGGGGCTGGAGTTTTGACCACCAAAGGCCAGACACTGTGGCCAGGAGCTACAGGCACAATGGCTGACTTAGGCCAGGTCCTCAGGGGGACGCTGGGTTGTAGACAATGGGAAGAGGCACCAGTTCCTAGACCTCTTGGTCCCCAGGCTGCCTGGAGCTCCCCCTTTTGCTCATCTCCACCTCTAAGCACCCTCTCCTGCCAATTTCTTCCCTGAACATGAGACTTCCTGCTCAAGAGATGGGGCAGTCCTTGTTCTTGCCACCACCTGGCAGAAATGGTGGATGTATTTCCGGAATTCTCTATTCCGGTTTTCCTAAAGAATGCTTGCTGAACACGGAGGTGCACCCAGCGCCTATAAATACCGCTGCCTTGGTACCCTGCTGGCGTAGCAGCAGCTCTCAGTACAGCCCTGTGCCAGGAACACACTGGGTTCTTGTTAAAATGCACACTCTTGGGCCTCCGCCAGGCTTGCTGGATCAGAATGTCTGGGAGATAGGGCCAAAGAATCAGTATTTTTATCATTCTCCAGGTGATCTGCTTTGAGGAATTTTTTTTTTTTTGTCCCAGTGTGAAAACTCCACAGACATGTATAGCATTGTTTCTAAGGGAGGGTGCTCTCTGATTTCTAGAAGTCTTCCTACAACTGTGCATTTAGAATTACTTGTACCTCGTGTCCCTGCTCCACCGGCCTTGCTGCAAAGCACAGAGAAGAGTTTGAGATGCTCACGGTGGTGCCATGATGAATGCCAAGTGAAAGGTCTTGACACCAAAGACTCCACTGTCCACCTGGCATCCTACCAGGGACACTCTTAATTAACCCTTCCATATTTTAGATGGGTCCTAAAGCACATTGCATTCAACGTAAATGAAAAAATAGAAACCTAGACTGTAGAGATCTCAATCATGGATTAAATTGTAAGAAGGGTCAGAAGGAAAAAAGAGATTCATTTTCAAAACTGTCATATACAATATGACAATTTTCTTCTCTGATTATTTCTCTGATGACTGAATCTACAGTTAGAATATGTAGTACTGACATGGTTTTCTAGACAAGAGTTTCCCTGTTGGTGAAACAGAATGAATTTGGGTGCAACTGCAGCTGAAACACATTAGGGTAAAAGTAATAAGTAAAATTAGAAATTCCTACTAAAATAACCAATTACTGGGAAAGGCATGCTTTTTTATTTCAATATGAAGCCAGGGGATTTGCAAATGTTTTTTATTTTGGCGAATATTTAAAACAAAGAATCCTCCTTTTCCTCTCTTTGTCCTGTGCCTTAACTCACTGTCAGTGCATTTTCCTGGCTGTTTTAGGAAATTCTCTGTCTCTGTCATTTTCAGAAGATGGGCATATAAACAACTTGAGACCTGGATCAAGCCTTCCCCACAAATCACCCCCTCATTGAGACAAACAGAAATACATACTTGATAAATTTAGAAAACAGCGATGTTTGCACAACCCAGCAGTGAAAACAAAAGCAAACGACAGTAGGAATCTCTAGCATATTAGCAGCAGAAGGCACATGTCTTAAAGCACTGCTGACATAGTTCCATCCGCTGTCCAGTTTTCCCTGTGTTATTGGGAGTCAACAAATTAAGAGCGTGAGCCAGAGTAATTCTATCCTCAAGACTTGCTAGCATTCCATCACATTGTGAATAATTTATCATGCCCAGTTACATTATTTAAGATGTTAAGTGCAGCTATTGTGCCCTGGAACCTGAGCTGCCATTCTCAGGACTGGCAGGAAAAAAGTGTTGCACACATTTTAATAAGGCAATATTATGAGACAGGCATTGGCCACTCTGGAGGATTAAATGGTTTGTTTGGGATTACATTTCTGAATGAGAACAGGGAAGACTATGTTTCTCCCTGATAGGGAAAAGAGACAGGTGGGTGATCTATCTGGAGTCAGTTCTTCAATTTTGTCCCCCTGTTCTAGAAACAATGCACGCTCTTTAAGAAGTTTAGAAATATTTTATATTTTCATAAAAAATCTAGCCAGTAAAGCAAGAACTTCCTTAGGAAAATTGAAACACAAAACAAAACAATGAGTCGTGGTAATTTGCCTTAGTCAAAACAAATACTGATTCTTGGAATTGGATTGCCCTTTAGGGCCTGAACTTGGAAAACTTCTATATTGTGTGTTACCAGAAATAATGCAAGAAAGGAAGAGCTTATTTTAACATTTTTGTTCCTCTCCGTACCTTAATTTTATCTTAACAGATGAGTGAAGCTCTCTTTTCAAGTTTGCATTTTACAGTGATCTCAACCCATTAAATTGACTTTTTTCCTCCTCTGTTGCCAGCGGGCTGATCAACGTCCACCCAGGCCAGCAAGTCATCCACAGGCTTCTTTTAATCTGGCCAGTCCTGAGAAGGTCAGTAATACAACTGTAGTATAGCAAAGCCTTCCCCAAGCTCCACTGAGCACTTGGCTGACAATTCAAAACACGGCGATGGCATCCTTCCTTTCCATCCTAAGACTGGCCTGCAGCTTTGCCAACATTACCTGAAGAGGAGATGTCGGAGTCATCAGAACTGATACTTGACAGTGAGAGAAGGAATCGATTTTCCCAGAGTTCAAAGTAGAATGTGACTTTTAAGAGGTTTCATGGTTTTTGTGAATTCCATGAAGTTACTAAGTAAAAGCTGCAAATTCATCATAATTTTTCTCAACATTCAACACTCCTACTTGTTAATCCAACAAATGGTAGATAAAAGTCTGTATTCTACCATGCCTTTCAAAAGTTTTTATTATCTGAAAGCATATGAAGATGATATTTATGTATATTTAATATGTAGGGGTATTATTACATATTATCAGTGAAATACGAGTATAAAAATTAGGGTCAACCAGAAATCTGCAATTGACTGTCAAAACTGAGCTCAGTTAAAGTAAGATTCAATTCTAACATGGATGTGCACGTTCCTAAATATCTTATGATTGAATATTTACATGAAGGCATTCATTTTTATCTGCCCCTTTATCAGACCTATTTGCATCTCCTCAAATGAATTAGATGTGGCCTATGCTTTGCAGAGGATGGACCTCACCTACTCCGCACACCGTGAAAAAACTGGAAATGGGCATTGTAGTCTTTAATTAATAAAAACACCAAAAATGTGTATTGCCTTTCTTAACTCTTCACTATTCAGTTGGTCATTTAAAGAATCATAGTATTCGGGAATCAAGCCTTTTCCGAGAAGGAAAACAAGAGCCTTCTGCAAAAATCCATCACATCTTCACAATTATCTTTGCTGACTGTACATTCACTTCATTTAAAGTTAACATGAATGTTGTTATGAAGAATAAATTGCTGCCTTTCCCCAGTATTTTTCTTTTTCCATGTAGATACAGTCAGTGAATTTAACTGCCCATTCCACCCCTTCATATTTAACCTAGGGGCAAGACTGTGATTTGACCGTACTCTGAACTGGTTGGTGCAGATTTCTATGCTGGTTATAATTAGCAACTGCTTTGAGTCCCTCAAGCTCAACCATGCTATTGCTAAAGCAGAATTTGACTTTTAAAATATGTCAGGATTTTAGTGAATTCCTTACGGATACTTAGTAATAGATGCAAATTTGTCATGGTGTTTCTAATCACTCACTCCTGCTTGCTAATCCAACAAATGGTAGAGAAGTCTTACACTACCATGATGTATAAAATACTTTTATAATCTTAAATCACATTCAGCCCTACCCTGGACCGTCCTATAAACCAGCAACTAACTGAAGGGGTGTATTAATCTGTTCTCACACTGCTAACAAAAACACACCTCAGACTGAATAATTTTATAAAGAAAAAGAGGTTTAATGGACTCATAGTTTCATATGGCTGAGGAGGTCTCACAATTATTGTGAAAGGCGGAGGAGGAGCAAAGGTACATCTTACATGGAGGCAGGCAAGAGGGAACTGCCCTTTACAAAACCATCAGCTCTCATGAGACTTATTCACTATCATGAGAACAGCCCAGGAAAAACCCACCCCTATAATTCAATTACCTCCCACCATGTCCCTCCCACAACGTGTGGGGATTATGGAAGCTACAATTCACGATGAGATTTGGGCGGGGACACAGCCAAACCATATCAAAGGGTATTTCCTGGTACCATTTGGAGCCAGGCATGTGTTTTGATTGGCTGATGCTCATACTGTATCCATTCTGATTGGTCAGTGCCCATACAATATCTATTCTAATTGGGCAGTGTTCATGCCTTACTGGTTGTCATCTATTTTGAATATCATCTCTGCTTAGAGGATCCTGAAAAAAAAAAAAAAGGTAATCTCTCCTAGGACCATGTCCCTAACGTGAGAAAATTGGCTGGCTAGATTTTAGGGAGTAGAACTGAAATGCAAAATTTCAAAAACCCATAAATATTGCTATATCATATTCCCAAGAGTCTTTTCGAGGGAAACAATTGCCAATTCAACTGGATAAAAATGAGACTCATTTATTATACTAATTTTTTTATTCCCTGCCAATGTGGTTCTGTCTTTCCACTACCGTCCTTGAATGGCTACAAGGAGAAGAGAAAGACAAGAAGGTTCTTGAATCTCTTTAGGCAGAGCTAAATGGGTGAATGCCATACTCTTCACTTAATAGTTTACTCTCCTTAAACAACCACAGAATTCAGATCCTAAGATAAGGCAAATGCCATGTTATTTATGCCTTTTGTAACTTTTACAGCACCTGATATACTGTAAATGTTCAGTAAATATTGAAATCAAACAGGTCAATATTAAGAAAGCCTATATATTAAATACAAGAAATATTTATCATTTGCTTGCTATAAGAATAATATTTTGTGGCAATTTTGAGAGTCAAGGGGGTTGCATATAAAATATAATTGAAATTTAAGTTTTGAAATCTGGAGGACAATGGTAAATAATTTCCATAGAAGTTTCTCCAACTTACTACACGTTTGTTGAGTCACACTCAAAATATTTTTTTCATTTATCAGATTATGGGATTTTTTTTTTGTGGTGTCACTTATAAATAGGCTCTTCTTACAGAATCTTACTCCAGGAGTAAGGTTTCTCAGAGGGATCCTCTGGCCAGTTTTTATTTCACATTAGGTAGATGCATTACTTGAATAGAACTATCTAGAGCTATACTGTCCAATACTGTAGCCACATGGGGCTATTTAAATTTAAGTTATTTAAACTAAATAAAATATAAGATTCATTTTATCGGTTGCACTGGTCACATTGCAAGGGTTCAATAGCTACGTGTGACCAGTGGCTACTCTACTGGACAATGCGCATGGTAGGTTTCCATTATTGCAGCAAGTTCTGTAGGAGTGCTCATCTAGAGATAGCTACTTGGAAATGACCTTGATGTGTCATATCATCTTCATATGCTTTATCCTTTTACACAAACACACAATCTGTGTTTTCTTCAGCATTATGTCTGTGCACTCAGCCAGTTTCTATTTAGGAATCCTGCAACACCCAAGGCAGCTCTCAACCGAAAATGGTGTTTTGCTGATGTGGTAAATTCCTATCTCACTTCCACAGTGCAGAGAGCTGTGGCAGGCTCAAGGGGGTGGAATGAGAGGAGTCAATCAAAGCAAAACTTCATGGTCAAGGTTATTTCTCGGGAAGATGCAGCTCTCTGCTAATGAATGGCCGATGAGGGCTGCAAATTTATTTAAACAAATACCCCTCAAAATTTTATGCCATAAAACCCTAACCAGGGAAACCATACCTGTCCATCCCTCCCAGTGGTCTTTTACTTTGGTTTGTCTGTCAGATTCCAAGCAGGACCCATGCAATCAAGGCTCTTCCATATTACTCAGGGTAAGGACCTAAGTGGTAATGCCAATACCTCGAAGATAACTGGAGAGCTTGAGAGCTTCCTCTGCTCTGTGTGGCCCTGACCTTGGAAAACTGTTAGGGACACTAAAGTTGGTTGCACGTTCCTAAGAGTTTAATGACATAAAAGGTCAATAGATGAGGCCGGATGCAGTGGCTCATGCCTGTAATCCCGGCACTTTGGGAAGCTGAGGCAAGCGGATCGCTTGAAGCTGGGAGGTGGACACCAGCCTGGGCAACATGGTGAAACCCATCTCTACTAAAAATACAAAAAGTAGCCAACTATGCCTGTAGTCCCAGCTACTCGGGAGGCTGAGGCACAAGAAGTTTTTGAACCTGGGATGTGGAGGTTGCAGTGAGCCGAGATCGCACTATTGCACTCCAGCCTGGGTGACAGAGTGAGACTCCATCTCAAAAAAATAAAAAAAAAGGTCAATAGATGCTTCAGAGCAAACAAGAGATGCCATGCCAGTACCTGAACCCCCCCTGTTAAAGTGCTTGTTGATGTCTTTGGGAAGAACACCATCCTGTGTGAAGATGAAGGATGGTCTGCTCCGTGGGACACATGAAAACTTGAAGAGTTCAGAGATGGGAGAATCAGGTGGAGAGCAGGACAGGAAGCAAGGGTTCAGGGGAAGGTAGTATGAGGTGAAGGTCTTGACAGGCAGGTGGTCCAGCAGGCCGGGAGCCATGCCTGTGGGCCTGAGGAACTGTTACCATCCACTGGACCAAGGGAGCAGGGAGAGGATGATGGGCCGGTGTGGAGAGGGCCTCTGACTGCTGCTGTGGCCACACCATGGAAATATGGCAGAGAGGGAGTCAGAGTGACAGGGTTCTGGCCATCCACTCTCTCTTTTCAGTCTCTTGCTTGTGCCTCCCCCTGATCACGCCCAACCAGAGCCAGAGGTCCTGGAGACCATCAGTGTAGTCCGTATGGGTCAGTCCCCTGGGAGGACTGTGCTGGATACAGAAGGTGGGAAATGGATGTGGAGGGCAGGCAGAGCATTTAGCAAGGAGAAATTGCTGAATGGAGAATATAAAGGGGATGGGAGGAGAATGAATGATCCATGTAAAGTCAGAAGGAAGGGCCTTTTGCCTGGTAGTGTGCTCCACTGCTTACCTTCCTTAGGGATGAAGCCATTTACTGAGAAAGGTGTAGGGGCTAAGAGCTCAGCTCACTGAAAGTTTGCTGAAAGTCCTTGATACGTTGCAGATGGGTAGGAGAAAAGGCATACAAATTTATTTAATGTGTGTACAAGGGAGCCTTCAGAATGAAGACCCAAAGATGCAGGGGAAATTGTCTGTTTCTATGCTTAGGCTTAACAAAGTATGGACTGCCATGTAAAAATATGATTGGACAAAAAGGGTAAGATCTAATGCTGATAAACTGAGTGGGGAAATCCAGAATGACCTGTCTGCCTAGATTCTTCTTGGCCTCTCTGAGTATCATTCCTTCCTGCTGGGTGTGGGCAGGACTCACTCTGGAATGGGAGTCTTTTTTTTTTTTTTTATTATTATACTTTAAGTTCTAGGGTACATGTGCACAACGTGCAGGTTTGTTACATATGTATACATGTGCCATGTTGGTGTGCTGCACTCATTAACTCATCATTTACATTAGGTATATCTCCTAATGCTATCCCTCCCCACTTCCCCCACCCCATGACAGTCCCCGGTGTGTGATGTTCCCCTTCCTGTGTCCAAGTGTTCTCATTGTTCAGTTCCCACCTATGAGTGAGAACATGCGGTGTTTGGTTTTTTGTCCCTGTGATAGTTTTCTGAGAATGATGGTTTCCAGCTTCATCCATGTCCCTACAAAGGACATGAACTCGTCCTTTTTTATGGCTGCATAGTGTTCCATGGTGTATATGTGCCACATTTTCTTAATCCAGTCTATCATTGATGGAAATTAGGGTTGGTTCCAAGTCTTTGCTGTTGTGAATAGTGCCGCAATAAACATACATGTGCATGTGTCTTTATAGCAGCATGATTTATAATCTTTTGGGTATATACCCAGTAATAGGATGGCTGGGTCAAATGGTATTTCTAGTTCTAGATCCTTGAGGAATGGCCACATTGTCTTCCACAATGGTTGAACCAGTTTACAGTCCCACCAAGAGTGTAAAAGTGTGGAATGGGAGCCTTATGACCTGCAGTCAAGCAAGATAGGTCCCATAATTTCTTCATGGCCAGTTTTTACATAGAATATGTTTAAGTTTTATGGCTGGCTTTAGAGAAAAGGAGTTCTGGTTTCTATGGCCTGCCTTGGGAAAGAGGGATTGTCGTTTTAGCTCGCCTTGGGAAAGAATGAGACTGAGAGACAAGAGGGCAGGAGAAGGTCAAATAAAAACTTTTGCTTCTGAGGCCTTCACTTTAGGGTATTGTTTTCTGAGGCCCAACAGAGCATCATTGGGAGGAAAGGAATTCGGCTGCATTGAACTTGGGTAGCTCCCATCTTTGTTGCCCACTTCCATCTCAGGAGAACAAGGGGATTGGATGATGGGCCCTTGAAGTCCTTTCTGGCACTTATCTTCATAGAGATGTTCACACACACACACACACACACACACACACACACACACGCACACACACTCATCCTCACCTGACATGACCCAGCTGTTAGGACTGAGGCTGCGCTGTCTGAATGCGTGCAAGCATCCCTTGTCCCTGCCGCATTGGGAGGGAACTGTATTTTTGCGGATGGTAAATATTTAATTCTCACCTAGCACAGTGTGTAAATCATGCCACATGTGGTGATAGCCTCAGGGAAAACCCACTCTCCAACATTTATGAAGCAGATGCTCTGACCTCAAGCCCAGACCTCTACAAAATGCAGAGTGTGGGGCAGCAGGCTGGGTCCTCGGCTGAAAGCAACCCGATAATTGTCATTCTTCTTTTCTTGGGGGAGCCATGTCATTTATAAAAATACAATGGGATTCTGAACCTCAGGACTGGGGGGAGGATTTGTGAGAATTATTGCCCCATCAATGTCTTCAGACTGAGACGTTCGTGCTCTGCCTTCTAAGAATACTGGGTTGACGCAGTGGGAAATTGATAAGGTTCCAGGAAACTCTATGGAGAAATGTAGTACAGAATGTATTGATTCTGTTTCTCTTCAGAAACCTTAAGAATGTATGCACAGGGAAGTCAGTTTTGGAACAGGAATGTTTACCCAAGGCCTGTACCAACATTGTACCTTGGAAGTAAATAACTTATCTTTGATTTTACAAGCTCATGGGTGGAAGGCACTTGCCTTGAGTCTCAAATGAGACTTTGGGCTTTTGAGTTAATGCTGGAATGAGTTTAGACTTTGGGGGACTACTGAAAAGGGATGACTGTGTTTTGCAATGTAAGGACATAGCTTTGGGGGGCCAGAGGTATAATAATATGATCTGGATGTTTGTCTTCCTGACACTCATGTTGAAATGTAATCCCCAGTATCGGAGGTGGGTTTAGTGGGAGGTGTTTGGGCCATGGGGGTGGATCCCTCATGAATGGCTTGGTGCCTTCCTTGTGGTAATTCTTGAGTGAGTTCTTGCTCTGAGTTTATGTGAGATCTGGTCTAAAAGTGTGTGGCACCTCCTCCCCCCTCTCTCTTGCTCTCTTTTTCACCATGTGGTGGACTGGCTCCCCCTTCACCTTCTGCCATTATTGTAAGCTTCCTCAGGCCTCACCAGAAGCTGAAAAGATGCTGGTGTCATGCTTGTACAGCCTGCAGAAGCGTGAGTCAAAATAGGCCTCTTTTCTTGATAAACCTGAGGCTTTTCTGTATAAGACTCAGGTATTTCTGCGTAGCAATGCAAGAATGGACTAACACAGCTGTCACCATGGCAGGAGCAGGTGATGGAAGAATATGCCCGCCTTCTTGGCTCCTCACAGTTGCATGGCATGTGTGCCTGTGTATTTGTGTGCATATGTGTGTATATGTGCATGTTTGGGAGTGTTCTGCTTATGTTTGTGTGTGGATATGGTGTGTCTGTGTATGTATGCTGTCGTGTATGTGTGTATGCATGCATGTATATATATGCTGTGTGCTGTGTCTGTTTATATGTCTGTGGTATGATGTGCATTGTGTAAATTTGCATGTGTGTGTGTATAAATATATGGGATGTGTGGCTGAGTGTGTCTATGTATGTGTGTGTATATGATACATAGCATATATATGTGTGTATGTACATATATGTATGGTGTGTGTGTCTATATGATTTGTCTATGCATGTGTATGTGTGTTTGTATGTCTCTGTGTGCGTGCATATATGGTCTGTATATGTGTGTTTGTGGGGATTTGTGTGTTTGCTTGTGTGTGTGTGTCTTTGTGTGAAAAGCAAGGAAGGGAGAGAGACATTTGTTTTGTGTCTGCCACAGGGGTCAGCAAACTATAGTCCACAAGCCAAGTCCAGCCTGCTGCTTATTTTTATATGGTCTGCAAACTAACAATAATTTTTACATTTTCAAGTGGTTGACAAAAAATCAAAAGAAGAATTATATTTCATGACGTGAAAATTATATAAAGTCCAAATTTCAGTGTCTCACAAGTAAAGTGTATGGGAATGTGACTAGTGCTCATTCACACATAGTCTGTGGCTTCTGTCATGCGACAATGGCAGAGTTGAGTGGTTGTGACAGCGACTGTGTGGCCTATGAAGCCTAAAAATGGACTACCTGGCCCTTTGCAGAAAATGTGTGCCAGCCCCTGGTCTTCCTTACATGGGAACTTTTCATGGTTTATCTCGTTTAATCCCCCTTTAATCCTGTGGTGCTTTTTTGTCTTCACTGTACCAATGCTTGAGGTAAGGGCAGGAGCCTGGAGTCACATAGCTTCTGGTCTGAGTCTTTCAGACTCCACGATGGGCACACTGTCTACTCTCCCTGCCGGGTGACACCTCCCTCTCAACCTCCATCACTCTTAGGATAAAATCTAGGCCAGATGCGGTGGCTCACATCTGTCATCCCAGCACTTTGGGAGGACAAGGCGGGCGGATCACCTGAGATCAGGAGTTCGAGACCAGCCTGGACAACATAGTGAAACCCTGTCTCTACTAAAAATACAAAAATTAGCCTGGCATGGTGGTGGACGCCTGTAATCCCAGCTACTCGGGAGGCTGAGGCAGGAGAATCGCTGAGCCTGGGAGGCAGAGGTTGCAGTGAGCTGAGACTATGCCATTGCGCTCCAGCCTAGGCAACAAGAATGCAACTCTGTCTCAAAAAAAAAAAAAAAAAAAAAAATCTGAAATCCTACCATGGCTTAGGAGGCCTGGCCAGGTCTAGCCCCAACCCAACCCTGGCTGTGCACCTTTCTCTCCCCAGAAATCACACTCTTGTCCCTCTAGGGCAGAAAGTCCCTCAGGCGTCCATGCCCTGTCTGTCTCAGGGCCTTGGCGCTTCTGCTTGGGCATCCCCCTGCAGCCATTTCCCAGATGCAGAGTCAGCAGCTTATTCCTTCCCCAGCATGTCCTGTGATTGCATGAGGGCTAATTCCTATAATAGATCGCTCAACACATATCATCTGTGTCATAATGCTTTCCTGATGGGACTCTAACGGATACACCCTCCCTGTGCCCTACCAACCCCCAGACTGGATTAGTGCCTCTGTTACTATGTCACCTTAGACTTCTACTTCAACTGTGCTGATCACTAATGGCATAACTGTTTGCATAATTATTTATTGGATGCTTATTTTCCCTTTAAATTCCATGAAGGTGGGTAGGCTCCATGCCAGCCTTGTCCCTACCATGGCTACTTAAATCAGAGCATGCATTTTCTATGCAGAATACTTACAGAATGAATGATTTATTCTAAAAGCAGAGAGGGGACATGAACATTGATTTTGCTTTTAAGTGGTGGTTCACATTGTTTGCAGAATCTCTCAGCTGTCTAGAACCATTGACAAGTGCACTTGAGTGGCCACTTTCCACTCGCTGGCTCACCTGGCGCCCCAGCTTCTCAAAACAGGGGGACACAGGCATCCCCATGTGGCTGAAAGACACACATTTAGGGTAATTATCATTATGTATTTTGTTTGTTTGTTTGTTTGTTTGTTTTTTTAATTGGCCAGAAGGTCATTGTAGAGTTGGAATTTCCCTTTGTGGAGTCCCAGAAGCATGATGCAGAGGAATGAGCCTGGAAAGAAGAGATTGAGCCTAGTTTCAACTTGCTGTGTGGCCTTGGGCATGTCACCTCACTCATCTGAGCAACATGCTTATTGGTAAAAGACCTGGTTCTTCTCCCAGTGTGCCTATGGGTCCTTGAGTTTCTTAATTATTGATGGGTGCTTGTGAACTTTTAGTTGGAGGGAGGATTCCTGGATGTCCTACAATACATAAGAAAAGCCTGCAAAACTTTCAAATATCCCCAGAGACATTGATGTAATTGATAAGCCTGCTTATCTGAGATAATTTGTCACTATAAATATTTCACCATATACAAAAATATAAAATATGTTGTTCATACATGTAAGGTACTCTGAATTTTCCATGAATATAATACCTCGAATATCAGGGAAGGTTAAATAGGAAAGGACGGCATTCCATGAATGCTACACCTCGAATATCAAGGGAAGGAATATCAAGGGAAGGTTAGCTTTGTTAGGAGCTTCATCAAGAATTGCTTGCAATTTTAGAAAACTTATCACCAATAGCACTGCCACTTGTAGTCTTGGGTTGATAATAGAACACACATATACCCATTTAACTTATAACTGTTGCATTTCTTGTGATTCCAAGTATAGATTTGACAACTTCATGTGTCTACTGGTGTAGACCTATCGAACGCTGCATTTGCTAGATCATAAACAACTTTCCTTTTATGTCTGCTTTATATAACATAGTGAATCACGTTGGAGTTTTTTGTCTAGAAGTTTAGGTATATAGGTAGGTTCCCTAATCAATTAATTTCAGAATCATAAAATAAGCATTGCAAAAAATTGCTATTCAAAATGAGGCTGCATTGGAAAGCACTGGAGTCTTTAGACGATCTGAATGTGAATATCCTTTTAGCTTTAAAACATGTCTGCCTTTTCTCCATTCCACAATGCCACATTTGATTTCTAAAGGAGGTTTGGCAAAGGGAAAAGAGAGAAAACCCAAAATTAGCATGTTCAGGTATCGATATCTTCTTCTTCCATCTGTTCTTCCTCTTAACTGAATATTTGCATATTTATTGAAAACTTTTAGAGCAATGGAGGAGCACCAGTGACATCAAAGCTTCTTGGGAATTGTGTTGTGCTTGACATTGTCTTGTTTGCAAAATAGATTTTTCCAGTTGCAGAATTTAGCATTTACATGCAACAAAACTTGCCATTTAACATGATATAAGGGTTCTGTGTCTGCCTAGGATGTAGAAAACTGGAAAGAATGTCATTCAGACTTTAAGGAGAAAAAGCCAGATTAACTACCAAATCATGGCTTTTCCTGAACCCATCAGAGAGCCAGAGAGCAATCAAGTAGCTGGCCATCAAGGAAGGAGAGTCTCTCCCCCAAGAAAAGGCAGTGCACAAGCACCCTGGGGGTACCAGCCACAGGGGTTCACACTCACTCACAGACTCTTCTGTAGACTTCCACCAGTGACCCCTCAGAAAGATTGCAGAGGGGAGCTGGAGAGAGCGTCTTTGGTAGTGCAGGTCTATAGGGCATGATTGGCACCACTGAAGGGGTAGGGGGCCTGGGTGGCAGGGAGAAGGGGAAGAAGCAGAAAACCCCACCCTTCTGCCTGGTGCTTCCCTCATTGCAAAAGCCTTTAGCTGTTGACAGAGGAGGCAGTGGAATTTGTAGCCTCCAAGGCATAGAAACAGACCCATTGCTGCTAAGGGAAGGCTAGAAGACAAAGCTTCTACTCTGGGACAGAAAAGGCCTTGGGCTAGTGTATTAGTCTGTTTTGTACGGCTATAAGGGAATACCTGGGGCTGGGTAATTTATAAAGAAAAGAGGTTTATTTGGCTCATGATTCTGCAGCTGTGCAAAAAACATGATGCTGGCATCTGCTTGGTTTCTGGTGAGGCCTCAGGGAGCTGCTACTCAGAGCGGAGAGTGGAGGGGGAACAGAAAGTCATATGGGGAGAGAGGGAGTAAGAGAGGGGAGGGAGGTCTCAGACTCTTTAACAATCAGATCTCATGCGAACCCACTCATTACCATGAGGATGGCACCAAGACATTCATGAGGGATCTGCCCCCATGGCCCAAACACCTCCCACTAGGCCCACCTCCAACACAGGGAATCAAATTTCAACATGAGATTTGGAGGGGACTAAAATTCCAGACAATATCAGCCAGAATACTATTCCATCACCATTAGGATCTCCTATCCCTAGGGGAGGGTAGGAAGGCTCACAACAGCCAGAAAGCAGAGCTTGGCTTTCATGGGAAGGAGGGTCGGGGACACTTAGAAAGCTGCTGGAGGGTGCCAGGATATTCCACCCTAAAATACATCTCTTTAGCATATGGATTATTTTGAGCTAAAGGCCACTGACAACCAGCAGATGCAGAAAAAGCTCTAAAAATAGGGCAAAGTTTTCTTTATGTAAAAGAAATTTGCATTTAGAAAGGAAATTTCCATTTGGAAATGTGTCTCCATCTCCCATACCAGGAAGAGGAGAACTCTTAACTTTTATCAATGGAGAAGATGCAGACTCAAATTTGCATAGCAAATCTAACAAAATAACCTTTGTTTACTTTCTCTGGTCCAATTCCCATAACTTGCCACCTTCCCTTCCCACTCCCCATATTCCCCTTACCCACATTCCTTTGTATAACATGGTATATAAGCCTCAATCATCTGGCACCTCCCTGAGATGGATTTTTTTCTTTGTGAACTCCCAAGCATTTTTCATAATTAAAATGGTTTTTTTCCTCTTGCTAATCTGTCTTTTATCAGTCTGATTCCCTGACCCCAGCCATTGAACCTAGGAGAGTAGAGGGCAAAACATTTTCCTTCATTATGCTATATTCTTAAGCCCCAAACACACAAGGACTATCTAAGACTGATGCAAGCCTAGGACAACAGAGATCTGCTTGCAACCTGCCACCAGCCTTGCAAATACTGAGTGACAAACAGCAGCATCTACTGATGGTGAAGGATGGAACTTGAAGAAACATCCTCTGTGAGGCTGGCACATAGGATTGTGCAAAAGCTGAGTTAGTGGAGTAAGATCAGTGAGAAAAACCTCTGAGCACTAAAGCCCCCATCCTAAGCTAAAGCATTGTTAATGGGTTGCAAAAGCTTTGGCACAGGGATGGTAATTGTATAAGTTTACTAGGGCTGCTGTAACAAAGTGCCACAGGCTGCAGTAGCTGAAAACACAGAGATCTATTTTCTCATAGTTCTAGAGGCTAGAAGTCTGAGATCAAGGTGTCAGCAGGGTTGGTTCCTTTGAGGCCTCTCTCCTTGGCTTGCAGATGGTCATCTTCTCCCTGTGGCTTCACACAGCTTTTTTGTGGTGTCCATGCATCCCTGTTCTCTTTAATAAAGACATCAGTCAGATTGGATTAAGCCTTAATTATGATTTCAATTAAACTTAATTACCTCTTTAAAGACCCTATCTCCAAATACAATCACATTTGGCTTCAACATAGAAATTTTTGGGGAGGGGACAGAATTCAGTCCATAATAGTAACCATAGCTAAAACAAAAACCTAAAGCAGTTCAATCCTAACTAGATTTACTCAATGCCACTTCTTGTCTTAAAAAAAAATCACCTATCACTGTAGGTATTTTCCCTATTGCTGCATAGTCGTCATGGCTGCCATTTTTAATGGCTGCTGATGGTTTCTTTGAGTGCTTTCTTGTTCTTCACTTATGCCTTTCTCTATCATTGCACATTTTAGGTTAGTTCCATTTTTTTCCCGTAAAGAAAAATCCTCATGCACATCTTTTCCCATAGTTTGGAATAGTCTCTCAAGATAGGTTCTGAAAAGAGAAATGACTGCATCAAAGGGCATGACTCCTGTCATGGGCTGAATTGTGTCCCTCCAACATTCATATATTGAAGCTCTGGGTCCCAGTGAGATGGTATTGGAGATGGGGCCTTTGGGAGGTAATTAGGGTTAAGCGAGTTCAGAAGGGTGGGGCCTTAAGCCAATGGAACTGGTGACTTCATAAGAGGAGGTGGAGACACCCAAAAGCTCTCTGTCTCCAGCTGCCATATGAGTACACAGCAAGAAGGTGGCTGTCTGTAAGCCAAGAAAAGAGCCCTCACCAGGAATGGGATTTGCTGGCATTTTGCTCTTAAAATTCTAATTTCCAAAACTGTGAAAAAAAAACTTCTTTGTTTAAGCCACCCAGTCTGCAGTATTCTGTGTGAGTCCAAGCAAATGAATGTAACCCCTTTTATATGCATTACTTTTCAAAAAATGTATCAACCTGCCCTTGCCTACATTAACAGCCATCTGCCTTTTTTTCTGAGTGTTTGTATAAACTTCTTAGTACTTATCCCTTCTAAATTAAGTTTTCTGTCATCTGTAAATGACAATTCACATGCACTCCCTCATGTAAATAATTTACAAAGCTATATGTCAGATTCTAGCACTAATATCCAATAATTCAAAATCATATATTTTGTATCTTTAAGCCCATCAATAACAAAGTAGTCCTTCTAATTCTGATATTTCTCTTTTTCTCTCTATTTCTTGGATAATCTTGTTCATGTACCAGGAAACACACACATAATAAAAATCATCTCCCTCCAAAAAACTCAAACAAACCCCAAACCCCAAATAAAAAACTCTAAGGCCATACAAATTCATTCCTAACCCCTATAAGTATTTTAACATAAACATTTTTCTAAAGCATATTTATATGTATCTTAATACACAAAAAGCGTTAGTTAAATCCTTGTTGCTGTTAAGTAATTTGTGTTAGTTTAGAAAAGGGAGAGGAAAACTTAAATGAAACATTTTTCTTTCATGTGAGTCAGCAAATACTGTGAGTGAAAATTATACAGAAATTAAAAATGAATAGCCAAGGAGAGATTTACCATAGTTGGATGATTTGACTTCTAAGATAAACCCTGACTCACGCTAGAAAATGGCCTCTCTGGGACTCCAGAAGTATCATGTCAATGGAAGGCCAAATTTTGTTCAGAACATTTATTTTATTATCTTTGATAGAAGCTACTTCAAAGTCAGGCAACAAACATTTATTAATCTTCCAAGGTTTCTTAGGACATAAAGAATAAAGTGCTATCCTCATAGAATTTTCAAGTTATTGGTTTTGTCAAATTGTTGTTTTAAGGTTGAATGATGATTGCAATTTTCCCTGTGGACTTGCATTTGAGTTCTCACATGAGCTAATACTCTCTGAAAGAGAAAAATTTCTTTGCTTCTCAGGTCTGTTTACTTTATATTTCTTCTCTATTTAGTTTATTTTTCTTGCAGCCAATGTACAGGTCAGGACTTTTTGAGGTATTAGTGAAATTTTCAGATGATCCAAAATTGTCACTGTCTTAGTTTGTTTCATGCTGCTATAACAGAATACCTGAGAATAGATACTTTAGAAAGAACAGAAATTTATTTAGCTTATAGTTTTGAGCGCTGCAAAGTCCAAGAGCATAGTGCTGGCATCTGGTGAGGGCCTTTGTGCTGTGTCATCTCCTGGTGAAGGTGGAAGGAAAAGAGAGAAGGAGACAAAACAAGAGAGCATCCTTGTGAGAGACAGAGAGAGAGAGGAGAGGAGGGGAGGGGAGGGAAGGGAAAGGAAGGGAAGAGAAGGGAAGGGAAGACAGCTGAACTCATCCTTTTGTCAGGAACCTGCTCATGTGATAATACACTCCTGTGATATAATGGCATGAATCCACCTATGACAACAGAGCCCTCATGACCTAATCATCTTTTAAAGGTCTCACCTGTCAATGCTATTGCATTGGAGATTAAATTTCCAGTATATGAACTTTTCAAACCTATAGCAGTTACTTGGAATTAAAATTGGCTCTTAAATTCAGTTTCCTTATCATTCAATTTCCTGACAAAACATGTGACCCAGTAGTAGCAAAATTGATGGAGAGGAGGATTTTAGTTTGAGTCTCCTCTCCCACCAAATAAGGCGATTCCAGAAAGCAAGAGTTAGAGAGTAGGGAGATTGACAGAGGGTTTGTCATACAAGGGTACCCTCATATGTTATCAGTATAATACATAAAGCCAATAGGGGTTGCTTCTGTAGTTGATGAGGGTTCAAGCCCAGTGGAGCCCCTGCAAGGAGTATGGGATGCCTCCCAGAAAGGTCTGCTTGAAGGACAGGAGGGTGCAACATTTATTCATCTGTTCCCATTCCCATTGGTTGGGGATATTAACCTCCTCCTCCCTTGCTCCCAACTACTGAGAAGACTCCAGAGCAGGCAAAAGTGAAAGACCCAAGGTGGCCATCTGAGGTGAGATGCTGCAAAATGCAAGATGGGTGATATGGTTTGGCTGTACCCCCCTCCAAATCTCATCTTGGACTGTATCTCCTATAATTCCCACGTGTCATGGGAAGGACCTGGTGGGTGGTAATTGAATCATGCGGGAGGGTCTCTCCCATGCTGTTCTCGTGATAGTGAATAAGTCTCATGAGATCTGATGGTTTTATAAATGGGAATTCCCCCTGCACAAGCTCTCTTGCCTGCTACCTTTGTCTTCTGCCATGATTATGTAGAACTGAGTCAATTAACCAAGAGTTGACTTTTTAAGTCTTTCTGTTTTATTGGTAAACTGCTGAGAAATTGTACTACACTTGCAACTACTCTTTGATTATGATAATTATAAGGAAACAAATTAATAAATCTGGGGGTATTAATGGACATTCTTCTGTTGTTCTTGATATGCAATTGGTTCTTCTTGTACAGATCTGTAGGAATAGCTAGACTTAAAATTAGTGCATGTGACATGCTTTAAACATATTTGTTTTTTCAGGGCAATTGTGGGCAAGTGCAATAGCAGCCTGCAAGAATGCAACATTTATGTATATTCTCTGGAAAATGCACAACCCTAACCTTCCAAGACAAAGACAAATTGTAGTAAGAGCATTGACTATGGTCGGCCATGTTTAAGGATAACTCCAGAATACTCTTGACTTTTTATTCCATCATTAAGATAAAAATAAGTAATAACATGTGTCCGAGTGTGACACTACATAAAATCAAGCTGTGATTTATGCCTTCTTAAAAGTTTAAAATACTGAACGGATTACTGAGGTTAGAAATGAAATAATGTAGAGTCAACCAGGTGAACATTTAAATGAATGTTTTAAAAAGCAGGCTATTAACATCATTACCAAGTAGCAAGGTAGTGAGTATTGTTATGAGATTTCATGTTTCCTTTGGGGAGGGTGGGCTGGGAGATTTTGCCATCGTTTTCACATAGTAGTAAGCTTTTTTTTGGAATAAATGGATTTCAAGGACTGCTTAAATTTAGGATGAGATAATGATAGGGGATTGGAGATGAGTAGACTGGGATTCCAAAGATGACTTGAAGATGATGAAACTGTGGTCAGCAGTGCACTTAGTACATTTTGCAGAGAAGAACACATACTTTAGGCATTTCCAGAAAAGAATACGTACTTTAGGCAATCTAGCAAAAGTTGTTGCTCTTAATAACGCTGAATTAATGGATAAAGAGAGATGTAGATGTGTAAAATGAAGAAGCCCAGTGAAGGTTGAAGAAATACATGGAGGTGGTGGATTTTGCCCTTCACTATGGGAGGGAAAGATGTTGGAGAGATCCGAGGGGAAAGAAGTAATAGGAAGAGGAAGAGGAGGTCAGGGTATAGCCCAAGAGAAGTCAGGCAGCAGACACATGATCTAGTGCGAAACAGGCTTTAATGATGAGCAGGGATGAACCAGAATAAAGAACATGGAAAATATTATTAAGGACCTACCCTAGGGGAAGGTCTTTGGTAATTCGTGGGTGATGTGTTACTGAGAATCTCCTGAGGAAATGAGTAGTTTTGAATGGCCAGATTCTCCTCAGAGCACTTTTACCATACATCATCTTCCACTGTGTAACTGAAGTCCAAGTTTCACTTCCCATTTTTTGGTTGTTAAGTCCACTCATTAATGATTTGAGCAGAGTCTGCATGGAAACAGGTCTCCAGACAAGAGTCTCTTCAGTACTGCCAAGTGCATAGCTAGGGATTTCTCCTAGAAAGACTGCCTGTCTCTGGCACACCTCTCATTGAAGCGTTTAAGGGGTGCACAGGGCACAGTAATCCTTGCAAGACTTCTCCTTCCCCAGCCTCTCTACCGGTCTGAGGATATCATTAGGGCTACTTATCCACTTTCTCCTAAAAGACCATGAGAAATAATCTCATCACTCTGTACTTCTCAGCGTCTACCAGAATGTCAAGCCTTTGAGAAGACACTTTCCCCATACCCTGACTTGTGCCCTCAGGAGGTTCTTCACATTCCTTAAGAGGACTCAATCTTCCAGCCCTTCCTTACCAAGCAGATACTTCCACTGTGTCCTCTGGAATCAGCACTATCATCAGCAAAACCCCGTGTACGTCCAGTCTTTTCTCAGAAAGTTCTCTTCTTTGAGATCTGCTCTCCCCTGAGGACCCTGCTTTCTCCTGTAGTCCTCTTGAATGGTGGCTATTTCCTCTCCCATTCTGCATGGAGTATAGAGTTGGGAAGTATGGGAGTTATCCTTTCTGATTTGCATGATCTCTTCTTGATCATTTTCTTCCCCCTTTCCTAAAAAATTCTGGTCCTTTGAGGTAACTGCCATTACCATATGAGTTAGTCTGGGTTCTCCAGAGAAACAGAACCAATAGGCTATCTATCTAACTATCTATCTATCTATCTATCTATCTATCTATCTATCTATCTATCTATCTACTATCTCTATATTATCTATCTATCTATTATCTATCTATCTATCTATCTATCTATCTATCTATCTATCTATCTATCTATCATCTATCTATATCTTCTACCAAGTGATTTACTGTAATAAATTAGCTCATGCTATTATGGAGGATGAGTTCAAGATTTGTGGTCAGCAAGTTGCAGACTCAGGAGAGTAAATGGTATAGTTCCTGCTGCCCATCTTGGAAGGCCTGGGAACCAGGAGAGCCAATAGTGTAAGTTCCAGGCAAAGTCCAAGGGCATGACAACCAGGATAACTGATGATATAATTTTTAGTCTGAGTTCAAGTTCAAGGGAAGGAGAAGATCAATGTCCCAGCTCAAAGACAGTCAGGCAGAGAAAGAATTCCTTCTTACTCAGCCTTTGATTCTATTCATACCTTCAATGGATTGGATGAGGCCTACTCACACTAGGGAGGGTTATCTACTTGACTCAGTCTACTAATTCAGTTGTTAATCTCATCCAGAAACACCCTCACACCGACACCTAAAATATCATCCTTTATTGTTTGGATAAGTGGAGTATTGGAACAATGGCTAAAATGAGAATAGAGAAGAAAAATTTAATTAAATATCTGGTCACCATGTGGCCCAGTCAAAATGACACATTAAAATTAACCATCACTCTGCACTTGTCACAGGCCTCAGCTCATCTTCTGGTTACTTCTCCTTGCTCGCTAAAGGTTATAACATTCATGTCATTCTTACTAGCTAGGGAACTATAGAGAAAATATTTTTGTGTTTCTCGAGTTAGAATTTTCTGGGCAAATTTTATTAAAATTTCTTTAAAAGAATATGACTTGAAAGCTGAAGAATGATTAGATACTGACAGACTTTCCAGAGAGATTTATCCTCCTGAAGGCATGTGTTTACATTTCAAGGGGGATGAGACCTGGGACCATGGACATATTCCTGGGATCCAAATCTGGAGACACTAGTCTTCTCTTCCTTTTAGAAACATTTATTTATATTCTGAAGTGTAAAATCCCTGGGTATTTTCTAAAGAAAATTTATTTACCTAGGGAGATTATTTCTCTGTCTCAGAACGGAGGAGGGCTACTCTCTAAGTCAGCCTCTGTAACTACCCAGGTTTATGATGTCATTGCAGAGCATGGTATATGGAGGGTGATGTCTGATCTGGCTTTCATTGCACCACCTTACGGGTAAGAATAAAGCATGGAGGGAACAGTATGGTTACTGTAAGTAAGAATTATTTTATTTTATTTTTTTTTGAGACAGGGTCTCGTTCTGTTGCCCCCAGGCTGGAGTGCAATGGCCTGATCTCGGCTCACTGCAAGTTCCGCCTCCTGGGTTCACGCCTTTCTCCTGCCTCAGCCTCCCAAGTAGCTGGTACTGCAGGCGCCCGCCACCACGCCCGGCTAATTTTTTTGTACTTTTAGTAGAGATGGGGTTTCACTGTGTTAGCCAGGATGGTCTTGATCTCCTGACCTTGTGATCCGCCCGACTCGGCCTCCCAAAGTTCTGGGACTAAAGGTGTGAGCCACTGCGCCCGGCATAAGTAAGAATTATTAATCTGTTCTTGCTTCAGAACATCTGTCTTTTCAACTTAATACGAACAAATATAAATATTAAACACTTCACTTTGTCTTCAAAACTGCTCAAAACACTTCACTTTGTCTTCAAAACTGCTCCCAGAATTTTCCTAGCATTTTTGGTGATTCAACATTCATGTCAAACCACCACACTTGGGCTCCCCAGTTTCTTCATTTCCTCATTGTTGCATGCACAAATTTTTCTCTGCTCTATCTCAGCCACATCCTACTCCTTCGGTTATTCCTTAGACCTCCAAAATTTTAATTATAAGCATTTTTCTCCAAGATCTCCCTCATTTCTTTACTTATCTTAATCATTCTCTTCCAACAGCACTTCATCTACTTTGGGAATGCCAATGAATCCGATTTCTTCTTCACTCGTCATTACCTCTATGTCTGCTCTTTCTTTTCTTGTTTTTTATTGACCCAGTTTAGAGTTTACAGAGTCCTTAAATATAATCACTACTTTGAAAACATCCTCAGCTGTTTTGCTCCTCTTGACTTTGCTTGGCAAAACTCAGCCTTGGCTAAAACTTCTGGCCATTTCACACCTGCATCCAAGCAACTGAAGTTGGCTAGAAACAATTGCTACCAGCATGGACTGGTTCCACTTTGAATTCGTAACACAACCTCATGTAGGTCCTCAGCACTGCCTGACTAACCTGTTACTTTCTGTTGTCAATTTTTTTCCACACCCAGAAACAACTATTTCATACTTTCTTATCTACCCTCAAAATGCCAATATCCTTCTGTATCAGTGAGTTTTTGCTGTGTAACGGGCAAGGACACAATCCCAGTGGCATACAGTGGTAAGGATTTGTAATCATGCTCACAGGTTTATGCATCAGCTGGAGCTCCTTGTTTCATGTGTCTCTCATTATTCTGGTACCGCCTGGTTGCCAAGGGCATATTCTTCTCTTGACAGTGGCAAAAGCACTCTGTTCACTTCATATTTACTCAAATATCATTGGCCAAACTAAGTCACAAGGCCAAGTCCCACATCAATGAGGTGGGAAAGTATATTCTTCAGATGGAGATGGCAGGGAAAGGGAGCGAATATTTGCTGAATAATAATCACTCCCAATTGATGACCTTGCTTTATTTCATTGAACAATCAACAGAGATCTACCTTATGTTTTCCCCACCAAATCTGCTAACCCAACAGCATTTGTCCGTCTCATGCACTCTGCCTTTGCTCCTGTGATACAGGGCCTGCTGTGTCTAAGCCCAACCCCTCCAACTGTGCCTTGGATATCACTGCTTCTGTCTATACAGCTGGCTTCCTTGGATCATCCCTTTTCTCTTCTCTCATGGATCACTCTCATCAGCAAACATGCTGTATGATCTCCCATACCAAAATGTTGTTCTTTGAATTCTCATCTGCTTCTAGTCACGAACTTAATTTGCTGATCTTTACAGCAAAACCTTCAAAAGAGTTACTTCCCCAAATCAGTTTCCACTCTCTCGTCTGTCAGGCTCCCTTCTTTCCATTCCTATGAAGGATTAATTCTCCACATTGCAATCACTTTTGTCAAAGTCATCAACCACCTCCATCTTGTCAAATCCAAGGCACAATCTGCAGTCCTCATCTTGTGTGATGCACCAGCAACATTTGATACACTTGATCACTTCCTTCTTGAAATCTCATTTGGTGTCTATGAACCTCGATTCTCCCCATCCCATGTCACTAGCTTTTCTTTCTATACTTTTTATTTTTAGGATTGTCCTCTTCTTGTGACCTCTAAATATTGGTTGAGACTGGACTAAGAGTCATTCTGGACTCAGTTTTTTGTTCTCTTCTCTTCTTTATCTACAACTCCTCCCTAGGTAGTTTCACTGTCTCATGGCTTTAAAAACCATAAATATGATGATAGCTTCATGTTTTTTCTTTATCTTTGACCTCCTGCACTAAACTCAATATTTGTTATCCAATTTGCTATTTGGCATCTCATGTGGATATTGAATGGACACCTCGGTATACATAGGAATATCAGATTTCTTCCCAAACTCACTGCCCCTCAAATCAGTAAATGGTGCTGCTAGTAGTCAGGCTACCTGGCTTTGGTTCTCTTCTTTACATATTTCATTCATTGTCTTGTTGGTAATATCCTTAAAATACATCTGGAATTCATCTATTTGTCATCCCTTCTGTGGTAGGCAGAATTGTGGCCCCTCAAAGATGTTCATGCTCTAATCCTTAGAACCTGTAACTATTACTTTACATGACGAAAGAGACTGTGCAGATGTAATTAAGGTAATAGACCTTGAGACAGGAGATTATCCTAGATTATCTGAGTAAGTCCAGCCTAATTCACATGAGCCTCTAAAAGTAGAAGAGAAAGGCTGAAATGTGGGTCAGAGAGATATGACATTAGAAGGACTGAACTGCTGCTGCTGGCTTTAAAGTTGAAGAAAAAGGGTCACAACCAAGGAATGTGGCAGCCTCTAAAAGACGAAAACAGCTGTCATTTTACAGCTTGGAAGAAAACAGAGACCTTGGTCCTTTGGCCAAAAACAAACTGAATTCTCACAACTCAAACAGGAAATAAGTCATTCCCTAGAGCCTCCCAAAAGGAATGCAACCTTGCCCACACCTTGATTTTAGTCTCAGGAGACCATATCAGCCTCTGATCTACAGAACTGTAGGATAATAAATTAGTGCTATTTTAAGGCATTAAGTGTGTGACAACTTGTCACAACTGCAATAGACAACTAATATAACCCCCATTACTATCATCCCATCAAAGCCAGCATCATCTCTCCCCTGCAATAGTCAACTGATTGCTTCTACTCCATAAAATAATCAGTGATATTTATTTATTTATTTATTTATTTATTTATTGCGATGGAGTCTCACTCTGGCGCCCAGGCTGGAATGCAGTGATGCGATCTTGGCTCGCTGCAACCTCCACCATATGGGTTCAAGTGATTCTCCTGTCTCAGCCTCCTGAGTAGCTGGGACTACAGGTGCCCGCCACCACACCTAGCTAATTTTTGTATTTTTGTTAGAGATGGGGTTTCACTATGTTGGGCAGGCTGGTCTTGAACTCCTGACCTCAAAAAATCCACCCGCCTCAGTCTCCCAAAGTGATAGGATTACAGGCGTGAGCCACGATGCGCAGCCCAGAGTGATATTTTAAAACGTAAATCAGATCATGCCATTCTCCTGCTCAGAAACCTCTAAAAGTTTACCAATACATTAAATAAAACCCAAATTTTTGGCCATGACCCATAAATCTCTGCATGTCTGATGCTTGCATGTCTGCGTAAATTAACACGATCTTGCATTCTTCCATTCTTTTCTCTTGTTTTACTCCAGCCAAACTGGTCTTCTTGCAAAATTCTCAAACACACCAAGCTCATCCCTGTCTCAGGGCTTTTATCCTTTTAGCACCCTTGCCCTTGAATCTTCACTCCTTCCCCAGATACTCACCAGGTTTGTTTCCTCATTTTATTCAGGTCTGTGTTTCCATGGTTCCTCCATCAGCGGAACTCTGACAACCGTATATAAAATCACTCCATGTCCCACTCCTGTCACCTCTATTTCTTCACCTGCTGCATTGTTCTTGGTAGCATTTATTTGTGTTTGAAATGAGTATCATGGATTCATTTCTTTACTAGTTTATTGTATGTCTCTGTTCCCAAAAGCTAGCTTCATGAGGGTCCCTGAAAATTCTGTCTCCTGTGTTGCTGTATTATGTGTTTCTGGCTAGACAGCTCCTGGCATATAAGAAGGGTTCAATATGTTTTTGTTGAATGAATAGGTAAAGGGCAGAGTGTGGCTAGGGTGTCTGAGCCTTTGATTCAATGAATCCATCTCTTCCATGCCTCACATGTTTGGCAGAGGGAGTAAAGAGAGACACTGAATTTTCTAAATGATTAATTCTTTATCAGGCTGATCACCACATCTGTGAGTTCACTGGGTGCAGGGTCTCTGTAGAGCTACAGAAGGCAGTACTGCTGAATGAGTCGGCTGGCACATTGTGTATTTCCCAACACAGCAGAATTAGGGTCCCTGAGACAAGTCAAACGAGGAGCATTTGAAGGCCTGGTCAGCTGCTGCCTCAGGACTTTGGGGCTCAGGCGTTTAAGAGTTCATGACATTTTTCTTGCTTCTTTGGTTTTCTGCTGAACCTACATGCTTCTCAAATATGATGATTACTGGAAGAAGATTCTCCCCTCTTTCCACTCACAATGTGAGCTGGTCCCATGCTGTCACCACCTGGGGGAGAGGTCACCAAGCATGATCTTCTGATTAAGTCAGGCATCCAGCATCTCTCATTTCTGATGACATCACTAAAATGTTGACAAGGGCATATGATGCTAAAAAATACTTATTTATAGAACAAACCCCTTTGTTTAGGGAGGTGAGTCTGGCAGATGTGTCCTTGGGCCTGTGAGGAGGACTTTTCCATTTTGCAGCTTACTTCTTCCCACCTGTGCTTCAGGACCCAGTTTGCACAGTAGAACTCCACCTTCTTTGTTCACGTCATGAGTTTGTAAGTTTGACCAAATAGTGCTTTGTTCTGGTCAAGTCCAGGATCAAGCAGCATTTTCTAGTGCACGTTGACTTTAGGATTTCATATGTCGTGATCTACAACTCAGGAGCCATGCTGAGCTGCATTCAAAAAGTGCCTTGTGATGGGTAACAATAACCCTTGACATTTATTGGAGACAACTATGTGCCAGACTCTGTGTGAGAACAGCACTATATAGGCACAGTCCCTTCTCTTCCATTCTCTTTCCACCAGCTTCATTCTGGCTTCTGTTCCCATCATAGCACTGAATCAGCTCAGGTCAAGGTTACCCATGACCACCATCTTGTCAAGATCCAAGAGAATCACATGGGTCCCCTCCCTCGCCTCAGCATTTGATTCATTTGACCACTTGCTTCTTTTTTTCCCACCATTTTTTCTATTTCAATAGGTTTTGGGGGAACAGGCAGTGTTTGGTTACATGAATAAGTTCTTTCATGGTGAGTTCTGAGATTTTGATGCACACATCACCCAAGCAGTGTACACTGTGGGCAGTGCATAGTCTTTTATCCCTTGTCATCCCCCATTGTTTTCCCCAAGTCCCCCAAGTCCAATGTATCATTCTTATGCACTTGCATCCTCATAGGTTAGCTCCCACATGAGTCAGAACATATGATGTTTGGTTTTCCATTCCTGAGTGACATCACTTAGAATAATAGTCTCAAATTCCGTCCAATTTGCTGCAAATGCCATTATTTTGTTCACTTTTGCAGTTGAGTATTATTCCATAGTGTGTGTGTGTATATATATATTTATCATATATGTATGACATATATATATAACATTTTCTTTATCCTTTTTCTATATATATATATAAGATTTTCTTTATCCACTTGTTGATTGGTGGGCATTTGGGCTTGTTTCATATTTTTGCAATTGCAAATTGTGATGCTATAAACGTGTGTGCAAGTATCTTTTTTGTATAATGACTTCTTTTCCTCTGGGTAGACACCTAGTAGTGGTACTGCTGAATCAAATGGTAGATGTACTTTTAGTTCTTTAAGGAATCTTCACACTGTTTTCCACAGTGGTTGTACTAGTTTACATTCCCACCAACAGTGTGAAAGTGTTCCCTTTTCACGGCATCCATGCCAATATCTATTTTTTTAAATTTTTTTGATTATGGCCATTCTTGCAGGAGTAAGGTGGTATTGCATCGTGGTTTTGATTTGCATTTCCCTGATTATTAGTGATGTTCAGCATTTTTTCATATGTTTGTTGACTGTTTGTATATCATCTTTTGAGAATTGTCTATTCATGTTCTTAGCCCACTTTTTGATGGGATCGTTTGTTTCTTTTCTTGCTGATTTGTTTGAGTTCTTTGTAGATTCTGGATATTAGTTATTGTTGGAGGTATAGATGGTGAAGATTTTCTCCCACTCTGTGGGTTGTCTATTAACTCTGCTGATTATTTATTTTGCTGTGCAGAAGCTTTTTAGTTTAACTAAGTCCCATCTATTTGTCTTTGTTTTTGTTGCATTTGCTTTTGGGTTCCTGGTCATGGGGTCTTTGCTTAAGCCTATGTCTAAAAGAATTTTTCCAATGTTATCTTCTAGAATCTTTATGGTTTTAGGTCTTAGATTTAAGTCTTTGGTCCATCTTGAGTTGATTTTTGTATAATGTGAGAGATGAAGATCCAGTCTCATGTCTCTACATGTGGCTTGCCAATTATCCCAGCACCGTTTATTGAATAGGGTGTCCTTTCCCCACTTTATGTTTTTGTTTGCTTTGTGGAAGATCAAAGTATCTGGATTTATTTCTGGGTTATCTATTCTGTTCCATTGGTCCATATGCCTATTTTTATACCAGTACCATGCTGTTTTGGTGACAAGTATTTGGCTTTATTTCTTGGTTCTCTATTATGTTTCATTGGTCTATGTGCCTATTTTTATACCAGTACCATGCTGTTTTGGTGTCTATGGCTTTATAGTTTGAAGTCAGGTAATGTGATACCTCCAGATTTGTTCTTTTTGCTTAGTCTTGCTTTGGCTATGTGGGCTCTTTTTTGGTTCCATATGAATGTTAGGATTCTTTTTTCTAGTTCTGTGAAGAATGATGGTGGTAGTTGATGGGAATTGCATTGAATTTTTAGATTGCTTTTGGCAGTGTGGTCATTTTCACTATATTGATTCTAACTGTTTATGAGCTTGGGATATGTTTCCATTTGTTTGTGTCATCTATGATTTATTGCAGCAGTGTTTTGTAGTTTTCCTTGTAGAGGTCTTACATGTCCTTAGATATATTCCTAAGTATTTTTTTTTTTTGCAGCTATTGTGAAATGGGTTGAGTTCTTAATTTGATTCTCAGCTTGGTCACTGTTGGTATATAGCAGAGCTACTGATTTGGGTACATCGATTTTGTATCCTGAAACTTTGCTGAATTTGTTTACCAGTTCTAGGAGTTTCTTTGATGTGTCTTTAGGGTTTTCTAGGTATATGATCATATCATCAGCAAATAGCGCTGTTGGTATATAGCAGAGCTACTGATTTGGGTACATCGATTTTGTATCCTGAAACTTTGCTGAATTTGTTTACCAGTTCTAGGAGTTTCTTTGATGTGTCTTTAGGGTTTTCTAGGTATATGATCATATCATCAGCAAATAGCGACAGTTTGACTTCCTGCTTACAAATTTGGATGCCCTTTATTTCTTTCTCTTGTCTGATTGCTCTGGCTAGGACTTCCAGTACTATGTTGAATAGAAACAGTGAACGTGGGCATCGTTGTCTTGTTCCAGTTCTCAGGGGGAAAGCTTCAACTTTTGCCCATTCAGTATATGTTGGCTGTGGGTTGTCATAGATGGCTTTATTACATTGAGGTATGTCCTGTATATGCTGATTTTGCTGAGGGTTTTAATCATAAAGAGATGCTGGATTTTGTCAAGTGCTTTTTCTGCATCTATTGAGATGATCATGTGATTTTTTGTTTTTAATTCTGTTTATGTGGTGTATCACATTTATTGACTTGTGTATGTTAAACCATCCCTGCATCCCTGGTATGAAACCTATTTAGTCGTGGTGGATTGTCTTTTTGATATGCTGTTGGATTCTGTTCACTAGTGTTTTGTTGAGGATTTTTGCATCTATGTTCATTAGGGACATTGGTCTGTAGTTTTTTTTGTTATGTCCTTCACTGGTTTTGGTATTAGGGTGATACTGGCTTCATAGAATAATTAGGAAAGATTCCCTCTTTCTCTATCTTTTGGAATTCTGTCAGTAGGATTGGTACCAATTCTTCTTTGAACATCTGTTAGAGTTCAGCTGTGCATTTGTCTGTCCCTGGACTTTTTAGTAGGCAGTTTAAAAATTACCATTTCGATCTCACTGCTTGTTATTAGTCACTGCTTGTTATTGATCTCTGTTAAGAGATTCCATATCTTCCTTGTTTAATCTAGGAGGGTTGTGTATTTCCAGGAATTTATCCATCTCCTCTAGGTTTTCCAGTTTATGTGCATAAAGGTGCTCATAGTAGCCTTGAATAATCTTTTCTATTTCTATAATCCTTTCTATTTTTATTTCTTTCCTATATCAGTTGTAATATCTCCCATTTCATTTCTAATTGAGCTTATTTGGATCTTGTCTTTTCTTTTCTTGGTTAATCTCACTAATGGTCCATCAATTTTATTTATGTTTTCAAGGAACCAGCTTTTTGTTTCATTTATCTTTTGTGTTTTTTTTAGTTTCTGCAAATTTGGTTCTGATCTGATCTTCAGTATTTCTTTTCTGCTGTGGGGTTTGGGTTTGGATTGTTCTTGTTTCTACAGTTCCATGAGGTGTGACCTTGAATTGTCTATTTGTGCTTTTTCAGACTTTTTAATGTAGGCATTTAATGCTATAAACTTTCCTCTTAGCACTGCTTTTGCTGTATCCCAGAAGTTTCGATAGTTTATGTCACTATTATTGTTCAGTTCAAAGAAATTTTAAATTTCCATCGTTATTTCATTGTTAACCCAATGATCATTCAGGAGCAGGTTATTTAATTTCCTTGTATTTGCATGGTTTTGCAGGTTGCTTTTGGAGTTAATTTCAAGTTTTATTCCACTGTGGTCTGAGAGAGTACTTGTTGTAATTTCAATATTCTTAAATTTATTAAGACTTGTTTTGTGGCCTATCATATGATCTAGCTTGGAGAATGCTCCATGTGCTGATAAGTAGAATGTTTATTTTGCAGTTGTTGGGTAGAATGTTCTTTAAATATCTGTGAAGTCCATTTGTTGTAGGGTATAGTTTAAGTCCATTGTTTCTTTGTTGACTTTCTGTCTTGATGACCTGTCTAGTGCTATCAGTGGGGTATTGAAGTCTCCCACTGTTATTATGTTGCTGTCTATCTCATTTCTTAGGTTTAGTAGTAATTGTTTTATAAATTTGGAGGTTCCAGTGTTAGGTGCAGATAAATTTAGAATTGTGATATTTTTCTGTTAGACTAGTCCTTTTATCATTATATAATATCCCTGTTTATCTTTTTTAACTGCTGTCGCTTTAAAGTTTGTTTTGTTGGATACAAGAATAGCTATTCCTGCTTGCTTTTGGTGTCCATTTTTATGGAATATCTTTTTCCACTTCTTTATCTTAAGTTTATATGAATCCTTATGTTTTAGGTGAATCTCCTGAAGACAGCAGAAACTTGGTTAGTGAATTCTTAACCATTCTGCCTTTCTATATCTTTTAAGTGGAGCATTTAGGCCATTTACATTCAATGTTAGTATTGCAATGTGAGGTACTGTTCTATTCATCATGCTTCATCATGCTATTTGTTGCCTGAACACCTTGTTTTTTTTTTTTCCTCATTGTGTTATGTTATAAAGGGAGTAGCAAATTCTCTCAGCATTTGTCTGGAGAAGACTTCTTGCAAGCTCTGTTTATTTTTTAAAAATTCCTTTTTCTTTGTCTCTGACGGATTGGATTAATTCAAAACCTTGTGTTTGAGCTCTGAAGTTCTTTCTTTTTCTTTGATTCTATTGCTGAGACATTCCAGTGCATTTTGCATTTCTCTAAGTGTGCCCTTGATTTCCAGAAGTTGTAATTGTTTTTTTATTTATGCTATCTATTTCACCAAAGACTCTTCCTTTCACATTCTGTATCATGTTTTTGATTTCTTTAAGTTTGACCACTTGCTTCTTCTGAGCCACCTTCTTTGTTGGCTCTTATGTTGCCTCATTTTCTTGATTTTCCTGCTACTTCAAATTGCTTTCTTTAGTGCTTGTTTTTATAAGATTGCATGTTGGAGGACCATTTCCCTTGTCCTTGTTTTCCTGTTTGTTTACACTCTCTCTGTAGGTAATATTTTATGGTCCAATGATTTTACATACCACTCATATGCTAACAGCTTCCCAGTTTATCTTAGCCTTGTATATAAAATGTCCCCTTGACATCTCTATTTTGATGTCTACTAGGCTGCTCAAAGTAAAATGTCCAAAACAGAACTTTTGATCCTGTATAAAATATGGAGAAAAATCTGGAAGTAGATCTTAATTCTTTTCTTTCCTTCATTGTGACATACAAATCCACAGTAAGTCCTGCCAACTCTACCTTGATACTACATTTCCTTAGCTCATCCACTAGGCTCATCCCCATGGCTCCCATGCAGGTCCAAGCCACCATCACCTCTTGTCTAGAAAACTACCCTAGACTCTTTATGGTCTCGTTGCTTTCACTCTACCTCCAGTACGTGTCATTCTCTTAGCAGCAAGAAGAGTCTTTAAAAATGTAAATCAGATAATATTATTTCCTTATTAAAACTATCCAGTGGCTTCCCATTATACATAAAGAAAAAAATCCTCCAAGATTTCTTAACCTGGGTGTGCCTAATTATTCTGACTTCAGTTATCCCCCCAACCCTTGCCCACCCCATCAGCACACATATGCACTAGATGACCATGTTGCAGCTTCTCTGGTCTACCTGCCTTCCCCACATTGGTTGATCTTCTTTCCGTCTCATGACCTTTGCATTTGCTGATCCTCTGCCTTCAGCACTGTTTCCACACATCTTCACACCATTCAGGTCTCAGAGGTATGTCACCTCCTTAGAGAGAGCCTCTCTTCCTTGCCTGATAAGTAAACTGAGGCTCAGAGAGGTCCAGTAACTTGCATGAGGCTACCATGCTAGTAAGTAACATATGTGTAATCTGAGCCTTGAGGGTGTGATGCTACATCCTGTGTCTTGACCACTATTTTATCTGTCTTTACTCACCCATAATAGTGGCAAGAGAACACAGCACAGTGCAGGGCTTGCTGGGGGCCACACCTGCAGAAGATACAAAGAATGGAGAGAAGAAAAGGAGCAGAAGAAGGAGGAAGTGAGGCCATAGCCCATAACATTTTTTGGCAGCAGTAGCAGAGCCCAGTAACAGAACAATTGGATGTTGAATAAAATGAAGAGTGAGCCATTAACTCCTCAGTACAGCCAAGGTTAAGATATCAGGTCATGATCCAGAGATGAGAAGATCAGGCCTGCAAAACCAACCTGCTGTCCCAGCTAGAAAAGTATTATTTATTTCCTAGGGAACTAAAATAAGAATAAAAACCCAACTTGTACTTGTGTCCATGATTAGTATCTTATTCCTGATTTAACAACTCACTTGATATTCTCAGTAATTTATTGCAGCATGAGTGTTATTCTCAAGTAAGTCCTTTAGTTCACTATTACTATTAAAATAACCGCAATGGATATTGGTTGAAATAGAAATATCTGAAAATGGTGGATTGGGATTGAGCAGGAGAGAACGATGGAAATAATAATAAGAAGAGTGGACATCAACTGTCCTGTTAGGTCATTTAGGTGTTCCTTTTGGGTACATCTCTACAGCAATCTTCTGGGGAGAAAGAAAGACAGGAGGCCCCTATGATGGGGCCAGGGAAGAGGATAGTAATTACATAAGCACATTGAGACACCGATATAATCTTCAGTGCATATACTGACTTTAATACTGTCTTCCCAAATTCATGTCCATTCAGAATCTGTGAATGTGACTTTATTTGGAAATAGGGTCTTTGCAGATGCAATCAAGTTAAGATGAAGTCATTAGGGGGAACCCTAGATCCAACATGAATAGAGTCCTTAAAGAAGGAGAAATTGGAAATAGAGAGACACATACACAGGGAGAATGCTGGGTGAAGACAGACAGAGGTGAAGATTGGAGTAATGCGTATACAAGCCAAGGAGCACCATAGATTGCAGCCACCACCAGAAGCTGGAAGAGACAAGGAAGGATCCTGCCCTGGAGGCTTCAGAGAGAACGTGTTCCTGCTGACACTCATTTCAGACTTCTGGCCTCCAGAACAGCGAGAGCATAAATGCCTGTTTTTATAAAGCAGGCAGTTTGTGGTCATTTGTTAAGGCAGCCCTATGATTTAATACAGCAAATCTAAATAATTGGCTATCACAGATGATTACTATAAGTAAAATTTCCGCAGAATTGCTTTTTCTTCTGTTGACATAGCTTATTTTTATTTTAAAAACTAGTTTTTAGGAATCTATATGAACAGACAGTACATTCATATGGTTCCGAAATTAAAAACAAAGCAGGAAATGACATGAAAAGACCTCCTCCTTCCCCGGCTCCTGTTTCCCCTCTTCACAGACATTTTTAAAATTCATGTCTTGTGTGTTCTTCCAGGAGAATCATGTGCATCTACAAACAATTCAAGGACATATTCTTCCCGTGTTTTTAAAACACAAATTATAGCATATCATACTCTGCTTTGCACCTTGCTTTTTTTCCACTCAAGTATATATCCTGGTAAACTTTCCACATAAGTCTATGCAGAGCATCTTGATACATTTTTACAGCTGTAAAACTTTCCATTGTATGATTAGAATGATAATATATCCAGTTGGTCCTCTCATGAAGGCAATTTAGATGGCTTCCAATATTTTGCTATTATATACAAAGCTGCAAGACGTCACTTTATATATATAAATGCTTCTTGATTCATGATGGGGCTATGTCCCGGTAAACCATCATAAGTCAAAAAATCCTAAGTCAGACCATGGCAAGTCAGGGATGGTCTGTGTGTCATTTTATGTATTTGTGATTATATATGTAGGAAAGAATTCCACAAAAGTGAAATAGAATCCTAAGGGCATATGCATTTGTTGTTTTTAAAAATATATTTTATTGTGGTAAAATATACATAACAAAATTTGCCATTTTAATGATTTTTAAATGTACAGTTCAGTGGTATTAAGTACATTGATATTGTTGTGCAACCATCACCAACCTCCGTCTCCAGAATATTTTCATCTTCCCTAATTGAAATTCTGTACCCATTAAACACTAATTTCCCATTCCCCAGCACCTATCAGCCATAATGTGACTATCCATCTCTATGAATTTGACCACTCTAGGTATCTTACGCAAGTGGAATCATACAATATATTCTTTTTCTGTCTGGCTTATTTCACTATGTAAATGTCTTCAAGCTTCATTCATGTAACATGTTTCAGAATTTCCTTCTTTTTAAAGGCTGAACTATAGTCCATTGTTTGTATACACACATTTTGTTTAACCATTCATCCATCGATAGACATTTGAATCATTTCCACCTTTCGATTATTGTGAATAATGCTGCTGTGAACATTAGTGTACAAACATTTGTTCTAGTCCATGCTTTCACTTCTTTTGGATATATTCCCAGAAGTGGACTTGCTAGATCGTATAGTAATTCTATGCTTAATTTTTAGAAGAATCAGCATATGGTTTCCACAGTGGCTACACCATTTTACAGTCTCACAAGCAATGGTGGGAACTCTGATTTCTCTACATCCTACATCCTCACCAATACTTGTTAATTTCTGGGTTTTCTTTTTGGATAATAGCTATCTTAATGGGTGTGAAGTGGTATATTATCTTAGTCATCTTGAGCTGTTATAACAAATATATTATAGAAAGAGTGACTTAAACAACAAACATTTATTGCTTTGGTTCTGGAGGCTGGGAAGTCCAAGATCAAGGTGCTAGCATGTTTGGTGTCTGGTAAAGACACTCTTCCTGGTTTACAGATGGCTCACTTCTCTGTGTATTCTCACAAAGCAAAGAGGAGAGAGAGAGAGAGAGAGAGAGAGAAAGAGAGAGAGAGCGAGAGAGCGAGCTCATGCGTCTATCCTCATCAGGACACTAGTCCTATTCATGAGGGCTCCACCCTCATGACCTAATCACCTTCCAAAGTTACCATCTCTTATTATACACTGAAGTTAGTATTTCAACATATGCATTTTCTGGGGACACACATTCAGTCCAGAACAAATCTCGTGATTTTGATTTGCATTTCCCTAATGATTAGTGATTTTGGGCATCTTTTTATTTGCTTATCAGCTATTTGTATATCTTATTTGGAGTAATTGCTAAATTAAAGTCTTTTGCCCATTTTTTGATGGAGTTGTTTTTTTGTTGCTGAGTTCCCCATGATTTTCTATATATTTAATATTACAGTATTTTTGTGCTATTTTTGATTTAAAAATTTATGACAGATACTATTTTTCTGCCTTACTTTAAATATAATTTATCCTTTTCTTTCCAACTCAGAGACACCTCAGTTATTCTACTACTCTGTAATATGGGGAAAACTAAGATGTCACCCAATATCCACCTGTTCTATTAAGAGATGTCCTATCTGTTAAGCCAAAAGTTCCATCTTCTTGGTATAAAATTTTCAGCTCATTTACTTAATTAACAGTTAATTTGATGCACTGAGCACTACTCTTGGGGTTGACAAAACAAAAATGAATTAGTAGTTGTTACTGTCTCTGCAGAACTTGCAGATGAATAAATGAATGATCATACCAGAGTGCAGTAACGGTTGTCCTGGGCAAACACAGATAATCTCTGGCATAATTTAAATCAAGAATGTCTTGAACTCTATTGCATGAATCAGAAGACTTAGAAAAGTATTACCCTATTGGATAATCATTGATGAAAATCAGAACAAAGGCCATGTGCAATCTGTTCATCCCAAAATCATAGCCTTCCTATAGACTTCAGCTGCAAAGTGGTACAGAAAGTGTGGCATGAATCTCACAAAGAGAACATTGATAGAACAGAGACTATTATCGATCTACTTAAATTTTTCTTTAGCATCTAGTGTATGCCCTATATTGTGCTAAGGCAATGGTAGAAATTGCTTCTGTGATCTCCTCCCTGTCAGCCCCATAGTAATGTCCACCTCTGAGGGAAAGACTAACAAAAGTATGGCATGTAGCACCAATGGAAGACATCACTAACTGATGGTGGCCTTTCTCACTTAGTCTAGTAGTAGTTTCTGAACCCACGGCTGGAGGAGAACAATACCAATCAATAGAGTTGGCCTTGGAATTTAAATTCACTTGCAATTTTGGCTGTCAAGGGTCTCTATGTATAAGAAATTCAGCAGTCTCTCTTAATGTCTGCTGCTTTGAGAAGAAGAAGAAAGTTTGGGGCTCCAGGGAGTGAAATCAGAGAACATGCTCCTCTTTGGGCCTGGATACTGGTGAGTCAAGGTCACCATCTCTTTTGTCTATCTTCTTAAATTTATAATTTCTCTCTTTTTTCATATTGCATGTTAAGTAAAAGATTCAATGTGCTTGGTTGACCCTGAAAAGAAAGAGTTGTTGGGAGCAGGCTTTGATTTGACTGATATGTTAACTCATGTGTACATGTCCTATTCATCTTCACATCCTCAGTTCCTGTAATAGTCTTTAGGACATAGTAAGGGCTCAGAGAACATGAGCTGGATGAATGATTGAAGCTATAGGACAGTCTTGGATCTACTCACTTGGTTAAATAAAAATCCAGGTAGACTGCAGCTCCAACTATCAAGTGACCAATACCTAGGCAAGGGAGAAAACTCTCAGATATGATTCCTACTTGGGAGCCATTCATTCATTCATTAACAAATGCTGAACTTGCATGTACTCTAAGGTAGGCTGTAGGTGCTGGGTCCCTAGGGGCAGGCAAGAGCATGAGCCCCTCCTGCAAGGAACTTTGGTGAAGTGGAGAAGACATATCTTGGACACATAAAGAGAAAATTATAAACTGTGATAGATATTATAGTTGGATAAAAAGAGCGCAGGAAGGACATAGTATAGATTGGGTTTAAGCATCCACAAGTGAAGAGATGGAGTGGAGCTTTGAACTTGTTCATTGCCCTGCAGTCTGTCAGGGTGCTTCTCCCTGACACATGTCCCTCAGAGGAAGGACCCTGCACCTGGTCATCAGCTGCTTGAGTGGCATCAGAGGCTCTGAGTTCGTGCAATGCAGTGCTCCTCTCTGTGAGCACGTGGTCTGTTACCCAACACACTCCACTGGGCGAGTCATAGGGAGTCCTTTCTAACATTGTTAAAGTCTTAGCTACTGAGACTTCGGTTCAAAAGAGGCAGTGAACTAAATATTTAGGAGAGCTCAGAATTGAAATTGATGGTCAGAGCCTAAGAAGCCTCCTGCTTCATAGTTATAAAATTGAGTATAGTTTCCAATTCATAAAAATATACACTCAAAAAGCCTTAATAATTTTCATTTGCTTCTTGCAAGGTTTACAAATGGTTTAACTCAATTTCAGCCCTCAGAGCTTGGATTTCCAGCAATTCCATAAAGATAGAGACCTCATTCTATTCATTTTAAAGCTTTAATGTCTTTTTTTTTTTCATTTTATAAAATAATAGGCTGTATTCCAAATCTTGATAAGGCCCTGGAATTCTTATTCTATTCCAATGGATTTCCTTCGCTAAGTGTTTTCTCTTTATTAATCTCTCTCTCTCTGCAGAATACAGAATTTACACACTAAAGAAAGTTAGAACCTTTCTTCTGTTTACTAACACACCCCATGAAGTATCCAGTTAACTCTAGGATAAGACAAAGAAGACTTATCATTGATGAGAATCAGAACAAAGGCCAATTTAGAATGGTTTAGAATCATTGTTACAAATAATGACATTATTAGAAACGAAGTGTTAACATATGTGTTAGTAATACCCCTTTGCATGAGTATACTATGGATCCCACAGCAGTCAACATTTGCACCATCGAATCTGCTTGTTACCTACTTTTGCTCCCTGATATCTGATGTTTGTGGCTCATTCATTGCTTAATTGACTTTGAGTATATTTCCCAAATGTTCTTCTCAATCTTGTCTTTGCAGCAGAAGGGAGAAGCTGTGTGTCCCTGGGATTCTGGGGGCTCACCAAAGTCCACAATGGCTTACCGAAAGTACAACATTTTTGTGAAATCTCGTGCTTTAGCTGAACATTTTGCCTGCAATTTGTGTTCTAATCATATTCCTACGTGTTTTAATACAAAATTTCTCTTTTCCCCTAAACCTTTAAGTAGCATCAGTGCCTTGGAATGCTGTGTCAAGTGCATGGACTCTGCAGTTGTGTGTCTGAGATTCCTCAGTATTTGGTGAATCATTAGCCCAGCAGAGCAGCACAGTATCAAAGGAAGGGGTTTAGCAGAGGATTTATTGAGTGTTCCATGCATGAAGACGAGGACCACAGCCTAATCCTCTCTTCCTGCTCAGGAGCCTAGCAACCTGTTGCCCCGATTGTGGACACAGTTCTAGTCCTACCTCCCCCCATGTGGTTCTTCACTTGTGTCCTCACAAACTAATGGATGGGAGTAAATCCATGAGAAAAGGAGGCTACCTAAGCCTAGCTCAGCCAGGATGCTCTGTTTGGTTTTTTAGTGTTTATTAGGAAACATCTGTTTCCTAATATAAGGCAGCAAATGCAGCTTTTTAGGTCTCCTTCCACATCTCCAAACGCCCTCTCTCTCCTGAGGTTTCCTTCATCACCCCAGCAAGTGATGGTCTCTTCCCTTCTTCACTTCCAAGTAGCAAAAGCAAAACAACAAAGCAAACAAAAACAAAAACAAAAACAAAAAACAAAGAGAAAGAATTAGATGGAAAATGATGGAATGAGAAAATCATTATTTTGCAACTGCTGCTGTAACTGAGTCAGGTGAAGACCCTGGGAGGAGCAGTTGTTGGGAACGGGCTGGTTACATGGTCTCAGAGCGTCACTCCCTCCCTATTTGTTAATTACAAGGGAAAACATTTCCTCTCAGTGGAGAGGTCCAACACTTAGCCCAGCCGTCTATCGACATCACCATCATGGGAGAAGCTGACATCACGGGCTGCCCACTGTGATGCGAGGGGGAGGGCATGCCGTCAAATATTTAGCATTCTGGCCCAAAGCCCTTAACTGGAATCTAAGGTTAGTGAGGACACAGTCAGACAAATACAGACTTAGCACATTCTACAAAATGACTGGCCTGGACTCTTAAAAAATATGTTACAATAAATAAACCAACAAAACAAAAACATAGGCAAAGGATCTGTTCTAGGTAAAAAACACTAAAGAACGATGAAGATTGAATACATTGCATGATCCTTGAGAAGGTCTTGGAAAACTGGGACATTGGAATATAGACTGTGCATTTGGTAATATTATTGATCAATGTTAAATTTCCTGGGTGGGATAATGATATTCAAGTTATATAGGAAAAATATCCTTTTTCCTAGAAGAAACATTTGTGTAAAATGAAACATAAAAGTATCACAATGACTGCAACTTACTTTTGAATGATTTGGAGACTGAGAGAGGAAGAAAGGGAGAGAGAGCAAGAGAGAAGAAAGGGAAGGAAGGGAGAAAGCAAATGTGGAAATGTGGAAAAATGTTAACAACTGGTGAATTGAGGTCAAGGGTGCATAGGTGTTGATTGTAATCATTGACTTTTTTCAGAGGTTTGAAGTTTTTCAAATTTTTGCAGAAAAAAATTAGCATAGCAATATACCTATCTACGACTCTTGCTGGGCAATTTCAATCTTGTGCTACAGTTACTTATGGGTTCTACTGTCCCTAATTTGTGGGTTGTTCGCCTAATTAGGATAGGATCCTAGCTCCCTACATTATAAAGCACCTGCAGAGGTTAATGCATGGCTCTTCAAATAATAAATAAATGCCACTCACATGAATGCTGAGAACTAATATTGCGTATCCATACACTGGATGGAGAGGTGGAATTCCAGCCTTGCTGGGGCAATGAAGTGGGTCACTTCCTGCTGAAAAGGGGAAGGAATTTTAACCCTCATGGGTCACGAAGACCTTGTGAGTCCTCCAAGTTTGCAAGCCCCACATTTAGGAGGCCGCACTTGGCCTTGAAGGCCTGACCTTCATCTACACAAGATGGTGGGGTGTTATCTTTTTTGTGTCTTGTGTGAGGGAACTGCACAAATCAATTGGAAATAATGCAATGATAAGGCTTCTATAATAGAGAAGGAATAATGCACAAAGCTTCAGGTGATACGGTGTTTACCAAGTTATGTTTTAAAAATACAGGGCATGAGTGATAGGAATGAAATGCACATTTAATTTAGAGCAATCAGAATTTTCAAAATCATATATTTATTTAAGGTTCAGGAGCATTGCCTGGTTTTGTCATTTTCATTTGATTTGGGAAGCATGGATTTATCTTATAAAGGGGCTTGGTGCTGTGGTGGAGGGGCCCTAAACCTTCCTATCAGGACAATACAGTTTTGGGGTTTTTACTATCTTCTCCATGGTATACTGTTTTTCTGAACCCATCCTCGATGGTGAAGGAGGGATACAGAGTTTTTTCACTGAAGGGTCAGGTTGATCAGGGAAGAGGAGTGCAGAGCTGAAAGAAGTGAGGCTGGGACTTTGTGCAGCTTGGGGTTCCTTCTACCCTCCATGGGAGACGTGTGAGGATGCAGGTCTTGAGAGGAGGCTGTCACACGTGGAGTTTCCTCACGATGACCTGTGCTCCTTTCCCACCCTCCCCGCTTACAGGACAGCCTCTTTCAAGGTCCTGAATTCACTGACCCCACGCTCCCTCGGAGGCCCCTGAGCTCCCCTACAAGGACCGAGTTAGTCCCTTCGTGGGTTCCCTTCATGAATCTTGATTTCTGAGTGCCTCCAGGCTGGGCTGGTGGTGGATAGAGACTGTCACTGCCACTGAGGCCCCAGGGGGAAGGGTGCAGGCGGTTCCACAGTGAGTGTGAAGGAGATGCCTCACCTCCAGTTCCATCTCGCAAGCAGCCTGATGGGCAGCTGCCTGCTTCCTGTCACCTGCAAAGCAGGTACGCCTTGCCAGGGTGAGCACTGTTTCTTCTCGGAGGCAACACAGTCAGCCTCACACAACGAAGCGAAAAGATTCTCACTCCTGCTGCACGGCATTGGTGTCAACCCTCGCAAACAAGCCCTGCGTCGTTCCCTGGAGCTTTTGGCATCTTCCCAGGACGGGCTTCCCTTACAAATGCCTCCTCACTGGCTGCAGATGAGCCTGTCTTTGCCACACAGGGAGGAGGACGCTGCTCTAAGACGATTTTACCTCCAAACCTTCCCCAGCAATTAGAGCAGTGGCGGTGATTTCCAGTTCAGACACTTCAATATATTAGAAGTTATCATAGAGTAAGACCCTCGCCCCACACTCAATCCTGTGCACGACTCTTTGTCTTTGTTTTTCTGTTTTGGTTCCATGTTGATGTTTTGACTCTACTCTGGGCATGGAGAGATTCTCCTCTCCTCCCTGTTTGCATGGGCCAGTGGGGGAGGGGCAATGGGCACGCTGTTTTCTCTGTCATTCTGGGTCCCAGTGATTGAATTATTTGAATATTTTGGCATTATATTATTATTTTTTGAACAGGGAACACATCTGCATGATTCAAAATTGAAACAATATAAAAGGTGCACAACCTCAATGTCCAATCTCCGCCCTCATGCCCTGCTCAGCCCAGGAAGCTGCCCCCATACAGTGCACCGGCCCCGCTTCTTGGGCTTTGTTTAGCCAGTGGGAGATGCAGACAGGGCATGGGGTTGAGCCAGACGAGGGAACCCAGCGGGTTCCATAACCTCCCCCTCCTGTTCCCTCTCTGCCTCACCATTGTTGGTGTCAGCTACATTCTCACATTCACCCCATTCTCTGGGGTGGCCTCCTGGGTGAATCCCCTTCTCATGGGACTCCGGTAACTGTTTCTGTTCCTCAGGCAAGGGGGCGATGGGAGGAGGATGGGGTGATGGAAACGGCTTTCTGAAGCTGTTAGTCCCTGGCTGTTTAACTTCCTCTATGGTTCTCTTACTCCTGCTTGCAGACGTGGTGTGTCATCTCTACACTGACGGGTATTGATTGGGTATATCATCTCTACATTCAACTCTCCAGTTAAACCATCTGAGTGGCCTAACAGTTTGTAGTCAGGCCCTGTATGACACACTTACCACTCTTTATACTTTATAGGTAACTGCTGGTACTAGTTTTTCCTTATGTAAACATGAAACTTTTGCATATATATATTCTTTTTCTTTTTGGTGACAGGGCCTCACTCTGCCGCCAAGGCTGAGTGCAGTGGCACACTCGTGGCTCACTGCAGCCTTGACCTCTTGGGCTCAAGTGATCCTTCTACCTCAGCCTCCTGAGTAGCCAGGACTAAAAGGGCACAACACCATGCTCAGTTAATTTTTGTATTTTTTGTAGAGACAGGGTTTTGCCATGTTGCCTGGGCTTGCATAAGTATTCTTATTTCCCCCTTTCTTACATGAAAGATAGCACGCTTTTCACTGAACAATATATCCTGAAGGTATATTCCTAATACTGCATAAAGTGCCTCACCTTTCTTTCCTCTCTCCCTCCTTCCTTCTCTCCCTTCTTTTTGATGTTTGCATAGTGTTCCATTTTGCAGGTTTTCTAGAGTTTGCTCAATAAGTCCTCTGTTGATGGACACTTTCTCCCTTTTTATTAACCAACATAGACAATGGCACAATGAACAGATGTGTTTCACTTCTGTGCAGGCATACGTATAATGTCAATTCCTAGAAGTGGGGAAATGCATTTAAAATTTTTATCAATATTTCCAAGGGCTCATAATTTGCTGCTGACATCTCTCCTGCCCCTCTGAGCTCATCTTCTGAACTGCCAAGAGAGTTCCTTCTTAGAACACTTCAAAGCAATCCGTGGCTTCCTGTTACCCAAGCCACCTTCCTAGAGAGGGATAGGTGGTGTTTTTCACTCTCTCATTCCAAATTCTCTTCGGCCTCAGCGGCTCCTGCCTCATCTATGTACCATGCCCTCTCTCCACAGCTGCTGGCAGATAACAGAACACTGGGATTGTCAGTTCTTCTGTATCTTAGCTCGCTGTGGTCACCGAGTCTGCAGTACTCCCTTCCCCATCGCTCATCCTCATCCTTCACCCCATTCCTCCTATAGCTCTAGATGATGAAACACAGTGTAACGTTATGTATTACACATATTAAACTATCGTGTAACTCTGGATGACGCTAAGCCCCAGCTCACATGGGTTTCCCTGACCCTCGCAGGCCATCTGGCTGCTCCTTAGCTGCCTGTGTTATGAAGCCACAGCAGATCGCACTCACCCATCCACACATAAATTGTCCTAAAAAGTCATGAGTCTTTAAGGAAAACAATTGAGGCTTACTTTCATTTTCTAGCAAGGAGCCTGGTACAGAGTGGACGTTCTAGAAATTGATGTTGTCATTGCTTATTTGCTTGTTTTTAAAATAGTGCATTTTCCATTTCTTGCCTAACAGTTGTCTAACCTCTTTATTTCCAGAAGACTAGAGACCAAAGATATAAACAAATGATCTAATCAAGTTGAGAAAGATCACAAATTGGAGTGAAAGGCCGAGAAGAAAACCGGACTCTTGTGTCCTCCATCTGTGTGGAGGGCACTGTGATGCCCTGGGGAGCTTGCGGGTCTGGGTCTCAGTCTGGCTCCAGACTTTGCTGAATTAGGGAAGTTTTCTGTTCTCATCAGCTCTCTGCGTACATGGTCGTGTGTGTGTTTTGTCATCTGGAGCTGTAGGTGGCTTGTCCTCTGCTCAGCTAATGTGATTCCACTAAGTGGGAGAGGGAGTCTGTGATGGGGCTGTGGCATCCCCAAATCTACCTTCTTGGGGGATTCAGTAGCAGGTGATTTGGGATTTAGAGAGGAAAATAGGTTTGGAGAGTGGTAAGGAAGGAGGGAGTGCAAGAGACGATAACAGTGTAGGGGAAGGAAGAGGAAGGGAGGAGGAGAAGGAGAGAGGTCTGTGGCTGATGCGGCCGCCACTCATCTGGGGTGTCATCCACACTTTTTGCGTTTAGCAACTCAATTTGAGTGATGCCACAACACAGGAATATCTAGAATATGAGGTTTCCTATTAAGGGCCAGGCTAAGGTCCAAGAACATATTTCATTAATTTACCTGAGAAAGCATTCCTTTTCACTGGCTAAGAGACTTGTGCTCTATTCCGGAAGGGAAGTAAAGATGAAAATCAGATATGTGCTTGGGGCTGGGCACCATGGCTCACATCTGTAATCCCAGCCCTTTGGAAGGCCGAGGCAGGTGGATTGCTTGAGGCTAGGAGTTTGAGACCAGCTCGGGCAACACAGTGAAACACTGTTTCATCAGTAGTCTCAGCTACTTGGGAGGCTGAGGTGGGAGGATCACGTGATCCTAGGAGGTTGAGGCTTCAGTGAGCCATGATCATGCCACTGCACTCCAGCCTGGGCAACAGAGTGAGACCCTATCTCAAAAATAAGTACATAAATAAAAATAAAAACATGTGCTTGGTGAGCCCAGAATCAAGCAAAGCGAATTTCATCATTTCATCCAATATTCTACCTGGGATTGTCTTTGTTATCTTGAGACTTTGGTGTCTGAGGTAAAAAAGACTTTGGTGTCTGTGGGTTTGGGCGGGTCCATTGACTGTCTCTTTACTGAATATCTACCATGGATCTGGTCAGTGCTTGGTGCTGGGGACACAGAGGTGGAGCGAGCACAGTCTCAGGGCTGGGGTGTGGTGTGGAAGGGGAACTGAGATGTGTTGACTCCACTCTGTGGAGGCTTCCTCAGTTCTCCCATGAAGTTGATGTTTCCAGTTCCGGTTGATTGCAGGGAAGGAGAGTGGGGATCAGGCTGGATGTGGTGGCTCATGCCTGTAATCCCAGCACTTTGGGAGGCTGAGGTGGGTGGATCACTTGAGGTCAGGAGTTCGAGACCAGCCTGACTAACATGGTGAAACTCCATCTCTACTAAAAATACAAAAACTAGCCGGGCATGGTGGTGGCACACACCTGTAATCCCAGCCACTTGGGAGACTGAGGCAGGAGAATCGCTTGAGCCTGGGAGGTGGAGGTTGCAGTGAACCAAGATCCTGCCACTGCATTCCCACCTGGGCAAAAAGAGTGAGACTCCATCTAAAAAAAAAAAAAAAAAAAAGAGAGAAAAGGAAAAGAAAAAACAAAAAAGAGAGTAGGGATGAGAGAGGTCACACAGCTTTCTCAAAGTCACGCAGTCCCCAAAGCCCGGGAAGACCTGTGAGTCTGACTGACTCCGCCCTCTCCCTCTTCATGAGGATGCCTTTGGGACCAACAGTTGTGTGGGATAAGGCCTGGGATGGTCTCTAACCCAGGAGACACCCTCAGTATGGTGCTGGGTCTGTGGAGATATGAGCGCTTGGGAAAAGGCTGTAGCCCTTGCTTCTCTGAGGATGTAGTGGTGGCGATGGAGGAGGAGGAGGAGGAGAGGACATTTGAGGACAGGAGGACCAGGCCTGGGATGATCTCTAACCCAGGAGACACCCTCAGTCTGGTGCTGGGTCTGTGGAGTTATGAGCGCTTGGGAAAAGGCTGTAGCCCTTGCTTCTCTGAGGATGTAGTGGTGGCGATGGAGGAGGGGGAGGAGGAGAGGACATTTGAGGACAGGAGGACCAGGCCAGGGATGGGATCCACACTGAGGGCACCACTCACGTACACAGAGGCCCTGGTCTGTTTAGAACTCTTGTCCCCTCCTTCTGAGGAATGAGCATCTTTGACAATAGTGCGTTGGTGCTGTCTTTTGCTTCAACATTTGCAAAACTTGCTCCTCAACCCCTTGGCCTGCAAGGTTGGAGTCCTGAGGAGTTTTTGGTTCTGTTACTATGAACTGTGTTTGTGGGCCCGTGGAGGAGCTGAAAGCTCAACCTACACTGGGGTCTTTCAAATGAATTTTCTTTTCCTTTCTGTATTTGACCCAGGTTTTAATTTATTCATGGCAGATGACCTCACAGCATGTTGCCCATCTGGCAGAGCTACCTTGGAGCAATTTTAATCCGCGGAGCTTAAAGCCTTTTGATCTCCCTCATACTTTCCATTCTCAGAGGCTGAGTAATTCAAGTAAGACGTACCAGTTCAATTTTCCTCCCAGGGAAAGAAAGGAAATGACCTTTCTGGAAAAAAGTAGGAGAATATCTCAGAGGGAGGTTTTGGGGAGAAAAAAATCACAAGGTTACAAATAACTCAACAAGGGCAGTAGAAAATCATTGTCCTCCACCACAAAGCTCTGCCAACATGATGACTGTAAAGTCACGATGGCAAGAGAACCCTTTCTTTCCCCTTCCTGGGAACAATTTTATTTGACCTCTAGACACTTTTTGCGAGTGGCAAAAATCCATCTGGACTTAGAGGTGAGCAGCAGAAGCTATTTCCACCTGCATTCGGAAAGCCAAGCTCTATGGGGACAGGGCAGGAGCAAGCTGAGAAAGACATTCCTGTGTAGAGTTCCAAAGTCTTCCAAAAATGACCAAGACCAACCAAGAGCCTGCGGACACCTTCCCCTTCTGCGGGGGTCTGATGCCCTTCCTTTCAAAGATGTTAATAATTCAGTCCACAGATGGGCCGCTGTCTTATGCGAAATAACTTGCACTCCTTAAATCCAGAGCAGCGGCAGGCAGGTGTTGGGTGTGGCTGCCCTTGCACCCAAGTTTTCCAAAATAAGAAGAGAAGAGTGTTGGCAAAGGTATATTTTTTATCTTCACCCCTTTTCTCAACTTCAAGAAATAATTATTGAGGCCTTTTAAAAACACATTAATTCCCTTGTCTGAATAGAGATTGAAATTTGTTAACTGATAATTAATGTCTCTTTACCTTTTAATTAAAAGTTAACTGCTAGTGGAAAGTGCCAAGGATACTCCTTGGGCTGTGCCCAGGCCGTTCGTGCACTCTGTGTTTTGCTGGCCTGCTGGGGCTCAGAACTGGAGGCAGTGGAGGGTCTCAGGGTGGTGTATGTATGCATGGGACAGGTTAGGGACTGGTGGAGCTTGAAATAAAAGCCATTTCTTTTATGTAAAATTCACGGTAAGGCTGAAACAGTTAAATATGAATACCACCCCAAAGTCAACCACCCTGCCAATTACCAATCCCTGTCCGCCACCTCCTGCTTGCTGGAGACCAAGGCTTTGTGTTGTCTTTGGGGGACGATGGCTGAGAATCGCTTTCTCCAGTGTCTTCTGTAAGCAGAAGACTGCTTGGCCACCAGCTCTACCGCTCCATTGGGATGATGCCTCCTTTTGTCCTTCCTATTGTCACTTAACCACCTTTCTTTGAACTGTCACAGATGGTGCTTAATTAAAATTTCCCCCAAGGATACTTTCTTAGCACTATCGTTTCTACCTTAGTTAATGCCATGTGCTATATTCTGTCCAAAGTTGAGGTGGGGTGGGGATACCGTGCTCTTAGGTAGAAGTTATTTTTTCATTGTATTCATTGCATAGTCTGAGTTTAATTTGCATCCCTGTAGGATTCATATTTATTGAGCACTTACTATGTGCTAGAGCCCTTGAGTGTTATGTGAGCCATATGAAATAAGATATTCAACTGTTTGTCCTACAGATCCAGACATTTCATATGGCTCAATCTAACATCTGATTTCACTTAATCCTTACAATAAGTCTATGGGAGAGGTGCCATTGAATTCATTTTTTGGATGGTGAGGAGCCGTGGTCCATGGATGTGAAGGTATTTCTAAGGCTGCATGGTTAGGAGGCCGGCAGAGGCCATTGTCTGATGCTAAATCGCTTGTACTCTTTTGTATCTTGCTCTGGGTCTCAGGACCCTCACTGTGAATTTCAAAAGGCTTGGACTAAAACCCAGTGCTTTTCAATAAGATGCAGTCTTGTTCTCTGAGGAGGCATGTGACATAAAGGTGGGTGGTTTAGTGTCATGAAGACTGGGGAGGAGACCCTTTGGCTTATAGTAGGTGGGGTAGAGGGTAGAAGCCCCCTGCAGTGTGAGTCAGACTGACTGATGACCAAGCATTTTGCTCCAAATGCCTTTTGCTTCCTGTTTAGAAACATGGGCCCACATGAACCCCACATTTCTTCAGACAGTGGAATCCAATCACTCAGCCTTCAATAAATCCCAACAGACGAGGGCGGTACTTTGCTTCGATGGCTGCCTGGTGGGATGACCTGCCCCTTTTGGGAACATGCTGGCCCCGCCCGGCTTAGGACTGGCTCCTGGGCCATGATTCTGTTGTGTGCTCACATCCCCCAGGTGGGGATGATCCAGCCGTGGGTGGGCACCTGGCCTAGCTGGGCTGTGGGAAATCTGACCACGTGCACACATGGGCCCTACCACATGTGAACTCAGGGGCTGTGGATGGTCATCGTCTACCTACCCTGTGGCCTTGAGGGACTGAGAAGGCCAGTTTGCAAAGAGAGAGGGTGGAAGCTCACCATTGATTCCTCCTGGTTTCCCAGGGGCCTTCCTCGTGGGTCACCTGACTTCCTGTCCTTGGCTTCCATGAACCAGCCCTGTCTCCTTGCAACCCCTCCTCCTCTTTGGCTTAAGCCTGTTGGGAATGTTTGCTGTTTTTTGAAACTAGAATAAGCCTAAGCAAGATAACTCTATCAGGTCTACCCTTGCACGAGTATAAGAGAAATGTGGAAAATGAACCACACTTCAGAGCCCCTTTAGAAGATAAAAAGTGAAACTTAATGCAAATGTGAAGATGCTCATCTTAGACTCCACAGGAGATTAATATTTTTAGAGTAGAAAACTTTAGCTGTCATTGTTCAAGATGAATTTTCCATAATTATGAAGGCAAATTATCTGTGAATCTGGAAGCTATCATTATTTAAAACAAGTTCAATCAGACAATTTCCTGGTTTCCCAAATTTTACGATTTTTTTCTTGCAACCCTTTTTTGAAATTGGTCTTGTCATTTGTCTTGAAATGCAAACAATATTTACCTGTTGTGCAGCTAGTTTTAATAAAATGGAAATGCATCATCAGAACTGAAATTCATTTTGAAGTAAGAACCTGGGTGCTTTCTTACTTAATAGTTATGTATTAGATAACTATTACCTATGAATGCTTGTCAATTTTGTGTATTTTTCTTGGGCAAGAAGAGCAGCTATTTTCCTTGTATGCAGATTGTCATAGCTTAAATGTTCCAGCTTAATTATCTCCAAGGCTTTATCTTTGGAAAAGTCACTGAACTACTTGGAAATAATGGTTTCAGCATCGACTAATAAAATTATACATGAAAAAATTTATCTTCTGATGCTGAAAGGAATCATGACAGCATCAGACATTTACTCTACTCTTCTTTTATTTTTATAATTGTAAGTATTAGATCCCATCATCTTGAAAAAGTAATACACTTAATTTATGAGGAAACAAATGGACTGAGTCTGTTGCACAATGAGAACCAGATGCTCAACTCCTCAAACAAGTAGGAAAATTCTTTGAGATTTGAGAATTTCCTGAAATATTTTTGCCAGAGTTGACTTTCAAGGTGAATCATCCATAGTCAGATAACTCGGAGCGCTTGGCAACCATAGCCCGGCCCCTGCAGAGCCCTGCTGTACCTCGGGTCTCGGTCTCAGCTCTTCATATCTCGATCCACTTCATTCATTCAGTCATTTGCTCACACCTCTGGGGGCCGAGGGAAGGGTTTGTTCAGTCGAGTCAGATTTCTTGTGGTCCAAAGCCTCATGTTGGCAGTGTATATGTGTGTGTCTGTATGTGTGTGCCTGTGTGTGTGTGTATGTGTGTGGGGCGTGTGTGTGTGTGGGGGCATGTGTGTGTGTGTGTGTGTGTGTGTGTGTGTGAGAGAGAGAGAGTTGGAAGGCAGGGGAATGGATTGGTTGGGAAGTAGTCTGTGCTGGCAGCTCTGTGTGCCCAGACACCCCGATACATCCATGTCTATGCAAAGACCATCTCTCAAGCACCAGGCCTTTTAGCGGCTGCTATGGTAGCCTCACTCTTTCATTTCTGAGTTGTGGGGCTTGGGCACTGTGCTCCCCACACGTGTCCATGTGCTGATCACTGGAACCTGAGGATGTGGGGCCTTACATGGTGAAAAGGGACTATGGAGGCATGATTAAGTTAGGGATTTTGTGATGAGAAGATTTTCTGAATTATCTCGGTGGGCCCACTGTAGTTACAAGGGTCCTTAAGATGGAAGAGGGGACAGGAGGGTGAGAGAAGGGGATGAGACAGCCGAGGCAGATGTGGGAGTGACACCGGGCACAAACCCAGGAAAGACCAGGGACATAGATTCTCTCCTGCAACCTCCACAAGGAATGCAGTCCCCCTGACACATTTTAGGCTGTTGACATCTGGAACTAAGAGATATGGGATTTGTGTTGTTTTAAGGCACGAAGTTTGCAGTGAATTGTTACAGCAGCAATGAGAAATCAATACAGACAGTCCACTAAACCTCAGCTCATTTTGTATTTAAAAATGGGGCTAATTATGCCCACATCATGATGGGATGAAGTGTTGTAAGGCTTGCGAACATGCTTTAGAAACTGAAACAACATACTTGGCAGTGGAAACTTTTATCGTGTGATCTTGTGATCTTTCTTTGATGCCAAGGGGCCATCAGGTATAGCCCTGGAGCCAAATCATGGGGCATTGATCACTTGATTTGTGTTTTTTGTGCCAATGCCATCCCATTGTTCAGTGGGGCTTACTGTATGTTCAAACAGCCAGCAGCCAAGGACAAGGGCAAACACACACACACAAAGATGACAGAGGCTGAGACAGGCTGGCCAGGCAGAATCGCACTGTGGGGAGCTGAGGCTTTGGAGCAGACTGCCTGGACCTGCAGCTCAGCCTCCAGCTGCCAGCCCTGGCTGTGGGCAGTGCTTTCCAGTTGCCAGCCTTGGTTTCCTGAATAAGAAGTGCTGAGTACAGTGGCTGCTCCATAGGAATTGACAATTGTTATTACCCACCCTGCATACATCCCCTGCTCCAGGGCACGACCTGTCATTCCCACCCTGGTCCAAGGTTTTCAGCACCCGCCTTCTCCCAGTTCTGCTGAGCTTGAGGCTGTGGAGGTGGCTGGCTGGTGGGGGACGGAACAGGGCCACCAGCTTCTCCAGGGGAAAGGCTATCCTCTTAGTGCGCATTGCAGATGTGAAAAAGAAATGCCATCTTCCCAAATAAAATTAAATACAACCCAGAGGCCCCAGGACTGACCCTGGAAGGAGAATTAAGCTTTCTTTCCTTTTCCAGAGGACTCCGTCTTCCCTTGAGGTCTCTGTCTGGAACCCAGCTGCCCGTGTGGGCCTTTGGGTACATCGTTCCCTCTCTGCCATCTGTAGAAAAAAATCATCCTTTCCTGCAATCTCTGCTGCTTTGGCAGGAAATTCATGTGCAAAAGACATCTAAAATGGCTGGATGGCATCACAAGGGGAATCAACCCAGAAGGAACAGGATCCTAAACATTTGCATCTCAAGAGAGGGCTGGCAGCGGAGGCTCGCAGGGCCTGTCCTGTTTCCCGTGGAGTTTGACCTCATCTATTCTGGCTGTTAGACTGTGATGAAGATGCAGACACTCCAGGATTCAGCAGCCTGGGGCTTAAAAAATAATGTCACGCTCCCTTGCAATGATCGGTTTTGGTCACTTCATCCCTCTTGGCCTCGGGGCTGGAAATGAACAGCTGTCCAAGAGACCTCCAGGAATCCCTGGGAGTCTCAGAAGGGTGGCTCCTGGGCTCATGCATGAGTGAGTTCTTGTGTCTCTTCTCTCTTTCCTCTCTGGCTCTGGCTCATTCTTATCCACAGCTGCTGCCTGCCAGTCATGTGCCACAGGTTCACCATGGCCAACTGCCACCATGAAAAGCAGCATCCAAGCTGAGGAGCTCTCTTGGGATGTGCTCAGGGAATCAGACCCTCCAGGTGCTGCCTCCTTCCCTTGGCAGGAACAGACCCTGCTCTGGTTCTGAGCTACTCTCTGCCAGGCAGCTCCCAAAGCAGCACTGCTCTGCATTCAGCCTTGCTACGTCTCCTTCAGATGGGCGCACTAGATACTGAGTGATGATCATGCCTTGTCTAGGATCTCACCAAGACAGTTCATGAAAGAGACAGTGCAGCTCATGGAGGAGATGGTGCAGCTCACAGAGAGGATGGTGCCATCATGGAAAGCATGGGGCAGTCATGGAGATGACGGAGTAGCTCATGGAGAAGATAATGCCATCATGGAAGGCATAGTGCAGTCATGGAGATGATGGTGCAGCTCATGGAGAAGATGGTGCCATCATGAAAGGCATGGTGCAATCATGGAGTAGACAGTGCAGCTGGGCCAAGATTCTCCCTGACTAAGCTCTTCTCAGGCACCTCTGAGCCGTCGTCTTAACTAGGCCTCCAGCTTGGCTTGTGAAAACTGCAGACTCTCAGCACAAATGATTTGCCTCCTACATTAAGAGACTTAAATAAACACTTGCATGGCTGTGTTTATTTAAACAGCTCAAGGCTGTGTCCCTGGGATGACAATGACTCCAGCCCCTAAAATTCCTGCTTGTGAAAGCTCATTGCTGACAGAAGGATCTACCATTTGTTCCAGCCAACACCTGGTGGCAGGCAGATAGGCCCTGAGCCCCATTTAAGAGCAGTTCCTTTAGAAAGCTTGCAATTGTAAATCTTTTCTCTGCCCATTTGAGATGTAAATCTTCTACCACCTAGAACTGTCTTCTCAAGGACCTGTGAGCTGACTCACTGAAATGCAAACATTCAGGGAGATAACTCCACTCCTGTCCCCATGCGATGGCGAGGCCCTGACTTTGGTGGGCACCTTGCTCTTATTTGCACCACCACCTCCTGTCCTAAAGACATGAGACGTTTGTCTCTCCTCTGGATAAGTGCCTATTAACCAACCCAGGTGTCCTGGTCACATGAACCAGTCCAGCCTAGCACCTGGCACTGCCTTTCCCTCAGCACACTCCAGTCTGTAAAAGTCTCCTTATGGTTGTTTTGGCAAAGTTGAGCTTAGTTAATGCTAGACCCCTTCTCTACTGCAATAGTTACTGCTGAATAAAGTCTATCCTTACCACTTTAACTAGTGTTGGGCTTTGTTTCTCTTTCATAAGCTCATGGAGAAGACAATGCAGTTCCATCAAGTTTCTGGCTCTTACACTGCTAACAGTCAGCTCTGGGGTCCCTGAGAGGGACAGACTCACACCACCCGCTTCATCCAGGTGCCGTCAACGTTCCTGGTTCCTCTTTGGTTCCTCCTCACTGCAAGAAGTCTCACTCCACCTGAAGCCTCAAATCAGAGCCCCTTCACATGCGGATACGGTGAACAGATCTTAGCCATCGTGGGATCAGGAGCTCAGGAGTTTGAGATCAGACTTGACAACATAGTGAGACCTTATCTCACTATGTTCCTGAAGTCAGGGACTAGGGATCCAGTCTTTTGTTATCTCCTTGTTTCCCATGCTTCTGGGTCCAGAGAGAGAGAGATTCCCTTTTGTCTGTTTTGGGAATATACAGTCTGGGTTTCCTGACTTCCTGGGCGAGTGACCCCAGAGCTATCCTGGCACAATACGATAACCATCCCCCAGAGAGACAGGATGGCTCCAGCCACAGATGGGTGACTCATCCCTGGCAGGTGTCCCCGGGCCAGGGCTTGGGCAGCCAGTACCAGTGCCCGTGGATCCCCTCCCCACCGCCATTAACTTACTAGTTCAGCCCAGCTTTCTCCCGTAAGAATTCTCCATGCCTAGTAGGACGATCCAGGGCGTCATAAGATGCAGCTCTTCTTCTTCAGACTGAGGCCCCTGATTACCTTACTTCTCTCCCTCGCTGTGCAACCTGGTCTCCTGCCTCGCAGGTGCTGACCTAGCTGTCTCTTCCTAACTCCTCTAATCTGATGCATGATTTGCTTACTCACAATCTAATATCTTTTCTGTAACTTGTCTCTGGGCCTCTTTCCCTCTTCTGCACTCAGTGATTCTTGGGGAGACCTTTTGGGTAATCTCCCCTGACTCTTCTCCTCTATGTCTTTTTTTCTTTTCTTTTGTTTTTTTCTTCTTCTTTTTTTTTTTTTTTTTGTTGAGACAGGGTCTTTCTGCGTAGCCCAGGCTGGAGTGCAGTGGCATGATCATGGCTCACTGCAGCCTTGACCTCCCGGGCTCAAGAGCTCCTCCCGCCTCAGCCTCCTGAGTAGCTGAGACTGCAGGTGTGCGCCACCGCACCCTGCTAATTTTTTTAAATTTTTAGTAGAGATAAGGTCTCACTATGTTGCCCAGGTTGGTCTCAAACTCCTGAGCTCAAATGATCCTCCTGCCTTAGCCTCCCAAAGCGCTGGATTTACGGGCATGCGCCACTACACCCAGCCTTGTTTCTATGTCTTGACCCCACTCTCCCATCAGTCTCTTCTTGTCCCTGGTTCTCTCAATGCAAATTTTCCACACAAAGAGTGCACTCACCTTCCACAGCCTCTCCTCCCTCTCCACTACAGAACCCTTCCCTTCTCCCAAAGTGAATGTCCCTTCCTGCAGCTATTTATCCATCTCTGGTCCTCTGGACTGGTATTCTTGAATGTTTCTGCCCCACTCCTATGGTAGTTCTAGTTTTTTATGAAGTTTCAGGTATTTTTTCTGTGACCCTAGAGATCAGGGATGCCAGGACCTCAAAGAATGATATGTCCCTATGGACAATATGAAAGGCATTACAATTACTGTTAAAGGATATGTGTTTAATGCAGAGTGGACAGTGAGCTTGTCCACACCCGAATGTCTTGGGTAGGGATGATGCTATAGATGACATTCTGGCTTTTGGAATATTCAGGCCAAAGTAGGGTCATTGAATTAAATGTTGTAACCCCGAATATCTTTGGATGAAATTCACAGGAACGTGGTTGCAAAAGCTATTTTTTAGAAGAGAAATAAAAGTGGTTTTTTTTGGCCAATTTCTCTTTACGATGAAAATGCTTTTGCCTTTTGGGATCCAAATATATGCTGGCATTTATGCATTTTTCAGCTTCGTTCTCCACAGCTGTGCCTTGGTTGAAACAGCTCATGCATGTGGCTGGTAACCCTGGCGCCGCCCTGGTGGAAACCTTGCCACACAGTAGGACTTGTAGGTCCCCACCTCGCTGCAGCTTAATTAGGGAATTACATTTTTCTGAAGACTTTTGGTTGACTGAATTTAATAGACTGAGGAGTTTTTTAATGTTATTATATTGGTAATAAGTTCTTCAGTATGATTTAATATTTGAAATTATTTAAAGCAAGGATTCATATTAACAGGAATGAACTTATCACCTTTTATGCTAATGTTTTACGGTCTTGAAATAACTGAAATGATATGAATCTTTTGCAGGACATCAATTCTGGATATCGTTTTTGCTTTCATTTGGAAAGATGTTGGCATAGTTTCACAGTATTTTATTGACGAAAGCATTAAGTCTACATAGGAGTAACTATTAATAGTTCTTCTTTTGTGACCCATTTGAATGCTGTACAATTTCACCCAGTAGCCACTGGGAGTGTACTGTGGTGGGTTTACTTTACATCTACCCCTTTCTCTAGCTTCCACCCATAACACACAAACATAGGCACACACGTACACACTTTTGTCTTGTTTGATTGTCTGACATAATTCTTAATACAGGAAAATGACCATTTTTGAGTATGGAAGACAAATGGTTTCTACCATATTGATATATCCAAGGTGGTGGGGGAAAACCATGATGAAACTTTTTTTTTTTTCCCCCAGAGACAGGGTCTCATTCTGTCACCCAGGCTGGAGTGCATCTGCTCTATGTCCAGGATCATAGAGCAGAGGCATAGGAGGGAGGGTCTAGTAATTACATCTTCTTTGCCTTTAGTTTCTATGAAATAAATGGATTGTGGTTTTTACCTTTTTTTTTTTTTGCATGCCTAGTAATTTTGGATGCCAGATGTGAATTTCATATTTTGGGGTACTAAATTTTATCATATTCCCTTAAAGAGTGTTGGATTACTTACTTTTCTTGCATGCAACTAAGTAACCTTTGGACAAGTCTGATTCTGCTGAGGTTTGATCTGAGGCTTTGTCATGGTGAGTCAAAGACTACGTTAATTCTAATAAGAAGACGGGTGGAGCCTCTACCCCATGCCTGAGTGTTTTGAGGTTGCTTCTTTTTGGCTGGTGGGAAGATGAGTGATTCCAATTCCATGGGAGCTCTGGGAATTATTCATGGAGCTTTTTCTTGAGCTTGGATGGTTTCCTTCATTTTGGCTTCAGGGAATTTTCTCGCACAGATCGGTATTCAAAGACTCAAGGAAATGCTCTGAAGACCTCTGCAGCTCTCTCTCTGCAGCTCCCTTCTTTTTGCTATTGAGTCTTGCAAAATTAGTCTCCCTGGTGTCCCCTGGTGGAGGTGATGACCTCATTGCCTTTTCCAGATTTACATGGTATACCCACTCTAGTATGCCTCTGTCATACCTCTGTTGACATAGAGTGGGCCCGTGTTCCAGGTGATGCTACTCAGTGTCCTGTATCAGTGGGTCACACACGGAGCCTCAGGTGGTGCTGCTGCATTTGGATCGATAGAGGCTTGTGGATTGGAAAGGAAACGCACACTAGAATATGTGTCAATTCCAGTCAAGGTGGATTATTGCCTCTTCTGGGGTAGAAGGACTTTAATGACCTCAATTTGAAACCAAAAGCTGGTCTCCTTGAAAGCTGGTGCCATGTCAGGGGCTCAGACCTTCTGATCCTCCTTCCTGGCTGTGAAAGGAAGGGAGGTATTTTCCAGGTCACTGACCACATACCATGTACCTGGAGCCATGTTGCTCTCCTCTAGCAAAGATGCAGCAGATGCAGTTGGGGCTGCCACTCGACTGAGTTTGAAGCACTCCACTGACATCCTTCAGGCTGTCTGGTTTCTGTAGAGCCCACACTGGTGAATTAAATGAAGATGGGGTTCATCACCACCCCAGCTTCTTGTGGGTATGTAAGAGTGACCTTAATCTCTGCCATTTCATTGGGATGTGATATTACTTTTTATTTATTATTTTGGCTGGAGCAAGGACAGTTCAGAGCTTCTACTTAGCCTTCCCAACTAAGAACACTCTTATGCCACAAGCCATGAGTCTAATATGGATGTTCTGTCAACTGTCCAATACATCTATTTCCAGTCCATCCACTTTGTACCTGTGCCAGGATCCCATCTATACTCGACCCCTGGATGCCCCTTCTCTAACAGGAAGGCCAACGCTTTGGATCCCCCTTTCCACTTGGATTCTACAGTTAAAAATCTTCAAGATGTTTGAGTGTTCTCCTTCCCTGGTGCATTGTTACTCAAGGAGATGTCTATGGGTCCTTTTGAGGAAGAACTAGGAAAATTACTACTGCATACAGTAGGCTTGATGTTGGTAGATCCTTTCTCCTGGGGACTTGGCTTTCTGTCAATTGCTTCTGGATCTGAAAACTGGTTCAGATCTAAAAATAGAGCAAGGAATCTTGACTTCTTATTGAGATGTTGGCTCTCAGCCCCTTGATTGTCCATCTTTGGTTTCTTGTATAGATTTATAGATCTTTGTATAGGTGTGTTTGTATAGCTCAGGTTTTCTCAATCTTGGCACCATTAACATTTTGAGCCAGATCATTCTTTGCTGTCAGGGGCAGTCCTGAATACTGTAGGTGTAGTAGTCCATTCTCATGCTGCTATAAAGAAATACTCGAGACTGATATTTTATAAAGAAAAGAGGCTTAATTGACTCACAGTTCTGGATGAGTTGGGAGGCCTCAGGAAACTTACAATCATGGCAGAAGGCACCTCTTCACAGGGTGGCAGGAGAGAGAATGAGTGCCAAGCAAAGAGGGAAAAGCCCCTTATAAAACCATCAGATCTCATGAGCACTCACTCACTATCACAAGAACAGCATGGGGGTAACTGCCCCCAAGATTCAACTACCTCCCACCAGGTCCTTCCCATGACATGTGGGAATTAGGGGAACTACAATTCAAAATAAGATTTGGGTGGGGAAACAGCCAAACTATACCATGCCTCCCCTGGTCCCTCCCAAGTCTTATGTCCTTACATTTCAAAACACAATGATGCCTTTCCAACAGTTCCCCAGAGTCTTAACTCATTCCAGCATTAACCCAAAAGACCAAGTCCAAAGTCTCATCTGAGACAAGGCAAGTACCTTCTGCTTATGAGCCTGTAAAATCAAAAGCAAGTTAGTTACTTCCTAGATACAATGGAGGCACAGGCACTGGGTAAATATACCTGTTCCAAATTGGAGAAATTGGCTAAAACAAAGGGGCTACAGGTCCCATGCAAGTCTGAAATCCAATAGAGCAGTCATTAAAGTTTAAAGTTCCAAAATAATCTCCTTTGACTCCATGTGTCACATCCAGGTCACCTCGTTGCAGGAGGTGGACTCCCACAGCCTTGGGCAGCTCCACTCCTGTGGCTTTGTGGGGTACAGAACTTCCTCCCAGTTGCTTTCACAGACTGGGGTTGAGTGTCTGCAGCTTTTCCAAGTGCACAGTGCAAGCTGCTGGTGGATCTACTATTCTGGGGTCTGGAGGACAGTGGCTCTCTTCTCACAGCTCCACCAGGCAGTGCCCTGTGAGGACTCTGTGTGTGGGCTCTGGCCCCACATTGCCTTTCCACACTGCCATAGCAGAGATTCTCCATGAGGACTCTGCCCCTGCAGCAGATTTCTGTCTGGACATCCAGGTGTTTCCATACATCCTCTGAAATCTAGGTGGAGGTTCCCAAACCTCAGTTCTTGTCTTCTGTGTACCTGCATGACAGACACCAAGTGGAAGCTGCCAAGGCTGGGGGCTTGTGCCTCTGAAGCAATGACTCGAGCTCTACCTTGGCCCCTTTTAGACATGGCTGGAGCAACCGGTATACAAGACACCAAGTCTCGAGGCTGCACACAGCAGGGGGCGGCCCTGGACCCAGCTCAAGAAACCATTTTTCCCTCCTAGGCCTCTGGGTCTGTGATGGGAGGGGCTGCTGTGAGGGTCTCTGATATGCCCTGGAGACATTTTCCCCATTGTCTTGGCAATTAACATTTGGCTTCTAATTATTTATGCAAATTTCTGCAGCCAGCTTGAATTTCTCTCCAGAAACTGGGTTTTTCTTTTCTATTACATCACCAGTCTGCAAATTTTCCAAACTTTTTTGCTTTGTTTCTTCTTGAATGCTTTGCCGCTTAGAATTTTTTTCTGCCAAATACCCTAAATCATCTCTCAAGTTCGAAGTTCCACAGATCTCTAGGGTAGGGGTAAAATGCTGCCAGTCTCTTTGCTAAAGCATGACAAGAGTTACCTTAACTCCAGTTCCCAACAAGTTCCTCATCTCCATCTGAGACCCTCAGCCTGGACTTCATTGTCCATATCGCTACCAGCATTTTGGTCAAAGCCATTCAACAAGTCTCTAGGAAGTTCCAAATGTTCCCACATTTTCCTATCTTCTTCTGAGCCCTTCAAACTCTTTCAAACTCTGCCTGTTACCCAGTTCCAAAGTTGCTTCCACGTTTTCAGGTATCCTTATAGCAGCACTCCACTCCTGGTACCAATTTACTGTATTAGTCCGTTTTCACACTGCTATGAAGAAATATATCCAAGACTGGGTATTTTAAAAGAAAAGAGGTTTAATTGATTTGTAGTTCTGCATGGCTGGGGAGTCCTCAGGAAACTTACAATCATGGTGAAGGCACCTCTTCACAGGGCAGCAGGAGAGAGAATGAGTGCCAAGCAAAGGGGGAAAAGCCCCTTATAAAACCATCAGATCTCATGAGAACTCATTCACTATCCTGAGAACAGCATAGGGGTAACTACTCCCAAGATTCAACTACCTCCCACTGGGTCCCTCCCATGACATGTGGGAATTATGGGAACTACAATTCAAGATAAGATTTGGGTGGGGGCATAGCCAAAGCATATCAGCAGGATATTTAGCAGCATCCCAGCTCTCTACACGCTGGATATCATTTACGTCCTCTTAGTTCAGATGGTAATAACTGAAAATATTTTCCCTCAGCTGTGACAACAAAAATGTCTCCAGACATTGCCAGTGCCTCCCTAGGGAGAGAAGAGGAAATGCCCTGCTCCTCCTTTGGGAACCACAAGGGTAGATTGAGGGCTTTACTTGTTGGCTGCCCTCTGTCTTGTTGGTATGGGTGCTGTGTTCTATTAACATCTATTACCATAGCTTGGTGTAAGGCCAGCCTGCTGCCTGCCCTTTTATGATTATTGCACCCACCTTGCTTTTGATGGGTGATTGTTGCCACCCAGCCTCTATTATTTCTAGATCCTGCCATGCCTGTTGCTATCAGGGAGCCTGGTTCTGTAGTGGCTTCCCCTATGCCCAGTCCTGTCCTGCAGATGATGGACACCACTGTGTTACTCATTACTTTTGAGGTCCCTCTATTAGCACGTCCCTTGTTGCTTTGGTAAAGGCAATGCCCTCATCGCACTTTTCCAGACTTTCATGGTGTATCCACTGTGGCATGCTCTCAACTCTAGGCCCTTGGTTCCCACATCCACTTGTTGCCATGGCGGGTCTGGCATTTTGGCCTCAGTCAATATGGGCACCATCTTCTTCAATGTTCCAAAAGCCACCCTAGCAGCTTTTAGGTATCTTCTCCTGAGGTCTTTCCTAAAGTGTTAAGTCCTGTATCATCAGATAGTTTTCCTGTATCAATGAACTTTCTCTTGCCCAACTTCATTTTCTGCTCCTGCTCCTGCTCCTGCTAGTGCCTTCCTGCCTTGATCTGATGCTTAATTCCAGTCTTCTACACATTCTTTGTACATGTTGGCCAAGTCCTGAAGGTCCTTTGGGGAGAGCCCTTTCCTCCACTATCAGGCTTAGAACTCTTCCCCACAAGCTTATGGGTGATTCTAGCTTAGTCATGAGTTTGTTGGGCATGAGGGAAGGTGAGAATTCTCTTGGGATAGGTGTGTATTATCCTACCAGACAGAGACTCTGCATCATCTTCAAGCACCAGGGGCACTAGCCTTCGACAGGGAGAAGGCCAATCTTGCAAGCCCAGAGGCATCAGAGGGATCTGGGAATTTGAGATCTTCAAGCACACCCACCCATGACTCAGCATCCATTTCTGTTTCAATCAGGCCCTGACCTTGGCCCAGCACACCTGCTGACACTGAGGATTTAGATTTGTGTGGTGTTCTGCTAGGCTCATGATAAGGCTTGGGCCTTTCTTCAGGTTCCTCTGCCTGCAGCCCACAGGAAATAAGAGTCTTCTTTACTTTTATAAAATAAGCCAGAGCTTCCAAAATGGGCCTGGGTTTCATACTTAGCCTTGAGTTCCTAATGAATCACCCCCAGCCTTGCTTTATTTCTGTCTATAGCCTTGATTTCCGCAGCAGCAGCTAAATGATTTCATTGTCTTTATAACTACCCTTTCCCCCATATTTCTTGGCTATCTGACTCAGCCACGTCATGGTTCCCACATCGTGCATGCTTTCCACAGGTATAGCACCCCACTTCCCCAGGGTGAGCGCCCTAACACCTGCACACTGCTGCACTTCAGTGGGGCTCCATGCTGCACCTGCACGCTGCACTGAGGGTCCACACTTTCAGCTGGCTGGCAGGTGATCCAGATCCAAGCCCTGTGCCAAGGTCTGCTTTCCTCCCACTGCTCCTGATGTGACTGTCAGGTCAGTTTCCTGGAAGCTGCCTCTAAGGTGGAGATGAGAATGCAGGGTGATACTGAGCCATGCCTTGTAATGATACTGTGTGGCAGTGAATGGGGCAGGATGGGGCAGAGACAGAACTCAGGCCATGATTGAGGCAGAGCAATGCCTCCGTGGATCCTACAACAAGCTTTGGAGATGGAATGGAAGATTCTGCAGAGTTGTTCCAAATTGGGACCAGGGGGCCAGGCCTTTTTTGGATATGTTCTGCCCCCTGCATAGCTCCCTTTGGCTGACAGCAATCTCTTTAGGGGCTCAGAATTGAGAGTTGGGTCCATCACCAACACTCTCAGCAGGTGGGACAATGAGTACTTCAGTCCCCAGAGGGTGGGGGATTGGGGTGGTCCACTATGGAGTCCAGCACAGAAACCAACTTTAGCTCTTGGTCAGAGGTCTTAGTCACCTCAGGATGCCTTAAAAGAATACCACAGTCGGGAGGGTCAGCAACAGAAAATTACATTCTAACAGTTCTGGACGCTGGAAATCCAAGGTCAAGGTGCCAGGGCTGGCTCCTTCTGAGATCTCTCCCCTTGGCTTTTTCTCCCTGTGTCTCCACAGGGCCGTCCCCCTGTGCATGTCTGTGTCTCAAGCTCTTCTTCTTATAAGGACACCAGTCATAATAGATTAGGGTCCAACACTTATATACCTCATTGAACCTTAAACCTCATTAGAGGCCCTATCTCCACATGCAGCTGTGTTGGGGGGCGGGCCTTCAGCATATGAATTTTGCAGGGACACGATCTGGTCTGTAGCTGTAGACGAGCAGGCTGGTTCTGCAGAAAGAATCATGGATCTGAAATTTTGGGAACAATTACTGAAAAGTGAATTGGAGGAGTTCACCTGTGTGGAGAGTGGAGACAGGGAAAATAATTAAGGACTCAACCAAGCCCAATTCTGAAAGCTGTCAGGCTGCTGAGAATCGAGAGGTCCTTTCAGCCAGCCCACAGTGCGGCCTTCAGAGCTGCAGTGGCACTTCGAAGACAAACACCCACTGACCTTTTCATCAAAGAGAGGGGCTGCAGAGGTGACACGCAGGCTCTGCAGGCCAGGCAGCCAGTCCTCATCGGCAGGACAGGCTTGGGCATTTAATTGGGCTGAAAGGAACTATGAGTTATAAAATGACCTTTCCATCCATACATAGGGAATAATTTAAGCCTTAAGAATAGGAGCGGCTTCAGTTATGTTCGTAGCACTTGGAATTAGAAGGTGTGACAAGACAGAGATCCGTAGGAGCATCACGAATGGATTTTACCTGTCCCTGTATGTCTCCCATATTCTTCCTTTCTCTCCTGTTGGCTGGTGCCTTTTGGAAGAGTCACTTCACCTAGGTGTGAAGATGGGATGGAAGGTTGCATGCATAAAACCCAAATTATTTCAGATTAGAGGGAGACATAGAGGGTAAAGGAAAGAGAGAGAGAGAGAGAAAGAAAATACAAGTTATGCATACCAGGTTCTCAATAACTTCAAGAAATAAAAAAACATACACACCTACTATACAGAGTGGCTAATTAAGAGTGACCAGTAGTGTGGAGAAGATATGGGGTATGATGTAGAGGCATAATGATGTTTGTGCAATATTAGTTGCTAAAATCCTGGAAGACCATAGCCAAATATTTCTGTTAATTATTATTTTTTCTTCAGAAAGGCAGTAAAACCCAATTATCTAGGTTTAAAACAGGTGTGTTTTGTGGGAAGATTTTTTAACATTTTAGAAAACTGGACTAAAATTTGACAGCCGATTTTAAAATACCCTTTTTTCTCATTTTCAAAAGAGAAAATTCTTACCTGTTGGCATGGGAAAGAGAATTTAATTTCACAGAACAAAAGAGCTTTCTTTCCTACAGCAACATTCACACTTAGTGACCGCTGGGTATTTATTTATTCAGAAGTGGTTTCAGGTGCCGACTCAGTGCTGGGCATCATGCCAGGCATGGCAATGAAAAAATAAGCGGGGTGATGTGGCCTGGCCTCTCCCTCTCTCAAGAGGCTTAAAGTCCAGAAGGTGGGAGACAAGGCTTGAGTAAACAAGCACACATACTCATGCATCCTTACAACAAGTACATCCTTCCAGGAGGGGTTTAAAGAATTAGGCTGCATGTCCATATCTGTGGATAGAACCTGCATAGCCTCCCGGCTCGGGGCCACATCACATCCAGTGGTTGGCAGCAGGCTAGAGTCTGCAGGAAGATTCAAGCTCAGGGCAGCAGGGAAGGAGGTGAGGAGTCAAAGACAGGAGCCCCTGGGTTCACCCATCGGGCCAGGGATGCTGAGGCTCCCCATGTAGACACCCAGAGTGTATAGTTGGCATCGGGCTGGGAAGCAGTGAAGGTAGAAGAAGGGAGCCTCGCCATGAAGGCCAGGCTGTGCAGTCTCCGTTCCAAGGAGGATGACCACCTTCTTCATCTGTGCTGGATTAAAACAGCGCTATGTCTGCAAAGGCAAGGAAATGAAGCAGAAGGTAGGTTCTTTTTCAAAGTCCCCCACACCTCCAGAAACTATACACAAATGATGCATTTGGTATGCAAGTCTGATGAAAAGCCCTAGGTCATTAATATATAGTGTCCCTATAAATAATCTCAAAGACAGCTTGGGCCAACTCTGCCCCTTCAGGCAGGATCATGCTTCTAAGAAGATGAAAATAATCTGTCCTTATTATATATATACATTTCCATAAATTATAGAACCACATGTCTGTATTTTAATTCAGCCAGGCTGAAGTTTTCCCCAAGATCTAATATACGAAGCTGTAGATCTAATTCTTCTGAAGTTCCTTCAAAATTTATTTCCCAGCTCAATATATTTCATGTAGATATTTTTGCTTAGGTTGGCAGATGCAAGGCTTGAATACTTGTATATTACCAGTGGAGAAAATCAGACACTGAGCAATGGAACAACTTCGCCAAGGTCATACAGAAAATGATTTCTCACATCTAGGATCCAAGTTCTAAGCTTCTGGTTCAGAACCCCATTGGTCACGTAAGAGTGTTTGGCTAACCTGAGAAAAGTCGAATGATGGGGCACGTTGAAGCTATTGACATACATGTGTAAAAGTAAACCACAGCCAAGCGGGCCTGAAAAGGAGGTGGAAAGGGAGAGAGTATCACTGTGTCAAGCAGCACGTCTCAAACCTGACTGCTCATCGGAACCACAGGAAAAGGTTGAAAGATTGCTCATTGACTGTCCTTGTCCCTGGATATGCTATGAAGAGGTCCAGGTAGTCTTTGGCGTTCTTGATCTGGTAACTGGTCTTATTGGGGTAGTACTGTCCCACGAGGATGAATGGGAGGAGATGTCGTCCCAGGGCCCATCTGTGGGAGAGGATGCAATGTGTGTTCAGGCTGGGGTGCCTCTTGACAGCTAGCATGCTTGCATTTGAGACCTGGTGGGTTGCACACTCAGACCTGTCTTGTGTCACTGGCGAGCACCGATTTCCCAGGGCAGCTTGACCCTCCCTTTGTAGCAATACTGAACGTTCATTTTGTGTTCTCTATAACAGGACAACTCCACGACTCATTAACAGGAGATAGTTATTTTGCTAAAGATATCCTGGGGAAATAAGTAGGATGAAATTGCATACCACAAGGCCTTGAGAAAAATCCCCCTTAAGGTAATTCTATCCTTTCCCTGAAATTTCTCTGTGTGCTTGTGATGGCATCTGTGTTCGTTTCCTGTGGCTACCAGAATCAAGTACCAAGACTGCGTGGCTTAAGCAACCAAAATGTATCCCCTGGCAGTTCTGGAGGCTGAAAGTGTGAGGTCAAGGGGCAGCACGGTTGGTTCCTCTGAGACCTCTCTCCTTTGCTTGTAGATGCCATCTTCTCCCTGTATCCTCACAGCGTTGTCCCTCTGCGAGTGCCTGTGCCCTAATCTATTCTTCTTATAAGGACACCAGTCTATTGGATTCGGGCCCACCCTAGTGACCTTGTTTTAACTTAATCACCTCTTTAAAGACCTTTTCTCCAAATAAGGTCACATTTTGAGATATTGAGGGTTAGGACTTGAATGTATGAATTCTGGAGGAAGGCAATCAGCTCAGACCATAACCCATTCTCCCCAATAGTCTTCATAGTCCCTTGGTTGGTCCCAAAGAATTGCTGAGTCTACCCAGCAAAGCCTCAGCCCAGCCCTGCACCTCCAATCCTGCCCCTCTACTTGGAGCCTCAGCACTAATTGCTGTGCTGCCAACCTCAGGCTGCTGCAGCCCTTGATGTGTCTTTGTGTTGTTAGAAAATGCAGGTCTGCTCCAGAGCCAGCCAGCAGAGCACAGGCTGATTCTCCACATGCCCTCTGCACAGCCTGGAGGACCACAGCAGGGACCCCATGGAGGCTCACACTGGGAGACCCCTTCTACACCTCCAGGCTGTGGGGGTCCAGCCCCCAACAGGGCAGGAGGCCCCTGGGGAGGGTGTGGTTTTTGCCCCTGAGAAATCACAGGTGTCTCCTAGTATAGATAAGCAAGCACCCTTCTTCCAATCTGTCAATCTGTCCTACATCGCAGATGACACTATGGCTCCAGTTCCTCACCCTGCCCTCCTCCTCCTTCTCTCCCACTACTAACCACCTGGGCAACCCTAAAGGCATCCCACGTGGGCCTTCCCAAGCGTGGCATTGGGGGCAAGGAGGAGGAGGGGAGTGAGAGAAGGAGGATGCTGTCTTCATTAGTTTGCAAATGATTTGTGTGGTCAGGATATGTAAATAAATAATTTATATACATATAAAAGAAACGAATATAACACACATATTTTATATAATATATATAATGTTCATTTCTGTCGCTCTGTGAAATATAGGTTATTTTATAATAACTCATGTATGAGACTCTGTCTTGCTGGCTGGTGTTCCCACGCTGTGGGCGAGGGTGCTGACCAGCTGGTGCTCCTGGCCAAGGCCTCTGAGGGCAGCCTGTGCTCGCCGGTGCCCATTTGGGGGCGCATGGCCTTCTGCTTGCTGTCCAAGGTGGACCTGAGGATGTGGTCGCATCGGTGACCTGGGCATGTAAGGAGGGCAGTCCAGGTCAGAGGGCGTGGGGCTGCTGAGCTGAGGAGAGAGGGTTGATGGGCTGGAGTCTGGTGGCCTGCTCTGCACAGGGAGATGAGGGGTGCTGGGGACGGGTGGCAAGACGCTTCAATCTTCTCGCCAGACCCTCTCAGTCCTGTACCGGGACTGGCAGAGTAACAGATGTGAATGTGCCTTCAGTCTGCACAACGCTTTTTTGGGACAGTTGAGGGCCCACTCTGATGCCTTGAAGACTCTTCAGAGCCTCACGATGTTGGGACTGAACAAAGGATGGAACCTCTTCCCGGAAAAGCTGAACAGGACTAAGGCAAGGAGACCTTCAACCAGGCCAGGGCCAATGCCCAGGCTCCTTCCTGGCCCCACTGTGGTTGTGAGGAGGGCACATCAGCAAGGCTGCTGGAGCCGCTCGCCTCCTTTGTTGAGGTCGTGGGGACCCATTCCCATGTCCCAGTCCATCTACTCTTATCCTTCCAGCTCAGGGTACAAGCAGGGCGACAGATATGGGATAGGGGAGAGACAGCAGAGATATTAAAGTCCTTGGGCTGAGTTTTGTGTTATAAAGGGCAAGGGAAACACAGCTCCTGGGAAAACCTGAAAGTGCGTGAGCGGGCACGCAGGTATTTTCAGAGCTCCTCTTCCCTTAGAAAAACAATCCTTCCCATTGACATTTGAAAGGTATTTTACATGCATGTAAATCTTGCACTCATTGAAAAACGCACAATGGCATCCCTGTGATGATCTTTGAAACTTTAGCTTTTACTTTTTACTTTTTTTTTTTTTTTAAAAGAGACAGGGTCTCGTTCTGCTGCCCAGGCTGGAGTGTATTACTTTTTAAAGAAATCGAGCATTTCCTTCCATCCTGGCGGAATTTGGAGCAGCGACCTAACGTGCCGTTCTCTTTTGCACCACTAGGTGGCCCCTGGTGCTCTCAGATGTCGGCCAGGCTTGCAGACAGGTGAATGCATCTCATTGGCTCCAGGGAGGCATGATGCCACCGGGCAGCTCTTTTTAAGAGAAAAGCCAGAACCGGTGGAGCAGCGACCCCTGAGCAGTGTTCTCTGTGCTGAGCGGCGGGACTGAGCTGTTGAGTTAGAGCCAACATGAGTGAGGTGAGTGATGCTTCGACCTGGAGAGGGAAACTTAGGAGTGAGAAGGGACCTCGGCTGAAGGATTAGTCTCAGGAAATGTGAGGGACTTAGCAGTGCTGAGGAACAAATTAATCCTGTAATTATTTGCTTGGAGAACTGACAGGATTAATCTCTTGGTTTGAATGGTAAGTGCAGAAATTGGTTAAGTTTGCAACTTCTACAATTAGCCTGAGGAGGAGAAAGGTTTGCTTTCTGATTGAATGGTGACTTTGAAAAGTGCTTTGGGTTTTAGAGCTCAGAAGAGAAAGCCAAATGTTTTATTCTCTTACGAAGATGCGTGTCTTTGCATGATTCCCGCGGTGATACCTTTCAGAATGTGAGTGGGCAGGTGGTCATCTGGTGAATGCAAGCCATGGAAGGGAAGGGGACAAGGTGGGGAAAGGGCTGGCCGTTGGGTGGCATTTCATGGCTCAGTTGTACAAACTACCTCTGCAGTTAATCAGAGCACCAGGGAAAGAAATGCAAAAAGTAGTAGGAACTGGGAAACATCCGTGTGTATAGATCTGTGGCTCTAAGACCGGAGGCGGCCCCGGCAGAAGAAGAGCTACAATTTTGCAAATCCAAAGTCACTTCTCTAAACTTGTTTATACAGAATGTGTTTTACTGGGGCCAACTGACAGCACGTTTGTTTTTCTAAAATCATCTTCTCCTTTTTTCTCATCTATGAAGCAGATTAGCGGTGGTACAACACCATTCTCTAATTCAACTCAATAACCGAGCCAAATGCATCTTCATTTCCTCTTGGTTGGCACTTAAATAATTACTTTTAAAGATCTTTTATCTTCTCTGTCTCTTTTTGACAGATGGATGATTCTTTTCTTGGAAGTCTAGGATAAAATTAACAACTTCAGAAATAAAATGCCTCCTCCCTGCTTTTATCTCTCTGATGGGTGATTTTTGATGTAAACATGACAAGAAGAAGAGCAAAGCACTATAAAACTTAGAAATGGGGTTTAGGACAAAGCCAGGGGTTTGAGGCAGGGAGAGACCAACTGTGGGGTGGAAGATGGGAATTCTCCCACCACCACAATCAATGGTACCTGTAACAGCAGCTAACACTTGCCTAATGGTCTGTGTGCCGACAGTGTCAGGCTGTCTCTGCATCTGTCACCTTCTTTGAACCTCTCAACAACTCCGTGCAGTGGGCACCATTATTATTCCCAATTGACAGATGAGGACACTGAGGCACAGAGATGGGAACTAAGTGGTTTGAGGTCACCAGCTAAAGAACAGTAGAGCCAAGACTTGGGCTGCAATGCTGGGTGGTTGACTGCCGGGTGAATCTTGATGTCTAAATGTGTATGGAATTTGCTGAACAGAGGGGATGGCAGAGGTTGGAGGAGGAGAGGGGAGGTGAAGAGAAAGAAAGAAAGGAGCTGGGGCTCTGAAATAGAGATGGAATGATGAGGATGAGACCTCCATTTCCCACATGCTAGGAGGAGGGGCTTTCTGCTGGACTCTACAGATATTTCAGAAGCTTCTGTGTCCACATCAGCTCACCTTGCTTGCAACAAGAAGGGATGGCTGCGTGGAGTGGTTTTTCTTTATATACAACTTATCCAATAAGAGTTTCCTATAGAAGAAGGACTTAGAAAGCAGCACAGCACTGAGGGGTGGCCTCTCGGGTCAAGTCAGCTACCCTGGGATTCTGGCTCAGTCATGCCGTCACTTGCTGAGGCTTCTGGCCAGCAAGGTGCTCATGAGCTCTCCAGGATGCTCAGCTCTGCTGGGCTCACTCAACTGTGCGGGTCTCCAGGGAGAAAGCGCGTGTTCCAGAGCTCACCTGTGATTAGGGTCACAGCCTGGTTCCTGCTGAACGGGTAATCAGGGCAGCTCTGTAGTCACCGCCCCGCCATGGCGCTTATCAGACACATTTGCAGGTTCTTGCAGGAGCTCTTGCCTTAGTTCCTTTAATGTGGATAAAAGCACACAAGGGGCACATCCCACTTTTCTGCCTCCCCTTGCTGCTCACAAAACCCCTCCCAGCTCTCTGCTCCTCATCCTCCCTCCTGCCCTCTTCTCCCCCTCACATCACATGAGGCCTCCTCCCTCTGACCATCAGCATGGCCACCGCTCCTGGCTGATCTCCAAGTTCCTGGGCATGTGCTCCTTGGAGAGCAGGAATTTGTCCTTTGACTAAACCTCAAATCTGCTTAAAATCTTTAGTAAAGTGCAACAGAAGCTCCTTTCTGGGTAGAGAACTCGATTCCCCCTTCATGGCACCCCTCAAGGGGTTTCTTTGGTTGGATGAATTAAATGTGGCTCCTAGTTTTAATAACTCTCAGGCAGAAATGGCTTTCAGATCATCATTTACTTGCATGTGTGACTAATTACCAAAGAAAGCCAGAGCAATGGATTTTGCCAGACTTTCCTTGACCTTAGGATTGATTGGGGTCTGGTGGGCCAATAGTGCCTGCTGCAGTGCCAGGGCTGAGTGCCTGCTGCAGAGGCTCCGGAGCTCATTAGCTGCTTACCCAGGCCAGTGGGCAAGCCTGCTGGCTGGAGAGGACCCCAAAGTGTCATATACTCCCCGGGGCCTGCTCTGCACTTCCAGGCCTCCCCGCCTTTAAGGGAAAGGTGGAGTGGCAAAGGGAGCCTCGAACTGGCTTTAAACTGGGCAGCTTTACAACAAGACGTCTTCTTTATTTCCTGTAACAACACTTTTTAGGGGAAATGACATGTGATAGAAAAGAACAGCTCAGGAAAGTAAAGTACAGCGAGGAAAGTAAAGTCCAAATTTAGGGTAATGTGAGAGAGAGGAGGTGGTTTGTGGGGGTGTCTGATTTACATTTTGGTATTAAAATATGTCAGATGTGCCTGGAGCAATCTATGAGATGAATTGGAAGAGAATGTAGCAGGGATCAGAATGCAGGCTTAAGTCTATCAGCTGGATCAGAAATCTTAACCATCACAGCCTCAGTTTACAAGGTGCATTCTTTCTCCCTCATCGTACTCACCCAGGCACAAGAAAAATGACTACCTTTGTTCAGCCACTTCATAGAGCTTTTGAAAAAAGAGTTCCTGGAATAATGACAGTCAGTCCCACGTTCTCCTTTAGGTGTCTATTTTTAAGTTGCTTTTCAAAAGAACTCATTTAGGAGAGCTAGGGGCAAGGTTGGAAGGCATAAGGACAAACATCTGAGCGTGAATTTAAAAACGTGACGCCCTTGCCCTGTTTAGGGTGCGGGTTGGAGACGTTCCAGGTCACGTAATCAAATGACAGCTATTAATTGGACTTGAGACCCCTTTGGGAAAAGCCTCTTCGTAACCCCGAGTTTCACGGTCATGGGCTGGGCTTTTTTCTTGCTTTGGCGTGGATGGGAAAGTGCAACTCAGTACAAGGGCTGTGGCTCTTTCTTTCGTCTAGACATTGGCCGCAGGGCAAGGCGATGCCCATCAAAGGCATGGTTTGAAAAACATCAAGGACATTTAAGGGTAAATCTTTAGATACACATGTCTGTTCTTAGCACCCAAACAGAATCCATGTCGAACTTAATGTATACGTTAAAACGTACAATAATCTCTAAAGGAAGAAGAAAGCTGTAAATGGCATTTTTCTTGACAGAGATTGCAAACGGGAGGCTACATGCAGTTAACTCGTGAGGTGAGGACATAGAAAAAACATGAATTAAAAAAATGTTTTGCCACTGATTTTAAAATATCATACATACAACAGTGGTTTGGGGCTTACATAGTTGACTCTCACGATTGCCCAGTGGAGGGACTAAGGTTAAAACGAAACAGATCCTAAGAAGAGAAAGATTATGGCTTTGAGCTTCTTACAACGTAAGGGTAAACTCAAACAGATGCTAATGGGTGGCTGATTAGATTTGTAAGGAGCTGTATATTTTAGACCAGTTGTTAAGCACAGATTCTGAGGGTGACTGCATAAAATGTGGGTTTTGCAAATGGTCTGCAAAACCCAGCAACAAAGGTCAAATGACAATTCAACTTCTTATGTAATTATAACCCCATTTGAGGGTGTACCTGCAGCAAGGACTCTGACAGATCAAGCAAGATCAGTTTTAGTTTCGTTGGACAACACCATGAAAGATACTCTTTCCTCTAATTGGGGATATTAAGTCCACATAGTCACCAGTTACAATCTGGGTTTGAAGTTCAACTTTTCCTAATAGAGAAGAGGTCAAAATTAAGCAGGAATATGTGTTTCCCAGGGCCGATGATTGTTAAGAGTTGCCATAAAACTTGTTTCCCCAGTCATGCATTCTATGAAGAAATGCTGTGGGGTTAAAAAGTCTCAGGTTTTCTCTTTTGAATTTTAAGAATGACACAATGCAAGATGTATATTTTTTTTTCAAAAAGAAAATAAATGACTCATTATTGATTTTATTAAAGGTTTAGTGAAGTAGTACGATCAAGATGAAAAGAAAACATGTTTTTGTAATGGAAAGTTTCTTAAACTTATGATGAGCACATTCTTTGTGTTATTTATTTACTTATTTATTTGAGATGGAGTCTCTCTCTCTTGCCCAGGCTGGAGTGCAGTAGCGCGATCTTGGCTCACTGCAACCTCTGCCTCCCAGGTTCAAGCAATTCTCCTGTCTCAGCCTCCTGAGTAGCTGGGACTATAGGCTCCTACCACCACGCCCAGCTAATTTTTGTAGTTTTAGTAGAGACAGGGCTTCACCATATTGGTCTGACTGGTCTCGAACTCCTGACCTCAGGTGATCCGCCCGCCTTGGCCTCCCAAAGTGCTGGGATTACAGGTGTGAGCCACCGCACCCAACCTGCGTTATTTTTTAAAATTCTAATTTCTACTCTCAGTGTTTCATTAGAGATGTGATCGGGGGAAGGCATTCACAATTTGTCTATGGTCCTTCTGTTCTTAGACCACTGGACACATTGAACTATTTGGACGCACAGATAATATCAGGACCTAAGCCTGGGGCTTTTCATTAATTTAAAATGACTTTCTAGAAAGGTCTTCATACTGGGAGAAAAGAAGAATTTTAGGGGATGCATGCATACAGGTTTATGTTATATTTAATGATATTTTTATGAAACACAACATTAAATATCCTGCTGTTAAAGTATTATAGGCTGCATAGTATTGATTAGAAGCATCCCAGACTGTGAACTTCCCAAAAGGGACAATTTTATGTCATTCACAAGTCTGACTGCTGGTTGGGCACTTGGTAAATGTCCAGTTACTGAATGAATAAATAAGTTTTGGGATGTGGATTTATCAGTTGCTGTAATCAATAGGCCAGGCACCCTCTTCTCTAAATGTTGAGGCTTGTGGTTGGGATACATTTGGGAAAGTTGTATTCCATCTTTTGTTCTTTACTCCTGGTTTGAAACCTGTGTTTGCCATGTAAATCCTTTTATGTGGGAAATGGGTGCATTGTTATATACGCAACATAAGTGCTCTCATGACAGTAAAAGAAAATGAGAAAAAATAAGAAGGATCTCAACAGAAGGACCTCTTGACATTTGGGAAAATGTCAGGGAAAATATGGGAACGGAGCAAGGGACGTAGAATTCTAATATCCTATGTTTCCCTGTTGTCTCCATTGAGACTAGCTCACTTCAGATAAGCTCAATGAAACTCAAGCAAAAGAGACTGTAGCCAGAGAGGCAGAGCCTGTGAATACCTTGGAAAGTGGTTTGCTGTATTGAAACAGAAAACCAATTTGACTGTGATTAGAAGAGAATAAGAGAGAGTCTAAGCAGATCTGTAGTAATATAGCCCCAGTGCCCAATCTCCATCAGCCCAGTTGTAAACTCTGGCATATTGTTGAAGGTAAACATCTAGCACGCGGAAAGCAAGTTCCATATTATTGCAAGGAAATAATTTAATTATCATCTAAAATTAATTCTTAATAGCATACTCATAATATTAATTAAAATAAATAATTGATATTTGAATATTTAAATATTTTAGTAAATTTATATTTGAAATAGGAATATATGAAAATTTATATGCAAAAAGGGATGGATTCAAATTTCTTTTCTTGGGGAGTTCGAAACTGAATTGCACGTCCATATCCCCATGTGATTAATCTGATAGGAGCTCTGCTTTCCTATCATCCCCAGGGATGAACTATTTACCATTCTTCTTCCCATTTTTCAAATGAGGTGCAATGTGAACAATGAATACAGAAACGTTTTCCAGTCACCTGGCACAAGGGCCTTTGGGGTATAGATATGGGAATGTTCGATAATGGATTGTTTTGTGCCACAAACAAAGCAAGCTTGCCACAGTCATCAATGGCTCAAACCTATAAATGCCACATTCATGTTGGGGCCATTCTACATGAACAATTTAGCATAAGCCACACATTCCAGGCATGGGTCTGCTTGTATATTGTTTATGCCTCACAAAGAGCTCTGAATTTATGCTTCAGAATCTCACTGAATTTACTGCTCATTCCATTTCTGGAAGGGAAACACTTGGCCCATATTTATGACATTGCCAGTAGAAAAATCAATCACCCACTAAATGCCATTATTTTATATTTTACTCTTAACCTGCCATTTTATAAATGAAAGGAAGACAAATTAGACTCATAAAGCAGGAAGGTAATCATCCACAAATTGAACATTTAAGGGCAAGGAAGCAAAAGCTGTGAACTGTTCCAACCATTCAAATAAGGCAATTTTCCTCACAAAGGAGCTAGAATAGAGAGCAGGGGAGTCCCTCTCTTCAAGGTTTCTGCCCTCCATTTTAGGACAGTCTTGGACTTGGATGAGACTAAAACGTCTCCAGCCATACACGAGTCAGACCTCTTCCTCGTAGTTCAAAAGACAACTTTTGAATGTTAAATATTATTTACGACGGTTTGATAGCAAAATGGGATCCAGATTGGCTTGAGATCACGCTATTCCTGGTATAACAATCCAAGTCTGTGGTATAGTGGCATGACAAAAGACACAGTCATCTGTTCCCGTAGCACCACATCTGTGCTTTGGTCAATAATCGAATGAAGTAATGGTTATTTTAATTTTATATGACCTCTGAGAAAAGGACTCCAGAAGTTAACAAGACCCATTAACATGTGTCTTAATCAAATAAGAGTAAAAATATAACAAGGAAACACAGAAACACAAGAGGGAGAAATAATATAATTTCTTCCTTTTTTTTCAAGATCTTTTTTTTTTTTCTAAAAAACAATACAAGCATCTGTTCATCAGGTGGTTAAGTTCTAGTATTTTAAAAAAAAACCTAGTTAAAAGGTTACACCTGCTTTAAAATTTATGATTCTTATGTACAGTAGCTCCCCCTTATCTTCAGATGCCCGGTGAATGGCTGAAAGTGTGGGTGGTACCGAATCCTACACATGCTATGCTTTTTCCATCCGATAATACCTGAAAGTGCTGCTAAGTGGCTACGGGCAGGTAGTGTAGACAGTGTGGATACGCTGGGCAGATGAATGATTCATGTTCTTAGACAGCAAGCGGTTTCATAACGCTACTCAGTAGAGTGTGCAATTTGCAACTTATGAATTGTTTATTTCTGGGATTTTCCATTGAATATTTTTGGACTGTGGTTAGCAGCAGGTAACTCAAACCTCAGAAAGTGAAACCAAGGAAGGTTAAGGGGGAACTACTGTGTGCAATTTCTTTATTAAATAATAGCCACTGTTTCGTTAGGAGTTGTTAGAGAAATATCACTTTTTTTTTTCTTGTACCCAGCAAAATGACTAATTGTATTTAGGGTTTTCTTTTTCAAATTGTAAATTTTCTCACAGTTTTTTTTTTGTTATGCAGAGAAATCTCTGATGCAATGAATGGGTCAAATTTTGAGCTGAGTGTGGCTGTGTGACAGCATCCTGGGTGCTGGTCTCCTCATCTCTGAGGGGTGACAGCATACACACAGACACTGGTGCTGCCACAAGTCTGCCCATGTCCAAGACGGGCGATGGTGTGGAGCCTTCCTTTACAGATCATAACTCTGCATCTTCCAGAGAGTTTTAGGTGGAAATAGCAACAAGCAAAACTTCAAACCATTATGCCATAGTGAGATCTTCTCCTTAAAACAATAAGGGTGACTTGACGTGATTTTATCCTCTTGCCTTCTATGACTTTCCACAATTGTGGTTGCTCTAACAACAACTGTCTGTTTTAGCATATCAATGTTTTGGGAACTATCTTTTCAATCTTCCTGCAGATCCATAACAGAACTATGGAATAGTGTCCACAATGACTAAGGATATCAATACTCCCAAGTTTTTGATAGTGTACCTTAATAGGGAAAAAATTTGACCATGTATACACAACAAATTTTTATTTATTTTACAATTATGTATACATGCGAATATGCCAATATAGTAAGAGTTAATCATTAAAGGAAGGGTAAGGAAATCTGTAATTCCAATAGACTTTTTGGTAACTGTACTTCTTTTTGAGTCTAATTTGATGGCTGAGGTTTTTAAGCTTGTATTGGTGCCCATGAAGACATCCTAAGAAAAGAAGGTTTAGTTAGTGCTTCTATCGTTTCCTTGGTGTTTGTGCTGATGGTGTTAGTATTATTTTCAGTCTATGATTTAATGCAGAATTTTTCAATTAAATCTGAATATATATTTAATTGAAATATATATTAAATATATAGTAAATAATATATATATGATTTACTATTTTAACCACTTTTAAGTGTACAGTTCAGCGGTATTAATTACATTTACACTGTCGTGAAACGGGTCCACAGAACTTGTTCATCTTTCAAAGCCAAGACTCTGCACCCATTCAACAACCACTCTCCATTACCCCGCCCCTATCCTCTGGCAAACCCATTCTATTTCTTACCTCTATCAGTTTGACTACTTTTGGTACCTCCTGTGCGTGGAATCATACAGTATTTGTCTTTTTGTGACTGGCTTATTTTACTTAGCATAATGTCTTCAAGGTTCATCTATGTTGTGGCCTGTGACTATATAGGACATTTTAAAAGCCACTTACCTACTGTGGGAAGATTAGTTTAGTTAAAGGTAGATTGTATAATCTGTAAATCCTCTTAATGGAACATAAGGAACTGCAAGGTATCACATGATGATATTCTGAGAGCAAGTCAACAGGCAGTGTGTCTGGGACAATCTCCCATTGTGGGACTCCTACTCTTTCCTACCCACCAAGTGATGATGTCATTATCAATCCAGATATTAGCTATGAATGAAACCTAATTTTTAAATTGATCTTAGATCCTACACAAATATAAATAGAAATTCTAAAGTCTTCTTTACCATGAGTGTTTGTGGCAGTGAAGCACCTTACAACCCCAGAGGTGCCGTTGACACTGTGGTCTGTGCCAACAGCACTGCCTGGAGTTGTGCTGTGAACAACCTATGCCACTGAACATGGTGGCTCTGCCCTTCCTTGAGTTGATGTCAGCCTGCTTAAGGACGGTTGACCTTGAGAAAGGCTGTCGTTTTTATAGTTCCACTTAGAATTCAGGGAATCAGAGAAGGGCATCGTTGTCATTTCATTCAAAGTGGTCATTTTAAAATAGGGGACTGAGTGTCCAACGATGAATCTTGTGCAGAATCACAGAGCTTCTTCAGAGAAAACCTAAGTTTCCTTTCCACATTTTCCATGCTATTACATTTCTCATTTTCTGGATACAACCTAATTTCTTTTAAACCTGTCCAAATTCCACTTAGGGTTTGCACAAGTAATTTATTAAATTAAAATTGTCCTGAATATTTTTATTAGCCTTGAGTAAAAAAAGAACAGCCACAGAAATCTTGACAAAGCCATTGTTTTGTTCATCAGGTCTTCCACTCTATTTCTAGGGATTCCAGCTTCCACCCTGACACCCCCAGCCTCCCATCCCGTCACACACAGAGAAGCTGAGAAATGTTAATAATGCTTCCCTGTGGAATGTTTCATTAAGACCCTTGTTGGGCATGGTGGCTCACTCCTGTAATCCCAGCACTTTGGGAGACCCAGGTGGGAGGATTGGTTAAGCCCAGGAGTTAGAGACCAGCCTGGGCAACATGGCGAAACCCCGTCTCTACCAAAAATTAAAAAAAAAAAAAAAATTAGCCGGGTGTGGTGGTGCATTCCTGTAGTCCCAGCTACTCAGGAGGCTGAGATGGGTGGATGGTTTGAGCCTGGGAGGTGGAGGTTGCAGTGAGCCATGATCATGCCACTGCACTCCAGCCTGGACAACAGAGCCAGATCCTGCCTCAAAACAAAAACAAATACAAAAACAAAACAAAACAATCAAAGAAACAAGACCCTTGTTGGCAAAGTTTTCTTTTGTTTTGCCTGGTAGTGTTCTTGACTTTGAGGTTATACCAATCACCTTTATGCCTTGCTTACTTCCTAGTGCTCTGTTTGAATGAGGAAGAGCATTCTGAACCCTAACATACACAATTTTTAGAAAACATTTGTCCAGAAAATGGTGGCCCTTTTTATGGCCAAAACCATTGCATATATAATCAGTCATCACAAATTTTGTAGTCACATTTCTTTTTTTCTTCTAGATTGTGACGAGAGAGAGAGAGAGATTATGTCTTCTATACCGTTTCATCTTCCCAGCACTATATCATTGAACTCCCATTGATGGAGAATCAATAAGACGTGGTCCTTACCCCTTAAAGAACTTGTAGGGGGAGACAGAATCACATAAAATTAACTCTACTCTGGTGTCCACGCAGAGCTACAGGCCTATTCTCTGTATAAAGCAAGTGCCAGGATGCATGGGTTAATTTGCCATTGCTCAGAGCTGGGAAGGAGAGGAAAGAAGATGCTAATGGGTAACCTTCCCAAAGCAGCCGGGGCTTACAGAAGTAGGGGCTCAGCACACATTGATTGAAGAATAGCACTACGATAGCACTCTGCGAATCTTAAAAGTCATACAATTTAGAGCCATGTGAGAATTTAGCAATCTTCAAGCTCATTGTATAGATACATGTCCATTATGATACTGTAGTTAATTCTGAACTCCTGCCTGGTGATAAAAATTGCTTTAAACATGTTGGACATTTTCTCATCCACATCAATGAATATTTGGGCTCTAGGGACTTGTTGCATCTTTCTTTAAAAGTGAAAAGTCTTCTGTATATTGGAAAGAGATTACATGAGGACAGTCAATTACATTTTTGAAAGTGCACACATTGGTTGGTTGTAAAATTTACATGATCCAATTGTGAGAACTGTGTACATGGATTTAGGTATGTCTGTTATTTCCCTTTGTGAGAGTATCTATCCGTGCTTGCTCATGGTAGAGTATCATTGCACTTTGTATCTCAGAGCTTCTAGTGGCTTCTTAACCATTATATTATTGTCTTTTCTTTGAAGTTTGCTCAGGGGATGGGCTCAACCCTGTATTTATAACTCTGCTCTCACATATGCTTAAGTCTTGTCAAAATATCTAGATAATACAGTGCCACACCTCAAATATTTCTGGAAATGTTCTATACCTCAGAAATGTGGGATATTTTACCTCTTCTTGAAGAAAATTTTCTTTTCTTTCCTTTTTCTTTTTTTTTTTTTGAGACTGAATTTTACTCTTTTTGCCCAGGGTGGAGTGCAATGGCGCTATCTTAGCTCACTGCAAAGTCCACCTCCTGGGTTCAAGTGATTCTCCTGCCTCAGCCTCCTGAGTAGCTGGGATTACAGGTGCGCACCACCATGACCAGCTAATTTTGTAATTTTAGTAGAGATGGGGTTTCACCATGTTGGCCGGGCTGGTCTCAAACTCCTGACCTCAAGTGATCTGCTTGCCTCGGCCTCCCAAAGAGCTGGGATTGTAGGCATTAAGCCACCAATCCTGGCCAAGAAAGTTTCTTAAAATAGATGTAGCAATTTGTCAAGCACCTCCACCAAATACCTCCTTCAAGTTCATAGTTATTTTTCATCCAGGTTCCTTCTTTGCCGTCTTTAAAAATGATTCATTTCATTTCTCAGGCACTATTCTATGAATTTCCATGTCATCACTTTTTTTCTGAGTTCTTGCTAGGAGCCAGAATTGGCTGAAATTCCTATGAGAGTTCCCCCACAGTTGCATTTTGGATGAGGATTTCGAATTTCACATGACAAAATATAAATGCCGCTAAATGTAACTCCAGAGGTACAAGCAGTGGCGTCGGAGGCCCCTTCTCTGGCTCCTTAATGCCCCCATTAGTATTACAACAAGGAAAAGAGACATGGGCTGAAGAGTCAGGCAGATACTGGCAGAAGTGAGTCCAGTTAAAAACACATCATGGTTCTGTAACCCGCCCTGCTGGCCCCCTCTGCCTTCAACCTCTTTTGAGGTAACGTAGCTCAGAGTTCAGACATCCATAAAAGCCTGTGACAGGGAGTAGGGCAGGACCAGTGACATAATTTGTGGCCCCAATGAAAAATCAATACGATGCCCCTTGTTAAACATTGATTAGAATTTGAAGATGGGGACAGCAACATATCAGACCAAGCCAGGGCCCTTCTGAGAGTGGTCCCCCTTGGACCGCATGGGTCACTCTCTCATGAGGCCAGTCCTGGGTCAAAATGAGAAGCATCCCAATTGCTTTTTAATGAACAAATTAAAAACAAAAGAGGCAGAGCTGAAGAAACATAATTCCATTATCTTTGCAATGTCTGGAGATATCTATATCTATCTATATCTATATCTATATCTGTATCTATATCTATATCTATATCTATATCTATATCTATATCTATATCTATATCTATATCTATCTATATCTATTCCCTGTCCAAGTGGAAGCTCTCAAAATGGCCCAAGCCTGACCATGGAGGTCAGTGGGTGGAGGGTCTTTCCCACAAATCCAAGGGAGCTTTCAAGTTGGTTTGGAGGAAGCCTCCCTAGCAGCATGCTTGAATAAGAAACTATTGTGTTCAAGCATCAGCTTGGCTGGTGCTGAGGACTCTTTTGATGATGAAGTAATAAAATGGATTCAAAATCACTTGGCATATGTATGTGCATGTACATCTGTGTGTGCGTGTGTGTGAGTGTGTGTGTGTGCATGCGTGTGAGTGTGTGTGTATACGTGTATATGTTTAAAGGCCATATAAATGCTAAACTCTGTGTGCAAATGTCCTCGAATTCTGATTCCAACTGTCTTTATCGAGTGCTGGTTGTTTATCCAGGTGAAAGCATCCGCTGGCCAGTTTTGTCCCACGTCTTTTTCTATCAAGTCTTTGGTCCTCACTTCTTCTTCCTGAGTATGTCCGGAGGGAACAGAATGCAGACGTACTAGGCTTTTCAGTTAAAGAAACATTTTTGTATGCTGGGCTTTGGAAATAAAGAGGTCTACCTTAGTAATTCCGGGATCAATATGTGCAGATAGGAAGTAATTTGGTGGTGTGACCTTTGGCCATTTGTAAGTGCCTTGTCCCTGGAAAACAATGTTTAAATTGGAATTGGGTTTGTTTTCCAGCCAATTAAATCCTTCTGGATTTCAGAGGAATTTGAAACAAAATATGGAACAAATATCTATTATGAAGGAGGCACAGCTGTTAGATGAGTTGGTTGTTCGTATTGGTGGTCGTGTGTGCATTTTATTTTTTTTTGTGGGAGAGTAGAATTTTCACTTCTGCGGGGAGCATCTGATCAAATGGCCCATATAACTTTTACCTGTCTGCTAATCTGAGTCTCAATCCACTTCTTGGGCTGTGACAGCTGATTTAGGACAAAACATTCCTTTTCTTCCAAAAGTATACAATCTTGGGCTTCTACTGTTTTCTGAAGCTATTTTTGTTCTAGTTGAATGTTGGGGGGAGAAACCTGGCTATTTGTTTATTATTATACCAAAAAAGAAAGTCTCCAGCTTCTGAAGCTTGGGGCACTCACTGTTAGAGAAACATGTTTGGCAGCACACAGGGCCAAATAAACTACACACCTGCATTTCATTACAACAGGTCATTGCGGGAACAGTGGCATTAGCCTCCATAGGAAAAGGGTTTGCATGGGGGTCTAGGAAGCCAGTTAAACACATGAAAAACACATTGAGACACCTGGACAGAGTGATTTATGAAGCAAGAACTGTTTTCATGGTGCCAGGGTCCTGTCCTCGCAGATGCATGAAACGTACATCTGCAGTTCTGACATCACAGCGGACACGGGACTCTGAGTGATGCATTACTGAGTTCCCTGACAATGTGAAATGCATTTGTCCCGTTTTTTCCTAAAATGGCCCACCTATTTTCAAATGCAGAGTCCTGTGCGATGTCATACATTTCCACAATGTTGCTTTAAAATAAGAGAGGGCAGGAAACGTGATTCCGACTCTGCACCCAGATGGACTGAGGCATAATATGTCTGCATCGTTGATGGCAGAAAGGGGGCGTCCAAGTCAGGTTTTCCGTCTTCCAAGCCAATCTTTCCCCTTCTAGACCGGAAAGATTAAATGGCAAGTAGAACACCAAGTCAATCTGCCCAGACTCAAATTCCATTCCCTGACCCCCTCACATAGCTGTAACATGCTTGGGCATAATCCTAAGCCTCTCTGTGTCTCAAGTTTTCTCTCCATCCAGTCGGGATAAAGGCAGTAGCCACCTTGTAGTAGGCTTGTTTCCATGAGAGTGTTTAGCTGCTCTTACTATGACTGAAAAAACATAGCTGCTTGCATTTGCAGACAGAGCCTTGTGACTTGGTGCAAAGAAAGGAAAACATCTTTGCCGAACTTGGAGGTCTCATCTATTCACTCAGCTCTAAATATGGGCTTCTCTTGAATAACCGCAGGTTTGGCCTGTGTGCTTTCTTTCTCACACCTTTTTGTTCACTTGATGAGGATGCCGAGTGCAGCGGTACATTACGCTTGGCTCAACCGTGGCAGAGCCAATGTGGCCATGGTGAGAGATCATTCAGGATGGATGACTGCTTAGGGACTGGCAGGGCAAGAGTCTCCCAGCTGTTGCGGCATTTCATCCTGTGGTCTTTGGTCATTCTTTGGCTTTTATCTGAGTACACCCGGCATGGCATTTTACCAGCTGTACTGGGGAGGACTGGGGGAATGGAAAGCTGGCATTACTGCTGAAAGCAAAGAAAAGATGTGTCTTTCTCTGTGGCCGGTTTTTGTAATCCGGGAAGACCCCATGTGGGTTTTCTGATCTCATGTCAGCTTCCCTAGTTGAAGTATAAAATTGCTAGAAGAACCACATCATCCTCGGAGGGACAGGCAGGCATCCTTAGTGTTCTTGAAATGATTACATCGTCAGTTTCATTTAGTTCTAGAAGACTGGCCCTGCCTGTTGGTTTTTCCCCTAATCGTCTGTGTAAGAAAGACTTACCCTTAAATGGGTGAGTTACAGGCAGGGCTCAGTTTCTGTCATTACACTGATCTTTCATTGACAGTTTTCCACCCTCTGTTACTCTTGGCATCGGGCTGGTCAGCCATAACTTCTAGGGATGGGGAGAGAAATCGAATCTCTTCTATTCTTCTCTGTACTGCTTCAATCTGGCAACTTCTACGTAGACTGTGAGAATATAACCTTGTAATAAACATTTGGGTCTCTTTGCCTTTGTCCGAGAGCCCACTGTTATTTTTTTTCTAATCACAGCAGCTGCTCTAGCTAGCATCTGGCTCATATACCAGCAGCCTTTATTCTGAGACTAATCTAAGGATTCAACACCAATTCAGGAAGGCAATCAAAGAAGTGGGTTGGATGGACAAGTATTTCCTTTGTGTACAGTTCAGATGCAGAAGGTGGTAGACACCTACATTGATGCATTGTCCTAGCATCCTACAGATCCATGGGGTTGCCAAGGGTGGCTTGGTGGGGTTGGGGGGTGCAGGTGAATTTGGCTGTAGCTGGCATAAATGGAGGTGCTTGCATGTTGATTCCTGGGCCCTTTGACCCAACCTCTGGTTTGGGGAGAGGCTGCTGATTAGAGCAGATGCACACACCTTGTAACAGGGCCACTGAGTTCTCCCAGTCTTCCATCCACATTTCTTCTTTGTCATCAGCGTTCCCTCCTCCTGTATTTTCCCTTTCTAGAAAAAAATATGAGCTGTGATTTGTACAAAACACACAAAATGCATCCGTTGGAATCAGAGATCCAGGAAACTTCAGCTGAAATTAACAACTTCGTAACACAGGTAGAGCCTACGTCCTTCATGAGAAAAATGACACAAATCTCAGTATTCTTTGTTTGGAGTCTCTTGACATCCATGTGAGGTACATATTTTCTGTATTCTATTTTATTTTAATTCACCATGAAAAAGAAACTGGTCAAATAAAGAAGCCAAGGCTTTGAGGAGCAGAATCATTTATTTGTGGTGATTCAGCCATATTTACTCCCAGTGTTTCAACTGTGAGCTCAATGCACTGTTTTCATTACTTTTACTATATTGCAAGTTGAATACAATGAAAAAAAAAGGAGAAACATCTCTTCTTAAGCCTGTTTTACCATTATTTTGCTCTCTGATTTTTCTTAGAAACCAAATCCATGCAATGTGAGTGTTTTTATCTCATTTAGTTCTCACACATTAATGAGGTGGGTATATTGTTATTCTCATGTAATAAAAACAGACACTGAGGCTCAGAGAAGTTAAGTGACCTGAACTGGGCCACACAGCTGCTGGGGACCAGGGCTGGGATTACCTGGGTAGTTGGATTCCAGCACACTTATTTTTGAGGTTAAGTTTATTAAGGTGTAATTTACATGTGGTAAAATCTACCCCTTTTAGTTGTATGTTCGATGAGTTTTGACATATGCAGTCTTTTTTTTTTTTCTTTTGAGAGATGGAATTTCTCTTTTGTTGCCCAGGCTGGAGTGCAATGGTGTGATCTTGGCTCACTGCAACCTCCGCCTCCCAGGTTCAAGCAATTCTCGTGCCTCAACCTCCCAAGTAGCTGGGATTACAGGCATGCACCACCATGCCCAGCTAATTTTGTATTTTTAGTAGAGACGGGGTTTCACCATGTTGGTCAGGCTGTTCTCAAACTCCCGACCTCAGGTGATCCGCCTGTCTCAGACTCCCAAAGTGCTGGGATTACAGGAGTGAGCCAACGCACCCAGCTGACATGCAGTCTTATAATTGAGATATAGACTATTCTGGCCAGGCATGGTGGCTCATACCTGTAATCCCAGCACTCTGGGAGGCTGAGGCAGGCAGGTCACCTGAGGTCAGGAGTTCGAGACCAGCCTGGCCAACATGGCAAAACCTTGTCTCTACTAAAATTACAAAAGTTAGCCAGGCGTGGTGGCATGTGCCTGTAATCCCAGCTACTCGGGAGGCTGAGACAGGACAATTGCTTGAACCCAAGGAGGCAGAGGTTGCAGTGAGTGGAGATCATGCCACTGCACTCCAGGCTGGGTGACAGAGGAGACTCCGTCTTAAAAAGAGAGAGAGAGAGAGAGAGAGACAGAGATTATTCTATCACCTGAAAAGTTTATTTGTGTGCTTATAGTCAGTCCTTTCTTTCTACCCTTGGCCCTAGAGCCCACATTCTTCACCAGCACACCTTAAATAAAAATAAGCCCAATTACGATGCAAGGTATTTACACCGTTTTGAGTATAGCATGATCATATCAGCTTTTAAGTCAATTAAATCTCATAGTGCGACAGTTTATAAATGTTACTTTATAATGAATAGCTGAAGTATAGAAAAGTAACAAAATGACACCAGAGTGACCTATGTTCCTGGTCCTTGTAAATTATGCCAGGATCTCTGACTGCAGGGAGGGCATTCAATGAATGGGAACGCTTTTGATTCTGAACAGCAGCCTTAGCCAGAGCCGTTAAATGGGTTTCTGTCCTGCTCCTTCTCAAACTGACACTGAGCAAGCGCCACCTGCTCCTGCTCCAGGGGGCTATTCAACCATGTAGTCCCAGGGGAGCCAGGGCTGTGGGAGGTGTTGGTTGCTAAGAAGCAACGAGCCTGAGGCCTAGCCGCGAGCCTGAGGCCCAGCGGAGCTCCCGGTTGCCCTCCCTCTGCTCTGACCACAGCTTGTCCCTCTGCCAGGCGCTGCCCTCACAAGGCAGCCGAGAAGGACATCAGGCTGGCGGCTGGGGAAACCTCTGGCTCGGGGCTGGAGAAACAGTTCTGGGCATGTGGTTGAGGGAGGACACATCTCTTCTTTCTAGCCCAGGGAGTGTCCTACCTCCATGTGGTTTGGGGTTCAGGAGAGAATTCAGCCCATGCCCGTGGAGTCACATCCCCCTGCAGAGGGCACACACCCAAGCTGCGCTGAAGGAGATGCCCTCCCCTGTGCCCTGGGCATCCCCCAAAGCCAGGCACCCTCTCCCTCCCCTGGGACAGGACGCCAGGACAGGCCCCAGAGCCTGGGAGCCAGACTTTGCCCGGCTTTCTTTCCTGAGCGTGCTTCTATCAGCTCCTGTGGATGAGTCTGTTCTTTCCTATGTTGCTGTCTGAATGTATTAATTAGTCTGCGGGCAGCTTAAACAACAGAAATGTATTCTCTTATAGTTCTGGAGACCAGAAGTTTACAATCCTGGTGTCTGCCGGGTTGGTTCCTTCTGAGCACCATGAGGGAGAATCTGCTCCAGGCCCCTCTTCCGGGCTTGTAGATGCTGTCTTCTCCCTGTGTGTCCACACTGTCTTCCCTCTGCATGTCTGTGTTCAAATTGTCCCTTTTAATAAGGACACAGTCCTATTTGATTAGAGCCCATTCTAATGAGCTCTCTTTACTCGATTGCAAAGATGTTATCTTCCAATAGGATGACACTGTGGGGTACTTGGGGTTAGGGCTTCCTCATGTGAATTGTGGGTGGAGGTCCCAATTCAGCCCACCATACTGCAAAAGTGGTAGTAGCTCTGCCCAATGTCAAGGACCATTCAGAACCTTCTATGATATTAATTTTCAGGAAACTGACAGCAACACAAAAGTCGTCACCATGAGTCTTTGTTGAGCCAAGTTGAATAAACAAGTGGCTTATTTTACTAAAATACAAATCTACTAAATACACTAATACTAGTAAAATACTAGTAAAAATACTAAATCTACTAAAATACAAATCTACTAAAAATACAAAATTAGCTGGGCATGGTGGTAGATGCCTGTAATCCCAGCTACTTGGGAGGCTGAGGCAGGAGAATTGCTTGAACCTGGGAGGTGGAGGTTGCAGTGAGCCAAGATCACACCATTGCACTCCAGCCTGGGCAACAAAAGAGAAATTCCATCTCAAAAATAAACAAGTGACAAGTATGAAATATGTAAGATTTGAAAAGTCAGAGGGAGTTCCAAATGAACTCAACAGTGTGGGCTGGACATTTCACTGTGAAATCTGTGAAATTAGAAGAGTCCACACAGAAGTCATTAAATAGCAACTGTTCCTTAAGTTGTAATGTATATCTTTATGAAATTATATATATGGCATGTGGTTGGTTTTATAAAAGAGAGACTATATATATGTCCACCTATAAGAAGATGAAAAGAAAATATTCTGAAGTATTAACATGGATTAACTCTGATTAGTTGAATTGTAGGTGGCTTTTTGCATTTTTCCTTGCTCATTTATGTTCCAAAAATTTCACAACGGCCATATCCTACTTTTGCAAATAGAAAACAGTGTTCTTCAGCATGAAAATTGGCACAAAGAAGAATTTTTTTAAAGTAGAAAATGCGAATTTTAAAAATATAGCTGTGAAAAAAAGTATAAAATTAATTCCAATAAAATAAATCGTGGATACCTGAAAATGATGGTACGTTTATAAATGGTTTGCCTAAACTGCAGTGATGCTAATTAATTCTCTTACCATAAAGGTCAGGATAAAAAAATGACAGGAATAGAACGTAGTATTTGAGGCAGAATTTCAGCCTTTGGGTCTTCCAGAGGTGAGAATGAAAGAAGAGAGGAGGAATTAGAAAGGTTAATGCCTTTGTCATTGAAAATCCCATCACTTTTTTTTAACCAACTTTTTTTTTGTTTTTTGGTTTTTTTTTTTTTAAAAAACCTTCTAGCTGAAGTTTTCTTTTGACATGAATTTCTACACCTTTAGGGATTAAATTAATGCTCAATTTTTGGAATGTTATTAGGAGAATTATAGATGACAAAAATATCACTGGCGAGAAATTAAATCTTTTCTGTCTCTGTCACAAAATGTAGGCATAAAAGTCTCTTCTGCTCATCAGACAAATTCAGCAACTTTGATTTTGAAGTTGCCTTTGATGATAGGTCTTCAATGTTCCTGAGAATCCATTTGCTTAATGATCGAGGTGGCCTCAAGCAGTCTTCAGCTACGTGCTTACCTGCCCGGCTGTTGATGCCATTTCACTGTGCAATCCCTGTGCTTTGCTTCTCTGTTCATTCAAAGATGGATCATCTAAGAGCCTGATTAGCCTTCGTCAAAATAACATTACATATAATACCATAGTAACAGGCCTTTTTGTTTCTTTATAAACAGGGTGATTCAGAGAAAGCAGACAAGAAACCCTTAGAAGGGCTTACTGGGGTGACTGGAGGCAGTCCTGCATTTTGTGTCTCTGCTGTGTGGGGTATTAATTGTGCGAGGAATATGCAATATCTGAAACTTCATGGTCCCCATGTGCAATATATACCAAAGATATGCGGATTCGTGTTTTTCCCCTTTTTTATGATCCATCTAGGGAACTGCTTGTCGAGATGCTGCCATTCCAGGGGAGCTAAAAACCCTGAAACCATTAGAAGTGTTGATATCAGGATGCTACAGCACAAAAAGAAGACAGCACTGTGGAGAAAAATAACTTACGAGAAGACACAGCACCGGGGGATAGACGCTGTTAAGTAGCACTTGCTAACAAGAGCTTTCAAGCCACCATGAGAACGAGATGGATTTATTTTCCTTCCTTTGCAGAATCTCAGCAACTCTGTGGTAGACAGGGGCCAACAGAAGTCAGACGTTGGGAACGGGGGGCAAAATTTTAAAGAGGACTCAGGAACAAATACTTCCTTTCTTTTCATAAACCACCCATTTAACATCACTCAACAATGGCTGTTGTGGTAAACGCTGTCACTGATGGATAAGTGGGGGGAGCGTGGCTGCTGGGTCCAGGCTCCTTAGATGTGGCCAGTAGGAGGCATGGATTATCATTTTTCTTTGGCAGGGAGGGAACTGAGACTTCAATGAGGAATTTCTCCAGTGATACGCAGCTGGTGGGGACAGTCAGTGGTTGGCACACCTCCCTCAAGAGCTGACAGCGGTGTGAGTTAGGGGACTCCCCCGCTGCCCCCGATGTCAATCATTCTTGGGTCTCAGCTCCTCCCCTCCACGCTGAGATGGTTGCTTTATTCTCTGCCCGGCCCTCCAGGCTGTGAGCCACCAAAGTGGAAGCAGTGGGTCCCTTCTGCTTGGGACCCTCGGGCCCAGCCCAGGACCTGGCTCAGCAAAGGCAAAAATGAACAGTCCAGGAGTTGGTCCCCTGACCTGGCTGAGTCTGGGTACCTGTCTGACCCTGTACCCGTGACTTTTTCTCCTGACAGCTTTGCACATTGGTAAAGGTACCTAATTTCTACGTTTCACTTTAAAAAGTAGTCTTTACTTCTTAGCCTGGGAGACACCACAGTCCTTTAACTAGAGAAGTTTTCCTGTGCCGTAGCCGTGAGAGGCTGACAGCAAGACTGGGAGGAGCCCATTTCACTTCCATCCCTGCGTGGCTTGATCACGGGGCCGAGAGGGAACGCCTCTGTGAGCCAGGGGCCTCTGTGGGTCCAGTTGTCCCTTGTCCCCTGTGGATCTGGCAGCATGAGGATGCTCTCTTTCTTTCTAGTGTTGCCAAAGCCAGATTCATGAATAAAGCTCTTACGAATATTTGGTGGCCACATAGGCAAGTCTACTGGGGAGATGGGAAAGAAAGGGAGGAGTGTATGGCACCCTAAGAAATTTGGAGATGACCTGGGCCCTGACAGCTTCAGAAGCCTCCTTATTCCCTAACCCTTAGGGGTCTTCAAAAGTGGTGAGCCCCCCGCCCAGTCCAACCATATCTCACCAAATTAAATATCAAACCAAGTTCTTTTTTTTTTTTTTTTTTTTTTTGAGACAGAGTCTTGCTCTGTCACCCAGGCTGCAGTACCGTGGCACGATCTCGGCTCACTGCAAGCTCCGCCTCCCGGGTTCACGCCATTCTCCTGCCTTAGCCTCCTGAGTAGCTGGGACTACAGGCACCCACCACCACGCCTGGCTAATTTTTTGTATTTTTAGTAGAGATGGGGTTTCACTGTGTTAGCCAGGATGGTCTCTATCTCCTGACCTCGTGATCTGCCTGCCTCGGCCTCCCAAAGTGCTGGGATTACAGGCGTGAGCCACCGTGCCCAGCCTCAAACCAAGTTCTTAGAGTGAATACAGATTTACCCACTTAAATGCTAGAGGCATACATTCAGAAAAAAATATTATTAGACTGCAGTTTGGACCCCAAATTTAACCAGCTGGAATTCATTTCACATTTCATACTCTTCAATCTCTGGAATGAAAAATACGTGTCTTTTAATGGGAACTTGTATTTTATCCTAAAGATGGAACAAAGTGTACTGGGCTGAATTATTTCCCAAATAGGCATGATCTGTCTCGTGTTCTGGGTTATGATAAATGATAAAACAGGTTTGGGTGAGTTGGCTTCTAACTGATGTATGAATAGCACACTGATTTTATGGGTATAGACAACAAAGGGTGGAAGCGAGGCCTTCCACTGCAGCATTCTAGAAGTCGTGTAATAAACACTCTCAAAACAACCACAGAAGTCCTTCAGGCCCAGGCATGGCCCATGATACAATGAAAAGGTTTCAATGACTGTATTAGAATAATTTTCTGAAAGCTTGGAATTACTGGGTTTCTCCAATCTTTTCCTTACTTCAGGGAGACATAGTGACTAGAGTTGGATTGAGCCACACTGAAGCCCAAGACAGAAGGAAATATCGGTCATTCCAATCCTGTCTATTTCAAATTTTAATATTTCGTTATCTATTTATTTATTTATTTTGAGACAGCCTCACTCTTGTTGCCCAGGCTGGAGTGCAATGGCATGATCTCGGTTCAGTGCAACCTCTGCCTCCCAGGTTCAAGCGATTCTCCTGCCCCAGCCTCCAGAGTGGCTGGGATTACAGGCATTTGCCACCCCACCCAGCTCATTTTTTTTTTTTTAATTTTCATTTTTAGTAGAGACGGGTTTTCACCATGTTGGCCAGGCTGGTCTCAAACTCCTGACCTCAGGTGATCCACCCACCTCGGCCTCCCAAAGTGCTGGGATTACAGGCATGAGCCACCGTGCCTGGACAAAATTTTAATATTTTGTTCATCATGACTTTTTGCAGTACTTTTTATTTGAAAAATATTGCGTTAACATATGATTTATTTTGATTACTGAGTTTCTTGGAGCCCTCTTAAATTTTGTGCCCAGGGGAAATGCCTTGCTTGCCTTATCCAGTGGTGGCTATTTCAAGAACACTGTGATTTTGTAATGGATTTCACAAGGAAGAATAGTAGACTGAGAAGTAATTGAGTTTTTTGTTTTCAAAGGAATTTGTTTGTGGGACTGTTAGTGATGTTTGGGATGCCAGCACATTTTCTGTTCAAGCCCTGAACTGAAGACCTAGGTATTGATGATGTTGCACAGCTCCTAAATGTAGCATACTTATGTTCAGACATATCTTTATGTCCATTCTAAGCTCAAAGTACAGACAGAAATGGATCCAAGGCCAACTATTCACGTGGAACTTGATGTGGTCTGTTCAACTAGCAGGGTATTGAATATGAAGGGATTGTTTGTGATTTTGCAACTTAGTGAAAAAAAAATAGTCACCCAGCCTTGTCTATGTGCTGAGTCAGACACCTCTCATGTGTCACTAGGCCCTCTCTGAGGACCCCCGTGGGTGGCTGCCTCAGCGTGGGCTCTGCAGACTTCAGGCAGGTACACAGTAACAGCATGTCATCTCCTGCCCACATCAATCACCTCCACCTCCACCCCTTGCCTTGGGGCTTCCTCATCAACCCAGGCAGATGCAAGGTGCAAGACTTTGCATGGTCCAGATGCATGGGGAATTGGTGCTCTGTGGAGCACCTTGGATCAACGAGAGATGGCAGCTGGTGGTGTAGGGTCCAGCCCTACGGGGCTTAGCGGGTATTCTCCTCGTGTGTGGAGACAAGAGATTGTAATAAATAAAGGCATAAGACGAAGAGATAAAGAGAAAACAGCTGGGCCTGGGGGACCACTACCATCAAGGCGCGTAGACCGGCAGTGGCCCCGAACGGCTGGGCTGGCCGTTATTTATTGCATACAAGACAAGGGGGCAGGGTAAGGAGGGTGAATCTTCTAAGTGATTGACAAGGTGAAGCAAGTCACGTGATTACAGGATAGGGGGCCCTTCCCTTTTAGGTAGCCGAAGCAGAGAGAGAAGGCAGCATAGGTCAGCGTTTTCTTCTCTGCACTTATAAGAAAGATCAAAGACTTTAAGACTTTCACTATTTCTTCTACTGCTATCTACTACGAACTTCAAAGAGGAACCAGGAGTACGGGAGGAGCATGAAAGTGGACAAGGAGTGTGACCATTGAAGCACAGCACCACAGGGAGGGGTTTAGGCCTCCGGATGACTGCAGGCAGGCCTGGATAATATCCAGCCTTCCACAAGAAGCTGGTGGAGCAGAGCGTTCCCTGACTCCTCCAAGGAAAGGAGACTCCCTTTTGCGGTCTGCTAAGTAACAGGTGCCTTCCCAGACACTGGCGTTACCGCTTGATCAAGGAGCCCTCAAGCGGCCCCTATGCGGGCGTGACAGAGGGCTCACCTCTTGCCTTCTAGGTCACTTCTCACAATGTCCCTTCAGCACCTCACCCCATGTCCGCCGGTTATTCCTAGGTTATATCAGTAATGCAACAAAGAGTAATATTAAAAGCTAATGATTAATAATGTTTATAATAATGATTGATAATTGTTCATGATCATCTCTACATCTAATTTGTATTATGACTATCCTTATTCTAACTATTTTCTTTATTATACTGAAACAGTTTGTGCCTTCAGTCTCTTGCCTTGGCACCTAGGTAATCCTCCACCCCACGGTGGATAACTTTTTAGTCTTCTCCCTAGAGCCTCTGTCCTCAGACACAGTTCACACAGCTCTCGGGGGCCACACTGCAAGATCAGCATTTAGAATTTTGTGTTTTAAAACTTTTTTTAAGTTTTAATTTTTGTGGGTACATAGTAGGTGTATATATTTATAGGGGACATGAGACATTTTGATATAGGCATGCAATGTGAAATAAATACATCATGGAGAATGGGGTATGCATTCCCTTAAGCATGTATCCTTTGAGTTACAAACAATTCAAGTACACTCTTTAAATTGTTTTAAAGTGTACAGTTATTATTGACTATCGTCACCCTGTTGTGCTATCAAATAGCAGGTCTTATTTATTCTAACTATTTTTTGTACCTATTAACCATCCCCACCTCCCCTATTCAGCCGTAAAAAAGAATGAGATCTAGTCATTTGCAACAACATGGATGGAACTGGAGATTATTATGTTAAGGGAAATAAGCCAGTTACAGAAAGACAAACATTGCATATTCTTACGTACTTGTCAGGTCTAAAAATCAAAACAATTGAACTCGTAGACACGGAGGGTAGAAGGATGGTTACCCTCCGGGGCTGGGAGGATCAGCATTTGGTTATACCTCTCAATGGCCAGTCTGATGAAGAATCCTCATAGCAGCTGCCTCTCCACTCCCCACCTTCCCATCCTCTCTCTTTCACTTCTGGCACTGCCTTCTCTAATAAAACCATAGTGCAACCGACATCTGCCTCATGCTCTGTTTTCTGGGAAACCCAGACTAATATATATTCTTCACTACTTTCCTGCAGATCTTGGTGCAACAGAACTGTCAGGAAAATTTACTTCAAAAAATTGTACCTTTAAACACCTCTCCTGCCTTTTTATGGATACCGGGCATGTATGAGATTATCAGAGGAAACAGTTAGATGCACAAGGATCTTCATATACCCATTTGTTATTTAGATTCCCTTTAATTGGGGTTTTATTAGATTCTGAAGCACTCTACTTTTATTCACGAACACTGCCAAGAATGGAAACCTCGCTTTCTGAAGCTGTGTGAATTGCTTGGCACGTGTTTAAGAACCCAGAGGCATCTCATCTGCCTCCTGGATCCTCCTGTGGCCCCTCCAGAGAGTCCCAGCTCATGCACCACCTGCCTGGCACAGGGCCAAGGATGCAGGCTGTGATTGTGAATTCTGGTGTTGAACCTTAGATGGGTATGTAGCATGTTCTAATGGTGAAATAAGGACAATGTTGAAGGAAGTCATTGTGAGGGAAATATGTCTTTTGTTTGAAAGAGCCCAGTGGTGTTACTATTTGTGATTGTGAAGGTCAATCCAAGTGGAATACACTGTCTCACAGAGGGCCACCTGTCTTTTGTGGAGGTCTCTGGAGATAAAAATAGGGACATTGCTCTAACATGTTTAAAGAGGGAGGGCCAGTGTCTCTGATGATGTAGATAGACACAGAGCTGGCTTGAGCACCAGGGACGCTGATTTCAGGCGGTTGAAGGAGGAAGGGGCTGTCCTTCTTCTAGACTCTTTGGTGAGCATCCAGGAAGATGCCGTGTCTGCATGGGGACAAGGTGTTGTGGAGGGTCCCAAACAGGAGCATTTTATGGAAGAGAAGTCATTAGGGTGGGTGTCGGGCTGGAGATGATCAGGAGAAGAATGAGAACATCTGAGCTGAGTATTGTGATATAGACTGCAAGACTCATGGTGGCATTCTCCTGGGAGTGGAATTATTAGACAATCTAATGGATCTGGTTTTGCTGTGGTTGAAGTTGATGTGACTTTTTCCTCTACTACCCCTCTACTACCTGCTTCCCCAGAAGAAAAGATAGCAAAATCCCACATGTATCAACCCATGCTCTTCTTAGCAGTCATAACTGATTCACTCTCTAGATCCCTTGGAAAACATCAAAGAAGATATCTGCTGACAAATTCGCAGATATCTGAATGCATATTCATGAAGCTCTCAAATACTCTAGTCCTTAGTTCTCTAGATAATTCTAATAGCATATTTTCTACACCTGCATTAAATTGGTCATTGTGGCTATGCATATTTGTTTAGGGAGAACTTGTACTGCCTTCTGCATAACCTAACATATTAAGCTATATTGATATCTAAACTGAATGACACATTGGTGGTATTCATGATACCATTGAATCATTTCTGAAATTCCTAAGAAAGAGCTCAGGATTCCAGAATCTCATATCAGGGTTTGCTCTGAAGCCAATTTATTGTGCCCTGTTTCTTGAATATTTGATTTCATTTATTAGTTCAATGATAATAAATAATACTTTTGAACTATGACTACTTCTGTTCAGTCGGCAACATATGTTCTTAGGATGATGAACTTGTAGTTGGAGCTCATTCAGAACAGAGATAAGAGATCACATCTTCTCCTATTTGGGGATGAGAGTGGGGTGGAGAGAAAAGGCAGCCTCTTCCCGAAGATGCTAACTTCTGTCACGTCATGAAAAAGAATCTTTTCGTTGGTTGCTTAGAGAATGACCTACCTCCGTCTGTCTGTTCATTTGACCATCAACCCATCTACCCATCCGTCCACCCATTTATCTACTCATCTGTTCATCTATCCATCCATCCATCCATTCATCCACACACCCATTCATCCATCCACCCACCCATCCATCCATCCACCCACTCATCCATCCTTAGGTCCACCCATCCATTCTTCCATCCATCCATCCATCCATCCATCCACCCATTCATCCACCTATCCATTCATCTACCCATCCATTCATCCATTCAACTACTCATCCATTCATCTATCCATCCACACATCCATCTGCTATTTATTTTAGTAGAGCCTAGCTCTGGGTGCTTATGTTATTTAAACATTAACAAAGATCTGATAGCATTTCTGGAATTGAGCCCTTGGCTGTTGTTTGCCTCTGCTTATTCCTAAAAGCCAAGTGTTCTCAAAACTCCAGCCTGTGGTGTTAATGAAGTCACATTTACCTTCAAACTCAAATCTTACTGCCTCCTAACTCCCCACCCGCTGATAGAGGCCCTCAGGAGGTATGCTGCACACAGTACTGAGAGATGCTTAAGTACAGTGGCTAAAAGGAAGGGCTCCAGAGCCAGCTTCTTGGGGGCTGAATTCTGCCTCTGCCTCTTCCCCACTTCGTGGGCTTGAGCAAATTCCTCTCTGTGCCTCAGGATATAATTGGTAAAGTGAGGCTGATGAAGACACTAAGGGCATCTACCCCATCAGGGATGCTGTCAGAACTCAATGAGTTGATGGTGCTTGAGCGCCCTTGAAGCCTGGCCCCAGCAGCATGAACCATGATTACCCGACACCCAGCCTGGTGTAGACTCTCTCCAGTATAAATTCAGTGAAACTGCAACTGCCTGGTATTGTAAAGACCAGACCCTGGGAATGGGGCAGCTCTTGGAGAATTCCCCCTCTGCCCTCAGACCTCCATTGAAAATGTCAAAAGGTCCCAAAGAATTCTGAAATGAGATACTTTCAATACTTTCAATAACGAGTTCTTTTTTTGTCAGGATCATTTTTTGATGTGAGACACCTTCACCTACGACATAAATCACCTTCATTGTGTCTCCGTTAAATAGAACCTGACATAAAAACCCCATCTTAGAAATCCCGAAAAAATGACTGCTTTTCTCCCCTGTGCACATTTCATTTTGGTTTTCCTCTGGTTTCTAAAAAGTGATCTTTTATGGAAAAGTTATTCATGACATTTGAAAGGCATCCATATTTAAGGCATTTAAAGACTGTGGGGTTGAGCATGCACCTATTTTGCACTTGCCTTCCATTTAATTTGACTTTATTCTACTCTAAAACACTGTTCTTTTATTCCGTGAAATTTTCTTTTATTTGAGCCATCTATGAATTATGCAGGGAAAGATACTGGATTTGAATGCCAGAGTTTAATCACCTGAGGTGGCTGTTCCATCTCGGATTTGGTCCAACTCAGTAGTAGTCAGATTTCCACCCAGTGCAGCAAACGTACGAGCCTTGTGTTTAAAAAGAGGAGGCATCAACATAAGGACAGACAAAAAGAAGCAGGCATTTTTACTTGCAAATCTGCTATATTTAAGAAATGGTTTACCTGATTTAAATCATTTTACATTGACTCAGATGGAAGGTGAATGGTATTCGTAATAAGTGGGAAGCTTTACTTTGCTTCTTTATTGGGTTATTGTCTGCATAATGCAATAAGCATACACGAGGATGGTTCACTTTGTTAATATAAATCTGGATCATTTACTCTATTTATTTATACCTCTCAGATTCTGAGAGCAAGGTTTTCCGAGATGATACATTTACCATTAATTAAGGGTTGACAAATGACCTGAGAATTTCTTATGGCAATGTTGAACGTCAAAGGAAACTGATTGTTATTTTTCTGATATTGTTTTTAGGCTAAAGACCTGGACCCAAATATGAATTTTGAGGGTACCTTATCCCTTAGTCACCTATCATGGTTTTCTCCTTGTTCGGTGCTCTGCTGTTTTTTTCTAGGATCCCATTCAGATAGTGGCATCACAGTAGCAATTCCTGAGGTCAAGGAAGTCCAGGCTCCAGTCTTGACTCTGCCACTCATTAGCTGCATGATCTGGGGCAAGTCATGCTCCCTACCTCCCTCATTTTCTTCATCTGAAAGTTAGAGACTTGGCTGGGCATGGTGGCTCATGCCTGTAATCCCAGCACTTTGGGAGGCCGAGGCGGGTGGATCATGGGGTCACGAGTTCGAGACCAGCCTGGCCAACATGGTGAAACCCCATCTCTACTAAAAATACAAAAATTAGCCGGGGGTGGTGGCATGTGCCTGTAATCCCAGCTACTCTGTAGGCTGAGGTAGGAGAATAGCTTGAACCTGGGAGGCGGAGGTTGCAGTGAGCCAAGATCCTGCCACTGCACTCCAGCCTGGGACAGAGTGAGACTCTGTCTCAAAAAAAAAAAAAAAAAAAGTTAGAGACTTTATAAGCTTTTCAATCCTTTTCAACTCAAAGCATACTTTTTGATAACAACCAAAAAATGGGATTGACAAAATGCTTCTCTCTCCATAACTAGAACCACGTTAAGCTTTGAGGAAACACCCTTTCTGTTTACATGTGTGGTGCATTTCACGCGGCTCCCCAGACTTCACACCCAGAGAATCTTGCCCAAAGTGTTAAGTCTAACCTTAAAAGACTTCATACTTCTAGTTAACCTGGTAAAATGAAAATGCAAAGGACAAGTATAAACAATGGCAGAAAAAATAGTTTATAAGTAGGAGGAAACATAAGAGTTTCTTAGTTGATTAAAATTTATTTAAAAAGAAGACATTGGGCCGGGCGCGGTGGCTCACGCCTGTAATCCCAGCACTTTGGGAGGCTGAGGTGGATGGATTATGAGGTCAGGAGATCGAGACCATCCTGACTAACACGGCAAAACTCTGTCTCTACTAAAAATACAAAAAATTAGCCGTACGTGGTCGTGGGCGCCTGTAGTCCCAGCCACCTGGGAGGCTGAAGCAGGAGAATGGTGTGAACCTGGGAGGCGGAGGTTGCAGCGAGCCAAGATTGCGCCGCTGCACTCCAGCCTGGATGACAGAGCCAGACTCAGTCTCAAAAAAAAAAAAAAAAAAAAAAGAAGACATTGGACATGGTGACTGGAACGAAAATACAGCAGCCTAATGACTGTCATTAACAAAATGACGCATTAACAATGCTGATCTTGTAGCTGATACAGAACCTTGGCTGTTGCCTTCATATTTTCATTGAAGTTGTGCTTGATCTCCCTCCTGGTTTCTCTTGTTACTGGTGACCTGCATTCCTAGAGCAGTGGATGTGGATGAGGGGGCCGGTCTGTGCAGCTTCAGTACATCCTTTCTTGGTGGATCCATTCCTACTCTCACTAGCACAGTGCTTTAGCCATCTGAGCTAAAGTAACATAGAACTTGATATAATGCAAGAGATGTTTGCAACAATAAAAGAGACAAAAGTAATCCCGAGTATATCTGATAACAATTGCTTTTTTCTTTTATTTTTTGCCTTTAGCGACAAGGTGCTGGGGCAACCAATGGAAAAGACAAGACATCTGGTGAAAATGGTAAGAGGACATGAATAGTCCAAGTTCTTTCTCTTTTGCCATCTGCAGCCCTGGGTATGCAGCAGGTGCGGATCATACATCCCATCCCAAACAGCTTACTATATGTGTCTGCGCTTCAGCTTACAGAGGATTTTAGCAATTCACAGTGAGCACTGAGGTCTGGTTTTATGAAGAAAACTGAGCTAGCTAAATGCCGTGATAAGAAGTTTCCCTTCCATAGGAGGACTCCCATTTTGGGCAACATGGTAATTACAATGCAAATCTAGTTCTCTGCTTTCTTCATTAGGGTGGGTGAGAATCATCCAAGTTGTTGTGAGGATAAAATGAGATCAAACGAGATAAGTGATTTGAAAACTGTGAAGTACACAACTTCTGAAATGATGTTTTAAAACTTGCTTCAGCCCTCCGGAGCACACACAATGCGGTGCTGGTCCACTGGAAGGTGCTGAGTCAGTGAATGTCACTGCAGCGATTCACCAGCAAATAAAAATGATAGCAGTGACAGGAACATTGCATCCTGCCTCTTCATGGGCCCATCTCAACCATGACCCTAAATTGTAGGAATGATCATCATATTTTTATGGATCAGGAAATGGAGGCTTGGCATTGGGGTGAGATTTAGCTAGAAATGGGAAGTGCATGGATCCTGAAGGAAATAGAGCCAGTTGGAACCCCAGGTCTCTAACTTTAGCAATTGACATAAGAACAAGCATAATAATAAAAAATACCCAGTGGTATGCACCAAGGGCCACAGCATAGTTCCGGTGAGGTGAGACTCTGGGTGTTCTTCCTTTCTGTTAACTCAAGATGAACTCTCCTTTTATGGAAAATGACTCTTGCTTCCAACTAGATGAAATTGATGCTAGTGTCCATCAATCAGATTGTGGATAATGCCAATCTCAAATACCATCGGTTAAAATTCCCTGGGGCCTCACAACCCCTTTGGAGCCTCTGTGGTGGGTCTGAGCTGAGCAAGACTCAAGTATGAGAATGTTGCTCTGCGTCTGCAGCCTGCCAATATGCCCACCCATTTAGGGCAGTCCTATTGGGCAGGGTGAGTGCAGTGTTCCCTGGGTAAAGGGGTCATCATATCAATAAGTAGAGAGGTGGGGGCTCCACAATGTCCTAATTGGAGCTAGGGGGCTGGGAGAAGAAGGAAACAAGGTTTTCCATGAGGCCAATGGCTCTTCCTTTGCTGCCCAGGGCTTTTCCTGTCTCCTGTGTGTGAGTTGGGGTGGGTGTGTGGGGTACTGGCAAGGAAGGCAGGAAGCAGAGGAAGGAGCAAAGGATGGGGCTTAAAAGGGAGGAGCAATATTGTAGTTGCCTATATGAGGAAGGACCCACTGCCTGCCATAGGGGAGCATAGGGCGCTGTGAGCCTCCACTGATTTTCCCAGTTCATACATTCGTAGCCATCTGTTCATGCAAGTTCCTTTCCACTGAACCTCACAACCTTAGAATTAGAGTTTTACAGTCAGAAGACTTCTCAGAGATCCTCTATTGTCGTGATTCTCAACTTTTTTTTGAGACAGAGTTTCACTCTTGTTGCCCAGGCTGGAGTGCAATGGGACAATCTCGGCTCACTGCAACGTCTGCCTCCAGGGTTCAAGTGATTCTCCTGCCTCAGCCTCTTGAGTAGCTGGGATTACAGGCACCCACCACCACGCCTGGCTAATTTTTGTATTTTTAGTAGAGACAGGATTTCACCATGTTGGCCAGGCTGGTCTCGAACTCCTGAACTCAGCTGATCCACCCGCCTCGGCCCCCCAAAGTGGTGGGATTACAGGTGTGAGCCACTGCACCCAGCCAACATTTTTGTTCTCACAACTCCTTTCCATTTTAAAGAATTCTTGAGGACCCCAAAGAACTTTTGTTTATGTTGGTGATATCTATTGATGTTTGTCATGCTGGAACCCTACTGACTCTTATAGAGATGGTACTGAAGAAAAGACCTGGAGCCAGTGAACAAGACATAGGATTTATTGAGGGGAGTTACCTATAGGGCAGTCCAGTGGCGGTGGGCTGGATAAAAGAACCACAGCTGCCTGTAACAAGCATGCAGTTTACACAGCGTTTTCACTTAGCACCCTCCCTCTAGCAACTTCTACTTGGCAATCTACATTCATTCCAAAACAAATGTCCCCAATCCCCTGTATGGCCTGCATCCCATGGGATGGGCTGGGAATTCAGATGTTCCTCATAGATAAGAATGAATCTCTATACTGGCCACTCCCAGATTCCTTAGCTCGGAACTCGACTCCAAGCACACATTCTTCTTAGACCATAGGGTCATTCTCAGGGTATGCTTAAGTTACGCTATTGATATCAGGTGTATCTGCCATACACTGTCTCCTATATTAGAAATTAAAATGGAGAAAGTTTTAAATGGTTTTTCTTATTAATTTATTAAAAATAAAATAATAAACCCACTACATGTGAATGTAAGTAACATTTTAAAAAATGAAAAGTCATTATATTTTCCAAAATGGAAAAGGATATTTAGTAAAAAGTGGCAATTTTACATTTCTGCAACTCTCTTTAAAGTCTGGTTTGACAGAGGACAGCTGGATTTTCATACTGGCTTCTGTGTTCAATCTGTTATATCATGTGATGTGTAGCCTATGGAAAATTCCACTGCTCACTTGTGAGAGTATGAGATTTAAAAGAGCAAATAATATCCTTTAAGATCAAACTCTTACCTTTTATAATAATAATATCTTTTATAAGACCAAAAATGTTTTTGATCTTTTGGGCTCCCTTAAAGGATGTAGGCACCCCCCAGGGTACCTGGTTCACACTTTGGGAACTACTGCTCAGCATGTCTCATGTCATGCCTTGAGGAGCCTGAAGACCAGGCACATGGTGACGAAGCCAGGACTAGGTCCTATGTGTTCGATGTCTCTGCCCCTTGGCTTTATCTTGACATCCTATTGGTCTTTCAAACCATGCTGACATGCTCAGTGCTTTGCACCAAAGGGAATTACCGGCTACTATAAGTGATGCCATTTTCTGCCATTCAAAGACATGGAATTTCTTTTAGCTGAAAACCAGTCCACACCAGTGGAAACTGAGTGAGGTTTTTTATGGAGGTATAAAAATTAATTAAATGGAAATATTCCTGATGCTATGAATAAGGCTTTTCATTAGATAATTCTAGATATTAAATGATAGTCACTTTTGGGTAGAAAAGTGAATTTGAGATTATTTTACAGTTACTGGATAATGGCAATGTATAAATGTAAATTATTATTAACATGCTATACTTTAATTTCAGCTAAAACTGCCTATATATGATATTTGTACGTGATACTTTATTATAATTTAAAGTCTGTGCTTTTGCCTTTAAAAAGGAGCAAAGACAAAAACTGGAACAGCCCAAGAAAGATGAGGGTAAAAACTTCTAGAAGTAATCTAAAAAACATTTTCCTAAAGAATTGAAGTTACTTAATTTTTTATTCTTAAATTCCTGATATGAGACGATCATCTTGGAATTTCCATTTTAACCTAGTATTACATTCCATTGAAATTCAAATGATTTTATTCTGTCATTATAGGTATCTAGGGAGATCTATTATGTTAATGTATATTTCCTATTAATATCAAATGAAGCTGTCTACATGTCTTGAAGGAGCAAGGACCCTTGAGTATTGAAATATGAAGTATTAAAAAAACCATCAAAATGTTATGAAATTTGGATAGTAACACTTCATAATAAAAGGAACATTCTCAATTGTATTAATTGTCTGTACAAGTCAGGGTGTTTGTAATCCAAATATTGTAAATTTAGTTGAGGTCTCCATTTAATGTATAAAGCAATAAAGACTGTGGGAGTGAACTACAGGTGCCTTGAAATTATTTGGATCACAAAAGACCCAAGTCAGGTACATTAAAACTTCAGAAGGTATTTAGATTCCTGGGCTTTGCTGCCATTTCATTACATTGAATATTATCTTGAGAGCACCATTTTCTGGGAATGAAATTTCTCATACATTCAATATTTATTTTTGTTATTGTTGTCAACATGGTATTTATTGATGTGAAATATGACCTACTGCATACTCTCCAGAATGTTTCAAAATCCTTCTCATTTTCCCAGGATGTTAACCTCAGTACACACACTCAAACCCGATGTTTCTACTAGAACTAGATTTTGTGGTATCATCTGCTGTAGGAAGACAGGTTTTTCAGAAATATTAGGGTTATAATTTTTTTTAATGTAGAAAATAAACGTTTCAGGGCTTGGAGGTTCAGAGATTTTTCATTCCTCTATGAGCAAAGCACCTTCATCATTTGATTAGTTAAGCCACAGATTTCATTTGTTTCTGGAAATAACTTTCTACTTGAAAGAAACAATAGCTCATAGCTTCCATTATAAATCTTTCTGTCTCATTTAAATGGCTAAATTAAATTCAAACATGTTTACAAATATAGACACAACCATCTGAATCTAGATTATTCACCACAAATTAGTAATTTGAACACAACCGAAAGATTTTTGGGGGAAACTACATTGCTGGATTTCTTGATCCATACCTTGATACTGGTTGTCCGGAGAGACTCCAAGAGTTAAATTTTTTTATTGACACACAAAAGCAGAAAAATACTGGAAGCAGAGTGGCTGCTGGGAGCCTTCCAACCTGAAAAAGAGATTTATGAATAATAAACCTCGTGATGGGGCTTACTTTCAGAGCTTGGAGGCTTACCCAAGCTAAATTGAATTTCTAAAACTGGAATGGATTTCTCTTGACTTAGCGAGCTGTGATGCATTTGTTTCTACAAGGCTCTGTTTCTGCGGGTGGAAGGTGTATGAACACACCTGATTTTAAGAAAAGAATCCCCTCACATCCAGGCTGTAGGTAAATGCTACAGAGGAAAGGTATTATTTTGAACTACCTGTGGGACTCACTGTCGTTGTGTTTCTTTGAGTGTGAGTAGCCTTGCACAAGCTCGGGCTCCATGCTTGAATACCTGTGCCCCTTCCTTGGGAGAGAGACTATGGCCTGAGAAGTTTCAGTAGGTGTGGGGATATTCTAGGAGTACTTAAGACTTAGTTTGATTTGGGCTGGGCGCGGTGGCTCACGCCTGTAATCCCAGCACTTTGGGAGGCCGAGGCGGGCGGATCACGAGGTCAGGAGATCGAGACCATCCTGGCTAACACGGTGAAACCCCGTCTCTACTAAAAATACAAAAAATTATCCGGGCGCGGTGGCGGGCGCCTGTAGTCCCAGCTACTCGGGAGGCTGAGGCAGGAGAATGGCGTGAACCTGGGAGGCGGAGCTTGCAGTGAGCCGAGATTGTGCCACTGCAATCCGGCCTGGGCTAAAGAGTGGGACTCCGTCTCAAAAAAAACAAAAAAAAAAAAAAAAAAAAGACTTAGTTTGATTTGATATGATTATATGATTGCCAAGAATAAATAAGATGAAATGTTAATGTACTGGGTACTTTCCTCTCCCTGTTTTAAATCAATCCCAAACCATAAAAGTTTAAGTTTATCTCACCTTTGGATTTTGAGGAAACACACACACATGTACACACACAGAGTCACTTTCTTATTTTTCTGCTCTTAAGTAGGTAGAGAGAGAGGTCCCAAGAAGGACTTGCATTTATAGGCAGACAGATGTACATGCTACCATTAAATGGACTGTGATTTTTCAAATAGAAAAATATAATTCAAAAATTTATTTCCAAAGAAATTTCACTACCCCCTACCCCTGGCCCTTTGTGGCTCCATATCTCCCAGTAGACATTCATCCCCCTCCCACTTGTGTCTGTGTTCTTGGTGCAAGATTATCTTTCAAGACCTACGTGCTGACTTAGGCAGATTTTGCTTAGGATATATTTTATCTGTCAACTCTCCTTGGTATGTGGAATTGTGTGGAGTAAGGCTTCGTGTGCAAGGCTGGGCATCAGCTTGGAGTAAGAAGAAACTGATGTTGAGTCCAGGAACCAAGGATGATTGAGTGATCACTATCATGCCCGAGAGAGGAGGTCAGTTTTGGCAGAGGATGCTGCCTGGCTGATCTTGCTCCTGGGCACAGGGTGGCTGGATGGAAGGCAAGAGGAAGAAATGCATTCTAGAAAGGCTACAGAGGGAATACACCTGCCCCTGCCTGCAGCAGTGACTCAGCTCTGCTCTGCTTCAGATGTGGATTGTGGTCATATCAGAGTTTGAGGATGGATCATGGTACACGGAAGACAGAGCAGCCTGCGATTCAGAGTTTTGCTGTTCCTGTAGGCCAGAGGGTGCAGGTGTCTGGAATCCAGGGGGAGGTGAAGCTTGAGTCCACACTGAGGGTCTAATATGCCAATTCTGCACAAATCTCAATAGTCCACATGGAAACTTAACAAGCCAAGATGAGCCTCTTTGAAAAGGAACAGAGACAACTTTGAGTATCCAGCTGCAACGTGTGTCAGAAATGTCAGAAAGGTTATAACTTTCACAGACAGCACTGGCTGTGAAAAAAGCACCTACCTAAAGTCATTAATGTCTAAGGTGTGCAACATATCCCAGGCTAGAAAGCTCTCAATCTGTTTCCCGCTAGGGCAATGAAACCCTGAGCTGCCTAAAGGTCAGAATCCACCATAGTGAGAGATAGCAAGTGCTGCTGTGAATACCAGAGGCACATGGGTGGTGGCGCCTTCAAGGTAAAAACTCAAACAGCTCCGGTCTCCATCTGGAGGTTCTTGGCCCTTTATCTCCTTCCTTTTCCATATTTGAAGAAATCAGAAAAAAAAAAATCAAAACAAAAGTGACTGATGCTCAAGAGATGGGGTCCTTTGTGCTTTCGGCTCCAAACACTCTAAAGAGTTTCTATTCTGGAAGGAAGAAATGGACACACAAAGCTGCTTCTGATATTGATCCAGATGGGGAAAAAATGACATTGGAATTGCTTATTAAGCCGGGCATTTAAAGCCATCGCAGTCTCCAGACAAACCCAGTCAATGGGTGATATTGCTCAACAAGTGAGCTGATTCTGCCTGAAGGTTACTTTAGGGATTAGTGCTGAGGGAATTTATTAACATCCATCTCAGTTAGAAGAGTGACTTTTTGTTTGTTTTGCCCTTCAGAGTGAGCATTATAATAACTTCATTGAGCAAGGAACACCTCGGATAAGTATGGTGCTTCTGATCAGTCTTGGGTGTGAAAGTGCTTGAAGCCTTGTGGACAGAAGCGGAGATTCCTACCCATCTCTAGCTGCAATTCTTTACATCTATAGGCTTGCATAGTTTAAAAAAATGTGGCCGGGCACGGTGGATCATGTCTGTAATCCCAGCACTTTGGGAGGCTGAGGCGGGTGGATCACGAGGTCAGGAGATCGAGACCATCCTGGCTAACACGGTGAAACCCTGTCTCTACTAAAAATACAAAAAATTAGCCGGGGGTGTGGTGGTGGCTGCCTGTAGTCCCAGATACTCAGGAGGCTGAGGCAGGAGAATGGCGTGAACCCAGGAGGCAGAGCTTGCAGTGAGCCGAGACCATGCCACTGCACTCCAACCTGGGTGACAGAGCGAGACTCCGTCTCAAAATGCTCCCCCATGCTGTCTTCCCTTTGATGTTACCATGGCCTTGCAGGTGGGTTGGGAGAGGATCTCAGGCAAAGTTGCTGGTGAACTCAGGATTGTCCTAAGGTCACATAAATAAGAGGAGGAAAGTTTTGGTCATCTGACCCACAGTCCAAACACACCAGGTTGTCTCTATTTACACTTTCTCCTGACTTCCCTCTTGACCAGGGTCTTGTTTGTAAATGGGCAACTTGGATGGGCTGTGGTCTAAGCCCCTGGAACAGAATAAAGTTAATGGGCTACATCTTAGCCAAACCAGAAACTATTGTATCCATAGTACCATTATCCCATCAGTTTAGTTAACTAGCCTCTGGCAAATAGGGGTGATCTCAGACTAATAATAGGGACAGCCATGATAGTTTTCAAAATTAAAACATCAAAGCAACATGTTCATTTATAGCCTCTTCATATTTCACCTGCCCTCTTCCTCACCCTTTCTCTTTCTCCCTCCTTCCTTCCTTCCGCTCCTCCTTCTTCCCCTTCCTTCCCCCTTTCCTTCCCTTCCTTCCCTCCCTCCGTCTTTTCTTCCTACCTTTCATCCTTTTCTTCCTTCTTTCTTTTTGAGATTGAGCAGTGGACAGCTTTAGATCAGCTGAAATAGAATTTCATTCCACATCATACAGAGAAAGCTTATACACCTTGGTGAAAAAGTAAAGTTATACATTATTCTCAATGAATTACTCTTAAAGATCTTCAAGATCTTGGCCATGAAGCAGCTTGAACCAGGAAAATGTGCATCCCTCTAGCCTTTGGAAACCTGCCCCAAGCAGGAGATATTCCAGGTTTCAAATGTTTCAGGTTCTGCTTGTCAATTACTTTTATGGAAATAGTATTTCTCACGCGCTTGAAAACACTTTTGCTCTTTTAAGTAGGTGAAACACTCATAATCTTATTTATAGAATTAATGTGCACAGCAGGCAGTTTTTCAGAAGCAAAACCCCACCTAGATCTCAGGCTGGGCCAAATGATAAGATGGTTTAAATTTGTAGGTTTCATATTAGGTACATCTGGGATTACAAAAGCACGGAAAAATGCTAATATTTCTCCTTGGAAAATAATGCTGTCAGTGGGCAGAGTGGGCTGAATTGTCCTCAAAGAGTAGATCTCCCTCTCAAGCTAGATGTGTTCTCCCCTCCACATGAGGCAGGGAAGAGTCAGCCTTGCAGCCCTGGGCGTGTCTCCAGGATACCCTTAGAGCAACCACAGAACATGCTTCGGACCCCGGGCAGAAGTCCCCAGGGTCACCCAAGAAAGCTCTCTAGCAGCCAATCTAGAACATAGCTCGGGGGAGATGCAGACCCAGAAAAGGAGAAACCAGAATCCCAGGGAGGCCTATCTGGAGGAGCGGACAGACAGGGGCTTTGGCCTGTTGAAAGGTACAGCTAAGCTGTGGCAACTTTGCAGAGACTAGTAGGTTGCTAGAATTAAGAAATAAAGTCCCTGCGTGGTGGCTCCCAGCACTTTGGGAGGCCGAGGTGGGTGGATCACCTGAAGTCAGGAGTTTGAGGCCAGCCTGGCCAACATGGTGAAACTCCATCTCTACCAAAAAATACAAAAATTATCTGGGCGTGGTGGCGGGCACCTGTAATCCCAGTTACTTGGGAGGCTGAGGCATGACAATCACTTGAACCCAGGAGGCGGAGATTGAGGTGAGCAGACATCGTGCCACTGCACTCCAGCCTGGGCAACAGAGTGAGACTCTGTCTCAAAAAAAAAAAAGTGCCTTCTAATCACTTCTACCCGTTGGACTTTCCCAGCCAAAACTACAGAGCAATGATTAGGTGGAGCAGGAGAAGAGAGGAGAGTGAATCTGAGAAGCAAGAAATGCAGGGTTCCATTGTACCAAGTGCCTTTTTCCAGTTGTTGCCAATGTACTTCCCTCCCTGGCCTTTGGGCCAGGTCACCCTGTTCCCCTGTTTGTCCCCACTAATTAAAAAATGTAGCTTATTATACGATAAGTGATTGCTGCTTCCCAAAGACAAAGTGGGAATGATTTTTGTATACAAATTCTGGATTGGCTTCAGAAAAAAAAAGCAAGAAAAGTGGTTTATTGAAACCATGCTTTCATGTTAACTGTGTAGTGTAATTGGCTGGCTTAGTATTTCTAAAGGAAAGAAAACTGTCAGATCTCTTTTTTAAGGATGACATATTTGACATTCCTGGAGCGATGAGGCTGTCCCTGTGAAGGTTAATGTGTGTTCCCCACAGTCGGTGTAAGCCCCTCATCCCTCCTCAGGTGTCATTAAGGGGACAAGGAGGTGGCCAAAGAGGAGACACAAGAGGAAGCTGGCTGGAAGGTGGGTGAGGGTGGATACAGAGCTGTTCACACCTCCACCCAGTCTGAACGGAAGGCCCCGCTAGATGGCAGGCCAACTGGGAAATGGGGAAGGGACTGGGCAGGCACGGTTCTCCCCTGTAAGCTGGGGTTTGTCAGACCAGGAGGGAGGAGGAGAGTAGCTTCCAGCCACACACCCACAGACTGTGGGCTTCCAGAAAGCTGCTTTCTCAAGGGCTCAGTGGCGCCCCAGGCTCTGCTCCCACTGAGCAGAGTCTCTGGATGACTCCCCAGCTGCCTCGGCCCAAAGGAAAGGTGGGGAGGAGGGTGGGAGTGCCCGCGGCTCCAGGTGCTCTCTGGGAGGCTGGAGTAGCTGCTACTGTGCCTGGGGCTGTAGGTGTTGGCCTGGGTTGGGAGGCAGGACTGAGGTCTCAGAGGAGAGGCTAAGCTTTGCCTCCACCCCTGTGGAGAGGCGCCAAGGAGCCAATCTGCTTTCATTCAGGTCCCTCTTGGATATCTTGGCTTCATAACCTTGAATTAAACTTCAAATTTGTGACTGCAGGATCAGCTGCTTAAAAATATGAGAAATGACCATCTCCTTATTTAAATTGCACGTATTTCCTTTTAAGTTCTTCTCTCTCCTCCCCCGACACAACCAGGGGAATTGCTCTTTTCTGCACCATGGTGAAGAAATGAAATCAGGGCCCCTTTAATGTCAAGTACATTCTGAACGTTCAAGAAGGAAGAAGAATAACAAGTACTGTGAGATCATTGAATTTAAAATGCAGCCATTTATAGACTTCACTATTTCCAGCATTAATTCGAAGGAGTAGATATTACAGTTATTATAATGACAATTTCTCATGGCTATTATGGCATATTGATCTGTTCTTTTACTATCGCTTTTTCCTCGGGCAGATCCTGTATCTGCTCAGGCTGAGCACACCGTTTTCTTACAGACTGTTGTTCCGTGTCGCTGCTCTGTTTTTCTGACATGTTATTTCCTTCAGTCTCATCATGAGCAAGAAGCCAAATTATTTGCATATCACTAGGTTTAATTTTAAAATTGTATTTCCTTTGAAAGTTACCCCCTTCTCCTATTCACTAAGGAGCAGATGCTTCTTATTCACCTGCTGGGATCTCCTTGCATTCTGGTCATGGTTTTTCTGTTCCAGTTGCCATTTCCTTTTTTCCTCTTGGGATGTGGAATGGTGTAGAACTGTGATCAGTGGAAATACGTATTGATTGGATAGACCAAGATATGGCTGGGTGTGCCGGGAGGAGGAACTGGGAAGTCAGCGACGTGGCCTCCATCACAACGTTTATGAAAACTCTCCCTTCAGGAACTTATGATTATGTGAAGGGGATGCTTGCTGCTGTTTTTGTGCTTGGCAAGCAGCTTCTTCAAAATTTCTTCCTTCCTTTCTTTTCTTTTCTTTTTTTTTTTTGACATGGAGTTTCGCTTTTGTTGCCCAGGCTGGAGTGCAATGGCGTGACCTTGGCTCACCGCAACCTCTGCCTCCCGGGTTCAAGCGATTCTCCTGCCTCAGCCACCCGAGTAGCTGGGATTACAGGCGCCCGCCACCACGTCTGGCTAATTTTTGTATTTTTAGTAGAGATGGGGTTTCTCCATGTTGTTCAGGCTGGTCTCAAACTCCCGATCTCAGGCGATCTGCCCGCCTCGGCCTCCCAAGCCTTCTTCAATATTTCTAAGGTGTGTTCTTCTCTCTCTACTATTCTACCATCCCAGACCCTGAAAACAATTGGAAATCGAATCATGCTCTGGCGTTCATTTAGACAGCAAAGTCTCCTCGGATGTCAGAGAGACACTTTAGTGGCCGGGCACTGATGTGAGTGAAGCAAGTCTCACTTCAGACTCCAGTTGCTACCAGTTCACCAAATCCAAGTGCAACAGACCTGGCCTGTGTAGGAGGGCAGACCTCGCTTCCCACAGCAGTCATCGCAAACGGGGCTAATCATCGTGGGACCATGATCCTCCTCTCACCCAACCTTTCTTACACTTCAAGTTTCGCTCTTTCCACACAAACATAAAGCTTTTGGCAGTTTGGATGGATGTGCACTCACCAAAATCCAATTTCCCACCAGTCCATTAAAAAAAAAAGTGTTTTTATAGTGAGCTTTGAAAATGGGCCAGGCCATGAGAAATGGTCCATGCAGATGCTGGGTTGTAGATTATAATGCATTTGCTGGTTGGGGAAAGTGCTTTGAAGGTTCCTCCCAGGTAACTCTGAGCTCAGTAATTGTTTCATAGAACTTTCAGAATAAGATAGAGCAATGTTTAGCATCCGATTTTGGCTGGGGTTTTCCATGGATTAGCTGATGCCAGGCTGCCTCCATGCCAGCAGGAGCTGGGCATTTTTGCTGACTGTTTTTAGGGTCTTCCTCGCCCTTTAGCCATTTCCCCGGTTGCAGGGCCCCTGAGCTGCTTGGCCTGAAGGCCTGCCAATAAACCTCATCCGACTCTTGGTTTGCTCATGAAGGGTGGGGCTTGGGTGAATTCCCATTTGTTCTGTCCCTGCCATTCTATGCTTTACTCATTTGTTCCTGGTTCACCTGCAGTGAATCATTTTATCTCTTTGGGTTGCAGCATTGTACGACGACATTGTCTTTGGGCGCTTGTCGAATTCTGACTCTTTATGATTCTGTGGCTGTCTCTTTCCTGGGACAGTGTAGGACATTTGACTCCTTTTGATTTTATTTTCTGTAAGCATCAAGGGGATATCGCACATGAGTCCACAGGAGAAATACGATGTATTTTCTTGGTGGAGGCAGTGGAGGGGAAAGTAAGGGCAATGGATGGGATCTGAATGGGATTGTCACCGGCTGTGAACACAGGATAACAAGTAGTTATTTTTGTTGAAATAACAACTATTTCAACAAAATGGGTGAAAATGGGAAAATTTAACATTTCCTCTAGAAAAACTGCATTTCCAACTATCTGACAGTAAAACAGGGAAACAGGGTTTATTTTCCTGGATCTTTCTGTAGCATATGTCCAGTTTAGAAAGGAGGCTGGCACCCCAGTGACTGGCCTCGAGGTGAGCACAGGTGTAGACAACAGTGGTCCACTCGACAGAAACACAAAAGAAGTGGGTGCCTCCCTCTGGTGGCAATTGGCATACATGAAATTAAAGTGTGACTGCGATCTTTCAGGCAGAAGGTAGCCAACATTCTTTAGAAACTTTATAACCTTTTCACCTGTGGGCCTCGTCAACGTGACCTGGTACCAACCAAGCACTAGGGGAAACCTCAGCCAGAGGTTGCCGGGATAGGTGCTCCCCAGCCCCATGGCAATGGGATACTGAGTTATAGCTGTTTCTTGAAAAAGCCTCACTTGTCTTTTCTATAAATCCAGCCTATTGTCACCTTAAATGATGGCTGTGTGTGGAAGAGTTGAACCGTAGTTTTGAAATTATAATCCAGACTTGTTTGTGGAAGAAGGAGATAGGGTTTTAGAAGACAAGATGAGCTACCTGCAGATGAGATATTCATTCTTATTCTATTCACACATCTGACAGTTGAACAAAACTATAAAACGTTGCCAATTACCTATCTGGGCTAGAAACGGCCTATTAGGTCACCCCGGCCATTCACAGCTGGTGAAATATGACTCCCTGTTGTGTATTTCCTCAGTTCAGCTTAAAATGACTTTAGCAAAAGGTCAGATGCTACTGCTCCTGGGAGATGTTTGCAATCTCTAATAGACTGATGTTAGACATTTTTTTTTCTAACATTCTATCTAAATTTGTTTCTTGACATCAGTTTCTTGACATCAGCCTCTGTTAATGCTCCCTTGAGCCATGGCAGCTCCAAATGGGTATTTTATCCCTGCTTAAATTTTTGGTTTAGACAGAAATGCTTCTACTACCTCTGCTGATAATTAGAATGTGTCAAGGGATGATATTTCATTGTTGGTCTTTTGAAAGGTTTTTTTTTTTTTTTAAAGTATTTCCAAACTGATTAATTTTTGATCCTGTTGCCCTGATCCCAGAAAATTTCTTTCTGTCTTTGAAATTTCTTGAAAAGAATAAAAGTAATCCACTTTATTTTTGGTTTGTAAAAGCTTTTTGGATGGGGATGCTCCGATGGCACCCACAAAGGGCAGGAGCCTTGCTTTCCTGCCAAGGTGCCACATAAAACAGGCCCTGGTTAAATGGTCACATTTAACCAGGCCCCATCTGAATTCTGCCTAGGTGTTCATCTACCTGAACCAATATAAAAAAAGTCTGGAGCTTCAGAACTTTTCACAACCCTGGGAAGAACTTCCCAATGCCATTTTCCGGGGTGATTCGGTGTCAGAACGTTATTATTTTAATTTAATCTATTTTTATTTTTATTTTTTAGAGACAAGGTCTTGCTCTGTCTCCCAGGCTGGAGTGCAGTAGTGAGATCTTAGCTCACTCTAACCTTGAACTCCCAGCTCAAGCAATCCTCCTGTTTCAGCCTCCAGAGTAGCTGGGACTACAGGTGCGGGCCACTATAACCAGATAACTTATTTTTTGAAGAGATGAGGTCTAACTATGTTGCGCAGGCTGGTCTCAAACTCCTGGCCTCAAGGGATCCTCTCGCCTAGGCCTCCCAAAGTGAGGACATTATTACTTGTTGCTTAAAACTAACACCAAAACTCTACTCTTAGTTAATCTTTTTGAGTCCAGGTTACTATATGTAGTTCAGCTACTTAGTCTAGAATGCCACATAACTTTACTTCTGGGGTATTTAATTTTAGTATCTTTTTATAAATATAAGAACTCATCTTCCTGATAAGTAGAAAAAGGTACAGAGCTTAAAATGACCCATCTTTAAAAAGGTATTTCCAAGAAATCAGCAAGTGCCTGGCCATGAGCTCTTAAGATAGTGTCATTTTAAAAAAAGCAAATAGAAGTGCTATGTCTTTGCTCCAAACCTACAAAGAGAAGGGACGTGAGGGGCTGTGGCTGTGGATTAGGAAAGCAGAGATTGTGAAGTTTAACTGTCACAGGGCTGGCCGTCCCTAGAAATCAGCACCCATCTTTGTTTAGACATAAAATACTCACTTACAAATCCAGGCACACACCTCTGGGCAACAGCCCTCTCTGTCCTTATGACAACATTCTGATGTGGGATGCCCAGTCATGTTCAGCATGTTTGAAGGGTATTTGAAAATATGGGACTTCAGAGTCGTATACGGTAGCGTCTATTTCTGCTCTGCCATTTTCTTGCCATGCGTGAAAAGTGTAGAGCATGAAACGAAACACAGGACCCATGACTGAATGGAGATTCCAGGTTGGTGGTAGCCTCAGGCTTGAGATTTTGAGCAGTGATGGGCGTCTATCAGCTCAGCTGCGTGGTTGGACCTGGGAGGGACTTGACCCTGGCTTTGCTTCACAGACCCCCTTTGGAGTTGCCAGAGAGTTGTACCCCACGTGAAATTCCATACAAAACAGACCCGTCTACCGAATAGTCTTGTGCATTTAAGAAGGCTTGTAATCCCTGGAAATACGCAAAGAGAAACACCTGTCTGCAGGGATTAGAAGCTCAGGGTGAAGAGCCAGGGCGGGAAGTGCCCCATGAGATAGCATGGCCCAGCAGCTGAGTTGACAGCCAGGGCCAAGAAGGACGCAGAAACGTGTGTCATGAAGGATGCCAGATGCACACACACACTGTGGGAGAAAGGCATTTAAATCAGACAGCACCAAAGAGAATAAAGAGTATTTGTAAGGAGAAAAGGCCCAGAGTACCCACTTTTGAAAGCAGCTTTAGTCCCTTTCTGATGTACATGTGATGATTTTTCAACCCAAGCTGCTCTTTGCTTTCCCCATTGTTCATGAAGCTCTTGGGGGCTCTTACCAGCCTTTGTCTTCCTTCTTCACAAAACCCTGGAACACACTCCATTTGCCTTGGCTTCTACCTTTCCTTCTTAAAGTCAAAATCTTTGGCCAGGCGTGGTGGCTCATGTCTGTAATCCCAGCACTTTGGGAGCAAGTGGATCACCTGAGGTCAGGAGTTCGAGATCAGCCTGGCCAACATGGTGGAACACCATCTCTACTAAAAACATACACACACAAAATTAGCTGGGTGTGGTGGCGTGTGCCTATAATCTCAGCTACTCAGGAGGCTGAGGCAGGAGAATCTCTTGAACCCAGGAGGCAGAGGTTGCAGTGAGCCGAGATCATGCCACTGCACTCCAGCCTGGGTGACAGAGCTGTCTCAAAAAAAAAAAAAAGAAAAAAAAAAGAAGAAAGTAAAATTCTTTGTAGAATTATGGGGCAAGGAGAATTAGAAGAAACTCAGTGGGTTCAAGTGAGGTTCTTATATTAATTAGGCTAATTGATGTTCCTTTGAGACTACTTAAAAATGTCCTGTAATTATGATTGCATTTGACTTTTTTTCTATTTAAAAACTGGGGAACTGTATGAAATTCTCTATGGTGGTGAAATTTTTAGAGTTTAATGCTTTAAATCTGGTATTTGAAATTTTAGAAGCTGGGGCACATGTGAGTCCTAGAAGGTGGTGAGCACCCTCAGGAGAGTCAGTCGATACCTGGTAAAACCAGGGAATATCAGAGAAAAAGGAAAACTCCAATTATTCCAAAGCTGTGAAAGGAAGAAACAAATAGACCTAGTGCAGAATGAAGGGAGTGGCCTGAAATCTGACTAGGGAGGTCACCGTCCCTGGAGCAGGACCTGCTCACATCAATTTCCTGTGTTTTCAGGCACTTGAAAAACTACACAGTTTCCACAACTGCAAAGGGAAGGGTATGGAAGGAGAAGCAAATGTCCCACAAGGAGAAAAAAATAACATGAAGCAGGGAAGCCTCAGAGGGAATGTTGCCAAAGGTTACTGAATATAAAGGAAGTATTTCTGCAAAAAAAAAAAAATCTCTGGGATTTTTAAAGCATTAAATACTATGAAGAAATGACCACCCATTTCAGAAACTGAATGGATGCACGTAAGCAAAAGATAAAATGTGCAGTTCAGGGAAGGAAATGAGCCCATCCAATACACAGTAAAATACATGTGAATTTCCATTATCAACTTGAAATAAAATGTTTCCTGATGAATTATACACTGATTATCACACACGTGTAGAAGATGAGGTTCATTTAAAAGAAGCTGAAACCCCAAGATAACAACTGCTTAAACAATAGAGAAGGTTATTTCTCTGTCATATAGAAGGATTCTGGAGGTAGATGGTCAAGGGGAGTCTGTGTAGTTTCAAGGAGCATCAAGCATCTGTCACTGTTTGGCAATATTTGGCATAAGACTTCCAACTTATGGTTGAATATGGCTGCATGAGCACCAGCCATTGCACCTACATTTCAGCCAACAGAAAACAGATATGAACAGAGGGAAAAAATGGGCAAGGGGTGTCTGTTAATTTTATCGTAAGATTTCTTTTTTCCACTTACATCATATTGACCAAATCCTAGTTGCAGGGACACATCCAACAGTAAGGAGGCTGGAAACTGTTTTCTGGATAACCATGTGCTCAGCCCCAGATCAGGGGTTTTGGAACTAAGAAAAAGGGGATAAACAAAGGCAATGAACAGACTCAGCCACAACACCTTTCTGCTCCTGGAGTTTATTGGGTGCTTACAAGCTGGTTAGCTTGCACAGAGGGGTTATCTGAATTGTTGGATGACTAATTTGTCCTCTATCCCTCCAATCAGCCTGAAGAGATTTTTTTTCTATGTTTCCTAGTCAGAGTGTGAAGAAGGGCAAACTGTGGCTTTTCTGTGGTTTGCTGTTGGGGCAGCTAGCTGCTGATTCCTGGGAAGGAATTTCAATTCTTTCCATGTGCTCAGAGAGAAGAAGGCATTTGGTATGTTATTCTCACTCCCAAAAGCATTTTCATTTACCCACTTTCCTTCAAGTTATTCTCGAGTAAATATTAACATATTTTCTATGTAAATAAACTAAAATCTTGCAATCTGATCTCTAAAAGCACAAGATTACCCCTTTTCTTTATATAATATTTCTCTCCTCCCCTGGCCCCAGTCTAACTGGTTATGGCTATAGGAGGTGGTGGTGCAGACAGCAGAATCTACTCTTGTTGGATTTGGAAGAAAGGGCTTTTATTATAAGACCTTTAATAATTTCTGGCTTGGTAAATTTTCCTCCATCCCTTTGTTTTGAACCTATGTATGTCTTAGCTCAACCATTATTCAACCATTGTGGAAGACAGTGTGGCAATTCCTCAAAGATCTAGAAGCAGAAATACCATTTGACCCAGCAATCCCATTATTGGGTATATACCCAAAGGGATATAAATCATTCTATTACAAAGACACAAGCGTGTATATGTTCATTGCAGCACTATTCACAATAGCAGAGACATGAAGTCAACCTAAATGCCCATCAGTAATAGACTGGATAAAGACCATGGAATACTATGCAGCTCTAAAAAAGGAATGAGATCATGTCCTTTGCAGGGACGTGGATGGAGTTGGAAGCTGTTATCCTCAGCAAACTAACACAGGAACAGAAAATGAAACACCACATGTTCTCACTTATAAGTGGGAGCTGAATGATGAGAACACATGAATGCATGGGGGAGAACAATACACACTGGGGCTTATTGGGAGGGAGAGCATCAGGAAGAATAGCTAATGGATGCTGGGCTTAATACCTAGGCGATGGGTTGATCTGTGAAGCAGATCACCATGGCACACGTTTACCTATGTAACAAACCTGCACATCCTACACATGTACCCTGGAGCTTAAAATAAAAATTAAAGAAAAAAAAATTCTGGGAGGCAGAGAGCTCAGCCTAGATGGTGTCCAGCCAGAAACAATTCATATGGAAGATATTTAGCGACACGATAGATCTTTCTAGCAGATGCTTGACTGCTCCTAATGTTGCCTGGCATGTGCCACCAGGCAAAGGACACTGGGATGTCCCCACAGCTGCCCCAGAGAAACCCAGTACCTCTGCCTCAGGGCTTACCAGAAGGTGGGATCTTCCTGTGGTTGGCTGGCCCCTGATGCGCACTTCTGCCTCTCCTATCCTTCTAGTGCACCTGCCTGGCCAGCCCTCACCTGTGCGGCAGACTTCCACCCCTGAGACATCGGGGAATGATGTCCTCCAGCTTCTCAGCCTGGTGGTAGAGGGAGAAGCTGGAAGGAGGGTGCTTTGGGCAAGCCAGGCTGCCGGCTGCCGTCTTGGGCAATGCACCTCTGCATTGGGATGGCCCTCTACTCCTTACAAACTGTGTCCCTGCACATGCTCTCCAGAGAAAAACAAGCCTGGGCAAGGATTTGAACCTCAGGAAGGCAAATCTGACCACAGTCAAGAGTCATGACTTGAATTCAAGCTGTCCTTAGTCAAGCTGTTTCTCATCATACCTCTCTGATTGTCTCCATTTTTTTCTTGAAAATGTAGGCATTTGGCTAGTGGTTCTGGGTTGAATTGTGTACTCCCTCCCTATCAAATTCATGTGTTGAAGCCCTAATCTCCATAACCTCAGAATGTGATCTTATTTGGAGATAGGGTCTTTATAGAGGTAATTCAATTGAAATGAGGTCCTCAGGCTGGGCCCTCATCCAGTCTGGCTGCTGTCCTTATAAGAAGAAGAGATGAGGACACAGACATTCACAAAGGGATCCTCATGTGAGGACACAGAGGGAAGCCATCTGCAAGCCAGGAGAGAGGTCTTAGGAGGAACCTGCTCTGCCAACACGTTAATCTTGGACTCCAGCCTCCTGGATGTGAGAACATAAATTTCTGTTGCTTAAGTGACCCCGTGTGTGATACTTTGTCATGATAGCCTAAGCAATTCATACAAATAGGAATGAATTTTGCCTTTTCAACAGAAAAATTAGTATTTCTTCAATGATGATTATACCTTGTTTTTTTGTGCTCTTCCTCGCTTAATAAATTTGGAGGAAGATCTGATCTCATTAGTTCTCATTCTTTGTAATCGATAAGCATGGATTTGTGCTAATTTGATTATCTAGTTCCACAATGGGCATTTTATATAAGCCAGGGTGCCTCTGGATGGAAGCCCGAGAAACAGAATAATAGGAAATAGATGACCGAGAGGCGCTCAGAGTAAACTCTTACTTTTGGCTACCAAATTAGGCTTTGTATTAATGAGAACTTGATTTGAACAATCGAAGACTGTGGGTTTCAGAATACTTCTATTTTAGGACAAAAGAGAATTGTTCGCTCTTGGAAAAAGCTTTAAGTACCAAAGAAGGCACTAACTTGGTAAATGGAAAGCTAGAAGAAATGCGAATTGTGTTTTTGATTTGGGGAATACAATAGATGCAGAAAGTCCCCTTGCCTGGGACTGCTAATGCCTGAACTTGCTCATTAATCTCTGCCTCTTAGCACAGACCTGGAAAATTGCAATTCTCCGCACCAGCAGCCCCCATTCGATAAATATGCAGCCAGCAGGCAGGAACGAGAAGTGGCTCTGGGCTGTGGGGCTGGCTTGTTGGAATCCCACACTCCCCAAGCTGCAGAGGGATTGCAACTCAGGAAGTCAGGCAGAAGGACACAGTGGCTCTCTGCATGCTTTGTTCCCAGCTTTTTAAAGAGCTTATTGTCTTTTTTTAAATTGGCATTTCATAAAGTGTGATGCTGTATGCCAGCATTATTAGGTACTACGGGTATAAATTTATTGTTATAATTTTTTTTCCTCTGGAGGAATTGACCTTTTCTCCAACACTAGACGCCTTATTCTCTGAGTATATCTTGATCCAATGTGAGGTGTAAAGGATAAAAGCAAGGTGCAATCCTTGCTTGCTTTGTTACCTGTCTCTTTGGCTTTCTCTGCCTCAAGGGCAAGGGTTTGGGTCCTTAGGAGGGAACCCCACTCCCTCTCTTTGGCCGAGTGGCCTCGGTGTGGCCGAGGGGATCCCAGCTAAGAGGGCCCCAGCAGCACAGAACTCCGCATCAATTAGCTTAATGATATCAAGGGCAACACAGCTGACAGATGTTAATTCTTCCAAAGTTAATATTGTACTTTGAAAGAAGGTAGAACATTCTAAGAACCTTGGCATTACAATACCCCAATTGCAAGGCATACTTAAGTTAAATGACTGTTATTTCTTTATAGCTTGCTAAAATTTAGGTCCTTTTATAGTACGCTATGTGCTGTGACTCCTAATGAAGGCAGACTCCTACTCGGGACTATTATATCCCAATTTACTTCTTGGGCACAAATTTCTGATCTACAGCATTAGGCGTTAGGAGGTCATTCATTTCTATCAAATCAATCTTAAAATATGAAGAGTGATAAATATGTAAATTAAAGCATTTACCTGTTTGTGTGGTGTGTATGAGTGTGTATGTGGTGTGATGTGTGTGGTCTAATGTGTGTATGTCTATGGTGTGTGTGGTTTGTGTGTGTGTGGTGTGTATGTATGTGTAGTGTGTGGTGTGTAATGTGTATTTGTGTATGTGTGGTATGTGTTTGTGTGTGTAATGTGGTGTATTTGTGAGTGTGTGGTATGTTTGTGTGTTTTGTGTGTGTAGTGTGGTGTGTTTGTGTGTGGTGTGTATGAGTGCGTGTGGTGAGGGTTGTGTTTGTGTAGGAGTGTGTCTGGTGAGGTGTGTTTGTGTATGAGTGCATGTGTGTGGAGTGAGAGGTGTGTGTTGGTGTGTGTGTGGTGTGTGTGTGGGGTGTGTTTGATGTGTGATGTGTGTGGTGTGTGGGTGTAGGTATGTATGTGTGGTGTGTGTGTGTAGGGTGTGTTTGTGTGTGTGTGGTGTGTGTGATGTGTGTGTGTGTTTGGTCTGTGTGTGGGGTGTTTGTGTGTGTGGTGTGTGTGGTGTAGTGTGTTTGATGTGTGATGTGTGATGTGTGTGGTGTGTGTTTGTGTGTGATACGATATGTGTGTTTGGTGTGGTGTGGGTGTGGTGTGTTTGTGTGATATGTGTTTGGTGTGGTGTGTGTGTGTGGTGTAGTGTGTGTGGTGTGTGTGTGTGGTGTGTATTTGATGTGTGATGTGTGATGTGTGTGTGGTATGTGTGTGGTGTGTTTGCATATGTGGTATGATGTGTGTTTGGTGTGGTGTGTGCGTGGTGTGTTTGTGTGAGTGTGTGTGGTGTGTGACTGTGTGATGGGAGTGGATGTGTCGGTCTGTTGTGTGTGTGTGGCGTGTTGTATGTGTGTGTGTCTGTGTGTTAAAAGTAAAAGCTGCTGTGGTGATTTATTGCTGGTTCCTCCAATGATCTAACCATGATGACGTGAGCAATGACCTTTCATCGCCATCAACTGGGAAACAAACAGATTTGAGAGTTTCCTTTCCTAAGTTTAGGGGTTAATATATTTTTGAATTGTGCTGTGTTTCAAACTTTTTATCCTTTCTGGGACTGTTGCAGGATCCATGAATAGCTCTGTCATGCCCTAGGTGACTTTTCATGTCTGTTAATTTCCTAGGAATTTATGTTAATTATTTGAAGCCTGCCTCTTAGATTGTGAATGCACAGATGAAGACCATTTTTCTGGAAGTGCTATTTCCCACCATCCGTGAAGAGCCCTGGCTGCCGCCCCCATCCTGGTTGGCCTCACTGTGGGGCTGTGCCCCTCCCAGGATGGCTCCTTGGCAGAGGCCCCACCTGACAATCTTACCTCACACTCTCCAGCGGCCTGCTTTGCTCTTTGAATCTCTGAAATTCTATTACTTACTTGTGCATTTACCTTTCCATTTGTTTTCCTGGGGAGGGAGGGGACTAGGTTTGTTCTCTGCTCTCTCCCAGCCCCCAGGACAGGGATGGCTCTCTCAGACCACTCGCCGAACTCATGAATTTGGTATAGTTCCCCCAGACAGCCTGGTAAACCAGCAGATTTTGCAAGCTGGTTGACTGTATTATGTGTTTAGACTTGGACCATCCAAGAGATGCTTTTCCCCCAGAGCTATATTGACTGGTCCATAAAGAAGTCTGTCAGCTTGGTCTACATCTAAGGAGATGAAGTAGCACAACCCCACAGGATGAAAACAAGATTTGGAACAAGACCCAGATCCCAAGTCAGGCTTGGCCAGTCTTCACGAGGTGATCTTAAGCGAGGCCCTTCTAGAACGGGGATGATGAATGTTTCCTCAGCTCTCATAAATGACTACGTAAGTCCAAACTACAGATTACAGAAGCCCAAATTCTCTTTGTAAAATAGGGAATCTTAAATTCTGATTCTCTATGATGCAAAGCAACTTTAAAACCTATGAAGCCTCCAAATTAGGTCAGGTGCTGTTATAGGCTGAGCCGTGTCGTCTCCCCACCCAAATTAATATGTGGAAGCTCTAACCTCTGGTACCCCAGATTGTAACTACATTTGGAGATGGTTAAAGAGATGGTTAATTGATTAATGTTAAATTAATGTCCTCATGTGGTGAGGACACAGCAAAAAGGTGGAGAGAGGCCTCACGAGAAACCACACCTGCTAACACCTTCATCTCCAACTTCTGGCCTCCAGAACTGTGGGAAAATAAATTCCCATTGGTGAAGCCATCTAGTCTCTGGTATTTTGTTATGGCAGCCCGAGCAAACTCATACTCTTCTCGACAAGTATCTGCTGATGGACTATGGGACTGATGTGAGAACCTCTGCTCCAGCACCAAACTCTGTTGTATCAGAATAGATAAATGCAAGTGGAATTTTAATTTATCAAAGCATTTTTCTGTTCTTTGGATTTTCATGACAATACCAGAGACTTAAAAAAAATAGAGACAGGATCTCACTATGTTGCCCAGGCTGGTCTCAAACTTCTGGGCTCAAGTGACCCTCCTGCCTCGGCCTCCCAAAGTGCTAGGATTACAGGTGTGAGTCACCATGCCTGGCCCTGAGACTCGTAAAATTCATTTGGGACTGTCTTCAACTGGTAGTATAATAGTTCCTAACCTTTATATTTATGATTCTCTATTTTATATTTGCCCATCAAATGATCTGTAAAATAAAATCTACTTGAGTATATGAGGGAGGATCTATTTAATGCTCAATAAAGAGTGGTTTTTATTACCATTCCATCTTTAAGAAGGGCTGCCTGAGCTTTCTCTTGTGACATAATAAAACATATAATTGCAGAGGCCACCTTCTATTCAGTTTCTGTGGGGGAAAGGCAGTATTTCAGGAAAGTAGCATAAGAAATGTCTATACTAGTGCAAAGTTTAAACTTGAATAGGACTGTTTTGCTTCCTAGTGGAGGTCATGGCAGAACTGAATCAGGGGACGTTCCAAGCCTCAGGGAGCATCATTTCTTCATTATTTTTCCAAGCCTCAGGGAGCATCATTTCTTCATTATTCAAGGGCCATTGGCAGAGCTCTGTGTCAGGTCCTGGTGGTTTAATGAGGTTTCTGCTCAGAGGGAAAAGCCTCATTGCCTGGAGCCATTTTGCAACTACACTGTTTGTTGAGAAAGGGCAATGTGACAGGTGCACAGGTAATGGACAGGTAGCTAGATAATGTAGCAGTTCACGTAGCTGCCCAGCCTGATAGATTTTGATTGTCACTTCCTTTGAGGTGAGATCTTACAGGTGATGGACTTGGCTGATGTCTGAAGGCCTTGTGAGGGATAATGGCCCCCCAGGCACACAGGACGTTGAATCATGGGACCATTTTTTTGGAGCTATAGTGATCAATAAGTCGGGTTTCCCCTCGTCTTCTAGTGGAGTGGGAATTGCTGTTCTCTTACATCAGATCTGCTAATTGGCATGAATATCTCTTGACTGTTCTGTGGTCAGCTTGAAAATTTCAGAATGTCTATGCAGAGTGGGAAAAGGTAGAATTCCAGGACCTGCGGCAAATACAAGTAATGACAACTGTGAAGCCCTGGATGGCTTACAAGGTGTTTTGGTGAAATACTTCTTAAAAGGAAAAGCCGTAGACAAGTCAAATGTAGTGGAGTTGAGCAAAGAATGATTCCAGAATTAGGCGTCTCTCTGAACCAGAACAGGTTCTCAGAACTCCAGCCTGCCACGTGGTCAGGCAGCCTTGATGGGCAGAAAGCAGACGTGAGGCACCGAGGCAGCTTAACTGGTTACAGTGCAGCATTTTGCCCTGCTTGAGTAAGTTGCCCACCTGTGATTGACTGAAAATGGGCTGCTGTGATTGATGGAGAGCCCACTATTTGTTGACCAGAGCATGCCTGTACAGTACTCCTGAGTTAGGCTTCTAGTTAGTTTTTGTACTAAGACTGTAGTTTTTATTTGAGGACTGGAGTATGGAGGCATCCTCAGGCCAAATGTAATTTAGTCTAAAATGCTGCTCCCTCAGACTGAAAAGCCTCCATGGAGAGTGGGCGTGGCCAAAGTGATTTTCCAGTACACGCGGCAGAATCCTATGTGCACATGTCAGGGAGAGGCCACCCAGTCCAGACCTAAGCCTTCAGCCATCTGTGTGAAGGAGAAAGTGGTAACATGACGGAAATGATTGTACTGCAATCTGGACATGACAATGGCATTCGTTTCGTCCATACCACTCGTTTAGACGCCCTGCTCCCTCCTGGACACAGAAGCTCTGCAAAGGCCTCTAGGCCACTAGGAGGGCGTGGTGTGTGCCCTCGTAGCTAAGGAGAATGTCCTTTTGTATTGTCTAAGCTTTACAGTGACATGACTTGTGAGTTGTGGACTGTATCGGTCGGCAGTGGGAAGTCTCTCTTTTGAACAAATTTTAAGGATATTCTTTCTGCCTTGTATTTCTGAGCTGGGGCCATCTTGCAACAAGCCCAGCAAACACAGCTGACCATGATGGCCATGCGGGCGGCCATGATGGAAAGTGCCCCCTTCCTCCCTGGATGAGGGCCCGAGTGATCCATGAATCTCACCACTGAGCAGACACAGACACCCTGAGGCTGGAGAGCCACCTTACTGCCCACGTCCCCTTCACTGGCCTTTGCAGCTCTGGCCACGCCATGCCCAGTACAGTGTGGCCTGTGCTTTAAGGTACAACCGAGTGTTGATCTGAACATAAACCTAACACTGGGAGCCAGGTAGCACAGGCTTTTGTTTTCCAGATGAGAAAACTGAGCACCAGAGAAGCTAAGAACTTTTTTCAGAGTCACAGAGCAGTCAGAGGCAATCCCCAAATTCAGATTTTACCTGAAATCCATAGACCCACTTCTGCAGGGTGCCTGGCTCAGTGCGGAGAGTATCTAGGTGTGAGGAGAGAGGCAGCCTCTCATCCCCAAGGAGACTGAGGGCTTTGGCTGCTGGGACACGAGGCCTGTGTTCTTTGTTTTTGTTTTTGTTTGAGACAGGTCTCACTCTGTTTCCCAGGCTGGAGTACAGTGGTGCAATCATAGCTCACTGCAGCCTCCACCTCCCGGGCTCCAGTGATCCTCCCCTCTCAGTCTCCTGAGTAACTGGGACTATGCTCAGCTCTGTGTAAAAATTAGCTGCCACCACTCCTGGCTAATTTTTAACTTTTTGTAGAAACGGTGTCTCCATATGCTGCCCAGGCTGGTCTCAGACTCTCACCTCAGTCTCTGAATGTGCTGAGATTACCGGCATGAGCCACCACACCTGGCCCCGGGTTTTGTTTATTCCCTGGCCAGCTATTGGTGGCAGGCTCTGTTCTAGGCAAGAAGAGGCTTAGAAACCCGCCTGGAGCTTCTCTTGTTCTGCTGGGTCCCCACAGGCTCCTCTGGGGCCACAGGCCCTGGCCCAGGGGCATGAGGGTACACCTGTGCCTTCCTCTTTCCCTGTGTGCCTATTGAGGTCTGGACGTCTGCCCCTGGACACCTGTGCCCCTCTTCTCTCCATTCAGCCTTGAGCATTTCCTGAGGCTTTCCCCCATGAAACAGCAGTGCTCCCTGACGTCATTCTCAGGTGCCAGGTTTCCCATCTTCCTTACAGTGCCCCCTGTGGGCTGTGTCCCTCTGGCTGCCCAGACAGTGGCTTTCTCAGGACAGCTCCCAGCTACATGCCTCCTTGGAGGCCCCTTGAGGCCCTCCTCCATGACAATGCTGCAGGGAGTGAGGACAAGGACTCGCCTCACAGACTGAAGTTAAATGGTTACCAAGGAGGGTACCGTGCTTGTTTAGTCCTCCAGATAAAGGCATGCCTTTGACAGCTGCCTAGCATATTAATTAATGGCTCACTTGCAATCAACAGTTGTTAATTGAACACCTACTGTGTGTGTGCGCTGGATCCTATGTAAGCTGTTGGAACAAGGCGGACAAAGTCCCGGGCCTCACAGAGCTCACGCTCTAGCGTAGAAGACCGAGGACAAACCAGAGAAGGAAACAAAGAAGTAAAGTCATGGGTAGCAATTGCACCGTGAAGAACTGCAATGCAGGCTTGGGGGTGTGGCGTGCCCCTAGGGGACATATTCGGGGAATGTCCTCTCCTAGGGCTCTTCAGTCTCCCCAGCAGGCGTGGCCGAGGGCTTCCCTGTGGGTATCAGCAGTAGAAAGGGCCCCCTGTACTGCTCGTGGGTCCCCGCCTCTGCCCGGGAGTGATGGGGCTGGGGAAGCTCCTCACAGGGCCACCCTGCTCCTGTGGCCTTGTCACTGCCACTGGGGTCATCCTTGGGGAACCTTGGCAGGCTCCAAGGCCCTGAAGAGTGGTTCTGGGAGTGGGTGCCTGGCTGTGGTCCCTTCCCTTACTCTCCTCCCCTACCTTTGTGCCTGCTGAATCTGGGGTATTTAGAACTGTACTTTCCTGACTTCCAGGGCCACAGACCATTTGTACTGAACCCTGTGCCACCGAGTCTAATTGGTTGTCCCTTCTCCACTGCAGTCGGGTGCCCCATTCTCTTCCTTACACACTCCTGACTGGCTCAGCGGAAGGAGCTCCTGCCACTCCTCTAACAGCATCTGACCTTCCCCGCCGCCCCGGGAACTGGACTCTCTGAAGTATACAGAAAAGTAGCGATTCCTTAAATGTTAGTGGTTTCTTTTTTAAACAATGTAATATTTTTCAAATGAGGAATCAATCAGTCACTTTTGGCTGAGATATCAGTTTAAGATATAAGTGCAAAATTGATTTCTGTGAACTGTCCTCACTGTTTCATTATATATTTCCTTAATATACATAATTTTCTGCGTCTTCATTTGTCATTTGTCAAAAAATAATATTGCCGCTTTCTTCCATCATTATAAAAGGGAAAAGACAAATCAGGCCCTTTAAAAACTTCAGATTCCAGCAACATTTTACATTTAAAAGGGAAACTTCCCCTCCTACTTGGAATCAGGAGTGAATTTTTCCCCTTTGCACTCACTGTACAGTTGATGCAAGGATTCCTCTGGGAGTAGAAGGATTTGGGACTATAAACCATCTTATGAAAAATGACAACTCCCAGTGCTGTAGATGCTACCTAACCAAGGATGTTATTGGTACAAAAGGGTTTATTGCCATGAGCACAAACACTGGAGCCATTTGCATTCTGGGTTTGCTAGACACTTGACCTCCAGTCCCAGGCTCATGTGATAACATTAATTAACCACTTTTAAAACATCTACTTGAGCCACAGGAAACTTTTACTTCTCCCAGTGATCCTACCCCTTATTTTTCTCCAAAGAAAGGGCCCTGGCAATGTAGAAGACAATGTGAATAGCTACCTGGAGTGTGAGAAACAGTTCCACTTGTCTATCATTTGGGCTGTCCTGGGTTAAAAAGGAAGCACCCCCATCCCCTGCCTCTGAAATATTCCTGAACATTGGTGCACTCAACATCTCTGCTTTTATGAGCATTGGCAGCAAGTTTGAAATAGAAGACAACAGTTCTCTGATTTGGGTCATGGCTCCATCAGTCCTACAAGGCTTCCAAAGCCAGAGCTGACATTCCCTCCTCCTAGGTGAGAGGATGATTGAAGGGTCCCAGGTGGAAACTGATTAGGATCTAGGAAAATTGAGAGGAGGCTGCTTACAGCTCTGCAGATGCATCTGAAATAAGTGCTGATTCTCATCTATCTATTACCTGTCTATCTGTATTTGTCTATCATCTACTTATGTTTGTCTGTCTGTCTCTCTGATCTATCTATCTATCTATCTATCTATCTATCTATCTATCTATCATCTATCTATCTATCTGTCTATCTATCTATCTATCTATCTATCTATCATCTATCTATCTATCTATCTATCATCATCTATCTAGAGCAAGCAGGATAGAACAGGCAGGCCTTACCTCAAGTCCTCAAGGAACCCCAGCTTCCTCCACCCTCTCTGATAGAGCTGGTGCCTGAGCATTATTATGCAAAGTCCCTAAACAAGGTAGTGGATGATGAACTCAGGCTGCCTGGTGACACTCAGGAATAGAGCCCCACTCCCTGCTCACTGGCTGGGGCTTTTCCTCTGCCTCAGAATGCCTCCAGTTCTCCCATCTCCAAGTTGGCTGTGCTCCTCACAGGGCTGGCCTCCTCTGCTCTAGGTGCAAGCCCAGGGTGGCAGCGAGGCTCTTGGCCCAGGTCCCAGGAGAGGTCAGTTCTGTCCCCAGTTCTGGCTTGAGCTAACTCCAAGGCCTCCTTTGTCCTTGGATCTCAATTCTGGCCACACCTGAGAGTCTTTTTAAAAGAAGTGTAGATGTCTGGCCTCCCCACAGGGACACGGATTTCTCAACATCCATCTTGCTCTTAGGAGCACCCTTCCCACTGCGGCTGTGCAAGGAGGAAGCCCTGAGTCTGGGGTGAGACCCTCATGCCTGTATTTAAAAAAAGAAAGAAAAAGAAAAACGATGCCTTTGATGAATCTGATGTTTAGCCTTCATCAGACTAGAGGCATTTATTATTTTATTTTAGTTTTTTATTTCTGTAGGTTTTTGGGGAACAGGTGGTGTTTGGTTACATGAGTAAGTTCTTCAGTGGTGATTTGTAAGATTTTGATACACCCATCACCTGAGCAGCATACACTATACACTCTACGGCCATACCACCCTGAACACGCCGGGTCTCATCAGACTAGAGGCTTTTGAAAGACATTTACCTTCCACGACTGAAGAATTTTATTGATTTATTTGTTTTTCCGTCTTGGCTGCACTGGCCCTGTGCTGTGGTAAGGTATACAGCACAGAGGCCCAAGCCTTCGTTCCTCACCACCCCCCACTTTGTGTCCTGTCACCGTGTGAATTGGTGAAATCCCTCCACCTCAGCAAGCCATTTGCCAAGTCTACCTCATAGGAACAAGAATGTAAGCTTTGTGAAAGTTCAGTCGAACTGTGAAGGTCAAATGGTGTCATCCCATCTTGACGATGATAAAAATGGAAGCCCTGATTGCAATAAGCAAATCTTTCCTGAGAATGACACACAGAATTATACACGGAAACTCAGTATATGACTCTGCTGACTCAGTAATTGTGAATATCAGCTATCATTGGACCAATATCTTAGCAATATTAAATGGTACCTCTGTGAGATAGCAGGAGAAAGTAACAGCACAGCCAGTATTAAAACCATATATCAAGATGGTCACTGAGAACAGAAAATCATGTGCAGAAAATACATGAAGTGTTGAGACTGTGTCCTTGAGTTTCATTGTCCTGCTCAGGTGGTAGATTCTGAGCTCTGTCAAAACACTCCACTGGATTTTACTTTGCAGATGAGCTCTTGTCCTGGGGTGTAAGTTAAGCCCCTGTGTGTGCCCCAAGGTGGACTTCCTGGCTTCACTTATCTAGTGGGGCTGTCTGCTTTCCTATTTTCAGCTCAGTGATTGCCTTCTGTTTGTGTTTGTCTTGCTACAGATGGACAGAAGAAAGTTCAAGAAGAATTTGACATTGACATGGATGCACCAGAGACAGAACGTGCAGCGGTGGCCATTCAGTCTCAGTTCAGAAAATTCCAGAAGAAGAAGGCTGGGTCTCAGTCCTAGTGGGAGAACCCCCTCCTAGTCCACCTGAAAACACCAAATTCAACCATCATCTGTCAAGAAATTAAAAGAACAACACCCTAGAGAGAAGTCATCCACACACAATCCACACACGCATAGCAAACCTCCAATGCATGTACAGAAACCTGTGATATTTATACCCTTGTAGGAAGGTATAGACAATGGAATTGTGAGTAGCTTAATCTCTATGTTTCTCTCCATTTTCATTCCTCCTGCAACTATTTTCCTTGATGTTGTAATAAAATGAAGTTACGATGAGTGAATTCAAGTGACTGCCTTTCTTTCTCTCTTTATTTTACCCGATGTTAGAGGTGACTGTGAGCCAGGTGTCTATTTCTTTCTCTTAGGAGTCAGAGATGTAACACATTGTCTTCTGTTAGGAGCTTTTTTGCTGAGAGTGAGAGATCCATTTTCAGCCATGCTTGCCTCATTTGGAGAGTCCTAAGTGCTGGCTGGCGATGGCAACGTATTTTCTTCTTATCATGGGAATAGAGCCCTGTATCCTCGGGTGCCAAAGACAGAAGTTTCCCTGGGGAATTATGACTGATTCAGGAGAACAAAATGGGAGAAGGTGATGCATTTGTGTTTGGAGCATCCCCAGATTTACTCAGCAGACCCATTTCAGATCTCCAAAGGGGACACTCTAGCCTGTTATAGGCCATTCTGCAGCTTACCTGCAGTGCTCTGCACCTGTGTGGCTCCAGGGTACTGGCACCCTCTCTAAACTCCCCAACTTCCTCTATGCTGTGATTTGCCACGTGGTAGGGTTATTTATTGCAACCTGTAGCAATTTAGAGAAGCTATCAGGCCTCTCTTCCATTCCACCTTCTCCCATGCAAACCTTGCAGGTAAACTGTTCTGTAAATCCCGAAGTAGTTTTGTAGGCAGTGAGGAGAGGTCCATCACATAGAGAGGACCTCACCGCCACTGATTTGGGAGCCAGTTGGTTGGGTGGGTACCCTCCTTGGGAGACACTTGTGGCTTTTGTTTGCACTTTTCCACATGATAACGTGATGTGTAAGTCACATCTCATCTTCAACCTCCTGAGATGTTTGAGATGCTCCACGACTGCTGTCGTACACAGTGGGACATTGCATGTCTTTCCTTTGCCAGCTCCTTAACAAAGGGTCAAGGTGGAGCATGAAGAATAATGGGAAAAGGGGTGAGGGATGACATCGTGTGTGTGCACATGTGTGTGCATGGGTGTGTGGATGTAAGGGATGGTGTGAGTGAGGCATGGGCAAGGCAATGACTGCAGGTGGATGTGCCGCTGTTCCTGCGGCAGGGCCCCGTTTATTGTCAGGAAGGCACAGGTCAAGAAACACTGGCATGCTTGGGTGATTTACTGTCTCAAAAATCCCTCTGAAAGTGTGCATATTTTCTTGTGTAAGGAAATCTCTCCTGCCAGACAATTCCCTGCAGTCGTTAGAGACAGGGAAAACTCATAGATTCTGATGAATTTCCAATCATCAGAGAGCTAAACAGGATCACTTTGGCCCTGATAACCAGCGAGGACTCTGAGGGGCTCCTGATGCTGTGGTCCCTACTGAAAAGAGGACCACAGGCTGAGGGGACACTCCAGGAAAAGCTTCCTGAGACAGCAGAGATATGAATGCCACAGAAATCAGATGGGTCTCCATGTAGTCTTCTTTGGCGTTCCCTTAAGCTACCAATGTAAAGTAAGCCAGGAACAAAACAAACACTTACATATTTTGGATCAATTTCACCACACCTCATACTTCAAGCACCTCCATCCTCTGAATAGTTCACCTAAAGGAAGTAGGGGCACTGTCTATACTGGCTGCACTCTGGCCAGTGCTGTCCCAACGCTGACCCCTCTGGAAGCTAATCTGGCTTATAATGAGGATGCTTTCTTTAGAGGGGACTCTCCATGCACAGCAGAAAATCCCAATGGAGTGGTTCTTCCCTATGTCCCCAAGGGACTGGGAATATTCTTTCAGTAACAATGGCCCATTGGGGGAAGAAGGATGAAAGTGGGGTGAGAGACGTGAAATTTGGAGAGGTCCCTCAAAGATTGTGATGTGCCTCTCTTGTTCCAATCACAGGACAGGGGTATAACGGCTTTCCTTTGAAACACGGGGATGAATTTAACTATTCACTTCCCAGGTAGATTCATCAGGGTCTAGAGCTTCAGCTAACAGCATGAGGAAGATTCCAAATGTGCCCCCATCAGCATAGGAACTGGGTATGTTGAGTCTATGGTCTCATAAAACCAGAAGAAGGACAAGGGATTGTGGCTCCAGGCTTGGGAGCACCTTTTCCTTACCATGGGCTACAGTATTTATTTAGGGTAAAGGAAGGAAACTCCTGAGGTGCTATGGGGTGCCAGCAATTTGGAGCATCAGTAATTCAATGTCCCTTCAGCCATGTGTATTCAACTCCTGCTGTGGGTGTGGACTTGGTGCAGTGGCTGCAAAGCAGGACAGTCCTTGTCAAGGTGCTGTCAGTCTGGTGGGGAAGGGACGAGGATAAGCAGATGCTGGAATGGAAGGAGGGGCACAGCACGGCAGATCATGGAGAATCAATCACTCAAGTCTTCTCCAGGTGCAGCCATGCCCGGCAGTACACTGAAGGCTGACAGGAGTTCCTGGGTAAATAAGGGTGGTGGTTGGTGAAGAAGTGTCTGGGCAAAGTCCTTGAGAAGGAGGTGCACAACTTTGCCATCCCAGAGGCTGAATTTATCATTACACTTCAGCCTGGGGGATGTGACTCTGCTCTCTGAACTTGGGGAGGCCAGGAGGCAAGAACCCAAGTATTTGAGACTTGAAACTGGATCCATCTTTGACTTACAGTCAGTCAAATGACTACAGAGAAGTTACCTACCTCAAGTAGCCAGTTTCTTTAACAGCAAAGTGATGATAAAATCTTTGTGTTAAGGTGGTTGGCAAAGTGTTAGGAATTTAGAATGAGGCAAAATGCATGAGTGTCTGGCTCAGTGTAGGTGTCTAATAAATGTAAGCTGTCATTATTGATAAACCAGTGTGGTAAAGAGTCAACCATAGCTTCCCTTATCAACATGCAACACACAACACTTCACTCAACTGAAGCCATGGGACTCAGTTTCCCTTGGCTACAGCCAGTTGGACCAGTGGTAGGCACTTGACTCAAGGGGTGGGCTCAGCCTGTCTGAATATTTCTCTAGTGATTCTGAATTAACCTTCATGGGAGCTGAGCCAGTTAAGGTGAGGGAGATGTTGAGCTGGGACAAGGCTGGTGTGGTGACAGGTAAAAGTTGCAAAAAAGGTTTTAAAAAACTTTTTTTTTTTCAAGGAGCTGCAAAAGCCCATGTGGAGACAGGTGCAGGAAGAAGGAGAGGACTTGAGACTCAAGGTACATGAGCCCATGAGAGATGAAGAGGTAGCCTAGGTTGAGTTAGTCATTTGGTAGCAATGAATAGAAACCCACTCATACTAGCTAAAAAAAGAGAGAATTATTCAGGTCTCACAGACATCCAAGAATAGAACATCCAAGACACCCAAGAAAAGAACAGAACACCATGGGCAGGCAGAATTATATTAGATTTATAAATAAACTAGGGCACAGTGGGGAAGAATTGACGTCTTTATATTATTGTTTTTATAGCATTTTATGACGTTTGGTGGTTTTGTAGTTTTCTTCATATAGGTCTTGCACATTTCTTTTTGTTCTATTTCTAAGTGTTTCATAGTTTTTGTTGTCCTTGTAAGCACAATATTTTTCCAAAGCATTCTCTAGTAGGTGTTGCTGTTATCTCAAAGAACTACTGATTTCTGTAGATTTAGCTCTGTAACCATTCATCTTACTGAACTACATTCCTGATCATTTTCCAGTGAATATTTTTGGATTTCCAGGTCCTATCACTTGCAAATAACAATAATTTTGTCTCTTCTTTCCGACTACTTTCAATTCCTTTTCTTTGTTCTGTCTCATCTTCCTGTGTGTTGAGGGAGGCTTGGGCATGATTTCAGTCTCAACAGTTATAGTGACAGACCATCTCACGGGTTGTCATTTGCATGGGTCAGCTATTTTGGGTTGATTGATTTTAACTTCATAAGATCATCTTTTCTCAAGTTTTATGAGTCTCTTATTGTACCTTTGAATGCACACATTTTATAGACTGTGGAGATTAACCTAAATAAATTAGTATAATTGTAAGGGGAGATTGAACAGGAAGAGTTTAGGGTTAGGGCTTATTTAGGATTTGCGTTTAAGATGAGGATTCACACAAATGTCATGTTTAGGAGATTTCACTTGATTACAGCTCAAATCATGGACAATCAAGGTAGAGTCCCTTGGTCACTCTTTTAGCTAGAGATGCTAAAACAAAATACCATACAAGGGTGGCTTAAACAATAGACACATATTTTTCACAGTTCTGGAGGCTAGGAAGTCCAAGATGAAGGTGCTGCAGGACTTGGTTCCTGGTGAGGTCTCTCTTCCTGGCTTTTAGACAGCCACCTTCTTGCTGTGTCCTCACATGGTAACATGGTAGACAGTGAACTTGCTCTTCTTTTTTTTTTTTTTTTTGAGATGGAGGTCTCGCTATGTTACCCAGGCCGGAGTGGAGTGGTGCAATCTCAGCTCACTGCAACCTCTGCCTCCTGGGTTCAAGCGATTATCCTGCCTCAGCCTCCCGAGTAGCTGGGATTAGAGGTGTGCACCACCGCGCCCTGCTAATTTTTGTATTTTTAGTAGAGATGGGGTTTCACCATTTTGGCCATGCTGGTCTCAAACTTCTGACCTTAGGTGATCCACCCACCTCAGCCTCCCAAAGTGCTGGGATTACATCCATGAGCCACTGTGCCCAGCTCTTTCTCTTCTTGCAAGGGTACTAATCCCATCATGGGGCCCGACCCTCTTGATATCATCTAAGCCTAATTACCTTCCAAAGGTCCCACTTCAATATCATCATCTTGGGGGTTAGAGATTCACCATGTGAATTTAAAGGGACATAAACATTCAGTCCATAACATTCAGCTCACCCTTGGGCTTCATTTTCTGTAATTTGATCAGACTGAACAGTAGATTGGACTTTGTTTACTGCCCATCGATTTACTGCACAACGTGGATTTATGCTCATTGCCTGCCACTCTTCCCCTCTGGTTGCTGCTTCAAGACTGGCTCCATTTTCCCTACAGCTGTGACAATGCACTATGTTCAGTGCCCCATTGCCCTTTAGGAAGTCTTTTGCTCTTTTGTTAACAGTTGCTTAATTCAATAAGAATTAAGGGTAAACAGAATGCTGCTATGCTTTATGTGCCCTCCATGGGAGTTAGGAGTCTGCAGAGAGGGGATGATGATGGGTTTGGGCTGAGGCATGTGTTGGAGGGCACCTGCTGGAGGGCAAGGCTTGATCAGGCTTTATGAATAAAACCGCCAGAGGATTGTTAAAGTAGAGCCACTGTTCTTGCTCTCTGCCCTGTAAAGCTGATTTGAATATGAAATTTTTGCCCCCCACCAAAAAAAAAGCTAACCACTCATTATATTATATGCCTGTGCTTCAGGCTTTCTCTGGCATCTGACGGTTTAAAGAGCTACTACCATCACATGGACCATGACAGCTCACAAAGGAGAGAGATGTACTTCTCTGTTAGTGCTTCTGGGGCTTCTACTGGGGGTCTTTCTTGTAGCCCCCAAGCTAAGTAAGAATTTTCTAGGCTACCTACAGCATGAACTATGTTGTTAGATGTTGTCTTGTTCAAAGCCAGGCTGAGTCTTTGATTTAATGAGATGGATTCCTGCACAGAAATGCCTAGACTCAGGTGAAATCACATGGTATTCGATGTAACTAGGAGGAGTCCATGCCTTCCTGCTGTATTCTTCCTGCTGTATTCTTATGTGAACCTTACTGATGCCAAAAATATTAGGCTGGCTGCTTTCCTCCCTCTGCTGCAGCCAGGCCACCTGTACCCAGGCCTTCTAACCAAGCACTGTGGTTTGGGAACCACACATGCGGCATGTCTGGCTCTAGACAAAATCACTTGTGGCTGACTCTGTAACTCTTGACAGGTGCAAAGGCTTAGACAGTGCTAATCCTGAGAGCTAACACTGTTCTATACCTGGATACTTTCAGTGACCATCCCTCCAATATCACCACATCATTTCCTCTTTCTAGTATATTCTGTAACAACCAGAGTAATTTTTAAAAACTGCAAACCTGGTCCTATCATCTTTTCCATGCTTACCTCCCCTCAAACTTCAACATTCTTTAATGTCTTAACTGTGCTCATAGGATAAAGCCAATTTCCTCTGTGTGGCACCCACACTGCCACCTCTCCTCTTGTTCTGGAGGCTTCTGATGTTCCTGGGATGTGCTCTCTTGCCCGCCCCAACATCAAGATGCTTGAGTCTGCTTCTCAATCTCACCCTGCCCCTCTTTCTCTGCATCTGGTACTTCCTATCATCTTAGTTCTGAGCTGACCTGTTACTTTCTGGAGTAGTTGAGGGAGAACGAACTGATGGAAAGACAAACCCCCAAATCCCGGTGCCTGAACCCAGTAGAACTTTATTTCTTGCTTGCAGCAGAATCCAAGACTGGTGCTCCAGAGTCATCTGCATTTTCCATGCGGGAGGCTGTGTCAAAAGTTTCTGATGGGTTAAACCCAGAAGTGACTGATTGACATTGATTCCACTGGCTGGGAGAAAACACCTGGTCTCGCCTATGTGCAGGTGAGCAGGGAAATGCAGTCCACCTGTGTGCTCAGGAAGTGGAGGAAGCAGATTTGGGGCATCACTGCAGTTTCTGCCACAGCCCCCTCCCCTCACACCCCAACCCTTCCCACATACCTACTCACCCGACTCACCTAAGGTCCTGTTCCTGATGGCACTTATTACAACTGTAATTCACAGGCATCACTGTGATTGTCCAGTCAATACTCGTCTCCTCCATGCTGCTCCATGAGGTCAGGGACACCCGTTTTACCAGCGGTTCAGGTGCTCTGTAAGAACTTGCAGCAAGAATGAATAAATACATCCATGCCCACATTTGTGGCATGCACTCTACAGAAATCATCTTTCCCAGTGTATTTGAGGGCAGAGGTACATAAAGGAACCCTAATGTTTTCATTCAGTAAACAGTCAAGGAAGACCTTGATCTGGTCAGAGTCCAAAGTCAGCCGGTATGCTTCAGCTTTTCATTTTCCTCTCTAAGGAGGGTGTTAGAAAGCCACTGCACTGTAGATTTTCTTGTCATCCTAGTTTACAATGGCTAGACATAGAGTGGAATTCAGGACAGATAGGCACCAAGACACAGGTACGTTTCTAGGCCTCTGTTTATTCCCCCAAAAAGCTGAACAAATCCCCAAGCCTATGGTGGTCTTGAGGTCAACAGGCACCTGAAAACTGCAAACCCAGGATCCTACTTTATTCCATGCTATTCTTTCTTTTACAGGCTCTTTGCAACCTGCAACTTCCACCTCCTGGGTTCAAGTGATTCTCCTGTCTCAGCCTCCCAAGTAGCTAGGATTACAGGTGCTCACCACCATGCCCGGCCAATTTTTGTATTTTTAGTAGAGATGGGGTTTCACCATATTGGCCAGGCCGGTCTCAAACTCCTAACGTCGGGTGATCCATCCACCTCAGCCTCCCGAGTAGCTAGGATTACAGGTGCTCACCACCATGCCCGGCTAATTTTTGTATTTTTAGTAGAGATGGGGTTTCACCATATTGGCCAGGCCGGTCTCAAACTCCTAACATCGGGTGATCCATCCACCTCAGCCTCCCAGAGTGCTGGGATTACAGGCGTGAGCCAACATGCCTGGCCATGTCATTCTTTCTGTATAGAACAAATGCCTGCTGTTAGCCTACCCTCACTGTAGGCAGTGGACTGCCCTGGGCTTGTGGTCAGCCAGCCTAGTACTGGAGTTGTCCTGGGAAAGAAGCACAACTTCCTCTAGCCGCAACCTTCCCCTCTATAAAATGGACATAACTCCCAGGATGGTAGGGAGGGATTAAAAGCAACCTATGTGGAGCTCTTCCTGTGTATCAGGTTGTGGCAAGCTATTAAGGGCTTCACACATATTATTTCATTGAGTCTTAATAGTCTTAAAGAGGATGTACTTTATCCGCATTTTACAGATGAGAAACCTAAGGCTCAGAGAGGATGAGGGTCATGCAGCTATTGAGAGATGAGGTTGAATTCTGCATCTGGGTTTGACTTGAGAGCCTGAAGTCTTTGACACCCTATTCATCTAGTAGGAGGCATTGAACACCAATGTGTTTTGTAACTTACAGTGCTTCCTATCCATGTGGGGCACCATTTGGGTTCTGTAATCTCCAGTGCCCCCATGATGCCTCTCATGATTCAAGTCCTTTGGGGATCCTCTGCCTCTGCATTCCAATAGTGATGACTGTAGACAGAATAAGACCCCTAAAGATGTCCATGTCCAAAACCCCAGAACACATGAATATGCCCAAAAGGACTTCATGGATGTCATTAAGTTAAAGATTTTGAGATGGAAAGATTGTACTGGATTGCCTGAGTGGGTTCAATGTAATCACAAGCATATTTCGAAGAAGGAGGCAAGAGAGGATCAGCATTGGAAAAAAGGGTGGGAGGAATGTGCTTTGAGGATGGAGGAAGGGGCCAAGAACCAAGGAATGCAGGTGGCCTCTAGAAAAGGAAGGAACAGATTCTCCCTAGGAGTCTCCAGAAGGAACACAGCCCTGCCAAAACTTTGATTTTTACCTTATTATAATAGACACATTTTGGACTTCTGAGCCCCAGAACTATAGCATAGTAAATTGTGTTGTTTGAAGCTACTAGGTTCGTGGTAGCTTGGAAATTATAATGCAGTGGTAATTTCTGTGCCATGTCTCTAGTACCTTAATGCTTGGTGTGGTCTTGCAGCTCACCTGTTATGCATGCACTGATTACTATCACCCCAGCTCACACAGCATCCCTCGAGACAGTCATCCAGTACATCCCTCTCTGTGAGGACACTGCAGATACAGAAGAGCTGATGAAATGTTTTCTGGTCTTTAAAACTGTGGTACGGTGGTGAGGCTACTGAGATGGCTGGCAGATCACACTGTCCTCAGCCCTGGTCTCTGGGAATGGGTGGGATCTGCAGCAACATGATTATACCACAGTCTCTGTAGGACCCCCTTGGACAGGGAGGTGCCAAGGGCTGAGGCGAGCCAGCAGCATCGTGGTTCGTCAGCTGCTGTGGCCTGACAACCGTGGGTGAGCTTTGGAGGCTGGCCTGTGGCCAGCACTGGCCACAATTTTCTCCTTGTTCAGGTGTTGCTCAGGCTCTTTCGTGTGATTTGTTTGCAACCAAGCCAGCAGCCTCTGCAACCCCAGGCACGGAGCCAACCCAATAAATCTGGCTGCCATGCAAATGGCTGTGCCATTGCAGAGCTGCAGGCCGAGAGGGAGCTGTGAAGACTCTGCACCATTTGTATTCCTGCCTGAAATACCATGCCATTCCCTGCATTCCCTGGCCCCACTTCTGTCAAGCTCCCAGGGGAGGAGCTGCCCATCCACCCAGTGTAAAGGACCGGTGGGGTGGTAAAGCAGAAAGTGGGTGTTCTATGACTTTGATAACCTCCTTGTGGGTGTGTGAAGGTGAGGGAACTCCGTGGGACAGTGATTGGAGTTGTTGGGTCCCCCTTTTCGATTGTCTTGGTCTCAATGAACAAAGGCATTCTTCAGCTCCTTTCTGAATGCCTGGCTCCCAATCCAGGTCTCATTTACTCAGTGCCTCTCACCCACATCTACTGGCTCCCTGATGTGTTTTCATGTTTATAAATCAAAGAGCGTGAATGTTGCTAGCTACCTTAGGGACCTCATCCAGCCCTGCATTTTATAAACAAGTGAAGCAAAGCTCTGAGAAATGGAGCGCTTGCCTGCAACCACAGGTCAGGCCCAGGCATAGCATCCTTCAGGGCCAGTGCATACCCTGATGCAGCTGAACCCTCAGCAAGGCTGCTGCCACCCATCTGCAACTCTCCACCAGAGATGGGAGGCTGTGTTTTGTCCATCTAGGCCCTGAGACGCCCCTTGCTGGCTAGGTTGCCCAATCACTTGCTTGAATTCCCTGGGAATAGACATGGAAGAAAGAGCAAAAGCAAACAAACAGTGGCCCACTCCATTGCTTTTTCAGTGTGAATTTCAGAAGAGTGGAGGGGAGGGATGTGGCCATTAGGATGGAATCTCAGCGCTTTATCTGACACCCCCAGTAACGGTGGCTTCAATGACAGGGCTCATGTGTCTCATCTGTAAGAGTCTGGATTAGCAGCAGCTTCCTGGTATTAGGACCAGAACTTCTACCTTGTCTGGCCATCTTTAATGTCCTGCCCTTTCTCTCATAGTCTGAGATGGATCACCACTGCATTCATGTCCAGCCACAGGAAGGGGACAAGGCGGTGGACAACTGGGAGTATGGACGGAGAAGAGCACAGTCTCTGCCTCATGGGCCATCTTTTGTGGCCTAAACTAGGTAGATAGGCACACATGTGGCCTGAGTTCCCCAGACGGTTGACACCTGTCCAATTCTCCTGGTGCTGTGTGGCCTGGAGACATGTGATTGGAATGGCAGAAGATGGTTTCCATCCATGCACGCATCTTCCCAGCACTCATCCTTCCAGCTAATGCTGATGCATCTCCTAGCCAGCACACAGGGCAGCTGGAAGTGATTGGCATTCCTGCCGCTCAGCACCGTTCCTGGCCAATGCCTGGTGGGACTTGGAGGATAAATATCCCAGCTAACTTGCTCTCTATGTGAAATCACTCTGAGGCTGTACTGTTCTGCCTTCCAGAGTTCTGTTGTAGGGGTGAGCCCCAGGTCACACGCAGTAAACTGCTGGAGGGTGCACTTTGCATGGGCTTTGCTCTGTGTCTCACATGCTCACTTCCCTCCTGATACTCCCCAGAAAACCTCCCAAACAAACCACTTATATTTAAATGCTTGTCTCAAGGTTTGCATCTAGGAGAACCCATCCCAAGACATATGGCAAAGGAGACACGTGGGCATTTTTAGCTAAAACTCCAGGTTCCAAGAATTCTGGACCATATGCACCATATGTTTTGTTTACATCTTATGTTTCACAACCTCGTTTTTTTAATTAAGAAATCAGCCTCTTAAGATATAAGTGGGCAGAAATTAACTTAGTTTTTGTCCATCAAGAGTTATTTCCTTTCCTTGAAGGAAAAGCTTCCCTACAAGGGAAGGAAGGTGGAGTAGGAGGACCCATCTGCTCTGTGTTGGAATTCATCTAAGTCCTGGAAGTACGAAGACGAGAGAGACATGGTCTCTACTTTCTCTGGAAGCTTCATTCAAATGGGAGACTTAAGAGACATATATATGAGAGGTCAGCTAAGAGCATGAGAGAAAAATGCAAGATGTGTCGCAGTGAAGCTCACATTTATGAAAAAGCAAATGTGTCCTTGAGAAAGGGACAGGACTCCATGGATAGCTGGGAAGGCAGAAGCTTCTAGAAGAGGACCAGAGAGGTAGGAGGAGGAGAAAGGACCCTCAGCCCAAGAGTGAGGGTCTCAGTGTCTATCACAAGATCACGTGCTGCTGCGTCAGCCTCACCTATTTGATCACAGGCATTTCAGCCATGAACCCCTCTCTTCTGCCTCCTTGGGAATTGTATACGAACTCTCCCTCTGCTTTTCTAGGCTGGTGGAACATGCATTTCGGTGGCTTCAGGGACTCTGCTTTCTTTACTGATTTGCATGTGTGACTTGGTGCTCCACTCTCTGGGATACGCTGACATCTTGAATCTGCTTCTGCATCTCAGGTTAAAACAGGGATGTGCTCTGTGCACATGTTCATCCCCTCCCTTCCCTGTGCCACGTTACCCATGGCCTGGCCCCTCTCTGTCTTCCTGATGCTTGCCTATTTGTTCTCTGTTGAAGAACTTCAGGTTCCAAGCATTCTGGACCATACGTACCATGGTTTGTTTATGTCTTATTTTTCACAACCTCTTTTTTTTAAATTAAGAAATCAGTGCCTTAAGATAAAAATGGGTAGACATTAACTTAGTTTATGTCTATCAAGAGTTATTCCCTTTCCTTGAAGGGAAGGAAGGTAGAGTAGGAGGGTGTGACCCAACTGCTTTGTGTTGGGATCCATCTAAGTCCTGAAGGTATGGTGATGAGAGAGATGTGGTCTCTATTTTTTTCTGGAAGCTTCATCCCAGTGGGATGCCCATTACCCTCAGACCATTCATGGAATGGTCCTCACTCCCTGAGAACAACTCTGTGTTTGGTCACCTCAGTCACCTTGAAGCTCTCTGTCCTTGGGATAGCTGCTTCCCAGGAGGCTCCCTGATGCCTTGTGCCAATGTTCTTTGGTGGACAAAAGCTCTCAGCCACCCTGGCTGCAGAGAGGCATGACCCTATAGCCTGCAAATAGCAGAGCCCACCTCCCAGCACCTGTGCTAGTCTAGGACTGTGAAAAGCTATTCTAACTAAAATCAATTCAGTTTGGGGTGAAATTGATTCCACTGTAGCCCCTCAGCATTTTCCAGGGTCCTGTCTTTCCTCTTTTCCTATAGTTTTTAAGTCCCATGCTGTGATTTTCTAGTTTCCTTTATGGGCAGTGTAACAAGCTGAGTTACCATCTAGATAGATTACATCATTTTTAACTTGCTTTAAACTGGATGCTCATTCTGGATTGAATCAGTCCTGGGGTGTTTCTCTTGGCTTCCTCTGGTCTGGAATCACACTCATTCCCAATCTGAGGTCTCCCCAGTGGCTTTCCATAGGGTTCATGGACTCTATCATTCTGTTTGTAATAAGAAGTCTGACTTAGTCTCTAAGACAACAGTTAGTTCAGTAGGTTGTGGGGATAATGTGGGGCTTAGCAGGACTGTGTGGGTCGCTCTATCCTGAACCCATATCCACTAGAAAGGTCCAGAACTTGATATGCTACTGAAGGTGAGGGGCTGGAACTGCTAACTACAGTTACTCAATCATTGTAATTAGTTATTCACCACCTTTCCTAATATCCAGGCTTCTTTTCCTCTCTATCTAGATCCCTACTATAGATCCCTTAAGAATAATAGTCATATTGCTTGGATAATCAATGCCAGATGCTGTTACTAACAACCCCACCATTCAGTGATTTAATACACAGGAAGTATTGTTCTCACTCCTGTGAAGCCTGATGAGCTTTGTGCAGCTATCTAGGCAGCTCTCCATCCAGGCAGTGACTCAGGGATGCAGGTTCTGTCCCTTGGATGACTATGTCTTTGGGTCATTTGCTTCTGAGAGAAAGAGTTTGGATGATCACAAAATGTGTTAGTTTCTAGGGCTGCCATAACAAATTTCCACACTGGATAGTTTACACAACAAAAATTTATTGTCTTACAGTTTTGGAGGCTGGAAGTCTGAAACCAAGGTGTTGGCAGGGGTGGTTCCTTCTGGAGACAGAGGGAGAATCTGTTCCATGGCTCTCTTAGCTTCTGGTGGCTGCCAGCAGTCCTTGGCATTCCTTGGAGTGTAGACACGGAACTCCAGTCTCTGCCTCCATCCTCACATCACCCTTTGTGTCTGTGTGAATCTTCTTCTTTTTTTTTTTTTTTTGCCTCTTACAAGGACAGCAGTCATTGGATTTAGGGCCTACCCTAAATCTAGGATGATCTCATCTTTTGATCTTTAACTTACATCTACAAAAATACTTTTTTTCAGATAAGGTCTCCTTCACGAGTTCCATGAGTTAGGGCTTGGGTACATCGTTTAGGGGGGTGATATTCAACCCACTGCACACGTTTGTTTGTTTTATTATCATGCCTAGAAGTGGCGCCCATGCCCACTCACATTCCATCGGTCAGCTCAAATCACACAGCACAGCCTCGGTTGCAAGGGAGGGTGGGAAGATCATCCTCCTATTTGCCCAGATAAGCAGATGGAGGTGGTGAGCACCTAGCCAGTCTCAGACACGTGGCCAGTGTTCAAGGAGTGCTTCTTCTGTGCCCGATGCCATGCTGAGGACTTTGCAAGGATTATCTCCTTTTAATCCTCACAAGAAGCCTCTGAGGCGGACACTTGTAGTTATCCAATCTTCAGACAAATAAACAGAGGCACAGAGTCCCTTGACAAATTTCCCAGGTCATTCATGAATGGTAGAACCACTGATTCCATCTAAGCAGACTTTTCAGAGCCTGTGCCTTTTGCCCCATAGGATGCTGCTTCTAACTGTACTGACTCCTGGTCTTTTATCCTTGTGGGACAGTTGTCACAGCCCCCATGCCTAGCCTCAGATTTCCTTTACTTATCACTGGGGGCTGAGCTCGTTGGAACTGAGTGCTTAGAGCTAAGTGCTGACTGGGGGCTGCCTTTCCTTGCAAAAGTTCTTTCTTTCACCCTAGACACTGTCTCAGCTTTCTTGTCCCCACAGTGACTTGTTCAAGGACACATCAAAGACTGAAAATATAGCCAAAGTTCTCACTTTCTGGTCCAGAAACTGGATGAAAGCAATTGACGGGAGTGACAATGCAGATGTCTCAAGTTGATGGAAGCAAATATTAACAAGTTCATCTGCCAAAGAAGAGAAGCCGGCTAGGTGGAGCCTGATGTTTTATTCTTCAAGCACAGCTATCAACTTTGAGTGAGAGGATACAGAAAATTTATTTCTACTTTGGCTGCTTTCAGAACTGCATTTATCAGCAGCTCCAGCATAATCTACATCAAGCTGCAAAGCATCAATTGGCAGCCTGTTTGAAGCAGATCCAGGCTACCTTGTCTGAATAGAGCCACATACCATATTTGCAAGCAAGAAGGCTGTAGGTTCTTGGCAGGTGGGGAAAGGGACCAGGTTCACTTTCCTATTCTATGCTACCCCTTCTGTTCTGGAAAATTTTCTGCTGGCTTGCAGAAGATCAAAGCGGGAAAAATAAGCTTATGTAATTTAGTACCTCATTACTGATTATTGATCCAGATCTGTCTTGTACACATAGCAGATAAAAAAGTAAATAATGTTTTGAAAGAAATAAAGACCAAGAGAATAATGAAGCTGGAGGAAGGGCAAAAAGAAGGAAGAAAAGAATCAAAGGAAGGAAGAGAGACTGGAAGGGAAGAGAGAAAAGAAACAAAGTCACTAGGTGGGAAAGAAAATAACTTCCCTGTAGTTTGGTTTTGAGGTAGGAGAAAACATGTTCTACCATGCCTTTGATAAGTACATAGTTAGTGGATAACCCTGTCTGCCACAAATTCTGGCAAGCCCACTCTCCGTGTCTGCAGATGCAACAGATTTCATTCTAGGAGTTGGATAGCCATGGTCAGTTTGTGACGGGGGCAGGTGACACCAGAGAGCATGAGTTGGGCTCTAGTTCACTCTGCATCTACCATGTCCAAGGCATTGTACCAATTTCATGGGGACAGAGTGAAGGATGCAGTCAGGCACAGGTAGTGCTTATAGGTTTTCTTCGGTGAGGCACAATGGCAAGACGTGGCCATCTGTCTTCAAGGAGTTTGCTTTTTCATGGAAGTGACAGACATGTTCCTTAATGAGGTAAAAGTGGTGAGTCCTTTGAGAGACAAACAGATGAAGAATGGGAAGGGGGAGAGATCAATGTTGACTAGGGGAACACTTGATAGAGAAATATACGTCTCGAAGAAAGCATAGAAGTTGAACAGGTGGAGATAGGGAAAAGGACATTTTAGGATGGGCCACACTCAGAGGCAAGAAAACACTTCTTTTGAGGAATAGCAACTCTTCCAGGCTGGGAAGTGCATAGGGAGCTTGGAGGGGTGCAGTGGAATCTAAGTCTGGAGAGGTAGGTGAAGGCCAGGCTGGACGACAGATGGCCACTGTGGCCGAGCTGGCTAACAGCTCACCAGCCTGTCTTCTCTTCATCTTGGGAACAGCCTGTCAACACTGGCCAGCCTTCCTGGCAGTGAAATGTGGCCACGTGCCTGAGTCCAGGCCAGTGAAACCACAGGGCAGAAGCCACATGAGCCACTTTCAAGCCAGGTGCATAGAAAATAAAAGTGCTATGTGTGGTCCTCCATTCTCTTTATCCTTGTTTCCATGATGGGGAAAGAGAATGGAGGATCACACATAGCACTTTTATTTTCATGCCCATTAGGGTGACTTTGGAACTGGTTTAAGAGGGCTGTTAGTATTTGAATGTTTGTGTTCTCCCAGAAATCCTATGTTGAAATCTAATCCTCAGTGTGACAGTGTTAAGAGGTGGGATCTTGGATGGGGGAGGGGGGTCATGAGGAGGAAGCCATTATGAATGGAATTTATGCCCTTATAAATGAGACCTGAGAGAGCTCCCATGCCTCTTCCACCACATAAGAACACAGCAAAAGGGTACCCTCTATGAACCAGGAGACAGACCCTCACTGGATGCAGAATCTATGCCTAGACCTTGGACTTCCCAGCCTCCAGAGCTGTGAAAAATAAATTCCTGTATAGAAGCCACCCATTTGATGGCAGTTTTGTTTTAGCAGTCTTAACAGATGGAGACAATTGCAGAGTCCCACAGGATGGAAAGCATCCAGGTCACTGAATGGTCATATAGAAGGCCTCCTGATGTTCAGGAACACTTCTTTTGGATTTAACTTGAGCAATAAATGAACTACTATTGTGTGCATCCCAGAGATTTGGGGACGTACCTGTTATAGCAGCTAGCACCACTCTAACTCATAGAGTTATAAATGAAAGTGAGGTGCTTATGTTTTATTAACAGGCAGTGAGAAGTCGGGGGTCTGTATCTTCCAGGGGGTCTGTATCTTCCAGGGGGTCTGTATCTTCCACCTAGCACCACTCTAACTCATAAAGTTACAAATGAAAGTGAGGTGCTTATGTTTTATTAACAGGCAGTGAGGAGCCAGGGGGTCTGTATCTTCCATCTATCAAGGAGCACATCTGAGATGGAACTGTTGCCAACCCATGTCCCATGGATGAAATAAAAGGAAAGTCCATAGGTTCCTTATTGTGGAGCCTCAGACAACAAATTCTCTGTCACCCTTTAGAGTGGATAAACATCCTTGAATGGTGGGTCATGCTCATTATTTCAAAAATTTCTTATTTCACTGTAGTGTTGAGCATCTATTATTTTCAAGTCCCCCTACTCCAGCATGTTGAAAAATCAATGATACATGAGATAGAGCTCTTGCTTTTTGAAACATTTCAGCCTAACAAGGAAGAAAAGTCAGGATCAAACTAAAGTGCATTACAAAGCAGGGTGTAAACTTGCCGCCAAAGAGGAGCAGACTCTATGTGCAGGGGGAAGGTGAGCTTGCATGGTGGTACCACACATGCTACCATGCCAGCTGCCACCAGCAGCTGTGACCACCATGGCTGTGACTATGAACACGTGTCCAGCTCACATGCCATGCCAGATGTCATTCTAAGTGCTCTCATTTTTTTTTTTTTTCATTTAACCCTGACACTGACCCTACAGATTGGGAACTATTATCTCCATTTTGAAGATGTATATAATGCCATTGGTTGTATTCTGTATTTAGGGGCTTTAGCCTGTCTATGCTTTTAGACTTATTTGGAGCCAATTCTTAAAAGCATAATATTCATGTCATGGCTTAGGCTTTGTTTTCTTAATCATGTTCATCATGAGTCCTGCAGACCTTTAGTTAATCTGGTAGACCAGGGTATGTAAAGAGAAGCACATTCATCTGCCAAAGGCAGAATTTCCAGCAAAGCGTTACAGCATGTAAGTGTTTAGTGCATGTGTCCCTTGAAAACTTGGGCAGCGGCAGTACTGTCTTGATAACTGTTCTTCATTATTATGACTCTTTATTGATAAAATGATTTAGCATAGAACAAAAGGGACATTTTGTTTGAAAAATGAAGTGCTTGAAGAACTGACCTGCAGATGAACAGAAAATTGATGAAGATGGTTTTCGAAACACATTGTTCTGATCCGAATGCTGAATTCCACCCCTACCCTCTTGCTGCCTCCATTAATTCCCTCTGCATGTCTGCAACCACAGCCGTTTACTGACCTTGCTCCACAGCCCCACTATGACTGTGTCTCTGCCCTCTCATTAATTTCTTCCAACCACCCCCATTAACCTTCATTTTCTTTTTAGCCTCTGCCTCTAAGTCAGCCTAATTTTTTTAGCATACACATTCCCCTTCCCTCTTGGCCCATTGCCTGGCTTTTGTTTCTTACTTGTGAAAACATTACATGATTCTACTAAGCTGATAAGAATCTATCAGCATTCTATACCCCAAATTTTCCATTTCCATGTCCTGTTTCCCTGCCAAAATAGCTTTCAACTTTTTCAGCTGCTCCTTTGGGCACTTACTTCCATATTTCTAAAACTTGCTTATGTAGCTCTTTCTTAATTTTTCAGTTTCAGATATTGTATGATGACTTCCTACATGAAACATGAGGATTTGCCTCTCCTCCTGATCTTTCCTTTCCCTTATTTTCTCAATACAATTGATGTTTTGATGTTTTCTTTATTATGTCTTTGTTAATGTAATCCACAGCTGAGTCATTTAACATACTGTCATCGCATTTTCTTTCCTGGAGTTAATAATTTTCTAATTTTACCTTTGCTTAGTTTTTATGTAGTTACCACTATTTTAATGCTGGACTTTCCACCAAAAATATATTTTTCCTTAATATATTCAAAGGTCTCAAGAGTAACCTGTAGTTTCCTTTTTTCAAATTTTTTTTCAGAGACTCTTCCTCCATCTTCATGCTCCAGTAGGGCTCTGGCACAGATTCCATCCTGGAGTGTCTATTCATTATCCTTCAGGGAGCTGTTCAGTATTTCTCCTGTCCTAGGTCATCATATGTTCATTCCTCTTTCATGGTTGTCTTTCTCATGTGGATGGAATATATCTTTAGGATCCTGTTAAGAAAGGTGAAGAAAGGGGACCTAGAAGGTATTGAATTTCTGCATTTTTAAGATGTATTTTTCTTAACACTTTAATTGAATGATAGTTTGGCTAGGTATACAATTTTAGGGGGTGAACAATTATTTTTTTGGTTTTTAATACTCTTTTATTAGCTTTACTGATACATAATTTACAAGCAATAATGATCACTCATTAAAAAGTATACAGTTTTATGATTTTGGTGACTGTATACAGCTGTGTAACGGCTACTACTATCAAGATACAGAACAGTCCTATCACCCTAAAACAATTCCTCATGCCCCTCTATATTTGAACCTCAGGCAGCCAGTGCTCTGCTTTGTGTCACTATAGATTTGCCTTTTCCAGAACTTCATATAAAAGGAATCATACATTACGTAGACTGTTGTGTTTAACTTCTTATTTAGTATGTTTTGTGATTCATCCATGTTGTTGTGTATGCCAGTATTTCATTTCAATTTATGGCAGAGTAGTATTCCCTAGTATGGATATCCTGTACCATCCCTTCAACAACTGATAGACAATTTATTTGCATCCATTTTGGGATTTTATTATTCATTCTGAAACAAACATTAGCATACAAGTCTTTGTGTGCATATATGTGTTTATTTCATTTCTTTTTCAATGAGTGGTATTGCTAGGTCATATGGTAAGTTTGTACTTAAGTTTATAAGAAATGGCCAAACTGTTTTCCAAAGTGGCTGTGCCATTTTGCATTTTTGCCAGCAACGCATGAGATTTTTAGTAGTTGCCCATCCTTTTCAACACGTGGCACTGTTTCTTAAGACTCTGAATTGTTCTTTATTGTATAGCTTCCATTATTGCTGAAGAGGAATCCAACACCATTCTCATTTCCAATCTTTTGTGCCCTAGTTTTTACTCTAAAATACTTAAAATTCTTCTCTTTAGCCCCAGTTTTCTGAAAATTTACATGGATTGCATTGAGGTAAGTGTCTTTCATCCATTTGTACTGGATGTTTAAAGGTAACTTTCCAACTGGAGTCTTGCATCCTTCAGTTCCTGGAAATATTCCTAAATTATTTATTTGGTAATTTATTCTCCATTTTTATCTGAAGTAACTTTCTAAAATATCTGTTATATGGATGTTGGCTTCCTGGAATGATCCTTTTATTTTGTTTATTTTTCTCTCCCATTTTCATCTCTCTGTCACTTTGTCTTACTAGCTGGAAGATTTCTTTTTTCAATTTTGCCTTTCAATGCATCTGTTTTTCATTTTGACCTGATATTTTTAGTTTCCTATGTCTATTTTTAGTTGCTTGAATCTATTTTTTTTGTAATCACACTTTTTTCTGATTTTATTTAAAAAGTATCTACTCATAGCTATTAGGATGTTAATTACAGTTTTTTCCCCAAAAGATATATTATGCTCCCTGCAACATCTCTTTTTTTCTATTTTTTATTTTTTAGAGTTTGTCTTTCCTTTCATGTTAAATAAGTGATTCTCAACTGGGTTGGGAGTAGGCAGATATTTCATCTTCAATAGATATTTGTCAATAGCTGGAAATAGTTTGAGTTGTCACAACTGGCGTGGGTGCTGCTAGCATCTAGCGGGTGGAGGCCAGGGATGTTGCTAAGCATTTTACAATGCACAGAATAGCCCCCTGTGATGGTTAATACTGAGTGTCAACCTGATTGGATTGACGGATGCAAAGTATTGTTCCTGGGTGTGTCTGTAGGGGTATTGCCAAAGGAGATTCACATTTGAGTCAGTGGACAGGAAAAAGCAGACCCACCCTCAATCTGGGTGGGTACAATCTAATTAGCTGCCAGTACAGCTGGAATAAAGCAGGCAGACGAACATGGAAGAACTAGACTGGCTGAGTCTTCTGGCCTTCATCTTTCTCCTGTGCTGGATGCTTCCTGCCCTAGAACATTGGACTCCAAGTTCTTCAGCTTTGGGACTCTTGGACCTACACCAGTGGTTTGCCAGGAGCTCTCAGGCCTTTGGACGCAGACTGAAGGCTGCACTGTCCCCTTCTTAGTTTTGAGGTTTTGGGACTTGGAGTGGCCTTCTTGCTTCTCAGCTTGCAGATGGCCTATTGCAGGACTTCACTTTGTGATCGTGTAAGTCAATGCTCCTTAATAAACTCCCTTTCATATATACATCTATCCTATTAGTCCTGTCCCTCTAGAGAACCCTGACTAATACACCTTGCCATAGCAAAGGATTTTCCAGCTGCAAATCATAATAGTGCTGAGGCTGAGAAACCCTGTGCTTGTAGATGCTTTTGTGAAATGTCTGCTGATAGTTCATATTTAAAGGCAGTGCATTCCAAAGTATCTGTGGGCAAGGCTTGCTGACCCATGGCTTCAAGGTAGGGAGGTTTGGCTGGGTCTTTCCATTATTATGTTTGGATCATTGTTAGGGCTCAGGAGAAATCCTCAAAGTCCTAGCATGAGTGTGTAGCGGGAAGAGTATAAGTCTGGCAACGCATGTGCTCTGAACTGAAGGGGCTCAGGGGTCTTACCCTTTAGTGTGTCCATTTTTATTGAATTCTCTTAACCTCAGTGATGCCTCTATTTCAGTCTCTCTAGAGAATGAACTTCAGCCTCATGCCGGGTGGAGGTGGACAGCTTGGGAGGTAACTGCCCTTACACAGACTTTCAATCAATGCTCCTGTTTTTGGGAACACCTGCTCCCCAGTGTCCCCCTGAGCTCTAACCTCTGTCCATCCTCCCTGCAGGTCATTCCTTCTTTCAGAGTTGACTCTGCTGGTTTTCCCCAGTAGCTGCCACATACCCTTTAAATTCTCTTTAAACGCTTATCCACTGTCAGCTGCTCCCTGAAGTCTTAGCAGATGATCTCACCTCCCATGTTACTGAGCAGACTGAAGCCATTCCAATATAAATCCTAATTTCATTCCTCTTATGGACGGCGTGGCTTAGCCTCATCTCTCTTCTCACTCCTGTTTATGAAGAAATGTCTGTTCCCTTATAAAGTTGCCCCGTTGCCCTGTGTGCCGGATCACTCTCCTCCTAGCTGTCCAAAAAAGCTGCTCCACAGTTCTCCTTTACGTGAGCATTCCGTTTCTTCCACATCATGGTCCCCGTTCTTCCTGTAAAAATATGGTCAAGTCTACTCTGGCTTTAAAAACAAAGTCATTCCATTACTCTGGTATTTACTAAGACTCCTGTCCTTCTCCTCACAGCCAATTTTCTTTAAAAAAGTTGTCTGCATTTCTGGAAAAAAATTACCCACCTGGCATATGAGAGCTGGCCCTCCCTTCCTTCCCTCCAAATATCACTGGTGATAATCCTGGCTGACCCTCTGGGGGACAATCCCAGAGTTCCCTATCCTCTTGTCACTGTGTTTCCTCTCTGCTGGTTTCTTCTCTCCCCGTTATTGGGTGTTCCTTTCCTCCTGCTCACTAATACATGGAAGAGTCGCTCTGGGCACCGCACTCCCCTTATTCCTTCTCTGCGGGATAATCGTAGGCAGACCCATGGTTTCTACTCAGTTGGCTCCCAGATCTGCATCACCAGCTTCCCGGTTTAACAAGCTCAGGTTCCCTATGAGGCATACCTGAGGGTAAGAGCCCTGTGATTTTAGATTATGTGGGTATATTAGTCATATGTGTATTTTTTGCATTTTATGATGCTTTGCTGATGCTTTGCTATTCTGGGGCCTGGAGAGACGATCCCTTCCAGCGCTAGCGAATTCCCGACATAGCAAACATTTTCCCTGCAAACACGCCTTTCATGTGCAAAACAATAAAAGAAAGCCCAAATCACCAACCACCTCTTTTATCAAACGCTCATATACCAAGCCAATGTTTTCTCTGCCCTAAATTGCCCCAAAGGTCAGGTACTGGACAACTAGAGACCATCTCTCTAGCCCAGAGCCTGCTGAAATTATTCAAACTATCCAATCCTAAACTTGCTCAAACTTATCTACTCTGCTTCACCATGGAAACCATCATGAGGGCTCCGGGCCAGGATTTCCCCAGCCTCCCGACTGGTCCTGCATGGCATGGTGTACTCCCTTCTCTTGGGAACTGCGAGGGAATCCTGGCCACAGCTGCAGCAGTGCGGAAAAAAAGACAGAAGTCAAAATATTGCTGCAATGGCTACGTGCATAATGGCAGAGTGCGGCATCCCCTGTCAACCTGCTGTGGTTTCCTGGTGGGCTCACTTTGCCAGGTGTGGAAAATAGCCTCTCACCTCAGAGAAAATATTCGGCATTTCTACCCTTCCTCCACATCACACCTTCATTTTGTTCTATCTTAATTTGGGAACTTTTGTTTTGTTTTGTTTTGCTCCTAAGCTATTCACATACTTCTGCTTGCCAAATTACTCTGAAATTACATTTTGTTGTCCATCTGTAGATGTAGACCAAGGAAATATGGTCTTTCACTCTTTTTAAGTTCAAAATAAAAGCCTAGTGCGTATTCTGTGATTTAGTGCACAAAGGAGCAAGCAACCTCTTTGGAGCCCCTCACTTGCTCACGTGCTCATTAAGCTGCTCTTGGATGGAGCCTCGTGGCTTAGGTGCTGAGTCCTGCCACACATAATAGTCACCTGGGAAGCTCTGTAAAAGCACCATTGTGTGGGCTCCTCCCCAGACCAATTATAGGGCTTGGGCATCAGGATTTTCACAAAGCTTTTCAAAGGATTCAAATGTGCTGCCAGCACAGAGAACTAACGTTCCAGTTGGGTTTTGTTCTCTGCTTTTTTGTGCTTTTTTGGCCAAGACTTAAGTTTTTCTCCAAAGGTTCTCAGACTTCAGTGTATATTGGAATCACCTGGAGAACTTGCTAAGACGGATTTTGGACGCTCATCCTCAGCGTTTTTGATTCAGTAGGTCTGGGGTGGGGCCTAAGAATGTGCATTTCTAACAAATACCCAGTTGATGCTGGTACTGCTGGTCCAGGCCACTTCTTTGAGAACCACTGCCTAACTCTGCCTAAGGGTGTTCCTCTTCTGGGATCTGTTTCTCAGAGTTAGGGTAATCAATTAGTCTCCATTTTGGCATTAAACTTCTTATGTTCTGGGAAACCCCTCAGTCCCTGGAAAACCGGGATAGTTTGTCCCCAAAAAGATATGTCTGCATCCTAATCTCCAGAATCTGTCGATGCGACCTTACTTGGGAAAAGGCAGAGACCCCAGACCCTGTCTCTGCATATGTAATGAAGTTAGGAATCTTGAGATGAGATTATCCTGGGTTATCTGGGTAGGCCCTAAATCCAATGGCAAGCGTCCTTATAAGAACAACACAGAGGAAGATTACACAGACAGAAGAGAAGGTGACCATGTGACCACAGAGGCATAGAGTGCAGAGAGACAGTCCCAAGCCAAGGAATGTCCCCAGACTGAATCGAGGGTAGGGGTGCTTATTCTCACAGCCCAGTAATGAGATGTAGATGAACTGGGAAAGATGAAAGTTTATTTCTGTAACCAGGGACAGGGAGAAGGCCAGGAAAATATCACCGGGCCAACTCAAAATTACAAAGTTTTCCGGAGCTTATATACCTTCTAAGCTAATGTGTACATGTAAGTGTGCATTCATCCAAAGATATAAGTGATTAACTTCTAATCTATAACTAAGGTCTGAGTCCTGAAGACCTTCCTCTGGAGCCTCAGTAAATTTACTTAATGTAGATGGGTCCAGGTGCCAGAGATGATTACCCTTATCTTGTCACCTGCTAAATCAGGGAGGTTTGGGGAGTTCCCAATAAAACTTGTTTGTGAAGATCTGGAGAGATTCTTCAGACCCACGATAAAACTTGTTTAATCCTAAACAGGTCCTGTTAAGAATTCCTTTGTTATCTTGTCATGCTTCAAGGCCCAGGAAAGGCCTGGGCAAAACTCTTGGTGGGCTTTTGTTACATTCCAGCTTTTGTATAAGGACGCTGGGGCTTTCAGCCTTTTTTTTTTTTTTTTTTTTTTTTCTTGAGACAGAGTCTCGCTCTGTTGCTGAGGCTGGAGTGCGGTGGCGCAATCTTGGCTCACTGCAACCTCCGCCTCCCAGGTTCAAGCAATTCTCCTGTCCCAACCTCCCAAGTAGCTGGGACTACAGGTGCCTGCCACCACGCCCAGCTAATTTTTGTATTTTTAGTAGAGATGGGGTTTCACCATATTGGTCAGGCTGGTCTCAGACTGCTGGCCTTGTGATCTGCCCGCCTTTGTCTCCCAAAGTGCTGGGATTACAGGCGTAAGCCACCATGCCCAACCTCTTTCAGCTTTTAGTATTTAACTTAACCACTCAGTCAGTGCCGAAACCGCTGTCGTGGAGGCTGCCTGCTCAGCTGGTAGTGAGACCTGGCCTGCCACAGGAATGCAGATGGCCACCAGAGGCTGGAAGAGACAAGGTATCCATTCTCCCCTAGATCCTTTGGAGAGAGCATAGTCTTGCTGATATCTTAATTTTGGATTTCTTCTGCAGAACTGTGAGAGAATGCTTGTCTGTTATTTTAAGCCACCGGGTTTGTGGTAATCTGTGACAGCAGCTCTAGGTAACTAATACCATCCCTTTAACTCACCACTACTATTCTAGAGGGATATTGGGGGCAGTTTCCACCTCTCCTGCCTATCAAAAGTGAGATGTTCTGAAATCACGTAACCTTCACAAAGACCAGCTGATTGACTAATGAGTCTATAAAAACACTTCCCAGAAAGAACAGTCTAGAAACCAATGAAGCACAGCTAATCTGACCTATTACAAGTACGGAAGACTATCTACGGTAGGTCGTTAAGCAGCCAATGATGTAAATAAAACCTCTGCTAATGTTAAATGTGCCACTTTGTTTTGCAGGATGCAGCAGGCCGACAGTCATAGGCGGCCTGTTGGAAGCGCTCTGCAGCAGCTGTGCTCAGGGTGCAGCGAGACCTGGTGGAGAGAGCTGGTGGCTTCGTTGAGGAGGGATGGCAATGTTAGAGCCCAGTGTGGATGGCCTTTCCGTGTTCTGTGAAGGCGCTGGCAACTCCACAGAGCTGGAAAGGCTGGGCCATGAACAGGGCTCACCCTGTCAACTCCAAGTCACCTCCAGGACCTGTGGCTAAAATGATTGGAAGAGGAAGGGCCAGAAACTCATGGAAAGCTCTAGAAGTGTCAGATTGGCCTCGTACAGCCCTTGGGCTAGCTCCACTCTGGAAAACCAGGTATGAATGTATTTGGGGCCCCGGACTGGGGTGCTCTCTTTTCCCCATTTCTTCTGGCTGTTTAGCTGCTGCCTCTGAGGGGTTTCTGGCTCCTATACCTTTGCTGAAGTTTGAGTCATGATTTTCTCTTGATGCTCGTCTTTTGGACTGTTTGCTGACGTCCCACTGTGTGAACAGTCTTCTTCAGGTTGCCCGTACTTAGTGTCCAGCGTATGCTGTGATGTATTGTACTTAAAGAAAGCTCCTCCGTTGTCTGATAAGAATATATTTCTGCATACAGAGATTACAAATTATTTTATTATTTTATTTTATTTTATTTTATTTTATTCTATTTTATTTTTTGAGACGGGTCTAGCTCTGTTGCCCAGACTGGAGTGCAATGACGAGATCTTAGCTTACTGCAAACCTGCAACTTCTGCCTCCTGGGCTCAAGCAATCCTCCCACCTCAGCCTCTGGAGTAGCTAGCACCGCAGGTGTGTGCTACCACACCAGTCTATTTTTTTTTTGTTTTTTTTAGAAACAGAGTCTTGTTTTATAAACAGGTGGGCCTCAAACTCCTGAGCTCAACAGATCTGCCCGCCTTGGCCTCCCAAAGTGCTCATGGATTACAGCCATGAGCCACCATGCCTGGCCTAAAAATTTTTTTAACAGTTTACTCTGCATGTAATAAAGCAGTCTTGAACTGGGAGACTTCTAACCAAAAGTGCTAAGTAGCTCAGGTCATAGCATTTACAGTGTAGCTCATGAAGCACAAATGAAGAAGAACACTGACTTTATTGTTACAGGCTATTATAAACTCTCATTCCTTTTAGGCCAAGTAGAACTGTATAAGCTGTTTTGTCTGTAGCTGATTAGCTCAGAATCATGCTGACAAAATAAAATCTTAAGTTTTGTTTACAGTTAAAGCTAGCATTGCAAGGAAATCAGGATGGTTTGTTAGCTATGTGGCTGTGGGCAGTTGGCCCAGAGGTATAGCCGAACTGTAACCTCTGTTTTCTCTTTTTAAATATTCTCATTATATGAATTTAAGGTTTACAACATGTTGCTTTGATGTATGTGTACATGGTGCAGTCATTACCACAGTCATGTAAATCAACATATCCATCACCTTGCATAGTTCTTTTTTTTTTTTGTAGTAAGAGTACCAAAAATGGACACTTTTTAGCAGTCCTCATATTGTATATTAGATTTCTAGGGTAATCCATCCCAGCTAACTGCATCTTGATATGCTTCCATGTCTCCACATTCCTACCAAGCCCCCACCCCTGGTAATCAACTTTCTATTCTGTTTGTATGTATTTAATTATTATTTTTGTATTCCACGTATAAGTGAAATCAGGCAGTATTTTTTTTTTCCCTGTCTGGCTTATTTTACTTAGCATAATGTCCTCTAGGTTCATCCATGTTACTGCAAATGGCAGGCTCTCTTACAAATTATTTAAGGGCAAGAATCAGGCTATCTGCTTTTTCTCACTTTCAACACACCCAGGCCTCTCACATCACCATACAATGGAATCTTAACTAGCACAGGTTTATTCCATTTCCCACCATTCAAAAACTATTATCGAGTCTAAATATTATTGAAAACTTTCTGGTTCAGCTTTCAATTGAAGGGGGCCCCCAAATGGATCTCAGCAGCTGGCTACTAAATGTTCCAAAACATGAGGCAAGAGGATCCACACACTGTACCTGGGAGAGGGTGCTGTGGTCACAGGAAAAGCTCAGTACCCGGCACCTCTGCAGACACTCAGTGACTTTGCTGAATGAATGCAGCCCGAGGGAATCAGCGGCACCTGGTAGTAGAAATACATAGATGCATTTTGCATGACAGAGAGAATCCATTTGGAAACTCAACTTTTGCAGTAATGGTTGTTATGGGACTCAGTTTCAGAGACCATAAAAGAGAAATTCTAAGTTATGTTTAATGTCATGTCCAGCCCAGGACATGACCTGACCAAAGGCTTCAAATGTGTTTGAAATCTGGTGTTTCAGTCTAAAAATTCACATAAACGTTGCATTCAATTCTCTAGTACTTGCACTTTACTCACCAGGGAAAGAAATCACTTTTTCAGGAAGATGCGCCATGTTTGCTTTGTGACTTTCTCACTCCTTCACTGCTAGGTACTCTAGAATTCAAGGTTCGCATGCACAGCTCTTCAATGTGACTGGCTCATAGAACAACTGTAAGTAATTGTGTTAAAATAGTAATTTTAAAGAGGGAGTGTGTTTAACATAGTTTATAAAATGTAAAAGATGTAAGATCCAGTACATAGTTCTAGCCACCTCTACAGCTAGCTATGAAGGATGATCTTAGAGAATAAAGTGCTTATTGCTAAAAATAGAAGCAACCTGTCAAGATGCAATGGGCTTTTGTAACAGGCTCTGCAACCTCTTCTCAAAAAAGTAGAATTGTTAGTAGGCTAAAATGCTGTGGGATTTTAATACACAGGTTTACCACTGAAGTTTTTAATTTGGGATGGCTAACATAAAAATGATCTTCTATCAACACTTTAGAGGATGGTTTCTTTGGGATTTATTTATAATTTTACTGAAAAATTACTGTGTAGGGAAGAGAGAGTGACTGTTTCTGAATATCATTGAAATTACGCTATGCAAAGGCCTTAAACTGGAGAAAGAAGAGGAGCTTAAAGAGAAAATAGAAAACCTCCCATCGATGGGATGATTATTTCAAAAACTAAAAATTTTGTGTCAGTCACTTTGGTGCAAAATTACAAAGACTCTCTGTTGGTTCCTTACACATTTCAATTGGATTTGTTTTTGGCATTTTATTACTCAGTCCCAAATCCAAAGGGAATTTCATAAAATTAATTTGTTCACTTCCCCACCACCCCACCAACAAAAGCCCCCAAACGCAATGTTGTATCCAAGGATAGTCAGGCTTCCTGCTGATAAAAGCTGATCTTGTTCTTCTAGCTAATGTTCTAGGGAACTATTTCTAGAAGCTTAGGAATGTCTTTAAAACTTAGAAGCTCAAGTCAATGTCATGTAAATGAAACTAAGCTTATGAAAAATTAGTTTCTTTCTACTTTTGGCACCCTCAGTAAACACTGCAGCACAGATTTTTTTTTTCCACAATGTCTGACCTTGGGAAGTTATGGCACATGACAGAATAAAACAAAGTAGAAAGAGTATTTTAAAAATATTATGTGAGCCTGCTAACTCTTGGTTTTAAATGTAGACGTTGGCTTCTAAGCAACTAATTTTTAAAAACTTAAAGATAAGAAACTAAGTTTTATGAAAAGAAGTGGTACTTCTGAGGTTTTAAGAGTTAAACTTATCTGAGGAGGAAGAAATTTCTATGAATGTGTGGCGAAACTTTGAGGGGTATTTGATATACCTTCTGCGAACTGACTCTCAAAGTGACATACAACTGTACATCTGCTGAAAACTCCTGCCCATAAGGTATATATCACTATTAAGCAAATATACAACTTTTTTTTTTTGAGATGGAGTTTCGCTCTTGTTGCCCAGGCTGGAGTACAATGGTGTGATCTCGGCTCACCACAAACTCTGCCTCCTGGATTCAAGCAATTCTCCTGCCTCAGCCTCCCAAGTAGCTGGGATTACAGGCAAGCACCACCATGCCCAGCTAATTTTTGTATTTTTAGTAGAGATGGAGTTTCTTCATGTTGGTCAGGCTGGTCTCGAACTCCCAACCTCAGGTGATCCACCTGTCTTGGCCTCCCAAAGTGCTAGGATTACAGAGGCAAATATACAACATTTTTAACAGGTAAGGCAGGAGAGAAGGGGAGGCTGTGGATTGAGTCATATTTTTCTCAAAGTTGTGTCCAAAATATGCTTCTATCAGTGTCGGTGTTAATAAGCCAAGCAGTCACGTGAAATGGGATGTTCTTTCTTGCTTCTTTTTTTGAAACTTGCTGACCTGATGTGTTTTCCACCTCAAATTTCAAGAGTCAGGTGGATTTTTCTTTCTTTTTCTTTTTTTGAAGTTCAAATTCTGCCAGTTTGTATATTTTTGGCTGGGGCTCAAAAATAAAATAGGCAGGCATTTATTAAATACAGTGACTTTTCAAAAACTGTTATTTCTATATTTTTATTTTTAACAATGTGAATAGAAATTTTAAAAGAATGCTTCATGTTAGCAAGAACGCTTACAGAATGAAACTTTTCTCAAAAATTTGAATTTAACAACCCCAGAAAACACTGCATTTTAGCTTAAGTCAGGAATCCAAGGAGAGGAGAGGAAATAGAGGGATGAGAGAATGGGTCTGACTTGAATTCTACCTCAGATGTAGGGAAACACAGTAACAGTTTTTCAACCCTTTCGGCATCAATAATCATCACTTGCATTTCAGTTCGGTTCAGAAATTGTCATTCATGGCCTTTTTCTGGGTCTTATAAGCACTCAGTGCTACTCTGCTTACAAGGAGGGCAAATTCCTCACTTTGGTTATGACCTTTGGTCTCTTCCACTTCCTCACTCTCACTGCTTTTATTTTCATTTATTAAATTCACCTCTGTGTGTGTCCACGTTGCATGTGCAGTATTTTTTTTTTCTAGTCTTGACTTTGAGCTTCTAGATACTGCTAGAGAAAGATACTCAATAATGGTTGTTTTGTTTGTTTGTTTTTGAGACCGGGTCTCGTTCTGTCCTCTAGGCTGGAGTGCAGTGGTGCCATTTCAGCTCACTGCAGCCTCCATCTCCTGGGTTCAGGTGATTCTCCCACCTCGGCCTCCTGAGTAGCTGGGATTACAGATGTGCACCACCATGCCCGGCTAATTTTTGTAGTTTTAGTAGAGACAGTTTTCACCATGTTGGCCAGGCTGGTCTTGAACTCCTGACCTCAAGTGATCTGCCCACCTTGGACTCCCAAAGTGCTGGGATTACAGGCGTGAGCCACCATGCCTGGCCAACGATACTCAATAATGTTTATTACTCCCACTAGAAAATTATTTCAGATAGCCTCAGTTGAGTCCTCCTTCGTATGTGACATTTCTCATCAGTTATCCTAGTTAATTCCCTAGTGGGTTGCTCACAGTGGCTAATCTGTCCCTTTCCTAGTCTCTCCAATTTTCAAACTTACTTTCTTAAACCTCCTTATCCTCTGAAAATCAACTTGTGTTCTACTTCACTGAGAAGACATGACTATTTAAATTTTCCCTCTCTCTCAGCCTGTTTCACCCCACCAGTATCAGAATTCTCTACATCGCCTGTTCTCTTCTCTTTTAGTAATATTTCATAAGATGAAATATCTCTCTTCCTTTTTCATCACTGGAAAATTCTCAGCCATTATCTCTTTGAATATTACTTCTGTCCAATTTTCCCTCTTTCTTCTCCTTTTTGGGACACCAAATATATGTATGTTGGACCTTCTGTGAGTATCCCGTATGTTATTTACGCTCTTAACCATTTTTCCCACTATTTTTTTCCTCTCTGAAATTCGGGTGCTATTAGTTTTTCCTCCAGTTCACTAATACTGTATTCTGCTGTGTCCGATCCACTGTTAAACCTATCCACTATTACCTAATATTTAGATATTATTACTTTTTCAATTCTAGAGGTCTACTTGGTTATTTATAAAGTAGTTATTTGGCAAAATTCTCCTTCTTTTTATCCACTTTATGATTCTTTTTCTTCATTTAAATAAACATATTAATCAAATTAAAGACCTTGTTTGCTCTCTTTAGCTTATCTGTGATTTCACTTTGATTGAAATTTTTTTTTCTTCTGATTATTGGTCATATGGTCTTCCCTCTTTGGATGTCCAATTCTCCTTTTCTTCGTAGTAAGTAGAGACTGCAGTTGTTGTTCTCTTCCACCAAAGAGATTGTTGCTTCCTTTGTTAGGCAGAGAGGGTAAGGACTAATTGGCTTAATACAGAGGTTGAGCTGAGCTGGGTGTTGAGCTTCAGTTTTAGTGAGACTCAGTCTACATCTAGTTCACGGCTCTTCTAGCCTTTTGATCTGAGCCCATCCGGGTTTCTATCTCAGTCCTGAAAGACTGTGAAAGATTTCATTCTGCCTTTCAGAGGTTTTTAGCTTAGCTCTTGAACTTCACACCTGTATTGGTGTCTATTTCTGCATAACAAATTACCTGAAGTTTAGAAGCTCAAAACAGCAAATACTTATTTTGTCATGGTTTCTGTGTGTCAAGAATTTGTGAACAGCTTAGATGGGTGAATTTGGCTGCAGGTCTCTCATGAGGTTTCACTCAAGCTGTTGGCTGCAGATGCCACAGAATGAAGACTGGACTGGGACTGGAAGACCTGCTTCCAAGCTTGGTCCTGTGGCTGTGGGCTGGGGCCTTTTGTCTTTTTTTGCTGCTGGCCAAAGGCCTCATTTCTTCACCATGAGCTTCTCTGAGAGTTCTTATGTGTCTTGATGACATGGTGATTCATTATGAGTGATTCAAGCATGAGTGATTCGAGAGAGAGAGTGCAAATCATAATGTTTTTATTACTTAGGCTCAGTGGTTACTGTCCATATTTTCTGCCATCAGAAATTCCTATTGATCAGAAGTGAGTCACTAAGTAGAGTCCACCCTCAAGGTGAGGGGAATTAGCTCCACTGAAGGGAAGAGTATAAGCAAATTTGTGAACATACTTTAAAACCATCAAACCTCTTTATATGTCTTTCAAAATCTGACAAACATCTTGAGAGAAGACCTGCCTTGTATTTGAGGTAAACCCCTGGTAGGTTTTATTTTTTAAGTACTGAGAGAATGCAGGAGAACTCACTTTATTGTTTAGAGACTGTGGCCTGGCTCCTCCATCTCCCACATAGTTCCAGAGCTCAGCAGATTTCCTGAGACCTCTCTCATTTCCAGTTGGTCACACCAGCCTCATTTGCTGCTGGAAGCTTTGCCGGTTCTCCGGTCTCTCAACAAGGGCCCTCTGCCTGTTCTGATCCTTGCCCTCACCCAGACATAGAACATCTCCCAGGGAAAAATGGAGGCTCAGAATGGTTGCCCTACATCTGATATTTTAGTTCATCCATTTCCTATTGTCCCATAGTCCTGCTTTAAAACTACGATTTTATAATTTATTCACCTTTTTGTAATTGTTGTAATAGGGGCATTGCCCTACCATGACTTCTACATCTTACCCTGAAGCAGAAGTCTCTCTGTCTTCCCTTTTAAGGAAAATGTCTCTATTCTTTGTCTTGTGTCTGAGTCCTCAAAGATCCTGCCCCACAAACCATATTTATTTCCCTTGAATCTTCCTTTCTTCCTGTTCTTTTCCTTTGGCTTAAAAACATCTTTATGTCTTTTCTCTCTTAAACACTTTTCTTTCTTTCTTTTCTTTTCTTTCTTTCTTTCTTTTTTCTTTCTTTTTTTTTTTTTTTTTGAGACAGGGTCTCTTGCTCTATTGCTTAGGCTGGAGTGTAGTAGTGTGATCTCGGCTCACTGTAGCCTCAATCTCCCAGGCTCAGGCAATCCTCCTGCCTCAGCCTCCCAAGTAGCTGGGACTACAGGCATGCACCACTGTGCCCAGCTAATTTTTGTATTTTTTTGTACAGATGGGGTTTTATCATGTTGCCCAGGCTGGTCTCGAACTCCTGGATGAGAGCAATCCTCCCACCTCGGCCTCCCAAACTGCTGGGATTACAGGCATAAACTACCGCACCCAGCCTCTAAACACGTTTTTAAAACTCTGACGCCCCTTAACACCACCTCCTTTCGCCCCCTCCCCTTTTACTCCAGTGTTAGGGCTGTCTTTTTCTCCCCATCTCCTACTTATTACACCCCTTGGCACTTTGCTTCTTAGAGTTCTGGGTAAGGTCCTCAAATGCCTTCTACATGACAAAATCGAGAGGCTTCTTCTCAGTGTTTCTCACACCCAAACATCCAGCTGCTTTTACTGTTAAAATTCTCCCCCTCTGGACTTTTTTTCAGCATTTCCCTTGATGTAACCTTTCTGGGTCTTTTCCACTTTCTCTTCTTTTTCCTCTTCTTACTGGACATTCTCTCCTAATTTCACTAAAACTCATGCCTTACACTTCCATTTCTATTTGAATGACTTCCAAATTTTCACCTGTAGTCTCTTACCTTTCTCTCAGGCAACAAACCAGATTTCAAGTGCTTATCAGATGCCTCCATATAATTGGCTCATTATTACCCTAAACACAATATGTTGACCTGAAATTTAAGTTGCATAACCTCCATTTGGCCTTCAAAACTCAAGTCATATTGCTCTTTCCCCTGGCATCCTCTGGGTCCTCAGGCTGCATGGAGTGGTTTGGAGTTGGGGCGGGGGGAAGTTTTTCTCTGGGATCCCTGTGTTCCTCCATCAGGACAGTCATCACTGCATTGCATTTTCGTTAGCTGTCTCTCCTGTTTCTTAGAGCAGTAATTCTTGACCAGGGGAGATTTTGCTCTCTGAAGGACATTTGACAATATATGGAGACATTTTCTGTTGTGACTATTTGGCATCTTCCACTTGCATCTAGTGAGTAGAGGCCAGATATGTTGCTGAACATTGAATGATACGCAGCAGAAGCCCCACAACAAGGAATGCCTCAGTCCCAAATGTCAGCAGTGCCAAGGTTGAGAAACCAATCTAGACTATGAGCCTCTCACAAAGTGGTAGCATGGTTTTCTGATCCGTGTACTTGGCACATCAGATGTACTCAGTAAGTGTCTATTAAATGGAAGACAAGAAACTCATTAAATACATTCTTCCCTTCTTTTCTACATGCTGTGCTATCTTCTCCTTTTTGCTTACTAAAATCTTATCCATTCTTTATGATTCAGCTCCAATGCCAGCACCTCCCTGAGGTCTGTCGTGTTTCCTCCAGAATTCCTCTCTCTATCCTCTGTGCTCCGCAGCAACTTGGGGGTAGCGTTTATCACCTCTTCTGGAGTAATATGTTTACCTGCCTCCCTGGTCACCTGAGTAACTCATAAGTCCCTTGTGAGCACTGTTGGCTAACTGCTCTTTTTCAAATGCTTCTCTAGGCTGGTATGTGCCTCAGGATTGGAAGTATTTATTTCATTGTTAATGCGTGGACTCCTGTTACCAAATGGCCCTCAGTCTTCTCTCAATTCAGAGTCCTTTCCATGTACCAGGCCCTCTCCCCTAAAATGGTGCAGAGCCCATTGGATCATTTGGACCTCCTGTTTGCTGTCATTTGTGGTGTAACACTAAATGCCTGAGACCTTCCTGTGGGCTGGTAATGCCCTATAGAACTTGTTAAAAAAAAATCCCAACAAAATGGTTTCCAAAAACATCCTGTACAACAACAGCATCACTGGAATTTATGTCTATCTTTCCAGTTGGTGGAAAATTTTTATTTCAAAGTGTAAGTGTCAGCATATTTATGAAAAAAAGCAAGCATATTGATAGTCACATGGCTTAAAGTGTACACCCAAACCATTACAAGCAAGTATGGCCATTTATTTAACAGATAATATGATCTGGGCACTAAGCATATAGTGGTAAACAAAAAAGTTCTTTCAAAGACAGGCACATTCTTCTCACTGCTGGCAAATTCCTGCTCTTTGATGGTGAATTTGAGTTTTTGAAATGTCCAGATGATTTCAAAATGATTGGACATTTTGAAATGTCCAAATGGGAACAAACAGGTCAGAGTTGAGAACCAAATTGAGAATTGTCTGAAATCATTCAGAGTTGAACAAAGGGGGTTAGTCCTAGGCCTTTTCTGCTAGTTAAATACAGGATTTAAATAAATAATTAAGCCTGTATTTCTTATGAAATTTTTTATAAAGCCTGGATTATTTATAAACGAGCTCCGAAAGCCATTTCAATATGCCCTTATGTGTTTCAGCATCACTGAAACATTACTTTCAGAGTCAAACTCATTTTGAGATATAAATTCTGTCATAGTCTCATTATCTCTCATTCATACCTTGTTTTGAAACAAGTATGTTTAAATACCTTGTGAAGAAGGCAATGGTTCCTACTCTATTAGCAAAGACTAGAGTATTCACAAGATTTGGGGGAAAACACATTCAATATCCTTCTTGCATGACTTCTTAAAGATTTCTATTGCTTTTAATGATGGTCTCTTTTCTGCCTCTGGCTAGGAACCTTCCAGGCATTTTAGAGTAGATTTTCTGTGCTTCCAACAAAAGCCCATCACTGGGGAGCTAAATTACATTTAGAAGCTGCATTTTTATTTTAATGATATATTGTTGATTGATTTTGCGCTCAATTTAATAGAGTAATCATCCTGTTCCCCAGTGGTTCTGACATGCTCAGTGCCCTAGGCCAGAAGCCAGAATCAAGATCCTTTAAGAATAGAGAAGAGAGAGATAATCAATTCCTCACTCCACACCCTGCACCCCCACCAGCTGCTTGAACTCATTTTCATTTGGATTCCTAAATTAATGAATTGTCTTTTCCAAAATAGCAATCCCAGTTTATATAAACTGATTTATACTCAATGCACAAAATAGGTGGTGCTTGCTTGTTTTGCTAAAGGAAAGGAATGAACTTCCATGGTTATGATTTTATTAGACACTGAGTTTCCCTTGCCTTTTTAAAATCTGCACTCACACACAAGCACACACATGCACACACACACACACACACGGCAAATTGCAATTAAGAACTCCAGAACATCTCATTCTGCAGTGCTGGGATTGGATTACAAGGGATATTACAATTCTACATAATCTCATTATTTACAGCACACATTGTATTTTATATTTTAATTTATTTAATATCCAAAATGATCACTAGAAGTAAAATAACCCACCAGAGGAAAGAATGATGGAGCCAGGATTGATCATGTTTTTAGACCGAGGTCTTCTATGCTCTTTATTACAAGAGTGTTTCTCAAACTCAAGTATTGTAGAAACTCCTTTGAAAGAGGAAAATCCTTTTTATGGATCCTCAAGGGAAATGCTAGAGTTAAATGCTGCCATTTTTGGCGGTCAGCTAGTCTCATAACATCAGAAATCCTGAGGTGAACATGAGCATCCAGCCATTCAGAATAATCTTGGGCTTTAGAGAGTTGACATCAAGGAAATAACACATGTTATATAATATAAATGTCATCATAGGAGTTGAAGGATCTCCGCGAATTTATAGACTCCAGATTTAAAAACACAATGACTTAAGACAAAGAGTATTTTATAACTTTTCTGAGTGAAGATGGATGTATTAGTCTGTTTTCAGGCTGCTGATAAAAACATACCTGAGACTGGGCAATTTACAAAATAAAGAAGTTTATTGGACTTACAGTTCCACATGGCTGGGGAGGCCTCACAATCATGGTGGAAGGCAAGGAGGAGCAAATCACATCTTACATGGATGGCAGCAGGCAAAAAGAGAGAGCTTGTGCAGAAAAACTCCCATTTTAAAAATCATCAGATCTTGTGAGACTCATTTCACTATCACAAGAACAGCCCAGGGAAGACTCACCCCCATAATTCAACCACCTCCCACCGGGTTCCTCCATGACACATGGGAATTATGGGAGTTATAATTCAAGATGAGATTTGGGTGGGGACACAGCCAAACCATTATCAAGGGATAATTTACCATCTTTGTGCTCACAATTCTGCAGAGAGGATGGATCTCAGTCTTCAAACACAAGGAACCAAAAATTCAACCTTGTTTTCATGTTTATATTCTAACCCTTACTGGATGGTGGGGTCAATTAATTAAACATAAGCACAACCAATTCAGAGTTTCCTCTGGCACTTCAGGGTCTCTTCTCCCTCTGGTGGTGTCTAAATTCAAGGGTGGTGGGTTCAGAAAGTGCCACAGCCTGGGTGGGATTGGGCATCATGTCCTTTGAGGTCACAGTCCATTCCTGCAAACTCTGAGACTCCCATGTTCCTATTTGATCAGGGATTATTGGTCCACTCGGAGCTCTCTATGTCTGCTTTGTCCTGAGCTTGAGCCCTCAGCAGATCTCCTTGTCCTCCACTTCAGCACCTGCTGAGCAGTTCTCAGTGAGGAAGGGACACTCTTCTATGCTTTGGGGAACTGTGGGGCTGTCCCAGCTGTCACTTCTGCTCTCCTGCATCAAAACACCAGGGTGGGTGGAAAGCTGAAGAATCGGTCCCCAGCTGGGAAGTAAGGCACAGGTCACTTCTTTTCTTGGACCCTCAAACTCCGCCAGGAGGGGAGGGGGAAACTTATTCCTCCCTCATATTAGTCAGGGGTCTTCAGAGAAACAGAGCCACTAGGATACATACATTGGTCTATATCAATGTCTATGTCTGTATCTGTCTCTTTCTATTTCTATCTTTATGTACATGTAGACATACACAGATAAATTTATTTTTAAGGAATTGGATCATGTGATTGTGGGTTCTGGGAAGGCTAAAATCTGCAGGGCAGGCTGGGAGGCCAGATATCCAGGTGAGTGCTGATGTCACAGTCTCAGGATTGAGTTCTACAGAGCAGTAGGCTGGAAGCTCAGGCCGGAATTTTGTGTTGTAGTCTTGAGGAGAATACCTTCCTATTTGGGAAACTTCAGTCTTTTAAGGCTGTTAACCGATTGGAGGAGGCCTCCCCAAAGCATGGAGGGCCATATGCTTTATTTGAAATCTACTGATTTAAATGTTGATCACAATTACAAAATACCTTCACAGCAACTTCTAGGCTGGTATTTGACCACAAAACTGGCACCAGCCAGTATCGACAAGACAGGGCCCAGCCAAGTCAACATGTAACATTAACCATCACAGGGTAGACGGAAAGCTGAGGAATCAGTCCCCAGCTGGGAAGTAAGGCACAGGTCACCTCTGTTCTTAGATCCTCAAACTCATCCAGGAGGGGAGCGGGGAAATCTATCATTCCTGCATGGCTTCCCTCCAGAGGACGAGAACCAGCCTGGGCATAGGGTTCCTTCTCAGCACACCCACTGACCCCTAACTGTCAGACTTCCTTTCTTGTACTCCTTCACCCAAAGGCCAGGGACATCTGAGAGTTCTGGCATGGGGCAGAAAAACCTGGCTCTCCCTTTATCCTATGTTCTTCCAAATCTATTGTTTAGGGTGTAAAATGTATTTTCCCCAGCCCCTCCAAATCATGGTTTCTGTGACTCAAATAGCTTTTCTTGTAAACTGTGGCTTCTCCAATGAGTTTCAAAGGTTATTTATAAGCTCAAAAGTTGAGCCTTGCTGCCCTGGTTCTGCATGTCATCTTTTCTCCAGGAGGGGACCCTGCAGTGCCTTAGCTGCCACCTGACACAGGGGGCGCACCACAGGCACAAAGAGTCACTGGGTATGAAACGCTGAGTCAATTCATTAATGGCTGTATGTCTACAATAGCAAACAATTACAGCTTTGCACTGATGAGATTGCCTGTGTGTTCTGTTCACTGGGACCAGAACTTCCTCCATCACTGTCTCTGCATCTTAGTCATCTTGCTTTCACTGGTGTCTTAATCCATTTGGGCTCCTATAACAAAATACCATACACTGGGTGGCTTACAAGCAACAGTAATTCATTTCTCATGGTGGTTCTGGAGGCTGGAAAGTCTCAATTTGGTGTCTGGTGAGGGCTCATTTCCTGGTTCATGGATGGTATCTTCTTTTTGTGTCCTCACATGGTGGAAGGGGTAAGGAGTCACTTTGGGCCTATTTTATAAGGGCACTAATCCCATTCATGAGGGCTCCACCCCCATGACCTAATCACCTCCAGTGGCCCCACCTCCAATACCATCATCTTGGAAGTTAGGATTCTGATATCTGAATGCAGTGGGGAGGGGACAAAAACATTTTGTCCATTTCAGCTGGTGGATCACTGTCCACCACACTAAAAAAAAGAAAATTGAATGAAACTGAAGGACATTTTCAAATTTTCCTCAAACCTGATGACTGGGACAAGATAAGGAATATTCACAAGCATTAGTTTCTTCATATAGGAACAGAAATTCTTGGTGATCTCTGGCTGGCACTGTTCTACTTGAATGTTTTCACATCTACTAAGGCCAGGGCTTAATGCATTTGCACCTCTCTATTCATAAGCCCTTTTCTGTGGTTTGATTACAAAGCCAAAACCCATCTATTTTGTCACTTAGATCAATTATTATAATTATGCTTTGAAAAATAAAACTTTTGAAGCCCAGACTTAGAATGAGGATCTAGCTGCATCATAATTATAGTTAGTCCTGTGTGTCCTTGAATGAAGTTTCAATTTGTCTCAGAAAAATCTGGTTCTATGAAATATGGCATATCTTTTAATTGCTGATTAAGACCTACACAAATCCCGGACCCTATTTCTTTGTTCAAAGACATACCATCTTAAATAACTAGTGTAGAGGTGGCTCCCAATAATATTTGTTGAATGAATGAATACAAGGTAGGAATATAGATGCTTATATAAAATGTAAAATAGTTGCCAAGTCTGAGGGGTACACTTGTCCATGTGGCTTAAACCACTCAGCATTGCTGGCCCAGATATTACCATGTCCATCTGATTCCTGACCTTGGGGGCTGTTTTGTAGGTGAGCACCTTGTCAGAGGGTGTAGGGTGAATGCAAAACAGCCTCTGCCAACTGCAGTAGGGAGGAATGCACTGGAAGTTTCTAGAACCAAAGAGAAGGCTGGAGAATGTGGTACAGAGGAAGGGCAGTATCCAAGGCAGGTGTAGCACAGCGATGAAGCCCAGAACCTGCCAGCCTGGGCCTCGTTGTTGGCACTGTGGCTACCACTGGTTGCTTAATGCCCATGCTGATACATCCTGGGGGCAGAGGCCCCTGGACATCTGCCTCCATGTGGCAGCCACCACACTATCCCAGCATCTCTGGGTCACCCTCCTGAATGTGAAGGCTGGGGCAGGAGCTTCTCTTTGGCAGAGTGGCAGTCCCAGGCCCACGCAGTAGCAGTCAAGGTGGCACTGCCGCTATGCCTTCCACCGCAAGTCACACAATGGGGTGACTCCCTCAAAGTAAGAACCATGTTCTGAATCTGAGTGAGCAAAACCCCCACTGATTTTCACTGCTGTGTGCAACAGAGTCATGAAGAAATGTAGTTTTACTGAAAAGAAAGGAGCATTACACCAAGGCAAGCAAAATTACAAAACCGGCCCAATTTTCCTATAGAACTGAAGCTTGAGCAACTTGCATTTGTTTCACCTGAGTTACCTTCTCAGGAAACTAACCATCAGGCCTCCCAGATCACATCAAGGAACTGAAACTTCCCAGATCACCACAACCGGACAATCAGACGCACCTGCTGCCTCTTTACTAACTGCTCTTCCTTACCCCTCCCTAATTCTCTGGTATACAAACCCCGAATTTTACTTGGTTATAGAGATGGATTTGAGACTTGCCTCCCATCTTCTGGCTGCCGTCACCTGCAATAAAGCCTTTCTTCCCTGGCAATACTTGTCTCAGTGACTGGCTTTCTGTGTGGTGAGCATCCAGACCTAGGCTGAACCCCTGGTATTCGGCAACAATTATGTGAACATCAAATTCTCTGAGCTCAGAGTTGAGCTTGTAATAAGCACTTGACAAACAATGGTTATTATTTACATTATTATTATTTTAGTATCATCGTTTTTAATAGTATGAAATTGGCCAGATTTTTTAAAATTTTAAGTAAAGACTAACTGCCCATGGGCTGGTTCTTGGTAAAATTTTGAAGCAAGGGAGTTTAGCCTTGACTCCACGTCCTTGCATTTTCAACACTCTATTTACCTGCCTCCTTCCCATCCCAAATTTCTTTCCCTGTGCTGCCGACTCCTCTCTCCCAGTGCCACAGGGTATTATTCTTTGCTGGTGATCAACTAATGTTCACTAACATAGTTAAGCCTGAGAGTGTTTTAAATGCCAGCTCTGCAGAGCTGTTTGAATTTATACCACAGACGCTCAAAGATCTTAAAGCTTGCAAGGCCAAATGAGTGAATCTTTCATGGTGACAGCTAACCACTGTAACTAGGATTCATTAAATACACACATACAAGTTGGGCACTGAGCTAAATGCCTTAAGTGCATTATTTCCCAGGCATTAACACTTTTAATTCTCACAACTCTTTGAACTCTTTGAAATAGTGACTATTATTATCATATTAATTTTCAAATCAGAAAATTGAGGTTTGGAATTTAGGCTTGAACCCAGCTCTGACTGACTCCACAGCTCACACTAGATACTGTGAACTAACTACCTCATCTTTAGCCTAGTTGCACACATTTTCAGCACCATTTTCTACTCAAATGATAAAGAAGATAATTCAAGGAGCATTAAGGAGCCCTAATCTTCTAAGGTGCTTTGAGGGCAAGCACAGTGGTTCATACCTATAATCCCAACACTTTGGGAGACTGAGGCTGGAAGATCACTTGAGACCAGGAGTTTGAGACCAGCCTGGGCAACATAGCTAGACCCCATCTACATAAAAAAAATAAAAATGTTAGCTAGGCATAGTGATATGCACCTGTAGTACTAGCTACTTGGGAGGCTGAGGCAGGAGTATCGCTTGAGCCCAGGAGTTTGAGGCTGCAGTGAGCTATGAATGTGCCACTGCACTCTAGCCTGGAAGACAGAGCAAGATCTTGTCTCTAAAATAAATAAATAAAAATAAAATTTTTTTAAAAACGAAGTGCTTTGAACTCCTTGAGACCAAAGACTAATTTTTATTCTTAATTCTTTTCTTTTTTTTGTTATTTGATAATGAACAGTTAGTTATGCTGAGTCAAATGACTCTGCACTAAACCTAACTTCAGCACATGGGGACAATTCCAGTGGTTTAATGAGGAATTATGTGTCTAAAATGCCCAGAGTAGAGCTGAAAGAGTCTAGTTTCAAGTCTTGCATCAGCAACAAATTAAGTAAATAAATATCTCCAAGTCTCGTTGTTTTCTTTGTAGAATGGGAGAAAGCAATGTCTATTTCCTAGGTTTGCTGTGAAGATTAAAGAGTACATAGGAAAAAAAATGATTGCTGTTATACGAGGAGGAAACTGAAATAGATTTTCCTTGCCATGATCAAAGATGGCAGCTTTTTACCAATTGTGTCCCAAAGTGATTCAGGGAGAGGGTCCTCCCCAAATCACCATCATCAATTAGCCACTGAATTTTCGTGTGTGTGTATGCAGTTTATCCAGGATGACTTCATTTAAAAGACATCCAGCATGCCTGCTTTTAAAAGATAAATCATGGAAACTCTGACCTTTGTGTTCTAAAGCAGCTTTTATCTGGTACAAACAAAATATTTGAAATGCTGAGAAAGCCTTTTAAGTGGAGACCTTTGCTGCAGACTGGCACAATCAGGGCTGACGACTTTGTTAATTGATGTTGCAGCAAGCTCCTCTGAAAAAATCAAGTTCAAAGTTAGTTTGTCAAACAAATTTTCATTTAAAGAGTTGAAAGCTGTGATTTCTTCCTTTCTAACAATAACAGAGGGATTTTCATTTTTTTTTGTTAGCAAAGTATTTGCCCCATCTTTTAATATCTCTACCACCCCCAGCATCTCTGAGGCTTTGACATGGAAGTTAATTCTCTATAGGTCAAGGCCTTTGCCCTGAGTGACAGATTAGCTTCAGGAAGCACAAAGGCTTACAAAGAGTTCCCAGAGATGCAGAAGGATAACGTTGGGTCCTATGTTGCCGGCCAGGGAAAATCCATTTTGCTACTGAGTCTTGATGCTGGAGTCTGTGTGCTGAGTTGTCACAGAAGTTGAGGGTAAATGCAAGAGAACACTTGCCCTTTGGTCTTGCTAAGGCAAACAGAAGAATCATTGAGAAGGTGTGAGCCTGCAGGTGTTTCATTGGACTCTAAGTAGACCTCACCTGCCTGGAAGCCTTTCATGTTGCAGACGCCCATCCAGTTCCCCAATTTCCTGGATATCACAGCTTCTCAGCAGCCGTGTCTATGAGCTTATTTCCAAGCATCTCTTTGGATGGGAGGTTTTCTGTTCCTTTCAGTCACCAATATCTGTGCAAACATTCAGTTTGTTTTTGTTTAGTGTGTCCATTTTTATCCAATAGTATGTTTGGCTCTGTAGGGCTTCTAGAATGTTCCATTTGGTGATGGGTCTGTTACCCACCTCTGATTTCCCGGACTCCTGATTTGTCTTAAATATATCAGGCATACGTGAGTGCAGGTGGCCTGAGGTTTCCCATGCAATCCCATGTCTGGCAAAGGTATGGACTATGGAATGTCCCCTGTTAATGGCCACCACTAGCCTGGAGCCATTCCAGACACATGTATCACCTCTCCCAGGAAGGTCAGCTTCTCCTCCGCCCTGCATCTGTCTCCCCTGGGGTGGCCTACAGAGGCAGGTAAAGGAAACCGCTCTTGGTGCTTGGCCCCGCCACCCAAAGTTCTGACCCACGAGTCCTTCCCTGCGGTCCTGCTGCTGCTCAAAGCACGCCCAGTCAACTTCAGACGGAAGGAAATCAGACTTCGGACTGCAGCCCAGCATATTTTTGGCTCAAGCTAGCTAAGAACCATGAAATGCTGATTTTTACAGTTTTTACTTTTTGCCAGAAGCATGTAACTGCCTCTTTAAATTATTTCAGCTAACTTCTGTTGATGATCTGTGGATAAACAAAAGTGTCTGCTGAACTGAATTTGTGGGGTGCTTTCACAGAAAACAGGCATACTGTAAGTAGGAAATCTGCATTCTGGAACATCTAATTAGGTAAACCTAACGGCGGCCTCCATAAATATCTCCCAGGGAGCTTGCATCTGTGCTCAGTGCATCAGTTGCATATTAAAGAGTCATAGCTTGTGTGAGTCGCTAAAACTACGTAACAATCATCAAGGCATGTTTGGCTCTTGGGGAAAATGGAAAGCATAGTTTTGGTTTTAAAATAATTTGTTTTATTAAGAGTGTGTGTGTGTGTGTGTGTGTGTGTGTGTGTGTGTGTGTGTGTGATACGAAAATGTCCAGTAGGTGACCTTTGTTGATCTTTGTTGCTGCCTCTTCAGAGCCCTGACTTCCACCTTGGACTCATCTCCCTTGTAGGCAACTAAGTGAAATCTCATGACTATAGGTTCTTGATATTTTGCTCACTACCAGGTTTAGAAAATTAATAACCACCAAATTTCTCAACAGCTTAGGATGCCACCTTTTAATATGCAACTTCTAAAAACTGAAAACTCTTCACAATTTGCAAAAATCTGTGTCAAATGATGGCATGTGGGCTTCCTAGAGAGTTGATTGGAAGGTGGTGGTGGTCAGGGGTGTCTTCTCCACCACCCACGTGTGAGTTTCCTGGGGCTGTCGTCACAAATTTCCACAAACCAGGGACGTAAAACAACACACATTTATTTTCACAATTCTGGAGGCCAGAAGTTCAAAATCAAGTTTTTGGCAGGGCCTCATGCCCTCTGAAGGCTCCAGAGCAGGAGGCGTGTCAGGCTTCTGGTGTGGCTGGTGGCCTTCACACTCCTTGGGTTGTGGACACATCTTTCCATTGTTGGCCTCCTTTTCCTATTGCCTTCTCCTCTATGCCTGTGTCTGAAATTGCCATAGGTGTTGGCCTCCTTTTCCTATTGCCTTCTCCTCAATGCCTGTGTCTGAAATTGCCATAGGTGTTGGCCTCCTTTTCCTATTGCCTTCTCCTCAATGCCTGTGTCTGAAATTGCCATAGGTGTTGGCCTCCTTTTCCTATTGCCTTCTCCTCTATGCCTGTGTCTGAAATTGCCCTCCACCCTTCTCTTATAGGTGTTGGCCTCCTTTTCCTATTGCCTTCTCCTCTATGCCTGTGTCTGAAATTGCCCTCCACCCTTCTCTTATAGGTGTTGGCCTCCTTTTCCTATTGCCTGCTCCTCAATGCCTGTGTCTGAAATTGCCCTCCACCCTTCTCTTATAGGTGTTGGCCTCCTTTTCCTATTGCCTTCTCCTCAATGCCTGTGTCTAAAATTGCCCTCCACCCTTCTCTTATAGGTGTTGGCCTCCTTTTCCTATTGCCTTCTCCTCTATGCCTGTGTCTAAAATTGCCCTCCACCCTTCTCTTATAGGTGTTGGCCTCCTTTTCCTATTGCCTGCTCCTCTATGCCTGTGTCTGAAATTGCCCTCCACCCTTCTCTTATAGGTGTTGGCCTCCTTTTCCTATTGCCTTCTCCTCTATGCCTGTGTCTGAAATTGCCCTCCACCCTTCTCTTATAGGTGTTGGCCTCCTTTTCCTATTGCCTGCTCCTCAATGCCTGTGTCTGAAATTGCCCTCCACCCTCCTCTTATAGGGAAACGTATCACTGGATCTAGAGCCCACTTGGATAGTCCAGGATGACATTATCTCAAGATGTTTATCTTCATCACACCTGCAAAGACCCTTTCTCCAAATAAGGTCACACTCACAGGTCTCAAGTGGACATCTCTTGGGGGCTGCTCCCATCAAACCACAATACACAACACAGAAAGGCCACTAAGTGTTGTAACTCAATTTTTGGGAGATATTTGTTAGAAAACCAAAGCCTTTGACAGCAGGAGTTTCACTCTGCATTGACCTGACCCATTTTCTTTCCCCCAAGATAATGCTTTAAAGTTCCCTGCATGGTGGCTAGAGGGGGGCGCTCCCCATAGCTCTGAAATTCTCTGATTTTGCACATAAAAATTGGAATTTGAGGGTAAATCGTTGAATTAGGCAGTACTACTCAGGCACTTTTTCACTTAAGGAATGTTATAAGTAAAAATCCAAAAGAATTCCTCCAAAATAATGGCATTTGTGCTCTCTAAAGAGTTGATGGGGAAGATCTTTGTGGTCAGAAATGACTTCTCCCCATTCCTCAAACCACAGTGCGTGGACTCCCACTGCAGACTCATGGTGGCCCTGCCGTGGATTCAGGGCAGGAGTGCCCCTTCCTGGAGGAGCTGTCAGAGCGGACTGTGCTCACAAAAACACACTCCCCTGCTGAGGGGTCAGCAGTGAAGTGATGGGGAGGCCTGGGGCAGGGAGAGGGCAGCAGTGACTACAGGGCGAGATGGTATTGGGATAAATAGAAGAGGAAGAACCCCAGTATGGCGGAACAGAGGGAATGGGCCCAACCAAGGTGGGGAATGGGCCCTCGCAAGGGCGAAAATAGAAGCTAAGATATAGATGGAGGCTCTGGAACAAAACACAGGGAAGAAGGCAAACTTGCCCTTGTCAGTACTGCCGTTCAGAATTTTTCTATTAGTTGAAGTCAGTAAAGATGGTGGTCCAACTGGAAGTCATACTAGACTTCTGTGGTTCTATAATTCTAACTAGGAATCTTCAATTAGAACCTGGACTTGGCAGAGGGAAGAGCCTGCAAAGATCCAGCACAATCTGAAATCAAGGCTCCTATTTATTTGTTTTCCTGTTTACTACCCCACCCCCTTATCAGAATGGAAGCTCCCTGTGGTCAGGGTACTTGCCTGTTACGTTCGTTGTTGGATCCCAGGTCCTATTCCCAATGTTTGACATAGCAGGTGCTCAATAAATACATGATGTGAAGGAATGAATAGTGAGCACGAGGCTTCATTTATGCGTATTTTGTTCAAATTTAACTCTGAATTTTTTGACTTTCACTCCCTGGTCTGGTCCTTCCCAGAGCTTTTTTATCTTTATTTTTATTTATTTATTTTTTTTTGACAGGGTCTCACTTTGTCACCCAGGCTGGAGTGCAGTGATGCAATCTCAGCTCACTGCAGTCTCGACCTCCTGCATTTGAGCAATCCTTCTGCCTTAGCCCCCCAAGTAGCTTGGACTATAGGTGTGCACCACCACGCCTGGCTAATATTTGTATTTTTTGTAGAGATGGTGTTTTGCCATGTTGCCCAGGCTGGTCTAGAACTCCTGAGCTCAAGTGATCCCCCAACCTCAGCCTCCTTAGAGCTTTAATTGCCTCCTGTTTACCCTGTTGGTGAGGGAGGGTTCTCTCCCTAGGATTTGGAATGTGGCTAAACACACAACACCTGACAGTGGACAGATGCGATCGACAGCAGCCTATTCCTAACATATACCCACAGCCCAAGGGAGGAGGACACCATGCCACGCAGGCCATTTAAGGACAGAGTGAATAACCAGGGGCTGTGGGAGGCAGGCTTTGTAGTAACAAGAGACTGCAATGTCTCTCGGTTCCTGTGGGAGGATGCAACTGGCTTATTTGAGTAATTCCACCGGCTGGCAGGGAATGAAACTCACTACTCAAGGATAAGCAGTATCTGCCTGGTCCCTTGATAAGGAGGGTTGCTTGGCTGGGGGACCTTCTCTGCAGGAGCAGACTGGGGAGGTGAGTTTGTGGTGATGCCATCTGAGGCCCTCCTGATTTTGACAGATGTAAGGAAACAAATAATACTTAGCTTTAATTTAAACCTTAGACTATACAGAGTTACAAGAACAGGACACAGAGTCAGTGCTTATGAGGTCAAATAACCTACTAAGCTGTGTGTCTTGAAGTTATGTAGCCTCTCTCTGCCTTTCTCAACCTATTAATGAGGAATGATAATAACATTCACTTCATAAGCTGCTGTCCAAAATAAGTTGATGTGTAAAAGACACTTGTACCAGCCGGCTGTGTTGGCTCACGCCTGTGATCCCAGCACTTTGGGAGGCCGAGGTGGGCAGAACATGAGGTCAGGAGATGGAGACCATCCTGGCCAACGTGGTAAAACCCCAATACAAAAATTAGCTGTGTGTGGTGGCATGTACCTGTAATCCCAGCTACTCAGGAGGCTGAGGCAGGAGAGTGTCTTGAACCCAGGAGTTGGAGATTGCAGTGAGCTGAGATCGCACCACTGCACTCCAGCCTGGTGATAGAGTGAGACTCCGTCTCAAAAAAAAAAAAAGACACTTGCACCTTGCCTGGAATTAACACAGCTCCCAACCAGTGTGGGTTATCATGCTTAATGGAAGGAGCATAGACGTGGAAGTAGACAGACTCACATTTGAGGCTGTCTCTGCCATGAAGTAGATTTCACTTCTCTGAGCCTCAGTTTCTCCATTTGTCAAGTGGGAGTAATGAGACATATGGAAGGCTATTGGCAGGTAATGGATATAAAACACATAGCATGGCCCCTGGCCCCTGAATAGCCATCCACTCACGTCCACAGGGGTTATTCTATTCATAATACTATAGAAATAGCTTCCACTTACAGAATGCCTACTCTATGCTGGGTGCTGACCCAGGCACTGGCTCAGGGAGTCTAAGGCCCTGGGAGGGTGGAGGCTCCAGGGTGAGGGACGGGATGGGTCAGGGCAGGAAGGATGTTGTAGACTGTGGTGAAGAATTTGGAACATGTGGTTGTCACCCTGGGGTCTGGAGTTATGAGATGGGAAAATAGTGTAGAAATTATTGAGACGGGGGCGTTTCAAAGTTCACGTGACCCCAAGAGATCTGGCCACTCCTTCCACTGGGAAACCTGCACATCCTTCTTCCCCTCTGCATGCACTGGCCTTGGATTGATGAGAGTGGCTGCTGTGGGTGTGTCCCTCAGGCTTGCTGGGACAGAGACAGTATGGAGGGCTGCTGCAATGGAGGGACGTGGAGACTCGGGAGAGTGTGAGCTGGGGAGGATAGGTCAGGGTGTGGGTGGAGTGAACATTCAGGCTGCCCTGCAGAGGACAGACTGCAGCTGAGAAAGACCTGAGAGAGAGAGAGAGAGCAAGGATGGTGTGCCCATGTCTGGGAGAGACAGCATGAGCAGGGCAGCCAAGGAGAGGATGAGAAGGATTTGTGACCATGCAGCTCTCTTTCCAACCAAGGGCGTCATACCAGTGCAGACACCTTTTCTTCTCAATCTGGGAGAATTTCACTTCTGGTACTTGTAAAATAGGAGTTGCTCCTGCGAGTAATTTTTTGAAAACAAGGCGAATAAAAATACATATTTTTGTACTGAAAGCCTTGGGAGATGGAAAGGATCTCAAATCTCAGATCCTGAGGAGAGAGGGTACAGAGGTATAGGTGAGAGGGGTTGGGGACAGGGGCTGCAGACTGAAAACATGGAGGGCTTGAGAAATGCCCATTCTGCAGTCTTCAAGGAAATATTCCAATGTATCTCCAATAGTCATGCCATATAGCCTCGCTGGGGCCACAGAGCCATTGTAGAGGTTAGCAACTCAATCCCGCAGTCAGAAAGTCCCGACAGGACATCAGATGCAGGGATGAACTGCGGTAAGCAGAGCTGCAGTCAAGCAAAATGAGGGTCAGAGCAGCTCACTGAGCCTGGGCAAGGTGGAGCGCTAGAGAATTCCCTGGCAAGCAAGGAAAATACATGGAAATAAATCTCCCTGCAAACAGCATTGCTAATTAAAAATGTATCCATGCCGTTGATGATGTGGAGTTTTGTTGCTTTATATTAGTGACTATAAATGTATTTACATTGGCTTTCAAGCTTACTGCGCTTTGAAAGTTCTTAAATTCCTCAACGTCAGATTCTACAATCAAATTCTATGACCCATGGGTCTAACCCTCCAGTAGCGGTGCAGGGAAATCTGTAGTATTTAAGGGTTTGGATCCCCAGAACTTAGTGATGTACTTGGTGGAGAGGGGGCTGGAGGTGGCTGGGGCAGGAGTCAGGACTGGGCACAGGGAGGCAGCTACATGAGTTGTGGGGGCAGGGGCTTACGGGGCTCCTGTGGGACAGGCATAGTCACGTGACTTGGAGCTGGAGGCATGTAGTCAGCAGGTCGGGCTCTCCCAGCAAATCCTCTTAGGTCACAGATTCCACCCGGTTCATGTGTTAGACGTGCACTCACATGGGTGCCACCTTTCCTAGTGGGAAACAACCGAATAGCAATACGCTGATATCAGTATCATTTTCTTTTTTTTTATCAGTATCATTTCCTTTTATTTGCCAAGAAAAGAGATCTCTGTGTTTTGGAATGAGACTGGGCCATTTTCTTGACCTGGGGAAGTCGGTTACCTTTACTTAGCTTCAATTCCTCATTTATTATGTGTGGAGAGTCACCTGTGATGCAGATTAAATGTAAGGGAGTAACATGTACAGTCTCCTAGCACAGTGTCTGGGGCATAACAGACATTCCGCAGTAGTAATGATCGTCATCAGGATCATATAGCTGGTTCCTTTGAAATACCTCCGCATAAGCCATCTATAAGGTTCTTTCTGAAAAAATACTAGTTGATTTGAATGTGGATTAGGAAAAGGCCACTGGGTTTGGGGAAGGTGGAGATATGGCCACATTCTAAATTTTAATGGTATGCTCCTTTGAAAAAGGAGTTCCAGGCATGACTTCCTCCTTTGTGTTCATGTATGATTGCTTGACGGTAAGACTAATGTCCCATACATTTTATTAGTCCACATATTGGCCATCAAGGATGGGGCAAGTCCTTCTTACTGGGTCCCAGGAGTGGCATGCCTTGTGGTTAGCCTGTGTTCCTTCTCTGGTTGCCTCAGCCCCTTTTCTTTCTTCTTTCTCCTGACTTTTTCTGGGCAGGTTTCTCTGAGAACTAGGTAGAAAGATCACATTAGTCAGAGGAAAGATGAAAAGAAATTAGTGGTTACAGTCTTATAGCTCACTTGGGAAATCTGTGCCCGTTCTCCAGGGGTTTTCAGCTTTAATTTTTCTAATTCAATCGTTTTACAGTCTGAACCCGCTGGCAGGCAGTGAATTTCTTTTAAGATTGCTGCAGCAGGGAGCTTCTATTGGCAGAAATAATTTTTTAGTGCTATAAAAATCTTGGCGGAGTTTGAGAAACATCCTGGTGGTCCCAGCCCATCTCCTAGTGACCACTCCATTAAATCCAGGAAACAAATCCTTCATCGACTGCTATCACAAAGTTGAAATTTATTATACAGTTCAGAAGTGTAACGATTCTGGGAAATCAAGAAGAAATGGAGATGAAATTCCCAGCTCCACAGCATAATTCTCTCAGTAAATGGACACAATCCTGCCTCTTATTTTGAGCTCAAAAGACAGACTTTGAAGATCTGAAAGTTTCTATTATTGATGCTACTTAAAAGAAGTTGGCTCCAAAATCATCAAGTACTCTGTTTGTGGAATAAATGGAGTTTTAATGGCCTGTGGTGCCATATGAATATTCATGCTAATAGGTATTTTCCATTTAGGATATTAACCACATAGTAACCAAGAATTAATTCTAATGGCTGGCCGTTGTTATAGGCAACTAATTTATGTTGATTCTTGACTAGAAAAAGCAAATTGCCACATCCATTAAGGACATTAAAGGAAGCTATCTTTTTTCCTTCACCTGCACCAGCCCACAGGCAGACTCCCCCTACATCTGCTGAGCATCCAAATGTCTTCTAAATGTGTTTACCAGTTTTATTTCAACCAGTAAGTGCCCTGTTTTCCATTTGCTGTTACTCAGTTAACAAGAAAGGAACCCAATATGGAAAATTTAGATTAAGCATCAAGAGCTGAATACTTATAATCCATTTAACTAGGTCCTTTATATCAGAATGAGGCCTTGCAGAAGGCAAAAGAAATCTTGTTGGTCACTGTTTTGTGCAGATCAGAATGAGTGTCCCTGACCTCAAGTATTGTAGACGTCAAAGCTGACTGGGTGAGGAGGATAGCCTTTCTTTTTGCACACTTGGATAAGGCAAAAGTAAAGGAGTCTCAAGGAAGAAAATAATGAACCATTTATTTTCCAGTCTTTAACCAAGATCATAAGAAACTTGTTGTGATCATAAGAAACCAGCCTTCCCTCAAAATCGACATGTTAGATGTCAAGTCTCTGCTTACAGAGCCCGGCTGAAAAGAATAATTTTTCTGAGAGTTATTCATTGAGGGTTCTCTGCTTATTTTCCCCTTTTCTAGCCAAGAGTTATGATCTTTAGTAAGACCACCTGGTGGCAGACCACCTACTACTACCAAACTCAAAAATATACTTTAAGTACTCTAACAGAAAAATAAAAAGGAAAAAGAGAAAAGCAAAATTCTAGGAGTTTAATGGGAAACCAGAATATCTTTGGCATGAAAATATTGGAAATATATTTTATATACTCTAGCACAGTAACTTCCCTCCAGCTCCTTTTCCTATGTAAAATTCAGCTATGATGTAGATCAGCCTCGAGATGCCTGGCCTGCAAATGCACAACTTTGGAATCAGTACATGCAAATTTCTCCAAAATGCTCTCGTATTTTTCAAGAGAAGATCTTTTCATATAGAACAGATCATGATTAGGACATAATTTGTCATATTTCGATTCTATGTCATGAATTTATCTTCTTTGTCATATTCCTGGGGTGTGCATAACCGTTGCTCACTGTTTTACTCTCATGGCCCTGCTTATGGTAGGTGATCAATAAATATTTATTAAATGTGTAAGTAAATAAATGAATATGATCTTTATGTAGACCACATGCTGTTGAGCATAAAATATTCAACAGTAATGGCTTGATCTGCTGTTACTGGAGAAGGGAAGAGGTTGATTTCTGATGGTGCAATGGAGGATCGCATCCATTTTCATCTTACATCCTATAGCACCACAGGGTGTTTAAAGGACCCTACTACCATCGCCACCAATGTCAGTGGACATAGGTTCCAATGATTTCAGAGCCCATTTCATTAGAGAGCTTTGTTTTCACACCTTTCCATGTTCGATAACATAGGCAGCCTGGATTTTGTGCAACAAAGAAAAGCATTTCATAGGATTCAGTTGACAAGAACTAGAACTTAAAGCATCATTCCTTCCCTTAATTAATAGATTTAAAAAAATGCATCTATGGGCTAGGGACTCTGTTTTGTGCTGGGGACTAAAACAGGATTAAGATAGGAGTCTAGTTCTCAAGGAGGGAAGGCCTGTCATTGCTCACTGTAGTTTGAGGTGTCATGACACAGGCGCACGGACTGCATTGGGGGAATTGATCCCCAAACTGAGATTCAGATTCAGGGCCCAAATCACGCTGTACTTAGCTGCCATGTTTGTCATTATCAGCACCATGTCTCCCTCTGTGCCATTGCTAATGCAGTAGTTCTGCAAAGAACAACTAACCCTGGATTTTCTGCAAGTTTCAATTTGGTGCTTACCAGGATGGGTCAAGGGAAAATTTCTCATGGACTGTGGTACTCGTTTCTATCACTAAGTGATGCTTAGCAAGTTTGCTGATGAAAACATCTAGCGGAAAGAAGCAGACGGTGGCATGGCTTTGGAAACTCCCTACATTCCCCACAAAAACACCAGAGCACAAAACTAAAAACCCACATACACCAACTGAGCCAGAGTAGGGACAGGTCTGAGCCCACCCCCACCTACATGTTTCTCCATACATGCCTGCTGACCATCGGACCTCCTGGCATCACCCCAGCTGGCTCATACCCGCTGACCAGACCTTGCAAGCTGTCTAAAAAAACTAAGCTAAGAAGTATTTCACCATAAATTCCACTCAGGAGAGTTAAGTCTATTGCCCACATGTGCACAAGACCAGGAGAATGACCAATCCTTACTCTGAGCCTCATTGTAATACCTTCGCCCAGGGAGGGGCTTAGCTGCCATTTTCTAATCATGCAAAATATGTGTTAGCATGATTTCTTACTGCATCTGCACACCCTGCACTCCACCCTGCACGTGAAATGACCCTCACCTACCTCGTGAGTTATGCATGTCACCCTTCTTAAGACACCGCAAGGCATTCCCCTGGGGTGCCAGCCAGAGGACCCTTCTTCCTGTGCTGTCTCCCAATGTATGCCCAATGTTTCAGGCAGAAGTCTTAATAAAGCTTGTCTAGGAAACTTGCTTGGCCTAGTGACAATTTCTGTTGCATGGGGGCCTAAGAACTTGTGGTCAGTAACACAACCACCATGAAACTTAGTGAGAGGAGCCCTGCAAATCCCATCATCTAAGGGAGCAGAATCCTGGATCACCAGATGCCATCACCCCACCTCTTCTGCACCACATCCTCATCCCACCAAGTTTGCCTGCCTCCCTCCCTCCCTTCCTTCCTTCTTTCCTTCCTTCCTTCCTTCCCCCTTCTGCACCACATCCTCCCCATCTCTTAACACTAACATTCCCTCCCTCCCTCCCTCCCTCCCTTCCTTCCTTCCTTCCTTCCCCATTGTCCTCTGAAGCTGAGGCTGAAAGGGAGTAGGAGAAACTAGTATGTATTGGGCCACTGCTCTCTGCCCAGCAGTGGTACCCATGAAAATATCTCAAATCGGAGAATGGGATTTTCCAGAATCTCTGTGGTTTCATCTAATTTTGTTATTTTCAATAAATTTAATTTGTTGAACTTACATAACTAAATGTTACTTTTTGTATGCTTGTAAAACTTCTCATAAATAAATCCATAAACCCTAAAAATACTCTTATTTCTAAATGTGTACCATGGTTTTGGTTTGGGAAATACAGTTTTATGCAAAGGGATAAATTTAAATTGAACAGCTGGAGAAACAAGCTTGAAAAAAAATTCAGCCTCCAAATAAGACAGAAGGATTTGATGGTGAAATGTACTTCAACGAAATTTAAAATAATTGCCTATGGGCTTTCGTTGTGGTGGTTTGTGTTCTTAAGACATTACCCAGCTGGAGTTAAAATGCCGGTGGTCCAGCGCTGTTTGCAGCTCTCTGGTGTGGGGGCTTCTTCTTCAGTTTGCTGACCCCTTCCCATCGGCCTGTGGACTGCGTGAGGCCGTCCAAATTCCCCCTTGAGTCTCCCCACTTCCCGCGGAATGTCTTCAGGGTTCATGATCTTGGACAAACATGTGCTGGAGATTTCCAACTTCATGTCTCTGGCTTTGACTAGTCTCTGGAAATCCAGCCACATTTCCGAATATCTGCAGGACGCCTCTATGGAGATTGGAACGATTTAGCCTGGATCCATGAGCATTTAACAAAATCCGCCACGGCTGCTGGGAGCCGATAGTTCCGGGGAAGTTTTATGCAAAATTGAGTGTGTGTGTGTGTGTGTGTGTGTGTCCGTGTCCGTGTGGTGTGCATACCTATGGATGTGGGGGTGTGGGGAGGGTGTGTTTGCACAGTGCATTTTTCTGGGAAGAAAGTACATAGATTTTTTTCAGATTTTCAAAGTGTACTTTGGTGCTTCTCTTCCCCCACAGTAGCTAATGTTCTAGGAATGCTTATCTTGCGCCAGGCATCATACCAAGTGCTTTATTGGTATTGTATATTTAATAATTTCAGTCATCTTTTGAGGTATGATCTGTTCATATTTGTCATTTTGGAAATACGAAGCATAGTGAGATTGGTAAACTCCAAGGTCATAGCTAATAGACATTGGAGGGAAGGTTCAAATCCTGCCCTTGCCCCAAGGCAAGATCCTGGCTCCTAATTCAAGTTCTCCACCAGCATTGCATCACTGGGACCTACCTGTCTCCCCTACTTGGTCATGGATTTTGGTGTTTCTTTTTAAAACTCTGTCTCCCAGACATTCTCACAGCCTCTCCTCTAGTTCAACCCCCAAATATGATGTTAGTTGGCCTATGGAGGCTGACCCATCTCCAGAATGGATTATTGTCACACTGGCCTTCCCGCCCCTTCCCTTCTTCCTCCATCCCTGCATCATCTGGGGCCCACAGGGTCTCTAAAGCATCCATGGGCTCCCAATCTACAGTCCAGTCTGTCAGCAGGAGGTCATGTTACTCCACGGTCAGGGTCACTCTGACCTTTCCAGACACGGTTCTGAAGGGCTCTTCAGGAGACACCACACATACGCACCAAACATACACACACACACACACACACACACACACACACACCCCAAATACATCAGACACCCCCACACTACACACACACACACTCACTCACATACAACACAAACACGCCGAACACACGCACGCCACCTCTCCACACTACACACAAATATACACACACTCACCACCCACGCAAATGTACATACACCACATCACACACACCACACACACCCACCAAACACACATCAGACACCCCACATTACACACACACACTCACATACAACACAAATACACACACACCTGACACTTTCCACACTACACACACATGCACAATCACCACCCACACAAAACACATCACACACACCACACAAACACGCACACCATACACTGTGCACACACACTCACATACCACACAACACACCAAACCCATAGACACCAGACACCCCTCACACTACACACACACACTCACATATAACACAAACACACACCAAACACACACTCCCAGACACTCCCCCAACACCACACACACTGTGCACACACATACACTCATACCACACACCACACATACCAAACACACCCAAACACCAGACACCCCACACATATGCACACCACACACAAATAGCACACCACACACTACACATACACTTCCACACACCACAGCCCCCTACCTTCCCACACACCCTGCTCCCCTATACCATACCCCACATCCTACCTCCCACATCCCACACCACATCCCACCACACACACACACACACACACACACACACACACACACTTTTGATGTCTCTGAGGCCTGGAACCTCTGCCATGTGAGGACACAGCATTCACCCCTTCCCGAGGACACAGTGTTCAAGGCGCCGTCTTAGAAGCAGAGGCCAGACCCTGACTAAGCAATGAACCTGCTGGCAGCTTGATCATGGACTTCCCACTCTCCAGAACTATACAAAATACATTTCTTTTCTTTATAAATTACATGACCTGTGGTGTTCTGTTATTGCAGCACAAAACAGGCAAAGATAATTGTCTTCCCTGAATGAGTATAATTGTTCCCAAATTTCTCCTTTTTGTAAGGACACCACTCATATTGGATTAAAGTTCACCCTAAGCACCTCACTTGAGCTTGATTACCTCTGTCAAGACTGTATCTCAAAATAAGGTCACATTCTGAGGTACTGGGAGTTAGGAAGCCAACATACCTCTTCTGGGTAGCAGGGGATGTAATTTTACCCATCACAACATTTGATCACTCTCTTGGTTTCTGTACTCATCTTAGGGTCAGCAATGAGCCCCCGAAAGGTTCTTCTTTCCACCAGCTCTTCCTTCTTCAACATGGACAATTTACATTTTCATCTGTGCTCTTATCACCCTTGGTCTCCTGTAGTTAAGAATCCTGAATCGGGCCGGGCGTGGTGGCTCACGCCTGTAATCCCAGCACTTTGGGGGGCAGAGGCTGGCAGATCACAAGTTCAAGAGATGGAGACCATCCTGGCCAACATGGTGAAACCCCGTCTCTACTAAAAACATAAAAATTATCCAGGCATGGTGATGTGTGCCTGTAGTCGCAGCTACTGGGGAGGCTGAGGCAGGAGAATTGCTTGAACCTGGGAGGCAGAAGTTGCAGTGAACTGAGATCGCGCCACTGCACTCCAGGCTGGTGACAGAGCGAGACTCCGTCCCCCTCACCCCCCTCAAAAGAAAGCATCCTGAATCGAATCAATGTCTTTTTACAGATTTTTACAGGAGAGCTGTATTTTCAGCTTTGAGGTCACTGCGGGGTGGTTTTGTTTTAATTAATTTATATTTTTCTTTCCAGCCAGGCTGCTGCAAGTGCTTGGCTTTCTGGAAGAGGTTTTGGGATGCTCAGATGTACACAGCAGGCCAGAATTTGGCCATGCGAATGGTCTTAGGGTTAGAGATGAAGCATGACTATTAATAACAATTATCACAGGGTGGCTGCTCAGAGTCAGTGTCATCTGCATAATCATCTTTCACCTCAGCATCTGCTCCCTTCAAATACAGGTGTGTGATTTTTAAAGAACCAAATATTCAGAATATACCTTTCTTCTCCCCCACTTCTGAGGAACTCAGATCACTTTGTTGTGAGATCTAACATGATTCCTTTGCTCTTCATAGGCACTTCATGATAAGGTGGTAATTTCATGCCTTGGGGAATTAGATGCAGTTATAGCTGTAGATGTACTTGAGTTACTGGAATCCAGACAGGCAAAGATGATTTACTGGTAGAAGCACCACAGCTCAGCAAGGAGAAGGAAATAGGGCCAACATTTCTGACTCTTGGCTTCCAACTTCTAACCATATTTTATCTAGGTTGATCAACTTTGAAGCACCTGTCATTGCAATTTCAGGGTATGTGCTCTAACGCATGTCTTCTGCAAAGGCTTCAAGTCATTTTGTTTGATGTGCTTTTTATTATCTATTGCATCCTGAAGCACGTGCTGGGTGCAAAACTCTGACATTTTTGGCAAACTCTGCCGTTGGCCGACCAGATGTCAGGGATGCCCTGTGGACAGGATCCAGGTGTGTGATGGGCTCCATGGGTCTAGCTGCCCTTCATATTTCCAGATGAGTCCTGTTGCAGCCTCGAGCTGAAGATAAAACAAGGGATGCAGGGAGGGGCTCAGGAGGTTACATTTTCACTACCACTTTTGAGCTTCAGCAAAGGAGAAATGGAAATGTCAGTGAGGGCTGTTATCTTTAAAATATGTGCATTCTAAGGAGAAGAATTAAAAACAAACAAACAGAAAAACCTAAAATCTATGCAACTCTGGATTTCTTTGCAACTCTAGGTTCCATATCACACACTGGGTAGCTTAAAATGGTAGCGCTTTATTCTCTCACAGTTCTGGAAGGTAGAAGTCAGAAGTCAAGGTATCAGTTAGAGACATGCTTCATATTCACTTACCCACAAACTAGTGGATGACACATTTTGGCCATTTGGAAGATCTTTATTATAGGAGTATGTAGATTTTCCATAGAGTGCTGTTGTGTGACTTGAATTTTAGTTGTGGCCCTGCCTCTGACTTTGTCAGTGATTTATCCTGGTTCCAGGAAATAAGAATAGCCTTTTTCTCATGATAGTCTTTGGTAGTTTTTAAAACATTTGTTTAACTCAACAGATGCACCATGTGCCTGACTCTGCTCTATACCAGTGAAGAATTTACACTGTAATGGGGGGAGGTAACTATAAAGATGATAAACATAACATCTTAATTGGAGTGAGTATGAAGATGGTTGTTATCTTTTCCTAAAAGAAACAACAACAACAAAACAAAAAAGGAAGTCAAGGTATCAAGAGGGAGATGCTACCTCTGAGACACTGGAGAGAATCCTTCATTGCCTCCTCCTCGCTTCTGGTGGTGGCCGTCAATTCGTGGTGTTTCCTGGTTTGCAGCTGTGTCACTCTCATCTTGGTCTCCGTCTTCACATAATGTACTCCTTGTGTGTGCCTATGTGCTCAATTTTCCCTTTTCTTATAAAGACACCAGTCATTGGACTTAGGACCCACCCCAATCCAATATGACCGCATCTTAATTTGCTTACATCTGCAAACATTCTATTTTCAAATAAGGTCCCATTCACAGGTACAGGGGTTAAGGATGCCAACATATCTTTCTGGGGGACACAGTTCAACCCAGTGCATGCTCCATTATCATCACATGGAGGCATTTGTCTGGTTGGCTTTCAGGGGCTCTGTTATAAGAATGTAAAATCCTAGGAAATATTGAACGTTGTCTGAACTTGGGGTTTTGAGGTTGCGTCTATAGTCCTCAGATGCTTTTTTTTTTTTGATAGGGATAAAGAAGTAAAAATTGGAATGGGTTTTGGTTTCTAGGAATCAGGTGAGTTGCCTGAGAGATAGTTACATGGGGTTGATCCCCAGCCGGTTGCCATCAGAACCCGTAAACACCAAGTTCCTCCAGTCCAGACAAATCCAGACCCACAGCTCTGTTTCACATTAGTGTCATAAAAGATTTTCCTGTGCTTCTGTGTGTGGAATCAACATAGAAATTAAACAGTGCATCAAAAATCACTGACATTTTGTAATAACGTTCCTTGGCTTTCATTGGGAATTGGCAAATCTCAGAAAGAAATAATTGAGTAACTTGGGTGCTTGACTCGTGTCTATCACTCTTAGGAAGGGAGTGTCTGTGGTCCAGAATCAGAGCCTAAGGAGAGCCCATCTCTCCAAGGACCCTGTCCATGCGGCTTCTCTATGTTCCTGATATTGGAGGAATAAAGGGGATAGGTCATCATCTTCCCACCATGTTAAGAAGCCATCTGTGTGGTCATTGGACTGGCAAAAAGACAAAGAGAATGTCCATTTCCATTTTTGATGCACTTGCTTCATGACCCTGAGCAGAGCCATTTGACTATTTTGGTTTTGCTTCTTTATTTGTGAAGATCATGAGAAGGAAGCTCACACCAGGAAAGCCCACCTTTGCTGTATTCCAGAAATAAATAAACGGGACTTTTAAGGCAGGTTTTTGAGGATTTTTGTGAATGATTCTATAGGTACCTCAAACCAGCTTTCAAACATGCTCGTTAATGTTTTCAGGGTGCCAGGGCATTATTGAGTAAATTGCAACTTTAGACATAAAAAACAAAATATGACTGAAAAAGAATTCTAAAAATCATGACAATTGTACATAAACTTAAAAAACTAGGTCACTGGAAATTTTTGAATACTTAAGATCCGCTCCCATTCAAGGACTTTCCTTACAGTCAAATTAACTGGAATGCTTGGGTCCTGAAACCTGCTTTGTAGCAAATGGTTTATTTTACTGGATGTTTCTTTATGTAAATATGGCTTTTTGCATATATAATATTTCTTCGTAGGGTAAATGTAGTGCTCACCAAAACAACCACTGTCTGGGAATTTTCTGTCAACTGAAATTGAGGTTGTTGTGAATTAGGGGAAATAGCTTTTATTGTCACTTTGGACTGCAGCAGGGCAAAAAAGGAAAACAATAAGCATTGTGAATTATATGTTTTATGCTCCTATTATGAAGCTAATGATTTCCTATTTACTCTTTCTGATTCCTTGATAAGAAGCACCTGCAAAGGTATTGACAAAGCTTGAGCCATAGGTTTATGTAGAAGCCCGAAATGCTAACTTTCAGGAACGTGAACATATTCATTTCTCACAAATACAAATGAACATTGGCTTCTTGTGAAGTGTCAGTTCACTGGCAGGATGCACAGGAAACCCTGTAGTTTTATTTTTTCCAATATTTGCCCCTTCCAACTCTGCTAGGATGAACCCTTCCTTCTCCAGGCATCCTCAATGACTTTCTGCTGCAGCCCCACTTCTTTCTCAGCCCCACTGATTCTCAGCACAGTTTCATCTTGCTACTCAGGATTCAGTGCTGTTCCCCTGCAAACGTCACTGTCGAGATGGGTTCAGATCTCTTGTCTCCTGCCTACAGAGCAAGTACACCTCAGCTGTTTCCTCCTCATCCCCCTTATCCTTCTCCTCCTCCTCCTCCTTCTTCTCCTCCTCCCTATCTCTCTTCTAGGATCCTCTGAGTATAAGGTCAGGAAGTTGGCAAGAAAGTGCAAGTGCCCCCCGAGTGACTGGGTGAGATGACAGTCTGCTTTGCTGTGTATTGTGGCCTCGGTGGCTGACGCTGGCCTTTGGTGCTCTTGCTAAGCTGGAAATCCAAGGGTCCATCATTGGTGGACACCCATATGGTTCTTTGGAGACCGTATGGAGATCTCCAACTCCTTAGCTCCCACTATAGGAAGTCATGCCCTCAGTTTTTGCTTCATGTCTAAAAGACCCCTCTTGACTGGGTATCCACATGCCAGAACAACCTTTGGTATTCATTCAATCCACAGGGAACTCCTGGATTCTTGCAACGTCTCATGAGGAGGTTCAGGCTGCTTTGGGGTGCCCAGTCTTGAAGACCTCTCACTGGTCTTCGTGGAGGAGGAGTGCTGCTTTACCCCACTTTTCCTCTACTCCGAGGAGAGCTGTGGGGAGCAGCAGACAGAGCAGTAGGGTGGGGCTAGTGGTATCTCAGGAGGGAGAGAGGCTTATGGGGGAATCTTCTGATTGGCTACAGGGACTCATTCTTCCAAGGACCCCATGGCTTCTAACTTCCTCATCAGGCTTGAATTGAAACACACCAGCTACCTAAATTTCCTGTCCAGAGAAATCCAATAAGGCTGAAAAGACTGATGTTTTTCTCCTTTTACAGAAGAGAAAACATCCCAGCCTATGTTGCCCCTCCATTTCACATTTCTTCCTCACACACGTGGTTCTTGAGCATCTAGGTCTTTCCTCCATCATCCAAATCAGTCCTTTTAATACTGAGATAACTATGTCCTCGAAGGCTCCTATGGTTACCTTGGCCTTATCTTTCTTCCTGAATGCATAATTCAGCACTAAATTTAATCAGTTTTGTCTTACTATGTATGCGAAGTCTACTCATCTCACTTCTCTAATCAGATGATACAGTTTTAAAAGTGGGAATCATATTTTCCAGGACTTATAGTTGCCTCTTTATTGAGTAGGAAATGCTGAACATTTGATAGAGTGTTCTTTATTGAGTAGAAGATGCTCTTTATTGAGTAGAAAATGCTGAACATTTGATTGGGAGGGGCAGCTCAAACTAGTGGTAGAAGTTTGAGTTATTCTGATCTTTCTCTGAGTCCTTCTTTATTGGGAAACTGTGATGTGCTTGAAAAGATCCATAATTGATAGATGCTCCCCTTTTCCCTTATTTAATTTTATGTACAAATGTATGACCTTGGGCAGACTCAACCAAGTGGGGGCCCCATTCACAGGCTCTGATGGAGGAGACATCCCAGTTCCACCTATTCTGAGATCCAGAACCTTAACACCGGATGGTGGGTGACCTCTCCTGTTCAGCTTCCTTCCCAGTCTCCCTAGAAGGGGCCTCTCCATGGTGCCTTACAGAGGTAACCAAGGAAAAACTTGGGAAGAATCAAATCATGCTAGGGAAGATGTATACACAGCTGGCTAGGCAGGAGACTTTGACTATAATATGTGCTTAAGAAACCAATATTCCTATGTACCCTAGAATAGCCTGGTTCTGGTACTGAGTGCAAATCCATTTCCCCCTGAGAGTTGGGGCCACTGAAGAGACCCTGTCTCTGCCCTCTTCTTTCCACTGGTGTGGTTCTGCGGCGTCCTTTTCTTTCTGGCCATTCACTGACTGCACTGGATGGACAACCACTTGTGTTCTGGCTGATTTAAAAACGGTAAGCCAGTCTCCAGCAATTATTCCTCAAAGTACTGACTCTGAAATATAGAAAGCTATTCATGAATTGTACTCCTAGCTTCATTTGTGCTAAGACAGAGGTCCCTTAAAGTAACTCAGAGGTGCCGTTTTCTTCCAATGTGAGTTCCGCATAAGTCTCACTGCCACTCCTGACCTCTCCTCCCCAGGAATGGCTCTTGTTTCCTCCTGGTTATTTCAGTGGCTGGGTTGGTTCTAGAATCCATTCTGGTTTTTGAGTGGACGAAAGCAGAAACTGGAGTCAGTGAGACATGGGTTCTGACCTCCACTTGGCTGCCCATTGGAGGTATGTGACTTTGGCTGACTCACCTGCACTCGCAGTATCTTCATGATGACTTCTGCCTCTGATCTTTTTCATTTGTAGAGAGCAGAATATGGATGTTAAACTATCAAAGGTCCCGTGCTTGCAGCAGCCCAAGAATGGGGTTGAGGACACAGACTGCTGTTGCTGCCAAAGGGCTTTGTGTCCACTTATGGTGGCTTACATTTGTATAACACACCAAAAATCATGTTGCTTCAGATGCAAATATCCAAATAGTGATGCCAATGATGAGGAAGCCTGACATCTGATCATACAGTATATTTATATCTACCATGAACTGGGTTGTTTTTTATTTTACTTTTTTTTTTTTGAGAGAATGTCATAATGTTTCCATGAAGGCATTCTGGTTGACATCTATGAACTTATAATGCCCCCTCACTTGAGTCTGAGGAAGGAACAAGGATGCGGGATCCTGGCGAGCCCTCCTTAAATTCAAGAGGCCAGGAGCCCTGCCTCCGGCGAATCTGGTATGGTGTACAAAGGTAGTATCTTGAATGCAGAGGACAAAGAGGAGTGGTTAGGAGAAGAAGCAGAAGGCATGCCAGCTTTGTAAGAGATAGTAATCAACCCAAGACCCAAGATAAACAGGAAAAAAAAAAGTAAAAATGTTTTTAAAAATTCTCATTAAGCTGAACGCATTTGGGTCAAGTAAGTCTAAGTCTTTCACAAATTGTTCATTTGGGCCTAAACCCAAGAGCACCCTTTGGCTGAAAATATCAACTTGAAGAGTTACTTGAAAATTATGAAACATTAGCAGTGAAACTTAATTAAAAATAGCCATTGCTTACCATGTGAGAGGACTTCCTGCTTAATGGGGACACGGTAGAGGATGTTTAAATTGTTTACAGCATAAAATTTGCTTTCATCCTAATGAGAAAACTCAAAAACATTCAGAAAAGTAACTAAAAAAGAAAAAGACTTAATGGTCTCACAGGGCTTGGGCCCATGAATAGCCTCTTCTGCAAGGAGCAACTGGTCACCCCAAGAAGCAATAAACCCTCCTGAAGTGACGAGAGGGGCAGCATTTCCAACGTTTATCAGCCTGAAATTTTTGTTAGTATGAATGTCCTTTCTGTTAACCCTCGGGCTCTCTGTTAAGCAGGTGTCTTTTTTTTTTTGTTGTTTTGTTTATCAAGCTGTTGATTCTCTTTGAGGCTGAGGAGGTTCCCATGAGTTTGTAACTTGACCTGACCCCAGTGTGTTAATTCCTGCAATCCAGACCCTGGGAAATGCTCCCTCATTAAACAAGACCCTGCTAACTCCTAAGGGCCCTACACAGCAGCACAGCGTATTTTAGATAAGTTAACCCTTGCTTTGCCATGGATCCGAGAGCACAGCTTCTCATCTGCCGAAGGTGCAGGCTGGGTGCTCAAAGCCTTGCCTGGTCAGCCCTGGGAAACGCGTGGTGATGGAATCCAAGCCATGGAGCCCCACGCCTGGCTCAGCCACCCATGAGTAGCATGGGGGAAGTTATTACAGCTCTCCGGCTCTGTGCCACTGTTTCAGCATCTGTAAAATGAAGATTGCTGTTTCATAAGGATATTGGGAAGATCACATGAGATAATGCCTGGGAAGGGCTTTCTAGGTTCCTGGCATGTGATAAGGACTCAATCAATGTGCAGTTGCTGTTTCATCACTGTTTTCATTCCACAAAACTATATTGAGCCCCCACTGTTTACCAGGCACTGGGCTAGACCAGTGGGGGGTGCCAAGATGAATAGATGAACCCATTGGACCCAGAAGCTCCATCTGGTAAGAGGAGAGACAAGTAGAGTAGTCAGAGAGCTCAGGGTGACCCTGGCTTTGATGGAGGTTTCCCGGGGTACTCAGGAGCATCTGTCCCAGATGTGGGCTCACAGGGTGACACCTGAAGGGACATTCTGAAGACTGGGTAGGAGTTAGGCATGGCAAAGTGTTCCCAATAAAGAGAAGCCCTTGAGCAAAAGCTCAGAGGCATGGAGAGCCATGGTGAGTTCTGGAGTTACTGCTGCAAGGAGCTGGGGAGTTGAGTCTGTGTAGTATGTAGAGCGAGACCAGGGGACCCTGAGTGTCATGTCCTGGGGCAACAGGAAGTCACCAAAAATGTCAGTGGAGGACTTATGTCATCAGATTCCCATTTCGGGAGAATGGAGTTTTCAGGAATATGAAGGAGGGGATGGAGGGAGAAGGACTGGAGTCCAAGTGGCTGGTTGGGAGAACACTGCATTGAGAGAAGGAGCACCTGGCCCCAGCAACGGCTGCAGAGATGGACAAGAAAACACAGAAACAAGCGGCGGTTGAGACACAGAGTAGACAGCATTGGCAAGCAAGGAGCTGAGGCGTCTGGAGGGGAGAAAGGCATTGAGACATGTTAGAATCTGGCAGGTGGTACAAGGTGAAGCCTTCTCACCTTGCAAGAGCAGCCCCTGAGACAGTGATAAGGAGTTCTGGGTGCTTCATACTCCAGCTTTTGTACTTCATAAGTCCATGACCTTGGGCAAGTGGTTATTTGCAAGTCTGAGATTCCTCACTTGTAAAATGGGGGTAGTAACACCTTCCATGGGGGCTGTGGTGCACATCAAACAAAGGACTGTGTGCACTGAACACAGAGCCTGGAGCCTGAGGCATGGTCAGGGGGCCCAAGTCAAAAGCTTGTCATCAGAAGAGTCATTATATCGTTTGAGGACACGAACATTGCCAGGGGCCAGTCAATATCAACTGCATGGTGATTTGAGGTTTAATCAATTGCAGTTGTGGTCTCCATAAAAATGGGTCCTTTGCTTTGCACACAGGAAAAGGATTTGAATGAATCCCAAGTGGGTTACTATTCTGTGCAAGCTACAGAAATAGTCAGCATGCAAGTGACACAGATAAGGCACAGTCCCTTTCCCTTGGGGAGCTGAGAGCTGGTGAGTAGGCTGAGTGTCAGCAGAGAGTCTAGGTTTCAGGCTCACATCACTGCCCCTTCTACTGCCATTGTCTCAGGTGAGTTTCCCATGTTCCCTGAGTAGTGTTCTCCACCTGGAAGAGGGGGATCATCATGCTTGCTTTCTGCCTGTTGGGAGAATTAGAGGAGATACAGGGCAAGATCTGGCCCGTCCTGGTTTAATTATCATTATTAGGGGAAATAAAATGTAATCACAAATGGTTATTATCTAGCACAAAGTGAAAAGTGCCATTAGAGAAGGATCAGGAGGTTCAGAGGAGAAAGGGGTCATATTCAGCTGAGATAATCAGGAAATGGAACTTCCACTGAACGTGGAAGAAAGGCAGGGATTGTGGTGGCTTCACACGTTGACTTGGCTACGCTGGAGTTACATTTTCCAGAATTCTGCTCCCCTTGGAGGGTGGGTTGGAGGTGGGCCACAGGGCATTTGCAGAAGGTTTTGAAGGTAAAGGAGAAGCAACAGCTATGTTCCTTCAGCCCTTGGAACATAGCAACAGCTATGTTCCTCCAATGCACAGGGCTGGGCTCTGAAACTGCCTGTGCAATTTGTCCTCACCTGTGGCTCATCTGGCTGCTCAGCCTCCAGCTCCTGCTGAATGCCCACTCTGTTCTCCAACTCCTGGGCTGCAGGCAGACTCAGCCTCATGACAAGGAAAGCCAGCTTCTCCTGCAGAACCCCCAGCCCTGTCACTGAAGTTGAGGCCTAGAAGTGTGAGAGACTAGGGTATGAGGCCTAAAGCTACAGCCCAATATTATGTGTGTGCCTTCACATCTGGGGAACCCAGCCTAATGGCAAATTCCCCATCCCACGGTGCTCCTGCAGAGAAGGTGTCCTGGCTAAGCCGCTCTCCCTAATACCAGAGCCAGGCACAGTACCTGCTATTGTTGGTAGGGGACTCTGTTCTCTGCAGGAACCATCTCCTCCTGCAGAAGCCAAGGGGCACCCCATTCTCTTGATACCACAGAGCCTGCCTCCCTTAGCCTTTTCTTGTTCACTCAGCTCCTGGGTGAAACCCCTGTGTGGCACTGAATGGTATATGGTGTCCTCCTCCCAACCTGTCAATTTCACCTGTTCAGTGTTGGGGTGTCCTGTGTTTGACCAGGCTCAAAATCCTGGGCAGGGAATCCCTCCTTTGCCTACAAGGTGAAGAGGTGATGATGTTCAGAACACAGCCCCACGCCAGGTTCCAGTCTGTTCTCCTGGATTCTGGCTCCTGCCTGTGGCCTCACTCTCTCCCACTTCAAGTCCCTCCCCTCTTCCTCACTGCCTCCCCGTGGACTTTAAATCCCAGCACCAGACACAAAGACGACAGCCTTGCAGAGACCATTTAACTAGCTTCCATCATTATGTGGCATCAAATCCCTATAATCATATCATAAGGTATCAAATCCCATATCATAAGGGATTTATTATAAGGGAATGTGACCTCACACAGGGATGGAAGCTGGTTAAACAGTCAAGGATGGAAGCCGGTTAAATAGTCTCTCTCTGTCTCTCGGTCTCTATCACTCTGATGGTTTTGTTGCTCAGATCTAACCCTGATTTTTATAGACTCTAACTGGTCAATCAGGCTGAAGGAATAACAGGATCTGAAAAATCTAAAGATGGTGTAGAAAAAGGCTGCTTCTGTGACAGGCGGGAATTTCTCAATCCACCACCTTCGGTGTGCTAGAAATGTGACTGACTTTCTCTCTGGAGGCCCCTTTCTTGCAAGGAGCAGAAATAGAGTCTCCCTAATTCACAGGAAGCACAATGACTATTCAGATTCCTCTCCCACCACCTTCACTTCAGAGGGGACACATTCCTTCCAGGGACTGACATGGCGGCTTCTCAGTCTCAGCAGGGGAGAGACGGGTTTTCCTTGGCCTCGGTAGGCATTGGCCTCCTCTGCAGTGAGTGTTGTCCCATTGGCACTTATTGGTTCCACTGGCCAGTCCACCCTACCCAAGGACAGTGTCCCCTCCTCCATTGTCTGCTGCCATATTTGATTCCTCTCTACTCTATTATGGGTCAGCAGGGGCGGGGGCCCACTGTGAGCCTTCCTCATGCCCTTGGCCTCAGCCTTCTGAGCAGACACCTGTTCCTACTTGTCTTGGTGCCCAGGGTAGCAGGAGGCAAAGTGCACTCAGGACCCCTTAACTCTAAGATTGTCAAACAACGACAATCCCCTTGGGGCCAGTCATTGGGTGGGTTCATGGTTCCTTCTGAGAAACCCCATATGCACTTCATTCTTTTCATTTCCCATGCTCTCTCTTTTGGCCTGAAGAGAGTATTTTTCCTTAGAAGAAGCAAGTAGTTAAAAAATATTTTCTTCTTTTCTTTGACCTAGAGCTTAACAAAAGACAAAACTCAGATGATGAAGTACTTAACATCTTCCTTCTTTCTTTCCTGCTGACTTGATGACTCTGCTTTGGAGCAGTGGGGGCCTCAAGGTCGCAGTGGAGAAAGCCATGGGCCAGTGGGAGGTGAAACGGAGCCAAAGGTGGGAGAGGGCTCGAGGGAAGAGGCCATGGATAAAAGGAACACCCTTTACACAGAGGTCGGGGGAAGATGGCCTTAGGAAAAGCCATTTGATTTGATATTTGAGAGATGTTTGGTGACCTTCAAGAGCATATTTTTGGGAGAATTCCAGAAAGAAAATAAGGTTGTAAAGAGTAAGAAGGTCAGTGAAGACTGTAAGGACAGGAAATGTGGAAAAGCTCAGTATCAGCCACTTACTTTTATGGGATCCTAGTAAATAAAGGGGGAGACAGACGATGGAAACTTTAGGGCATATAGGGAACATTTAGGTCCAAGCAGGGTGGAGGAAAGATATTTTTAGGGTGAGGGAGACTTGGGTATCATGGTTGACAGAAGAGAAAGAGCGAGAGTGCAGGAGAGACCAAACATGTATAGTGAAAATGCTCAACCTCTTATGGAATCTTGGCTACACTTCTGCTAGCTTGGTGACCCTGGAAAAGATAATAAACCTCTCAGAGCCTCACATTCTTAATATATGGAACTTTTAGAGATGGCAAGCCTAAGTCAAAAGCTAGTTTTGTAATGTTATACCATCAATATAGCAACAATCATGCATAGTGTGCCTCTACTTCCATAAATATGGAACACATATATGGTGCTTACTATGTGTCAGGCCTTGTTCTCCATATTTAATGCATATGAACTCACTGAATTGCATGCAGTTAACATCTACTAACTCAATTCTTAAAGCAACCCTAGGAGCCCAATTTTTAAATGATCCCTGTCTTACAAATGAGGCAACTGAGGCACAGAGGGGTTAAATAACTCTCCCAAGAACATAGAGAAGGCAGTTGACAGGGAAATGGGCTTGACAACCTATGCTCTTAACCACTGTACAACACTGTCTCATGCTGAATGAGCTTTCAATATAAAAACTGATTATTGATTGATTGATTGGCTGAGCAGAGAAAGATGAAGGAAATTGGTGGTAAACAACCACAAAGAAGGAATAAAAGTGTAGAGCAATAGACCAAGTGAAAGGGTTGACCTGTGAAGAGCAAAGAACAAGCCCAGGGGAAAATACAGAGGTGCTGGGTAACAGCAATGCTGTTTGAGCCCCTGCATCCAGCTGCTCCTGAAGCTGATAAAATCCATTTTCAGACCTTTGGTTAAGCCAACAAATTTTCTCTCTTGCTGAAACCAAGATGGGCTGGGTGTCCACTCACTTGCATCTGAAAGATGATTCACTAATATGCTCATCTATTTTGAAGTCTGGTAGCAGAGAAGAGAGGTGGCGTAGGCTAGCAATTCATGATGGTACCAGCCTCTGGCTACCTCCTTGTATTAGTTTCCCAGGGCTGCCGTAGGAAGTGACCCCAACTGTGTGGCTTAAATCAGCAGACATTTATTCTCTTATAGTTGTGGAGGCCAGAAGTCTGAAATCAAGGTGTCAGGTCAGCAGAGCCATGCTCCCTCCGAAGGCTGTAGGTGAGAATAATTCCTTGTGTCTTCCTGACTTCCAAGGTTGCCATGAATCCTTGGTGTTCCTTGGCTTGCAGATGCATTGCCATCTTCCCTGCTTGTCAGTCTGTGTTTCCTTCTTCTTATAAAGACACCAGTTTTATTGAATTAGGGCCCACCCTAGTTGAAAACAACCTCGTCTTTATTTGGTGGCAACTGCGAGAGCCTATTTCCAGGTCACATTCGCAGGTACTGGAGTTAGGGCTTCAACATGTCTTTCTGGGAGGCTCTCATGTCTATTGTACATGGCCATGCATGGCAGAGAATCATTTTGGTGTTTTCCCCTTGTTCCCTCTATCTTCCACTGGCATTCAGGCAGCTTTCTATCTCCCAGCCCTCAAGGGAAGGAATGATCATGTCTAGGATAAAGGCCAGATTTTTGATTTTTGAGTTCCAAAGCAGGCTCTTGAAATTCACTCTACAGATTACAGTCTAAAAACTAAAGGATATAGATGAACAAGTGCTGGAGTTTGTTGAGAGACAAAAGGATTCGTGAGTTTCAGCAAGAAAGCTCAGAGGCCTGAACACAGAAAGCATAAAATAAGCCAGAAAGCTGGGGGCACACAAAGTAAGATGCAAATGCAGTGATATGGTTTGGCTCTGTCCACACCCAAGTCTCATCTTGAATTTTAGCTCCCATAATTCCCACATGTTGTGGGAGGGACCCAGTGGGAGATAATTGAATCATGGGGGTGGGTCTTTCCTGTGCTATTCTCATGATAGTGAATAAGTCTCATGAGATCTGATGGTTTTATACAGGGGAGTTTCCCTGCACAAGCTCTCTTCTCCTGTCTGCTGCCATATGAGACATGCCTTTCAACTTCCATCATAATTGTGAGGCCTCCCCAGCCACGTGAAATTGTTAAGTCAATTAAACCTCTTTCTTTTGTAAATGGCCAACTCTCAGCTATGTCTTTATCAGCAGCATGAAAGAGAACTAATACACACAGCTATTTACTTGCGAAGAAAAAGGGAGTTCAACGGGCAAGGGGCTCAGAAGGCAATGAGGCCAGAACTGAGCTTGCTGGGGGGAGTCTGAGAAGAGCCCTTCCACCCACCATGATTTCTGCCTCCTCCCAGAGTGAAGACTCTAATGAGGAGGAGTCACGAAGAGAGGTTTGGGGAGCTCCATAAGGAAGCCTGCAAGCACTGCAAACCCCTTAAGATGGGACCAGAGCTCATGGCCCTGGGGTAGCTGAAACCACAGCTGGGGGAAGCAATTAGCCAGAGAGGCCACAGGGTCCTGCACATCCTAGGGAGGAGCAGGCCTCCAAAGTGGACCTTGTGCCTGGAAGGTCAGTGTGAAATTCAGGTGCCACGGCAGACACCACGGACTTCAGCAATGACTGTCAACCAAGAATTCTCAAAGACCATGAGGGGTGACTTCACTGAGGCAGAGGTAACTGCAAGAGCTGTAGGCAGCCCTTGTGCCAGGAACCCTGTCCTAAACTGCGTGTAAGTTCTCTCCCCTGCTTCCCCCAGAACGTAGAATGCTGAAAAGTTAAGGAGAACAGAAAGGACAGGAGGGAGTGCTGCATTTGGAAAAACCTGGACAAGCAGTACTCTAGTGATTGCTAGAAAGGATTGCTTCCATGTGGGTGTACTGTATTTTACACTTTCATATGCCACTAGAGTCCAGCAGAATTGTTTCCTTTACTTACTGAAGTATTACTCAATATAATCTGGCTATGGCCAAGCATGGCGGCTCATGCCTGTAATCCCAGCACTTTGGGAGGCCAAGACGGGCGAATCACTTGAGGTCAGGAGTTCAAGACCAGCTTGGCCAACATGGGGAAACCCCATCTCTACGAAAAATACAAAATTAGCTGGGTGTGGTGGTGTACTCCTGTAGTCCCAGCTACTCGGGAGGCTGATGCAGGAGATTTACTTGAACTCAGGAGGCAGAGGTTGCAGTGAGATGAGATGGTGCCACTGCACTCCAGCCTGGGCAACCGAGCTAGACTCTGACTCAAATAATAATAATATTAATAATTTGGCTCTTGCAAAAGATATAACATTTGAGAAACTCAAACTTGCTTTTATTACTTATTATTAAGTCTAATACATAAGAAATAAATGAGAGCATGTAGCAACGGCAACAAAGACTATTTAAAACCTTAAACATGTTTCTTTTAGGCTGATAACAGAACAGTTTCATTTGAAGCTTAAGATGTAAATGCTGCCATTTATACATATTGGTAGAAATCCTTTAGAAGGTGGCTTTAATTAGCTGCTCTTCTCTTCTTTTCTCCTCCTCCTCATTCTTAAATAGATGTCAATATAATTAACTTTATTAATGAAGCTGGTTAAAATGAGCTGAAGACATGGTATCAGATCGGCAAAGAACTGCACAATTAAGCATTTGAACATGAGTAAACACATGCATATATGCTGTTGGGCTAGGAATTGATTTCAGGATACACGGGCTGTCGCCCAATCAAAAGTGCCGTGGGAGTGTGCCTTATGCTGATATGTACAAATATAACAGAATGACCCTTTTCAGCCCAAATGTTGAGACAGTGCTTGGGATGACTGAGTGGGATGTTGGCTGAGACATTCTCCATGGGCAGGTGTTACTAAGCATGCATGGTCTTATGTAAGTAGAATAAAAGAATGGCTAACGATCATCATTAATGCTTATTGGAGAACTTGTTATGTGCCACGCACTATTCTAAGCCCTTTATATGTCTTAACTCATTTGATAACTCAAAATATCCCTAAATGGAGTGAGTTACTGTTATTTCTCATGCCTTAAAGATAAGAACATTGAGCCATGGTTAGTACCTCGTCCACGGTCAGAAGCTTATCTGTGGTGCAGCGCGGTTCTGAACTCAACCTCTGGCTCCAGATCCCACACTCTTAAGTACTGCATTTTAAGTTCCCTTCAGGGTTGGTGCACATGGGGAAGTCAGTGAAAAAGTCTTGAGATGGTTAAAGAAAAGCAAATAAGCCGTCTTTGGGCTGTTGAGTGAAATCTCAGGATTAACTGCTTGATGAAAAGATCCTCGTGTGATGTGTGTTCAGGGTCTCAGAGTGGCTTCCATCTGTACAACAGGAAGGCTCCAATGAAGCTCATTCTCCCAAATTTATTGTTTTTAGTCCAAAGATAAGCTTCTGTTAACTTTGTGTGCAATGCAATTTATTTTTGGCCCTCTTTTGAAATATTGTGCTCAGCTCAAGTCAACAAGCTCTTGCCCCAGGTGTTAGAAACATGGGCCACATCCTAGCAGGAAGCTGGGAGCATGAATCAGCCACAAAGAAGGGCTTCACAAAGGAACCTTAAAAGGAGGCCAAACTCAAATTTCTGGAAATGTGTTAAAGGTTCCACATGTATTCTGAGATCTATAAATGTCTCATCTTCTATCTTTGAAAGCCCTTACTGCTAGTCCAAATGTAAATCCTCATTAGGTTATAAACCCTGAAAGGATTTTGTCATCAAAGATAGTGCTAAAATTAGATGCTTCCTGGCTGAGCCCATTCTGCTTGCTTGAAGAAGCCAAATTACTTCCCCCTCTGTGAATTCAAAGCCCTGACGGATTCGCCTCTCCCTCCAGGCTGTCAATCCAGTTGAAAAAGTCATTTGCTGAGTACCTGGGTATCAGTGTCCTCTCAGGTCGTCCTCTGCAGGGGGGCTCACAAGGGAAGATTTGAACCCAGAGCAAGCCTGTTCTGACTGCTGTGGGATGCAGAGGCAGTGGCTATCATGCTGCTTCCCACTTCCTTCCCCTTGGCTCCTGGGCAGCTGCAGAGCAGACTCAGGCTGGCTCACGTCTCCTTGAAAGCATAGCAGAGACTTTTGCATTTCAGGAAGATTTGATCTTATACTTTCTCCTTTACTTTTTGCCAAGATTTACTTGCACTATGCATTGAGAAGCTCAGATAGTATTCAGTAAGCGTCGCCCTAGATAAATCTTTTTTTTTTTTTTTTTTTTGGGACAGAGTTTCACTCTTGTTGTCCACGCTGGAGTGCAGTGGTGCAATCTTGGCTCACTGCAACCTCCGCCTCCCAGGTTCAAGCAAGTCTCCTGCCTCAGCCTTCCGAGTAGTTGGGACTACAAGTGCCCACCACCATGCCCGGCCAATTTTTGTATTTTTAGTAGAGACGGGGTTTTCCCATGTTGGCCAGGCTGGTCTCAAACTCCTGACCTCAAGTGATTAATGTGCCTTGGCCTCCCAAAGTGCTAAGATTACAGGCGTGAGCCACCACACCTGGCCCCTAGAGAAACTTCACGGGGGAGAATAAGGAAGGAGATACTCACATTTACAATGTCATCTACTCTTATTCATTCATCTACTTATTTATTTATCATCAAATATTTATTGAACATTGAATGTATACTAGGCACTAGGATAGGTACAGGGATAGAATAAAAGATAAGAACTTGCATTAGGTAGAGCTCCCCAGAAATAGAACTCGAGATGTGAATTTATATGCAGTGATTTATTAAAGTGTTATCAAGATAAATCAGAAAAAGGGTAGAGGAGGAAAGGTTGGAAAAATTCAGACTGTGCTCCATCTTGAGGCCAGGAAGCTGGGTTTCCATACACCTGCAATTGTCAGTCAGTCCGAGTGCTATGGCAATGCCATCTATTGCAATACAGACTCAGGAAGAGGGGATCCAGGAGCAGTGGGGTCACATGTAGTTATGAGTGTTGATTAGATTGAGTTTGAGCTTTACATGGGATGGGCAAGCAGAGGTGTCTGGAGGCTATTGAATGTGGACTGGAAGCTCAGAAAAGTTCAGGCTGAAGATTTAAATTTAGGAATCACCAGAATATAGACGGTAACTAAAGCTGTGATTGAAGATGAAATGCTAACATTGCCCAGGGTGAGTAATGCACAGGACTGAGGTTGCAACTCTGGGAACATACACCTTTGAAGGTAATTTGGAGAAAGAGGACCTTGCTGGTGCCGGGAGCGATGGCTCATGCCTGTAATCCCAGCACTTTGGGAGGCCGAGGCGGGCGGATCACGAGGTCAGGAGATCAAGACCATCCTGGCTAACACAGTGAAACCCCGTCTCTACTAAAAATACAAAAAATTAGCCGAGTGTGGTGGCGGGCGCCTGTAGTCCCAGCTACTTGGTGGGCTGAGGCAGAAGAATGGCATGAACCCGGGAGGCGGAGTCTGCAGTAAGCCGAGATCACGCCACCACACTCCAGCCTGGGCGACAGAGTGAGACTCTGTCAAAAAAAAAAAAAAAAAAAAAAACCAAAAAACAAAAAAAAAAAAGGACCTTGCTAATGGCTCACCCCTGTAATCCCAACACTTTGGGAGGCCAAGGTGGGTGGATCACAAGGTCAAAAAATCAGGACCATCCTGGCTAACATGGTGAAACCCCATCTCTACTAAAAATCCAAAAATTACCTGGGTGTGGTGGTGTGCACCTGCAATCTCAACTACTCGGGAGGCTGAGGCAGGAAAATCGCTTGAACCCAGGAGGCAGAGGTTGCAGTGAGCCAAGATTGCGCCATTCATTGCATTCCAGCCTGAGTGACAAGAGTGAGACTCCATCTCAAAAAAAAAAAACAAAAAAAACAAAAAAAAGGAAGAGAGATCTGAGGTGATGCTCTGTTCTATCTCAAGACCCTTCAGAGAGTCCCCACCAGCAACACAGCTCTCACTGAATATAGCCCCTTGATCTTGGACTTCTCAGACTCTATAACTTGGAGAAATAAATTCCTTTTCTTCATAAACCAGTTTCAGGTATTCTGTTATGAGCAACAGAAAATGGACTAAGACCGAAGGGGAGATGTAGGACAGTGTCTCCAGTGAGTTCAGGGAAAGTGGGTGGCGTTTTTATTGATGGGGGAGACTTGAATGTCTTCACACGTGGGTATGAGATAAGATCCAGGTGTAGAAGGGAGGGTGAGAGTTTGTAAAGTTGGGAGCAGCTGGGATCCAGAGTGTGGATGGAGGGAGGAGTTATGGATGGGAAGAGGCAGGGTCAGGAAGGAGGTGGCTGTGAGGAGTTTGGTGGTGGGAGCAGAACAGGAAAGATACACCATGGCCTTTGATGTCAGGGGTGTCTGTCTGCTGAGAGTGAGGGAAGGAGACGGGATGGGCATTTGGGAAGGTCCCTAAGGGTTTGCCTGGGTTGGCATCAGATGTGCTGGCTCCCCAGGAGCCTCAGCTGGCTCAGCTCTGGTCACCTGGTTCACATTTCCAAGGATGAGAAATGTGAGGTGCCTGCTGCCCGGTGTACTAAGGCAGGAGCAGGGCCTGGGGAGAGGGAGGGCCTGGGGAGAGGGAGGGACTGGGCACACGCCCCCTACGGAGAGACCCTCAGACTTTTTACCAATGATGGCAACAACAGAAAGCAGTTTTCTGCTGACTCTCACGCAGGGGCCACCAGCATGAATTTAGAAATCTACTCAAGAGGATGTTCAGGTAGAGCTTTGCCTAAAGAGAGGTTTTTATTTAGAAGGACCTGAGGGAAGGTCCATCTTTTCAACAGCAGCATGTGAGAATTTGTGCAACACACATGTAGTATCGGAAACCTACAAATAATCAGGTTGGTCTTTTAAACTTCCTTTTCCCTCTAGGATAAAATGCAAACACAACAATAATTAGGTGAGTTTAGGAGTTTATTAAAAGGATAAAAGTCTGCCTTACACACTGAGCTCACAGACATGGAGAACCTCCCTTTTTATGTTCCACGACACATCTATGCACACTGACTTTCATGTCACATCCTTCTTAAACAGTCACCAATTCACCACTTTGGGCTGATGCCTGTGCAGGGTGCTAGGGGTACAAAAAATAAATGGAGGGCAGCCTCAACTTACCCCCCACCACACACTTTTAAGGAGCTCAAATATCTGCCCAGTGAGGTTGGTACTGAGAAAGGTCATCTCCTTGTTGGGCAAGCAGGGCCTTAGCGTCCTCCTGGTCCACTCAGGTCTGTTTACTGATGTCCAACCAGATGGCCTTTTGTGAGACCTCCTGGCTTGTTACCGAGGAGCTGGTGCTTGGACTAAGCCTCTCAGTGCAGTGTTCTTCCTATTAGGCCACGTCCCTTGCTCGCCCCAAATTTTCCTGTGATCCTAGGTCATTGAATAAGCCCAATTTTTACATGCTGCGGAATGGACACGCAAACACATCTAAGAATGGACCTTGACCAAGACGGACATCAGAAGCTTTTCCAGTTACTTCCATAGCAACAAGAATGTCCCCTTCCCAGGTGCTCTGTAACTCCTTTTGGAAGCGTCTTCATTATTCTTGGCTCCATGCAAAGAACTCCCAGTCCTCTTCCTGGAAACGTCAGCACCTTGGTGTTGAGGGTAAACTTTTGCTACAGAAAACGTCAGCACCTTGGTGTTGAGGGTTAACTTTTGCTACAGAAGTGGACAGAATGCCATCTGCTAACTCGAAGATGATGAGAGACCTTTCAAAGAGTATCAACTGGAGAAGAGAAGTAGAAGTTTCAATGAGGAATGTTCTGTCATCACATGACTAAACAGAGGAACAGACACAGGATTGGGTTGATACTAGATGGAGGTAAAATCAGTTCTAGTGGCTGTATCTTTCTCTGGCTGTTGCTTCACTTGGCGTGTGCAAAGTGTATCTCTTAGAACTGTCATCAGTCACCTTGCTGGGCTGTGACGGAACCACCTTTCACCCTGGATGGGGAAACAGATGTTGAGGGTTGTTGGCGTGCTGCAGGCGTGTAGTGGATTTGTGTTCTACCAAGTGTGAGCAGTGGTTGCATGGACGACTGTGCTTCCACTCAGGGTGAGGGGCCTGGTTTTCCATACCTGGGGGTTGAACCAGGATACCACACCATCAGTTTGCTATCTAGGAAGTTGCACCTTTATAAGACACTTATACTTTCGGCTCCGGAAACAGAAGCATCTTTTTAATACACTGCTAAAACATTTCTTCACAGAGTAGCAAGGGGACGTCCCCTCTATTTAGTGAGGTGGTCACCCTTAGGGGAACCTCAGAGAATGAAAGATTGAGGGAAACATTGAATTAATTAATTGCTTGAGAATAAAACCCTTGCAGGCACACACAGCATGATAGGGAATGGCACCTCTCCTTTGGCTGTGATGCCCTCTGATGTCCAGTGGGCTTGGTGACCCACCTAGGTTGCGGTCTGGTCCAGGACTGCCATCCCCAAGGATCTTGGAGCAAGGACCCTTGCCCCTGGTGCCACCACACACATGAATGTATGTGGCAGGTATTTTCTTCTCCATGGAAAGATGACCTCCTAGAGGCAGAGTCCAGCACTCTCTGGGTGATCCAGTGCTGAAGATGATAAACATTATCTTTTCTTCTTAGAGTGGGGTTGAAGTTTCTGGGACACAAAGGGCTTTCTGGCTTTGTCAAGCTGGTCTTGAGAGATGAAACAGGCACCCCGCGCCATGTGCTAACAGTCACTTTTACCAAGTTTTCCATTTTTCTTCCTTTTTGATGGTGAGAGATTGAGAAGAGAGAGAAAGAAAAAAAATACCGTTCCCACCAAATTGCAAAAAGTTTGTGAGTCTAAGCTGTGACTTGTCCCTCTGGGGAGTCAGGGAGGGAGCTGGTGCTGCCCATGTCTGGTTTGTGCTTGTTGAGGATGGTAGAAAGCCTGGGATTTATACTTTTCTTGTGAGTTACCAAGCTGGCTTGTCTCAGTTTCATAGATGCTGGCAGAAGGCAGCATCAGAGATTGAGAATATCATTACTCAAGTTATAGCAATGAGCGTGAGAGCCATATTCTCACCAGCTACCCATCCCTGCAGGGCCCTTGGGGTGAGGCAGAGCAGTCCAGTGGATGCTGTGTACGCAGTGGGTTTGTGTCATAGCTGAGGAGCTCTAAGCTTAGGAAACCCTAAACTTTTTTTTTTCCAGTCGACAAATACTTGTAAGATGGCTATTGTGTGCCAGGGACTTTTCTAGGAACTATGGGCACAAGTAAACAAAACAAAGAATTATGTTCTTGTGAAGCTGACATCCTTGAGAGGAAAGACAGACAACAAAGAATAACCATTATGAATAAATAAATTCTAGAGTGAGTTAGATGATAAGGGTATGGACAAGAGCTAAAGCAGATGTGGGGGGCAGGAATCCTGGGGGAGTTGTGGCATTGAATAGGGTGCTCATGGAGGCCCTCATTGAAAAGATGAGCTTGGACCAAAGATGAAGGAGCTGAGGGAGGCTGCCCCAGACCACCCAGATTCTAGGCAGAGACCAGAGAGGCTGTGACTCCTGATTGGCTGTGTCTAATGCCTAAGAAACTCTGGAAGGGGGTTGCTGGTACACCTGCCCAAATTTTGCCTCAGATGGAGATGCTGTTTTTATTATCTAGGTCAGCCAACAAATCTGCCTTCTGCCCAGCAAGGAGACACTATCTCTATCTTCCAAGGCTATCTGCTATGCAAGCATCCTTGAAAAAACAGCACAGAACAGAAACCATCAAAGCCTCTGCTCAAGAGACAGGCACAAATGCAATGACCCATGGGGGATGGTCTCCCCACAGGTACACTGACTCCCTTGATGGCACTCAGGTGACCCAAGTTAGCATCAGGCCTATCCAGTCTTCAGTCCCTGCTTGCCAGGGGGTGAGGAGATCAGCGAGGATCCTGTCCGCAGTTGCCATCTGACCCTGCTGTAGCTCTGGCTTGTCACTGCCACATATTCTTCAGGCTACTCAGTGACCCTGCCATCACAAGTCTCCTCCTCAAGCAAACAAACATCCCACAGCAAACAGACACAGCTTTTATGCAGGCCTGAAGATTCCTTCCTGGCTTAAACTCTTGTTAGGGATTACAACAGCTTGGTTTCCAAGACCTGCAGAAAATCTTTCTTTCACTGCAGCCACACTCTGCTGCCTCTCATGGACCACTTTGGAATAATGGGTGGAGAAGCAACATGGGCCTCGGGTGCCCTGGATATTAAACTGAGGATATTTAGTCTTTCCAGGTGCTCCTCAGAGAGCTGAGATACTCTCTACCACGTTCTTTAGAAAGTTAAAAGAGGACTTTTATGGACAAACTGTTAGTTTCCTTTGAACCTTTGGTGGGTAAGTGGTCTATAACACACTAGTCCTTTGGTTCCCAGTCTTATCCCAGTTTCAGAAGGCTGTGTGTCATTGCTGGAAATTGATTCATAGAGTTTCAGAGCTTCTCTAGAAGGCCTCAGCCATGTCCTTAAAAGTTGCATAAAACTTTTGGCATATGAGTGATTCAGGGATCCTGACACCAGACCAGAGGGACCTCTACTGAGTGGTGATCTCCTGCTTGCGTAAAGAGCAATTTAAGCAACAGTGTGTTTTCTGTGTTGTAAGATAGTATCAAGGGTCTCTGCAGCAAGGGCCCAAAGATGATGGGTGGAATAAAAGCTTATCCGGTGTAGCTGGTAACCAGCTTCATGTCATGGCACTGGTCCATCTTTTCCCATCTCAACTGTTCCACCTTCTTCTCTTCAAGGGTAGACATGGTGGACGTGGATGCAGGATAGCAGGCATCAGGCAGATGTGAATGGCATGGAAAACCAGGCTCCTGGAGACATTGTGAGTGCTGAGTCCTGCGAGGCTTATTGGCTGCGTATTAAGAGAAGGCCTTGCTTAGTCCAGGAGGGTGGGCATTTTCCAGGCTGCCAGCCAGATGGATGCTGAGGAGGAAACCCAGTCCACTGATTCAACAGCTATTGTCCATGTACCCTATAGATATTGACCAGAGGATAGAGAATTTATTTGAGTTTCACCATTCCAACATAGAATAATCTGTGTGCAGATTTGGGCTAATACGGTGACTTCCACAAAACAAATCAGACAGGTAGAGGTCTAGAGGAAGATTAATTATTATTACTGTCAATAACAGTCGTTTTAGTATACACTACCCTTTAATCTGCAGCCCCTTGAAGACAGCAATAATAGACCCCTATCTGAACTGGAAGGAGGTGATCTTTTGAGACAATTGTTTGTGTGTTAAACTGATTTTAATGAGTATTTTTAAGGCAGGAGTCTTGAAAGCAATCCATTCTAGAGGCAGACATAATGTAGAATTTTTTTATTTTTGTACAGGTTGAGAGAAAAATGTTAAAAAGGTAAACTTCTATGTTTGGGGGATATAGAAGTTTTAGGTTGATGAAAGATAGACTTTTAATTTTTTCCCCCAGAAAGTAACATTTCTTTTGCATAAAAAAAAAACAGTCTGAGAGTATGCAAACAGTACACGTCAACACGGATTACATTCTGAAACCATGGATGCACACCTCACATTCCTGGAGTCATCTAACACTAGCATCAGCAGGTGGTCTTGACATGGTCCTGGACCCATTCTGTGTCACTGAATCTAAGCAGACAAATGGGCCTGCCTGGAAAATAAATAGAAGGAAGAAAGGATGGGAAAGAAGGAGGGAGGGAGGGAAGGAAAGACATTTCTGAATATGTTCCCAAGATGGTAATAACTGGCACCAGTCTATGTTGGTGGCCTTAATGGAAGCCTGTAGAGAATCTTCAGCCTGGGAGACTGAGCAGCTGTGGATATTTGATCATGTTTTCTGGTTAATGCCAAATCTCTGACACAAAGACCTGTTTATCTTTCCATTTTATGGAAGTGAGCCTGGAATGGAGTGTTGCAGCCAGGGGAGGATTACATCCTCTTTCATAAAGCAAACCCTGTGAGGGTTGTGGGATAAAGAATGCAGTTCCGACTATTTATGAGTAAATTCTCTCTTAGGATGAGCCACATGGGAGATAAAGTGAGGGAAAGGAAAGTAAAAACTTAGATTTTAGAGGAACATCACTTTCCTCTGGTTACAGAGGATTCAGGCAATGTTTATTAAGATGGTCTATCACAAATTTGCATACCAGGCATAGTGGAGATAGGAAAAGTCATGGAGGGTAAGATGCACGATCTTGCCCCTTGTCACGCAAGCTGGGGCTACATTTCAGACTCCAGAGCACGGGTCTGGCAAATGTTTCCTGTAATGGGCCAGGTAATAAATATTTTAGGCTTCATGGGCTATACCATCTCTGCTGCAACTATTCAGCTCTACCATTGTGCCATGAAAGCAGCCATAGACAATAGCAAATAGTGCATGTGGCCTTGTTTCAATAAAACTTTATTTAAAAAACAGCAGGAGGCTGGATTTGGCCCATAGGCCACAGTCAGTTGAACTCTGGCCATGGGCAGGCAAGGGGCAGAGCTTTGCGACGGGCTTCGAATACTTGGGCTGGCCTCTGGTTGCGGTGGAGACCAGCCTGCATTTTGTCCTCTCCAGCTTGAGAGCAGGAGCTGCACCTTCTTTGTGCTTCCTGGAGATTCCTGAGGAGTTCAGGGTGTTAGTATCGACTCTGGTTTATTGAATTGGGCTCTGGGTTCAGGCCTGGTGTTTCCAAACAGAAGTGTCAATGGGAAGGAGGACCAGGCCACTGGCAGAAGACGAGAGAAGCAGACATGGAAATAAAGGCAGACAACCTTTTCTTTTTTATTTCGCTTAGACAAAATGCAAAGAGTGTCTCATTAAATTAAAAAAGAAACAAGAGAGAAAACCAAATTGATTCCCCCCACCCCTTCACTGACGGCACTCATCCTAATTAACAACAAAAGAAGACCAAATTGAGAACCCGGTTTCTAATGGGAAAGAAAGGTGTGCAAACGTGACTGAAGTTTTCCCCTGCCCGCAAATCGGTGTTCCTTTTAAATTCACAAATAGGCTGATTTCCCACCCACCCTGTTTTCTTTCTTGCCTCTTGTGTGATAGAACTTCCAGTCAGAAGGTTTAATTAATCCCCCCCATGCACTTTTGTAGAAAATCAGTAAAAATGCAATAGCCTGTGAAGATCATAAAACTGGACTTCTTTCCCAAAAAATCAGATGCCCAGGCGGATGGAGCTCACACTCAGACAGAAAAAAAGCAGGAGAGTCTTTGCACTGTCTGTGGTTTCAGTATTTTCTCTTTTTTTTTTTTAATATATTTTGGCAATTTTCTTTAATTATAAATATTGGAATTCCGTAAAAAAAAGGTAGCTTTGATTGAATTGTTTGAATTGTATTTACAACCGCTGTCCAGTCATGCTGTCTGTTATACCAGGGTGTAAGATTTTGCGTAAGGATTGTTTCCTTTCAAATGGCCCCGGGAGTCGAGCAGTGATTCTTGGGAGCTGCTCATTTTAGCTGCCTGTCCCAGCTCTGCTCCCTCCCGCTGAGGTAATGTGGCCACGGCCCCCGGCTGCCACGACTGTCCTTCTCTCGTGGAGGAGGCGGAGGAGGCGGCTTCCATCGGGATGGGCTCCAGGACCGTGGGGCGCTTCAGGGTCCGGCTTTTCTGAGGTTCCAAGCATGCTTGTCCTAAGCTCAGGTCCCTGCTGGTGCCTGGACCACCTCGGTTTAACAAAAAGTCCATTCTAAGGTATGGAGGCAAATGTATGAGGTCACCTAGAAGGAAAGACAGGGTAGTTAGTTGGTGTCTTCATTTGGTAAACATGGGCAGAATGTCCTGTGTGCACACGGGAAGCCATGCGGGCTTTAGAGATGAGAATGCCGCTGCACACAGGTGCCTTTCTCAAGATCCTCCTTCAGCGCTCACCACAAAGACAGGTGGAATCGTCCTCCTACCTCCTCCCTGGGCGCGGGAGGAGCTCATTTTCCTACAGTACTTACTTACTTGTATTAACTTACTTGTACAGAAATGGAGGAATGGAGGTAACAGAATCCTTCAACACACCATCGTTGAAAGAAAAACATACATCAAAGGCATCAGTGTCCACTGGGTACGAACGGTGATAGACCAAACCCCGCATGTGATTGGAAGTACAGGGAGAGCACAGGGTTTGAGGAGAGAGCCAGGGACGCCAAGCGAAGATGGACAGCTGGCTCTCGTCCTGGCAATTCTATGAAACCTTGTGACCTTGGCCAGCCACTTAGTTATGGGTCTTCATGATGGCTTTGGGTGAAAGCGCCACAGCTTATGGCCTTCTTACCAGGCCCTGCCTACCTGCTAACTTCTGCGTGGCTCTTCTGTTTCAGCCATGCTGTGTATAGAGATGACAGCAGCTTAGACCAGAATTCTAGTGTTTCTACTTCCTGCTTATGGTCACTCTGGCTTCTGTGGTGCCACGCAAACATAACCTCAGGTCTCCTTCAAGAGCATCTGCTGGCTGGGCACGGTGTGCCTCATGCCTGTAATCCTAGAACTTCGGGAGGCCGAGGCGGAAGGATCACCTGAGGTCAGGAGTTCAAGACCAGCCAGGCCAACATGGCAAAACCCCCTCTCTACTAAAAATACAAAAACTAGCCAAGCATGATGGTGGGCGCCTGTAGTCCCAGTACTGGGGACACTGAGGCAGGAGAATCGCTTGAACCCGGGAGGAGGAGGTTGCAGTGAGCTGAGATTATGCCACTGCACTCCAGCCTGGGTGACAGAGCAAGACTCAAACAAAACAAAACAAAACAAAACAAAACAAACAAAAAACCCAAACCAAAACAAAAAAACCAAGAGCATCTGCTGCAGGAAGGGAGGCATGTGTTCTCTGGGATGCTGCAAGCCAATGACAAGCGTGACAGGGCTTTTCTCATGGCCGTCCCCGCCCGATGCAGGATCTCCCTAACAGGCATCCTTTGCTCAGGGATACCCCATCAGCCTCACTGCAGCCTTCTCAGAAGTGCACCGCAGCCTGACGTGCCTCCAACCAATCCCTCCTTCGCCTTCTCCTCTCACAGGTGTCGGACCTCTGTTATGGTCTCCAGACTCTCCTTGCCACCTCCTGCTTCCTTTTGCTTCCTTCTTCACAAGAATTTCCCCAATAAATTCCTTGTGTGTCTAATCTGTCTTGCTAGGCGCTTCTCAAAAACCTGAACTGACACAGCTTCTTTCACCATCAGCTACTGAAAGGTCACCCTGACCTCTCATTGCCAAATTCTCTGGTTTCCTCTTCGTCCTCTTCCTACCTGCATTACTATAGCATTTGATGCCGTTGATATTTTTGTTGTTGGCCCTTTCAGCTGCCAGGGCACTGTGGTCTTCCAGATCTCTGCCTACATTTCTGGCCACCCTTTCTCACTTTCCTTGACTGGATCCTTTTCTCTGTCTTTCCTCTAAATACGGAGTGTTCAGTGGCCTGCTCTCAGGCCTCTCTCGGAAGGCTTGGCTGCTTTCCTCATTGCTTTATAAATAACATTCCCATCTATCTTTTCCATTTTGCTCTTTCTCCTGAGCCCTAGATGTGAATTTTAGGTGCTTTGCTAGGCATTTCCACACGAGTGTCCATCTGGAATTCTGAAGGCCACAGTCTACCAATTCAGTTAATGAAGGCCAACCCCATCCCCTCCCAATCCCAAATACTGCTTCTCTCCTGTGTGCTCCATCTTGTGTAACATTATCACCATCCTTCCATCCTTGAAACCTCAGAGGTTTCACTGACACCTTTCTCTCCAGGTTAATTCTACCGGCAAAATATCTCTTGACTCTTTTTTTTTTTTTTCTTTTTTAAACAAGAAGAGATAGAGTCTTGCTCTGTTGCCCAGGCTAGAGTGCAATGGTGCATTCATGGCTCACTGTAGCCTCAAACTCCTGGGCTCAAGCAAACCTTCCACCTCAGCCTCCAGAGTAGCTAGGGCTACAGTTACATACCACCATGCCTGGCTAATTATTATTCTTAAAATATTCTGGAGACACAGGGTCTTGCTTGGTTTCCCAGGCTGGTCTCAAACTCTTGAACTCAAGTGATGCTCCTGCCTCAGCTTCTCAAAGCACTGGGATTACAGACATGAGCCACCTGGCCTTGACTCCTTCTCATTCCCATCTTCAGGGCCCTGTTTCAAGGCTTTAATATATCCCATCACCTCCTTGCAAAGCATGAGCACAATTAGGGCCCAGCCACCAGGTCCACTTTGCAACCAACACTGCCTGACTTGAGCTGGACTGACGCTGGGTCTGAGTTTCTGCTGTTTTGGTACAGACAGTGTGCCTTATCCAGCCCAGTGCTTCCCACTTTTTGAGGAACAGGCAGACAAGGGGTATTTGTGCAGTACACTGGGATGAACCCAGGGAGCTGTTTCTGGCCACCTTGAGGTCTGAAGGACTCACCATCTTGGCACACCTGTAACTCGTGACATACCAGGTGCAAAACTCTGTCTAGAGAATGGGCTGGTGGTGTGTGGTCCTGGAGCGAGGGCCCAGGGTAAAGGATGTGCAGGGAGAGAGATATGATGATGGTCTGAGCTCAGGAGCAGCTGTGGGATGTGAGAGAGGGAATTAAATTGTGAGATATGAAGGGGGTCCAAGGAAGGTGGCTTCAGAGTCAATGACAAGTGGGAGTGGTGACAGAGGAGAAGGGGTTAGGGGTGACTCCTTCCCAGGCTCTAAGCTCAGGAAACTGTGTGGACAGTGAAATCACTAACTGTGAAAGGGTGTATAGGGGAAAGATCGTACTTTGATGACAAAAGATGAAGGGTTTAGTTTCAGACCTGCTGAGTTTGATGCAGCTGGGGACATTCAAGACAAGATATCTAGTAGGTATTTTTATCATAGAAACGTAGCTCTAGGATGACTCACTGCTCGTTTTCTGAGTCTAAAGTAACTGAACATTCTTGTTTCTTTTGCTTCAAAATATCCCCTGCTTTCCTTATGTTACTGTATGCTAACAATAATTAATTGAGCCTTCCTCATCCAGCCCCTTTGGACCCATAGGCCCCGAAGGTGCAGGCTGAGGGGATCTGAGACCACCTGAGCCAAGTGAGGGCTGCCATTAGCCAGCTGCTCTGCTAGCGGGGCAATGAAAGTGATATGTGTTTAGACAGTGTTTAAAGCCTGAACCTTAGGAAACACCTTCAAGTTTACCCACAGAAAAAGAACAACCAGCATAACAGAAGGAAAGGACTATTCAAGAGTATAAGAGAACTGGCCTGTAATCCCCGCCCACTTTGGGAGGCCTAGGCAATGGATCACCTGAGGTCAGGTGTTCGAGACCAGCCAGGCCAAAATGGGGAAACCCCGTCTCTACTGAAAATAGAAAAATCAGCTGGACGTGGTGGTACACGCCTGTAATCCCAGCTACTCAGGAGGCTGAGGCAGGAGAATCTTTTGAACCTGCGCATTGGAGGTTGCTGCACGATTGCACTCTATCCTGGGCAACAAGGATGAAACTCCATCTCAAAAAAAAAAAAAAAAAGTATAAGAGAACTAAAAATAAATATGGCCAAATCAAGCCCTAAAAATGCATTTTATACAATTTAAATGAGCATACAAATTTTCAAAATGTTATTACCCGTCTTGAAAATTTTTTTCCGCGAACAACAGGAGCAATGACCTTATTTTTGGGAAATGCAGCAAATGATTTCTTTGTCATTGTGTTATTACATTGTTGCACCACTTGGGATTTATGATTCAAAACTCCATTTAGCTTTTTCAGGATATCTTTATTCTACTAAGTGATGATGAGTAGTTATATGATTTCACTGGGAATGGCAGCATGTAATTCACTAAATGACCCCAGCGACACTGGACTGGGCTCACTGAAATTAAAGGCATTCTAATTCAACGTTGGCTTCCTACTGTCAACTGGATCCAAGGGAAGCTCAGTAATAAATACCTAGACAATAAATGGGCCATAACATTTTTTTTTTTTTTGAGATGGAGTTTTGCTCTTGTCGCCCAGGCTGGAGTGCAACTCGGTTCGCCACAACCTCCACCTCCCGGTTCAAGCGATTCTCCCCCCTCAGCCTCCTGAGTAGCTGGGATTACAGGCATGCACCACCACGCCTGGCTAATTTTTGTATTTTTAGTAGAGACAGGGTTTCTCCATGTTGGTCAGGCTGGTCTCATATTCCTGACCTCGGGTGATCCACCCGCCTCAGCCTCCCAAAGTGTTGGGATTACAGGCGTGAGCCACCGCACCTGGCCCATAACATTCTTATAGGAAGGAATTACATAATTTGGCATTCTTGTAAAAAGGGTTTTGGTAACTTGATGCATCTGAACTTTGGCTTAGAAAAATATAATGGCATGAGGCCTACCCATTATAGACACTAATGTGGAGGGTTCAGGAATCTCTTGCCATATAGAATAGCTTTGTTCCTGAAAGAATTTGAGTTTTTAAAACTTTATGAAACTTGATGGCATTGAAAATTACTAATGTTCGTTTATGGTAGTTATTCTTCAGTCTTCTCTAACCAGGGATTATTTGCAAAAAAAGTGATGAAAGCATTAACAGAGCTGTCATTAAGAAAAAATTGAATAATTCTTTTGTAATGTGAACATCCTTTTGTATGTGAATCAATACACCTTAATTGACCAGTCTTGCGATTTGTAGTTTTATACATTCAATCTCCTGAAAGTGATTATGTCTTTATTCCTAAGAATCTGATAAACAAATTGTTAATTTTATTATTTATTTATTTTAAATTTTAAATTATTTTTATTCAATATTATTTTTATCATGTTGTTTGTATATTTGAGGAAATGGGACAGACATTTACCTCCAGGGTTCTTTAAATATATAGGTCAAGAATGCCTCATGCTCTTTCTGAGACCCGACTCAATCACGAACGCTTGACATATTTGTAATGTGTTGCAACAGATTTGGGGATAAATCTCTATTTTAGTGACTCCCCATTGAATGCACAGGGCTTATTAAACCTCCACAAAGTAATAGCATTGTGGTCCCGGCTGGACTGCAGAATGCGCAGGTCTTAGATTGGAAGGAAGAAACGTGTTTGAAATCAAAAGATAGGACTCATAATATCTGCATCCTGCCTGCAGGGGCTCCCACTTCAGATGTAGTTATCAAGAGGGCTCCAGTCACTGAAATGGACAGATGAGAAATAAAAATCCTTCCTAATGGAAACAGCTCAGTGTTACATCTTTACATGCAATGCCTACATGTATTTGTTTATTGCAGGTCTGACAAGTATCTCTGAATATCCAATATCTCTGATTGATCCAGTTTTTCAGGCAAAGCTCTACAAAGTTGTGTGATTCTCTAATTAGCTCCCTTCAACAATGTGTATTTTCTGATTAGCGTCCAAAGTAGCCCTTTCAACTGTGTGCGTGCTGCAAATGAGTTCTCTCAATAATTAATGCACTTACAGAGAAGAGAGCACCAGAGTAGTCAGCGGTAAGCTCTGTTATTACAGGCACTTATGTTCTTTAAAACCCCAGCCCATGTGCTCATCAACAAAGCCTCTGAGGACCTGGATTCTCTAATTGTCCTCCTATATGCTTAAGATGCCTACACATAGCAAGACAACTCATGCAGTTATTGATCCAGAAAGAGACACATGATGTGTGAGACTGTGGTGACCATGGGGACATTGGCACAGCATTCCCCAGTGCCCTGCCTGCCATCTGCCTGTGTCACATGGGAGAAACCAGCCCTTGGCTTTAATTGTGGTGATGAGGAATAGAGGCCAGGATAACATTGCCTGCATTTATCTGACAGGTCTAGATCTGGGCTCAGTTTCCTTATCCATAAAATGGGAGTAATAGCAGAATCTAGCATAGAGGGCTGTGGTGAAGAGTAACTTAGATAATGCATGTGAAAGCTTTCCCTGGATTAAGGAATCTGTTTCCACAGGGAGCAGGGCCTTCTTGGGTGTGTCTGGTACTCCCCAGCTCACCTGCCCCACAGCTTACCATTCAGGACCCTCTCCAGTTCTCCCATGCAGTGAAAAGTAGCAGGGATCCAGAAGAAGTCCAAGGATCCTTTGTGCTTTGAACTCCAGGGTCACCATATTGGGTCACCATGTCATGGGTACTCACCTCCACTGGGTGCAAATGCCCTCGGCATCCCTGTGTGTAAATCTATCATTGCCATAAACACTGGCAAAGGCAAATGCCCAGTCTTAGTACTTGTTTCAGTAAAACCAGCTATGACAAAATTCACTTATATTTTTGGCAATGATTTCCATACTCTATGGTGTCACTTCACTTCCTCTGCTTTGCTTCCCTCAACCTTTCTCCACATTTCCCCCCTTCCCCTTCTCCCTCCTTCTTTCCCTTCCTCCTGTCTCTTTATCTCTTTCTCTCATTCCCTCCATTCTTTCCTTTATTTTCCTTCTAATATAGTTTGGCTGTGTCCCCACCCAAATCTCTTCTTGAATTGTAGCTCCCATAATTCCCATGTGTTGTAGGAGGGACCCAGTGGGAAGTAATTGAATCATGGCAGTGGTTTCCCCCATACTGTTCTCATGGTAGTGGATGAGTCTCACAAGGTCTGATGGCTTTATAAGGGGTTGCCCCATTCACTTGGCTCTCATTTTTCTCTTGCCTGCCACCATATAAGATGTGCCTGTCACCTTCCGCCATGATTGTGAGGCTTCCCCAGCCACATGGAACTGTGAGTCCATTAAATCTCTTCTTTATAAATTACCCAGTCTCAGGCAACATGAAAACTAACTTCCTTCCTTCCTTCCTTCTTTTCCTTGTTTTGTTTCCCTTGTGCTAAAACTTCTATCCACGAAATCAAAGGCATAGAAAAGGGGTAAAAACATGAAGCAGGGGAGGGACAAAGAGGTAGCTGAGTGCAATAAGACAGCAAGCAGGGCATACACATCAAGAAAAGTGTGGTGTGTGTGTGTGTGTGAGAGAGAGAGAGAGAGGAGAGAGATATGGGAGGGAAAATCTAACTGGAAGAGCAGCATACTGAAAGGGGAAGTTGAGGCATGGAGAAGGAAAGGACTAGCGCTGGTAGGAGGATCCAGCTCATGGTCTGACGGCAGGAGGAACTGAGCTTGAACTCACTTCCATGCCCTCCTTCTGCCCTGCTCACCTACCTGCCCGCACTGCCGGTTCCTTCCCAGTGAGCTAAACCCAGTTAGTGTCTCCAGCCCAGGCCCAGCATGAATACAAAGGCTCACAGAGTCCTGCCTGGGCCTTTGGGACAGGGTCCCCCTGCTGACTTCTTTGGGCTGTAATGGTGGATTTGCACACCATGAACCCACTGTGCTCTGCCCTGAGGCCAATGCCCTTCCTGTCAGAGACCCTAAGTGAGGGTGAGGGATGGAGAAGGTGGAGATGGCCAAGCACAGAGAAGGGCTCTGGGAAACTGAGTTCAGGGACTGAGATGCAGGAACATACCAGGGTCAGGGGAGGCTGAGATGAATAAGGCTGGGGGGGTGTGAGGGAGGATGGATGAGAGAGAGGGGAAGAGACACACAGAGAGAGAGAGAGGGATCAGAGAGATGGAAACACACACAGGGAGGCAGAAAGAAAGAAACGTAGCACTCTAACCTGGGCGATAGAGCGAGACTCCGTCTCAAAAAAAAAAAAAAAAAAAAAGAAAAGAAACATAGCTACGCAGGTCGGTAGACAGATAAAAATTAGAGACAGAGTCACAAATAGAGAAGGGAAAAGGGGAACATGGTAACCATCTGGGACAGTGGTAAGGAGCAGTGGAGGAAGAGGGCACCAGAAAGGTGAGTACTATGAGAATAAATGTGTACCACCCACTTTGAACGGCCCTTGTGGAGCTTTAAAGATGTGTGCACCATACAAGGACCACTGGCCCATCCATCACTGGGGCACCCATTTCTCATTCTTTTCTCATCAGCCTCACCAAAACCCAGTGCAGATCACAGGCTGCACCCATCACTGCCTTTCTGGAGGGAACCCAGGCAGCTGCTTTGACTTCCGCCTTGAGGATGAGACGCTTTACCCATTATTGCAGCATTTTGCTTTCTTATTTGACATCATGCTTCATTTCTCATCCTTCTGTTGCTGCCCTCTGGGGACCTTCAGTGCCATTAATGTCTCCAAAAGTTCTGATTAAATAGGTCAGCATTGATTTCTCTCTCTTTCTCTAACCACTTTGCATACTAGTATCACAAGCTCCTCCTTGCCTCTGGTCCTGAAATGTACAGATTCCTTCTGCAGGCCCCACATCCATCAGCAGATTCACACTCAGAGCTTGTCCCCCTCCACTAACGGTGCATTAGAACCATGGTTGGCCTGACTGTGGGAAAACTGCTGAACTAAACCTGCCTCCTTTTAGCTGAAACCTAGGAAAGCAAAACTTCCTGAATTTTCTCAATCTATTCAGACACACGCAAGGTTTGAATGTATTTCAGTTCTTGGAAGAAGGATGGCAAAATCAATACTGAAATAACAAGAATGAAGCAATTCAGAAAATGGATGTGCATTCCATTAATCCATCATCAAACAATGGTTCTTGCTATGGTTCTTGCTATCTCCCAGGCACCACACTAGGGGAAAATATCTGAACACTAGATCAGAGGCTCTCCACTGAGGGTGGCTTTGTCCCCAGGGGACATGTAGCAAAGTCTGGAGACATTTTGATTGTCATAACACAGGGGAGGGTGACACTATTGATACCTATTGGTCAGAGGCCAGGGGTGCTGCTCAACATCATCCAATGCTCAGAATAGCCCCTGCCACGAAGAATGATCTGGCTTCAAATACTAACGGTGCTGCTGTTGAGAAACTCTGTTTTAGATGATCAGAATTCATAAGGCCAAGTGTTCCTTATTTCACTTTAATTCTACTTATAAAGCATTGAATTCAACCAGGATAAGCAGTTGTACCCCTCAGCCTCAGAATACTAGTCCACAAGGAGTTACGACCTCAGTTCTTCATGGAAGAAAATAAGAGATGGTCCAATGGAACTGTAATCAGAAGGCAAAACCCCCAGGTCTTTCTCCATTGGCACCCGCTGAGGCAGGAGCTGATTCCAGTGGAAAGAGCAGTAGTTACAGAGTGCAGGGCTTGGTGTTGAAATCCTGTCTCTGCCTCTGCTTCTGCCTCCAGGTAGTTTTGTGACCCTTTTGAGCCTTGGTGCTCTTGCCTTTAGACAAATGAATGAGGCACAATACATTCTTTTTTTTTTTCTTATATCTAAACTTTTTATTAGCAACAAGTAATATTTACCAAAAGTATTGAGTTGGATGTATTTTAGCAGTATTTTCTTTTCTTTTTTTCTTTTATTATTTTAAGTTTTAGGGTACATGTGCATATTGTGCAGGTTAGTTACATATGTATACATGTGCCATGCTGGTGTGCTGCACCCATTAACTAGTCATCTAGCATTAGGTATATCTCCCAGTGCTATCCCTCTCCCCTCCCCCCACCCCACTACAGTCCCCAGAGTGTGATGTTCCCCTTCCTGTGTCCATGTGATCTCATTGTTCAATTCCCACCTATGAGTGAGAATATGTGGTGTTTGGTTTTTTGTTCTTGCGATAGTTTACTGAGAATGATGATTTCCAATTTCATCCATGTCCCTACAAAGGACATGAACTCATCATTTTTTATGGCTGCATAGTGTTCCATGGTGTATATGTGCCACATTTTCTTAATCCAATCATTGTTGGACATTTGGGTTGGTTCCAAGTCTTTGCTATTGTGAATAATGCCGCAATAAACATACGTGTGCATATGTCTTTATAGCAGCATGATTTATATTCCTTTGGGTATATACCCAGTAATGGGATGGCTGGGTCAAATGGTATTTCTAGTTCTAGGTCCCTGAGGAATCGCCACACTGACTTCCACAATGGTTGAACTAGTTTACAGTCCCACCAACAGTGTAAAAGTGTTCCTATTTCTCCACATCCTCTCCAGCACCTGTTGTTTCCTGACTTTTTAATGATTGCCATTCTAACTGGTGTGAGATGGTATCTCATTGTGGTTTTGATTTGCATTTCTCTGATGGCCAGTGATGGTGAGCATTTTTTCATGTGTTTTTGGCTGCATAAATGTCTTCTTTTGAGAAGTGTCTGTTCATGTCCTTCACCCACTTTTCGATGGGGTTGTTTGTTTTTATCTTGTAAATTTGTTTGAGTTCATTGTAGATTCTGGATATTAGCCCTTTGTCAGATGAGTAGGTTGCGAAAATTTTCTCCCATTTTGTAGGTTGCCTGTTCACTCTGATGGTAGTTTCTTTTGCTGTGCAGAAACTCTTTAGTTTAATTAGATCCCATTTGTCAATTTTGGCTTTTGTTGCCTTTGCTTTTGGTGTTTTAGACATGAAGTCCTTGCCCATGCCTATGTCCTGAATGGTAATGCCTAGGTTTTCTTCTAGGGTTTTTATGGTTTTAGGTCTAACGTTTAAGTCTTTAATCCATCTTGAATTGATTTTTGTATAAGGTGTAAGGAAGGGATCCAGTTTCAGCTTTCTACATATGGCTAGCCAGTTTTCCCAGCACCATTTATTAAATAGGGAATCCTTTCCCCATTGCTTGTTTTTTCTCAGGTTGGTCAAAGATCAGATAGTTGTAGATATGCGGCATTATTTCTGAGGGCTCTGTTCTGTTCCATTGATCTATATCTGTGTTTTGGTACCAGTACCATGCTGTTTTGGTTACTGTAGCCTTGTAGTATAGTTTGAAGTCAGGTAGTGTGATGCCTCCAGCTTTTTTCTTTTGGCTTAGGATTGCCTTGGCAATGCGGGCTCTTTTTTGGTTCCATATGAACTTTAAAGTAGTTTCTTCCAATTCTGTGAAGAAAGGCATTGGTACCTTGATGGGGATGGCACTGAATCTGTAAATTACCTTGGGCAGTATGGCCATTTTCACGATATTGATTCTTCCTACCCATGAGCATAGAATGTTCTTCCATTTGTTTGTATCCTCTTTTATTTCGTTGAGCAGTGGTTTGTAGTTCTCCTTGAAGAGGTCCTTCACATCCCTTGTAAGTTGGATTCCTAGGTATTTTATTCTCTTTGAAGCAATTGTGAATGGGAGTTCACTCATGATTTGGCTCTCTGTTTGTCTGTTATTGGTGTATAAGAATGCTTGTGACTTTTGTACATTGATTTTGTATCCTGAGACTTTGCTGAAGTTGCTTATCAGCTTAAGGAGATTTTGGGCTGAGACAGTGGGGTTTTCTAGATACACAATCATGTCATCTGCAAACAGGGACAATTTGACTTCCTCTTTTCCTAATTGAATACCCTTCATTTCCTTCTCCTGCCTAATTGCCCTGGCCAGAACTTCCAACACTATGTTGAATAGGAGTGGTGAGAGAGGGCATCCCTGTCTTGTGCCAGTTTTCAAAGGGAATGCTTCCAGTTTTTGCCCATTCAGTATGATATTGGCTGTGGGTTTGTCATAGATAGCTCTTATTATTTTGAGATACGTCCCATCAATACCTAACTTATTGAGAGTTTTTAGCATGAAGGGTTGTTGAATTTTGTCAAAGGCCTTTTCTGCATCTATTGAGATAATCATGTGGTTTTTGTCTTTGGCTCTGTTTATATGCTGGATTACATTTATTGATTTGTGTATATTGAACCAGCCTTGCATCCCAGGGATGAAGCCCACTTGATCATGGTGGATAAGCTTTTTGATGTGCTGCTGGATTCGGTCTGCCAGTATTTTATTGAGGATTTTTGCATCAATGTTCATCAAGGATATTGGTCTAAAATTATCTTTTTTGGTTGTGTCTCTGCCTGGCTTTGGTATCAGAATGATGCTGGCCTCATAAAATGAGTTAGGGAGGATTCCCTCTTTTTCTATTGATTGGAATAGTTTCAGAAGGAATGGTACCAGTTCCTCCTTGTACCTCTGGTAGAATTCGGCTGTGAATCCATCTGGTCCTGGACTCTTTTTGGTTGGTAAGCTATTGATTGTTGCCACAATTTCAGATCCTGTTATTGGTCTATTCAGAGATTCAACTTCTTCCTGGTTTAGTCTTGGGAGAGTGTATGTGTCGAGGAATTTATCCATTTCTTCTAGATTTTCTAGTTTATTTGCGTAGAGGTGTTTGTAGTACTCTCTGATGGTAGTTTGTATTTCTGTGGGATTGGTGGTGATGTCCCCTTTATCATTTTTTATTGCATCTATTTGATTCTTCTCTCTTTTTCTCTTTATTAGTCTTGCTAGCAGTCTATCTATTTTGTTGATCCTTTCAAAAAACCAGCTCCTGGATTCATTAATTTTTTGAAGGGTTTTTTGTGTCTCTATTTGCTTCGGTTCTACTCTGATTTTAGTTATTTCTTGCCTTCTGCTAGCTTTTGAATGTGTTTGCTCTTGCTTTTCTAGTTCTTTTAATTGTGATGTTAGGGTGTCAATTTTGGATCTTTCCTGCTTTCTCTTGTGGGCATTTAGTGCTATAAATTTCCCTGTACACACTGCTTTGAATGCGTCCCAGAGATTCTGGTATGTTGTGTCTTTGTTCTCGTTGGTTTCAAAGAACATCTTTATTTCTGGTTTCATTTCGTTATGTACCCAGTAGTCATTCAGGAGCAGGTTGTTCAGTTTCCATGTAGTTGAGCGATTTTGAGTGAGATTCTTAATCCTGAGATCTAGTTTGATTGACCTGTGGTCTGAGAGACAGTTTGTTATAATTTCTGTTCTTTTACATTTGCTGAGGAGAGCTTTACTTCCAAGTATGTGGTCAATTTTGGAATAGGTGTGGTGTGGTGCTGAAAAAAATGTGTATTCTGTTGATTTGGGGTGGAGAGTTCTGTAGATGTCTATTAGGTCCACTTGATGCAGAGCTGAGTTCAATTCCTGGGTATCCTTGTTGACTTTCTGTCTCGTTGATCTGTCTAATGTTGACAGTGGGGTGTTAAAGTCTCCCATTATTAATGTGTGGGAGTCTAAGTCTCTTTGTAGGTCACTCAGGACTTGCTTTATGAATCTGGGTGCTCCTGTATTGGGTGCATATATATTTAGGATAGTTAGCTCTTCTTGTTGAATTGATCCCTTTACCATTATGTAATGGCCTTCTTTGTCTCTTTTGATCTTTGTTGGCTTAAAGTCTGTTTTATCCGAGACTAGGATTGCAACCCCTGCCTTTTTTTGTTTTCCATTTGCTTGGTAGATCTTCCTCCATCCTTTTATTTTGAGCCTATGTGTGTCTCTGCACGTGAGATGGGTCTCCTGAATACAGCACACTGATGGGTCTTGACTCTTTCTTTATCCAATTTGCCAGTCTGTGTCTTTTAATTGGAGCATTTAGTCCATTTACATGTAAAGTTAATATTGTTATGTGTGTATTTGATCCTGTCATTATGATGTTAGCTGGTTATTTTGCTCGTTAGTTGATGCAGTTTCTTCCTAGTCTTGATGGTCTCTACATTTTGGCATGATTTTGCAGTGGCTGGTACCGGTTGTTCCTTTCCATGTTTAGTGCTTCCTTCAGGAGCTCTTTTAGGGCAGGCCTGGTAGTGACAAAATCTCTCAGCATTTGCTTGTCTGTAAAGTATTTTATTTCTCCTTCACTTATGAAGCTTAGTTTGGCTGGATATGAAATTCTGGGTTGAAAATTCTTTTCTTTAAGAATGTTGAATATTGGCCCCCACTCTCTTCTGGCTTGTAGGGTTTCTGCCGAGAGATCCACTGTTAGTCTGATGGGCTTCCCTTTGAGGGTAACCCGACCTTTCTCTCTGGCTGCCCTTAACATTTTTTCCTTCATTTCAACTTTGGTGAATCTGACAATTATGTGTCTTGGAGTTGCTCTTGTCAAGGAATATCTTTGTGGCATTCTCTGTATTTCCTGAATCTGAACTTTGGCCTGCCTTGCTAGATTGGGGAAGTTCTCCTGGATAATATCCTGCAGAGTGTTTTTCAACTTGGTTCCATTCTCCCCATCACTTTCAGGTACACCAATCAGACGTAGATTTGGTCTTTTCACATAGTCCCATATTTCTTGGAGGCTTTGCTCATTTCTTTTTATTCTTTTTTCTCTAAACTTCCCTTCTTGCTTCATTTCATTCATTTCATCTTCCATCACTGATACCCTTTCTTCCAGTTGATCGCATCGGCTCCTGAGGCTTCTGCATTCTTCACGTAGTTCTCGAGCCTTGGTTTTCAGCTCCATCAGCTCCTTTAAGCACTTCTGTGTATTAGTTATTCTAGTTATACATTCTTCTAAATTTTTTTCAAAGTTTTCAACATCTTTGCCTTTGGTTTGAATGTCCTCCTGTAGCTCAGAGTAATTTGATCGTCTGAAGCCTTCTTCTCTCAGCTTGTCATAGTCATTCTCTGTCCAGCTTTGTTCCGTTGCTGGTGAGGAACTGCATTCCTTTGGCAGAGGAGAGGCGCTCTGCTTTTTAGAGTTTCCAGTTTTTCCCCATCTTTGTGGTTTTATCTACTTTTGGTCTTTGATGATGGTGATGTACAGATGGGTTTTTGGTGTGGATGTCCTTTCTGTTTGTTAGTTTTCCTTCTAACAGACAGGACCCTCAGCTGCAGGTCTGTTGGAGTACCCTGCCCTGTGAGGTGTCAGTCTGCCCCTGCTGGGGGGTGCCTCCCAGTTAGGCTGCTCGGGGGTCCGGGGTCAGGGACCCACTTGAGGAGGCAGTCTGCCCTTCTCAGATGTCCAGCTGCGTACTGGGAGGACCACTGCTCTCTTCAAAGCTGTCAGACAGGGACATTTGAGTCTGCAGAGGTTACTGCTGTCTTTTTGTTTGTCTGTGCAGCCTACAGAGGCAGGCAGGCAGGCCTCCTTGAGCTGTGGTGGGCTCCACCCAGTTCGAGCTTCCAGGCTGCTTTGTTTACCTAAGCAAGCCTGGGCAATGGCGGGCCCCCCTCCCCCAGCCTGGCTGCCACCTTGCAGTTTGATCTCAGACTGCTCTGCTAGCAATCAGCGAGACTCCATGGGCGTAGGACCCTCCAAGCCAGGTGCGGGATATAATCTCGTGGTGCGCCATGTTTTAAGCCCGTCAGAAAAGCACAGTATTCGGGTGGGAGTGACCCGATTTTCCAGGTGCCGTCCGTCACCCCTTTCTTTGACTAGGAAAGGGAACTCCCTGACCCTTTGTGCTTCCCGAGTGAGGCAATGCCTCGCTCTGCTTCGGCTCACGCACAGTGTGCGCACCCACTGTCTGGCACTCCCTAGTGAGATGAACCCGGTACCTCAGATGGAAATGCCGAGATCACCCGTCTTCTGCGTCGCTCACGCTGGGAGCTGCAGACCGGAGCTGTTCCTATTCGCACTTATTTTCCATTCTTGCCCTTAGCAAATCAAAAAGACATCTCTTCAACAGATAAAGGGGTGCTCTCCCTTGAAATGAGGATAGCTATCCACAAAGCAGGCAGCATTATCTAGCTGTAATTTTAATGCTACCTGAATTTTGAATTTGCCTGTACAATTACAAGTCCTAAAAATGCAGCAAATTATTGTCTTCTTCCATAAGGGATGACTATTCCCATCTCTACAAACAGAAAACAAAATTCTCTATTCTTTTGAGAAATAGCTGCAAAGTTTAACAATTTTTTTTCCTCTGGGTCAAGGTGGCTTCCAATTCTTGGTTTCAGGTAGCATTTTGAGCCAGTTGCAAACCTTCTTGGATTACTGCTTCTTCTTCTTATGATGTTTATCCTGTGCCGTCAAGAGAAGCCATTACATGAAGCTACTTAATTCAGTTTCAAGTTTCAGACATGCACCCTAACACAGCCTGCCCCACTAGTGGTAGGGAAAGCATCAGCCCCTTTGGATCTCTGTGCTCATGCCCTCTGGGCCCCAGACACAAGGTTATGAGTTTCAGCCCCTTCCTTGGGGAATGCATTTGAGGTTGTTTTTTTTTTTTTTAGTGGGAAAAGGCCACTGCCTGGTGCCAACTTGTTAATTCACTAAATTGCCAGTAATTCGAAAGAGTTACTGGATTTTAATTTTAGGATCCATTCATCTTGCATCACTCTCTCCTGAGGGTGTGAGGGTGGAGAGTAGGAGGCGGGCCCCAAGGCATGCAGAGAGGCCAGGAGCCCTTACCTGAAGAAAGAGCCTACCTCTGCACAGGTCAGCACTATTCTGACCAAGGCTGGCCACCGTATTCTCAGTTGTCATTTTGACCATGCTGTTTTCCCTCTCTGAAGTCTGGGTATCTGTCATGTTGGCTCTGAAATCAAAACAAGACACCAGCAGTCCAATCTTCAGAGCTAAATAACCCCCACCCCCAGCTTCACTTACCTATATCTCCCTCACTGCCTGAGGACTTGGCTCAGGCAGCTGGGGTGCCAAGCCTCGGGGCTTGCATCTTCCTCCTCTGTTCTGCACATCACTAAAACTCAGTTTTGAAATGTTTATCATAAATATTATACTAAGGGTCTCCTTTCAAATGCAAGTCTCTTTGATGCCTACACGTGTGCTTGCGCACACACATGCGTGCACACATACACATTCACACACAAGTACACATGCATGGACACATATATGTTGACACACATGCACATGTACGTGGATACATAAGCACATGCTCCCATGCATGGATACACACAGGCACACACACATTCTCACTGCACTGCTCTGCGTTCCACCCTTCTAGAGGAAGGCTTGCTCCCTCCCTCTCAGCCTCCCTGCTCCTCTGTCTTTTTTTGCCATGCGTGTGTTGAGTGGACACTAAATGACTGGTCCTGTTTTGGGAACTGAGGATGCAGTGATTGATAGACAAGACCCACAGAGATCCCCACTGATCAAGTAAACAAACAAATAGTATCGTTCCCGACTGTGGTGAGTGCTGGGTGGAGAAGCAAATCCAGGAAGGGGATAAAACGTGGGAGGGGAGTATTTTGGAAAGAATGGCCCGGAAAGGCCTCTCAGGCAATGAGACGTAAATGATGGGATGGAAGGAGCCCTGCAAAGATCCTTCTGGTGGTCCAGAGAGCTGAGCAAAGATAAAGGCCAGGAGATAGGAATGAGCTTGGCGTTCACAACAGGGATCAAGAGTTCCCTCTGAACTACGACCCTTCAAACACTCCCATAGAATTTTAGGTTAAAAGAACCCTGGGGCCATCCAACAAAGCCTCCACATACTGCTGTTCACGCCCACTCGATGTCGACCTAAATATTGGCATGTGCTAATCCTGATTTCTGCTGGAAATCCAGGTCTCTCTGAGGAGTATTTGCAATTTTAGCTTCTTAAGGGCTCTTATAGAATTTCAGTGTCTTCTTAGTAACTCTCCCTCAGACTCAGAAAGTGACAGTAGGACCTGTTCTGAGGGGTTCTCAAGCTTAGAACTCTAAGCCCTTTGCCTGAAATAAAAGCTTAGCATGTATGTACATGGGGTCTTCTGCAGCCACTACCCTGCAACCATCCTCCTGCCACTGTGTTCAAGAGGCCATCCCCTGTACCTCTGACCTTGTCCGGTGGTCTGGCTGGTTCACTGTACTTGCTGCAGTTGCTAAGCTGGTGTTTGTGTCCTCTTGTTCCAGAACATGTATTCCCTGTGTTCTGATTCTCTTGTCTGACTTCTGAGCCCCTTAAAAGGCTCACTGTTTTTCTTGGGTAGCTTATTGGGGTTCAGTTCTAATCATTGCGAAATCCTGGGCTGTGCCAGTTCCTCGAGAGGTGGAAAGTGATGGGGGAGGCATGTACCTTAGAGAACAGTGATGTGGGGGTAGAGGCCTCTTTGTCCCTGCTGAGTGACCAGAAGGAAGCTCCCAGATTCCAGCTCTACAGATGACAAGAAAGAAGGCTGCCCAGGCTAACTGAACGTTCACTGCATCTCAGACAGACCCGGTTAAAACACAAATATACGACACTCGTGTATTGAATCCCTACTGATTGAATATCTCCTGAGTAAAAAGACACTGGGTATTACCCTAACACATAAAAGGGTTAATATCTTAAATTAACACTCCTCACAGTCTCATTCATTTATCAGAATAGTGTGTATCAAAGACTGCAGGCAATGGGTTCTGAAGACATGAGACAGGCAAATCTTGAGAAGGTCAAGAAATAATACAAAGCCCAGCTCATAGAAGATGGTCAGTCACCACCTACACACACAAACACGCACACACATACACAGCCCAGTGAGGCCTTGTGAGAAGCTAAAGCCACACGAAGGCCCAGGGAGCATACAGAAAGGTAAGAAGACAGCAAAGACCATCGTCTTCCAATGTGGCCTCCTGTACACTCTGCTGGCACCAGGGCCTAAGGCATCCTGTATCCCAAACCAGAAATGGGAGACAAGCCATCATTTCCAGTAAGAGTCAACCTTCCTCTGTTTAACCCCCTTCCATGGCTTCCTGCTGCTCTCACAGTAGAGACTTACTAGCGTCTGAGGGGTCAGCCTTGTCTTCCTTGCCTTGACCCCTGGTCTCCAGCCTCCAACCTTGCCCCTAGTCTCCAGCCTTCAACTTTCTGGCCTCCTACAACTCCACAAATATACCTTCCCTCTGTCTGGAATTCTCTCATTTCCAGCCTAACTCAGCTCCTTCTGTGGGATGATTCAAGATGCACATTGTTGTAGAAACAGCTCTGTCAGCTTCATGGCAGAACAAGGCCAAGCCCCCAGCTAGGGTTCTGCTTCAGGTGGTCCCCAATGTGTGGTTCCTTGTGGCTGTTGTGTGGGAACTGTATCCATCTTTGGATCTCATGGATCGTTCCATAGTGGGTGCTCCAAAACCACTGCTAAGTTCTGTGCTTGCCTAAAGGCCAGGGAAGATTTTCCAATCCGTCTTTTATTCAGATCTACTTTATTTGAGAAGAATCATAAGCCTCAACAAAGTCAAAGCCCTACTTTTATACCTCGGTGTAGTTTTTAAAGTTCACCAGCAAGCAGAAGGATCACAATATTGATGAGCTCTTAAAAAATGCATGAGGGCCCCTGAGTACAAGCCAAGAATTGTAATCGAGTCCCTGCACATGGGCCTCTGATATCAATCTCACATTATTTATTTAGGGTTTTTCCTGCTTGCCGTTTGGGAGTGAAGATTCATTTACCAAGAGAGATTCTTTTACTAGTTTTCATTACCATGCTGCAACATTAATATTAAACTCAAAAAGTGTTAGATCTCGTCTGTCTCTGGTATGGGTGGACTCTATGCTCCCCTTTGGGAACCAGCTCTTTGACACTATAGTGTTGTTGCAAGTCTGGTCTCTGTGTTTTTTATTGAAATTGCTGGAACTCAAGGAAATCATCTTTTGCTTCTTACTTTTGCATCAATATCCAGCTCTATCCAGGCATAGATCTCAAACCTTGTTAGAAATTGATGAAAGTTCCTTTTTATGTGTCCGCAGAGGAGATTGAAGCCCCAAAAACTGTGATTCACATTCATTCCCACAAATTTGGGAAAGCATCGGCATGTTTACAGCCTCCAACTAACAAAGCATTGCAGAGGAGGAGGAAGAAGGCTACCCCAAACTGCTTTGGAATATCTGGCCCCCAGAAATGCATTTCATTTGTTCCACCCTTATCCATTAATTCCCAATACAGATGTATGTAACCAGTTTCAGTGGTGAGATACCTCAGAGTATAAGAAGGGCTCTTTTAGGCTTCAAGGTGCCTTTAGAAAGTATTGTGCCTGGGGGGGAGGAGCCAAGATGGCCGAATAGGAACAGCTCCCGTCTACAGCTCCCAGCCTGAGCGACGCAGAAGACGGGTGATTTCGGCATTTCCATCTGAGGTACCGGGTTCATCTCACTAGGGAGTGCCAGACAGTGGGCGCAGGTCAGTGGGTGTGCACACCATGCGCGAGCCGAAGCAGGGCGAGGCATTGCATCACTCGGGAAGCACAGGGGTCAGGGAGTTCCCTTTCCTAGTCAAAGAAAGGGGTGACGGACGGCACCTGGAAAATCGGGTCACTCCCACCCGAATACTGCGCTTTTCTGACGAGCTTAAAACACGGCGCACCACGAGACTATATCCCGCACCTGGCTTGGAGGGTCCCACACCCACTGAGTCTTGCTGATTGCTAGCACAGCAGTCTGAGATCAAACTGCAAGGCGGCAGTGAGGCTGGGGGAGGGGGGCCCCCCATTGCCCAGGCTTGCTTAGATAAACAAAGCAGCCAGGAAGCTCGAACTGGGTGGAGCCCACCACAGCTCAAGGAGGCCTGCCTGCCTGCCTCTGTAGGCTCCACCTCTAGGGGCAGGGCACAGACAAACAAAAAGACAGCAGTAACCTCTGCAGACTCAAATGTCCCTGTCTGACAGCTTTGAAGAGAGCAGTGGTCCTCCCAGTACGCAGCTGGACATCTGAGAAGGGCAGACTGCCTCCTCAAGTGGGTCCCTGACCCCGGACCCCCGAGCAGCCTAACTGGGAGGCACCCCCCAGCAGGGGCAGACTGACACCTCACAGGGCAGGGTACTCCAACAGACCTGCAGCTGAGGGTCCTGTCTGTTAGAAGGAAAACTAACAAACAGAAAGGACATCCACACCAAAAACCCATCTGTACATCACCATCATCAAAGACCAAAAGTAGATAAAACCACAAAGATGGGGAAAAACTGGAAACTCTAAAAAGCAGAGCGCCTCTCCTCTGCCAAAGGAATGCAGTTCCTCACCAGCAACGGAACAAAGCTGGACAGAGAATGACTATGACAAGCTGAGAGAAGAAGGCTTCAGACGATCAAATTACTCTGAGCTACAGGAGGACATTCAAACCAAAGGCAAAGATGTTGAAAACTTTGAAAAAAATTTAGAAGAATGTATAACTAGAATAACTAATACACAGAAGTGCTTAAAGGAGCTGATGGAGCTGAAAACCAAGGCTCGAGAACTACGTGAAGAATGCAGAAGCCTCAGGAGCCGATGCGATCAACTGGAAGAAAGGGTATCAGTGATGGAAGATGAAATGAATGAAATGAAGCAAGAAGGGAAGTTTAGAGAAAAAAGAATAAAAAGAAATGAGCAAAGCCTCCAAGAAATATGGGACTATGTGAAAAGACCAAATCTACGTCTGATTGGTGTACCTGAAAGTGATGGGGAGAATGGAACCAAGTTGAAAAACACTCTGCAGGATATTATCCAGGAGAACTTCCCCAATCTAGCAAGGCAGGCCAAAGTTCAGATTCAGGAAATACAGAGAATGCCACAAAGATATTCCTTGACAAGAGCAACTCCAAGACACATAATTGTCAGATTCACCAAAGTTGAAATGAAGGAAAAAATGTTAAGGGCAGCCAGAGAGAAAGGTTGGGTTACCCACAAAGGAAAGCCTATCAGACTAAGAGTGGATCTCTCAGCAGAAACTCTACAAGCCAGAAGAGAGTGGGGGCCAATATTCAACATTCTTAAAGAAAAGAATTTTCAACCCAGAATTTCATATCCAGCCAAACTAAGCTTCATAAGTGAAGGAGAAATAAAATACTTTACAGACAAGCAAATGCTGAGAGATTTTGTCACCACCAGGCCGGCCCTAAAAGAGCTCCTAAAGGAAGCACTAAACATGGAAAGGAACAACCAGTACCAGTCACTGCAAAAACATGCCAAATTGTAAAGACTGTCGAGGCTAGGAAGAAACTGCATCAACTAACGAGCAAAATAACCAGCTAACATCATAATGACAGGATCAAATACACACATAACAATATTAACTTTACATGTAAATGGACTAAATGCTCCAATTAAAAGACACAGTCTGGCAAATTGGATAAAGAGTCAAGACCCATCAGTGTGCTGTATTCAGGAAACCCATCTCACGTGCAGAGACACACATAGGCTCAAAATAAAAGGATGGAGGAAGATCTACCAAGCAAATGGAAAACAAAAAAAGGCAGGGGTTGCAATCCTAGTCTCAGATAAAACAGACTTCAAACCAACAAAGATCAAAAGAGACAAAGAAGGCCATTACATAATGGTAAAGGGATCAATTCAACAAGAAGAGCTAACTATCCTAAATATATATGCACCCAATACAGGAGCACCCAGATTCATAAAGCAAGTCCTGAGTGACCTACAAAGAGACTTAGACTCCCACACATTAATAATGGGAGACTTTAACACCCCACTGTCAACATTAGACAGATCAACGAGACAGAAAGTCAACAAGGATACCCAGGAATTGAACTCAGCTCTGCACCAAGTGGACCTAATAGACATCTACAGAACTCTCCACCCCAAATCAACAGAATACACATTTTTTTCAGCACCACACCACACGTATTCCAAAATTGACCACATACTTGGAAGTAAAGCTCTCCTCAGCAAATGTAAAAGAACAGAAATTATAACAAACTATCTCTCAGACCACAGTGCAATCAAACTAGAACTCAGGATTAAGAATCTCACTCAAAACCGCTCAACTACATGGAAACTGAACAACCTGCTCCTGAATGACTACTGGGTACATAACGAAATGAAGCTAGAAATAAAGATGTTCTTTGAAACCAACGAGAACAAAGACACAACATACCAGAATCTCTGGGACGCATTCAAAGCAGTGTATAGAGGGAAATTTATAGCACTAAATGCCCACAAGAGAAAGCAGGAAAGATCCAAAATTGACACCCTAACATCACAATTAAAAGAACTAGAAAAGCAAGAGCAAACACATTCAAAAGCTAGCAGAAGGCAAGAAATAACTAAAATCAGAGCAGAACTGAAGGAAATAGAGACACAAAAAACCCTTCAAAAAATTAATGAATCCAGGAGCTGGTTTTTTGAAAGGATCAACAAAATAGATAGACTGCTAGCAAGACTAATAAAGAGAAAAAGAGAGAAGAATCAAATAGATGCAATAAAAAATGATAAAGGGGACATCACCACCAATCCCACAGAAATACAAACTACCATCAGAGAATACTACAAACACCTCTACGCAAATAAACTAGAAAATCTAGAAGAAATGGATAAATTCCTCGACACATACACTCTCCCAAGACTAAACCAGGAAGAAGTTGAATCTCTGAATAGACCAATAACAGGATCTGAAATTGTGGCAATAATCAATAGCTTACCAACCAAAAAGAGTCCAGGACCAGATGGATTCACAGCCGAATTCTACCAGAGGTACAAGAAGGAACTGGTACCATTCCTTCTGAAACTATTCCAATCAATAGAAAAAGAGGGAATCCTCCCTAACTCATTTTATGAGGCCAGCATCATTCTGATACCAAAGCCAGGCAGAGACACAACCAAAAAAGAGAATTTTAGACCAATATCCTTGATGAACATTGATGCAAAAACCCTCAATAAAATACTGGCAGACCGAATCCAGCAGCACATCAAAAAGCTTATCCACCATGATCAAGTGGGCTTCATCCCTGGGATGCAAGGCTGGTTCAATATACACATATCAATAAATGTAATCCAGCATATAAACAGAGCCAAAGACAAAAACCACATGATTATCTGCATAGATGCAGAAAGGGCCTTTGACAAAATTCAACAACCCTTCATGCTAAAAACTCTTAATAAATTAGGTATTGATGGGACGTATTTCAAAATAATAAGAGCTATCTATGACAAACCCACAGCCAATATCATACTGAATGGGCAAAAACTGGAAGCATTCCCTTGAAAACTGGCACAAGACAGGGATGCCCTCTCTCACCACTCCTATTCAACATAGTGTTGGAAGTTCTGGCCAGGGCAATTAGGCAGGAGAAGGAAATAAAGGGTATTCAAGTAGGAAAAGAGGAAGTCAAATTGTCCCTGTTTGCAGATGACATGATTGTATATCTAGAAAACCCCATTGTCTCAGCCCAAAATCTCCTTAAGCTGATAAGCAACTTCAGCAAAGTCTCAGGATACAAAATCAATGTACAAAAGTCACAAGCATTCTTATACACCAATAACAGACAAACAGAGAGCCAAATCATGAGTGAACTCCCATTCACAATTGCTTCAAAGAGAATAAAATACCTAGGAATCCAACTTACAAGGGATGTGAAGGACCTCTTCAAGGAGAACTACAAACCACTGCTCAACGAAATAAAAGAGGATACAAACAAATGGAAGAACATTCTATGCTCATGGGTAGGAAGAATTAATATCGTGAAAATGGCCATACTGCCCAAGGTAATTTACAGATTCAATGCCATCCCCATCAAGCTACCAATGCCTTTCTTCACAGAATTGGAAGAAACTACTTTAAAGTTCATATGGAACCAAAAAAGAGCCCGCATTGCCAAGGCAATCCTAAGCCAAAAGAAAAAAGCTGGAGGCATCACACTACCTGACTTCAAACTATACTACAAGGCTACAGTAACCAAAACAGCATGGTACTGGTACCAAAACACAGATATAGAACAATGGAACAGAACAGAGCCCTCAGAAATAATGCTGCATATCTACAACTATCTGATCTTTGACCAACCTGAGAAAAACAAGCAATGGGGAAAGGATTCCCTATTTAATAAATGGTGCTGGGAAAACTGGCTAGCCATATGTAGAAAGCTGAAACTGGATCCCTTCCTTACACCTTATACAAAAATCAATTCAAGATGGATTAAAGACTTAAACGTTAGACCTAAAACCATAAAAACCCTAGAAGAAAACCTAGGCATTACCATTCAGGACATAAGCATGGGTAAGGACTTCATGTCTAAAACACCAAAAGCAAAGGCAACAAAAGCCAAAATTGACAAATGGGATCTAATTAAACTAAAGAGTTTCTGCACAGCAAAAGAAACTACCATCAGAGTGAACAGGCAACCTACAAAATGGGAGAAAATTTTCGCAACCTACTCATCTGACAAAGGGCTAATATCCAGAATCTACAATGAACTCAAACAAATTTACAAGATAAAAACAAACAACCCCATCGAAAAGTGGGTGAAGGACATGAACAGACACTTCTCAAAAGAAGACATTTATGCAGCCAAAAACACATGAAAAAATGCTCACCATCACTGGCCATCAGAGAAATGCAAATCAAAACCACAATGAGATACCATCTCACACCAGTTAGAATGGCAATCATTAAAAAGTCAGGAAACAACAGGTGCTGGAGAGGATGTGGAGAAATAGGAACACTTTTACACTGTTGGTGGGACTGTAAACTAGTTCAACCATTGTGGAAGTCAGTGTGGCGATTCCTCAGGGATCTAGAACTAGAAATACCATTTGACCCAGCCATCCCATTACTGGGTATATACCCAAAGGACTATAAATCATGCTGCTATAAAGACACATGCACACATATGTTTATTGTGGCATTATTCACAATAGCAAAGACTTGGAACCAACCCAAATGTCCAACAATGATAGACTGGATTAAGAAAATGTGGCACATATACACCATGGAACACTATGCAGCCATTAAAAATGATGAGTTCATGTCCTTTGTAGGGACATGGATGAAATTGGAAATCATCATTCTCAGTAAACTATCGCAAGAACAAAAAACCAAACGCCGCATATTCTCACTCATAGGTGGGAATTGAACAATGAGATCACATGGACACAGGAAGGGGAACATCACACTCTGGGGACTGTAGTGGGGTGGGGGGAGGGGGGAGGGATAGCACTGGGAGATATACCTAATGCTAGATGACCAGTTAGTGGGTGCAGCGCACCAGAATGGCACATGTATACATATGTAACTAACCTGCACAATATGCACATGTACCCTGAAACTTAAAGTATAATAATAAAGAAAAGAAAAGAAAAAGAATATGAACTAAGAAAAACTAAAGTCTAACAGGGGAAACGTGTCAGAAAAAAATACCAATGTAGGTTTTTGAATATGTGAAGGAAAAACTGATTAAATTATGCAGATGAAATAAAAATCAAAAAAAAAAAGAATGGAAAATAAGTCACTTTGATTAAAGCTACTGAAAGTTGGAGTAGATTTAAATGTCCTTTTGTATTTATTTGACTATAATTTCTATTAATTGAAATATTTTAACCAATTTAACCAGTTGGTTTTGTTGTCACAAGCATGATATATTCATTCATACAGTAAGGTTTATGAAGCATCTACTAATGTGCCAGACACAGTCTGGCCATATATGTGTATATTATAAACACACACAGGAGATATATATATTTATGTATAGAGAGAGAGTTTTAAGTATGTAGTATTGAGTATTCAATACTATTAATTCATTTAAAAATAATTCTTGCATGATAACTACTTGGCTATCAGGTATCTGCTAGACCTTGAGAAGGAAGTATGAAGATAACTAAGACATATTTCCTATTTTTCTGAAGCCACAGTCTGGCCAAATTCATGTAACTTGATGGCAATTTGCAGAGAATTTCAAAGTCTGGGGATCATAACTATTTGTACTGAAGACAGAAAAAATAAAAAGGGAAAGAGAAAAAAAGGACCATCAGAAAAGAAGCTCTAAAGTTGAGGAGGAAGAAATTGAGAGATTTGGAAGACTATAAACAGAAACAGACATGACGAATATCATCTAGCGTGAAGAGGGCATATAGGGAAAGAATGTGATGTAAAAGCACAGCTCTAGGAGCTGCTAATTGTATCACAAGCTCTAGTTAGCAGAATAGTAAACTGCAACCTTGTATTTTGTGCCCAATGTTGAATTTAGTTGAATTATAAAGGAGCGACGGAAAGGTTTCCAAAGGCTGAAATATTTTCTAAAGCATATCAGATGTTCAGTAATAATGCAGTCATCTAGGGTAGACAAAACAAAGTTTGTGGACATTTGAACTTGCATTGATTTAAGAGATTATTCAAACCTATATTTATAAAATCATTTTACTCTGAATAGTCTATGAAGACAATAGTAACTTAGCTATGATCTTCCATTGCTCTAATGGGTCCAGGTCACAATATCATGAGCAAAGGTCAAATTTTTAAGAAACAATCCAACAATATGAGCAGCGTGCCATCAAAAACAAGCTTCAACCCTGTAATTATGTAAAGGCCTGCACAAATAGGACAGTCTTTTAACCTAGAAGCTCATTCTGTGCCCTAAATCACACACAAAGGGAAAATGACGGCATGCTATCTCAGGTGGAAACATAAAGTACTTAACTGGGTGACACACAATTGAGGTGGGTACCTGCTAGGACTTCAGTGGTCACTGGAGAAAAATAAAAGCAAGAAGGAAGAGGAGGTCAGCAGTACAGCTGGAGTCACAGTGGGGATTCTAGCAACCCAGTGCCAGAAACAATGGCTAACATGGCTGAGTGCCTCCTCTGCTGACCCCTTCACCTGTATAATGCTATGTGCATCTAACAGAAGCCCAGTACACAGTCACCAACGCCATTCCCATTTTACAGATGCAGGAACTGAAGCTGAGAACGCCTATACAACATGCCCACAGGCTTATGGTCTTCTCTCCAGTCCTCCTCACCTTCAGGCTGAAGAGCTGCAGAAAGTCATGGCATTTATCCTGCATTTTTCTCCATTTGCCTTGCAAATAAATGCCAACAACACGAAAAAAAAAAAATAGTTGAAATAAAAACACCCACAAATAACAGCTTGTCTTTTCCCCTAAGGAGGTAGACAGAATGAAAATAAAGGAAGCCATCATTCTTTATTGGATGCTGGCATGAATCTTGAGCTGGTATGGAAGATTATTTGCTGGATAAACTATTCTTATTTTATATATTTTTATGCATTTATAAAGCTCATTTCAGCTAGGCCTTGTCCCATAAAACCCAAGGGAATTGTAGTAATTCAAAAGTGAAGATACTTTTTGAAATGGAACTAGAACAGTGGTGTAGAAAATGGGTAAAATGAGAAACAAAACTGGATTCAATAAGATTGGATAGATCAGTCTGTGAAGGAAAGTCTACAGGCAACTATTTCAGGGTGAAAAAGAAAAAGTGGTTCTTCAGATGAGAACTACACTTGGCTGCCATAGGTTGGATTCCACCTAAAGATGGGTTTTATTTGCCCTGTACAATGGTTTACAAATATCCAAGCCAACACTAAAAAGCTGTGAATTTCCATATAAAACCAAGTTTTCCGGCTTCTCTTAAAACACAAGTCCATACTAAGACCCCATTTCCACTTGCGATCAGTTGGCAGGGCCTTGCTAGAGTCTTTTCTTTTAGACAGTAGTGAACCCTGAAATGGCCCATGTCCGCCTCGCTCCTTTGACCCTGTTCTCTAGCCTCTGCATTCTATTATCTGCCATGCCTTGCTGACCTCAAAATTTGCAGCTTTCACAACCCGGACGATTCACAGGTGTTCAAGTTGAAGACCAAACTGCTGGCTGACTTAATGTTAGCCAGTTACCATCACCTTGTGTAATTCAGTGAGGCCAAGTCCCAAACACTGACTATATAGTAAGACCTCTCCCCTTTCAGAAGCCCTCAGTGTGGCAGTTTTAAAATACAGCCCTCACATTTTTGACAGTCTTCTCATCAAGCAGTGGGGGCCTCTTTCTCTGGAATCAGGGTTTCTTGGGCTCTGTGACTGCTTGCCCAATAGAATATGACAGAAATGATAGCTGTGTCAGTTTCCAGGCCCAACCTAAGGAAACTGGCTATTTCCACAGACTGTATCTTGGACCATTTGCTGCTAGAACCCAGCCACCATGCTGTGAGGAAGCTAAAGCACCTTGTGGAGAGGCCAGCACAGGGAGAACACAGCCAGGTCGGTGAGCCACTTTGGAAGTGGATCCCCAGCCCCAGGAGAGCCTCTGCAGCATGGTACCCTCACTAGGTCCCGCCCAAATTTCAGATTCATAAACAAAGTAAGTGACTGCTGTAGTTTTAATCCAGTGAACTTTGGGATGGTTTGTTATGCAGCCATCCATAAACAGAGCACCCATTTGGTCTGAACACTGAGAAGGGCTTTCACAGCAGATGAGGGAGGACCAGGAAGGTGCACTTCCCTAAGCGACGGCCCCCAGGTGGCCTTGCTCACCTACCTGGCCGATGTGCCTTTGGAACTGCCATATTCATTACTCTTCCTCCATCCTGAGGTTTGGGGGGAGATGCAGTGAACCTGCAGATTCCCGATTCGGAAGGGGTGCTGGAGGTCAGACTGTCCGTGTACTCATTTGTCCCTGCCGTCAACTGCTCCGATGACGTGTCTGATATGAAGCACTCCGTGATGGTGAACTTGGCGTGCCTCAGTTGCTCTTCCATCTTGGCGTGTTCGTAGGCCCTGGCCAGTTCTTCGTAAGTGGAGGAGGCACTTTCTGTGGAGACCATGCTGCTTCTTGCTCGATCTACACCAGGAAAGAGAAAAACAAGACGGACGACTCACCATCAGAAGTCTGAACCAACGGCATGGCCCTTCCTGGCTTGGGGCTGTTTTCTTCCAGATCATGGTGGGACCTGGTAGGAGTTCTGGCTCCTTGGCGGAGGCTCCTGCCTTAGGCACTCTGAGGCCAGCTTCACAAGTCTCAGCAGATCCGGTTAAGGGAAGCTTTGTTGCAACCAAATTGCTGTAGTCAGATGTCCCAGCTTGGGACATTTCCATAAATAAATAACGCCTTCCCTTTAAAAAAAATCCTGCTTTTAGTGAAAACAGTAGGAGCCAGGCAGCAGCCCCCTCTCTGCTCCAACCTGCAAATGGATCTATGCCCTAGAGACTCTTTAATTGGCATGAATGATTTGAGCTGCAGTTCAGCTTCTGGGGCCTCAGCTCAGGAAGGAAGATGTGATGATATTTAGAAATAAAGATGTCATGTTGCACGGAAATTGGCCACAAGCCAGAATGGCCCCCGACCCCTGGGATGCGTCTTCTGTTGTGATTACCCTTTATGGGGACTAGAAAACCATCAGGACAAAAACTGGTGCCCACATGCCTTTGAGCTGGGCCACGCCATCTTGGTCAGGGAGATGTCTGCGTTTCAAATGCACTAAAAAGTTTTAGGGTCTCCTCTGTGTGGAACTCTGAGACTCTTCTAAGAGAAATCACAGCCTTAAAAATAAATTCACATGGCGATGATCCTCCTCTGGAACACTGTTTTTGAAGTATATCATCAAGAACAAAAGAAAAATGAGTATTAAAATTTCCTACAGCTATTAGATTCAGATGTAATTTCTTTTCAAAATTTAAGAGGGGGTGGTGGGCAACCCGGTGCTATTCTTAGGGCCTGTCTTCTCTCTGAAGTGAAAACTTGGTGGTTGATGGCATAGACTGGATGACTTACCTTATAACCAACCCCTGTTTAATTGTCAAACGGATCAGCCTGTGTTCCCTATAGAGGGTGCTATGACCTCATCATGTAACTTCAAGTGCTGTGTCTTAATCTTGGAGATGGTAATGGGTCAGACGCCCTCAGAGTGTAATCAGCAATTACTGCAATCACGGGGGTGAAAATTTAAAAATGTCTCTATTTCTCCCAGTGGGGTAGGAACTAAATGGAGAAATAAGCTTGGGTCTAAGATTCAGGACACCTGCAGAATAGATGCAGTTTGGCTCTGTTTTGCCCTGTGTGGAGTAAAGGCTGTGCAGTTGTATTAGTAACTGTTAGATAAACCGCGTAACAATTTGAAAGTGACCTTCAAAAGAACATAAGTAAGAGGGAGGAAGCCCTCTCTCCCCTCCCCAAGGAGCCCATGAAGCTCAAGGTGCGGGGGCCGTGCTGGTCCCCAGGGACGGAGGAGGCAGCGTCAGGGCCTACCTGTGTCTTGCGAGGGGCTGACGCTGTAACTGTCGCTCTCTTTGTCTACTGATCCTGCAGCCCTGGGTGTTGGCAGCCTCCAGTCTGTGGTGAGGGTGTGTGCTGAGATGGTGGGGTGGGGTCGGTTGAGGGTCCACTGGCTGGCATAGCGGTTTCTCGCTGTGGGCCCAGCCTTGGCATTCCTCCTGGTGGTGGGATCTGTGAAGAGCCAAGAATCATGTCTGCCTTTGTCTGCAGGAGTGTGGTCAGCTGAGAGCAAGCGTAGAGGTCAGTGCCACCCACCCAGCACTGCCGACTCGCCCACGCCCTCCAGGAAAACTTCCTTGACTTCTCCTGTGCAGAGGATACTTTCCCTTTCCTTTATGGCTTGAAACCTTCATCTGATACTTACGTGTTTAATCAGCCCTGCAGGGAAAAGAACACCCTACTTGGATTCAGAAGTTACATATTTGAGTCTTGCTCTTGGCCTTTAATAATGTTATGACCCTTCTAACATTAAAAGCTAGAAATGGAATGAGGGGAGACTGACAACAATTACAGGACAAAACAAGAAAATTTCAAACAGTGATGAAGATTATAAAGAAAATGAAACCAATTACTGTGCTAGAGAATGACTTGAGAGAGGTACTTTGGTTACGATGTTTGCAACTGCAATTAAATGGATGATAGTACAAAAAATAATGTTATGACCCGATGCACATCATTTAAACTTCCTGGGCATCGTCATATTCTGTAAAACAAGGAAGCTCAGCCCAGTGTGTTCTAACATGACCTCCTTTCTACATCCTTAGGTGTTGTTATGCGTGAATCACGTCCCCCCAAAAGACATGTTCATGTCCTAACCCCCAGGACCTCAGAATGTGTGATCTGGTTTGGAAATAAGGTCATCACAGATGAAATTAGCTAAGACAAGGTCATATTGGAATAGGGTTGGCCCTTAATCCACTGTGACTGGTGTCCTTTTAAGAAGAGGACACAGACACAGGAGGGGAGAGGGCCATGGGATGATGCAGGTGGAGACTGGAGTGCTACAGCTGCAAGCAAATACATTTCTGTGCTGTGAAGCCACCCATTTGGTGGTACTACGTTAAAACAGCTCTAGGAAATTAATACAGATGTTGCCTGTATTTTTGTTTCTCATATTACTACTCATTGTTTTAATGATGACTGTTTTATTCATTAAGTTGAAAGCTCCTAAAGCAGAGGGACCATATTTTTATGTCCCAACTCTCCTTAAGGCCTTGCCTATGATAGCACATCTCTTCAATAGAATTGTCCTAACTTTAACAGAGACAACTTGGGTTATTTAATATGGAGAACAAAGGGTTAAGCTGGTGCCAGATGGGTTTCATTTTCTCTAAATCTGGAACCAAAGGCAGCAAGTCTATGGGGTGGACGGAGTTCTTAGCTCAACCCTTTGGTGAGGTAAGAAGAAGGATGTTCCACCAGCAGAGACTGTCAGGTACCAGAATGGGCTACAACATCGCCTCTTCTGGAATTCTGTGGAAAATGAGAGAGGTTCAGTTACCTGGAATGATTTTTCTGGGGCTCCAGCCTGGAGACAGCTTAAGGTCCTAGATGGGTCTTTTCTACCTTTGAATTCTCTGCTTCTCAAAGAGCAGTTTGATACAGTTATATTTCAGTATGGTCTGGCCACTTCTAAACCCAGCAGACTGTATTCACTGTTGGGCTCTCACGAAGTTTCAAAGGAGCAAAACTGACAGGGCCGGCCTGTAATGTTATTGCACCGATTTATTTATGTGCTTTCATGAGCCTGGCAGTGTCTCCAGGGCAGGGGCAATGGTATCCCTCTGTGGATCCATTCATAGAGCCTACAATAATCCCTGACATACAGAGTTTTCTGAAGGAATTCATAGACCTAGGGTCACTTTATGAAGGCAATGGAAGCTCAGAGAGAAGTGACATAGCTGTTACGTGATAAAACTATAACCCAAACCTTCTGCCTTTTCAGTTCAGATAACGCCTGTTACTTGACCACATATGGCCAAATCCTGAGTGTCTAAGTTTCCTAGTGCTGTGTCTACATGACCTTGGCTTGCTTATAATTCCATGTTGGAATGTGAAAGGCTAACACTGGGAAGGTGCAATGACTTTGTTTTTAAACGGGAGATTTCCTCACTGCAAGTTTCTAGTTAATTCGACTTTGAATCTAATCTATCATTCTGTGTCGCTGGAGAGGTGCGTTAAGATGGCAGCCAAAGAGATAGATTTTAAGATCTCCTAAATCATCAGAATACTCAATCTTGGTAAATATTCTCTGGGGCATTGATTTTAAGACACATTTCATCCCTTACTTGCACAATTCCACGGAAGACTTCATTAGATTTTTTTTGTCCTTGATGAGAATGTAAATGAGTTATGTTGGAGCTCTACACAACCAGGTATGAATGATAATTGGGTTTCTTCACCGAAATGCTAGGAAAGAGGCCCTCAAAAAGACAGAAAAACATTATGATGGGGAAGAGGCTAAATGTCTTCCAGGCACTATCGACTTGATAAGTGGAGCTTAAATAAGTGAAGCTTGTTATTTAAATGCTAATGAGTCTTTTCCAGAAAATTACCCAGTCCCTTACATAAGTTTTGAAAATTCTCATTTTTATTCTTCTTTAAGTTTCTTGCAACTACAACTGTTGTAGCTCATTCTGAGCAGGTTTACTTCTGGCATGGAAGTTGGGGGGTGGTTGGGGGGTATAGTTTGCTAGTCCCACTTCAAGGATACAGTCATTTCCTCCAATCCCCCAAACCTTGACCCTCATTTCTTCTGCTTGAGCTCACTCTCCAATGGTGGGGCAAAGATCTTCACTGTCATAGCCCCTTTCCTCATTGAGATCACCCTACTTGGAAAATTCCATGGGAAAGTCGCACATGCAGCCTTGATTCAAAGCCTGGTCTCTTTTCAAGTTAATTTTGTTCATAATCTCTTTTTTTCTAGATGAGGACAGTTTTACTGGTGGCCTGATAATGTTGAAAATTTAGGTCATGATATTAGTTTCCTTAAACCACAGCCCTCAGTTCTGTACTGCGCTAGGCAGGCATCCTAGGGTCAAAATTGCCTCAGTATGTAGAATACTGGGGTATTTGACACATTTATTTTTTAATAATTTGGTTTTTGGAGCCATTGTTTTGTACCTGAACTGAACTCTGCTGTATGATAATGACTAAGATAGCAGCTAAAATATAATTTTTACTTGGATTCCACAGGAAGCCTTTTTTGTGTAACTTACTAGCTCATCTACTGAGCAAATAAACGCTGGGATTTACTGCTCCTTCATGGAAAGTATTTTGTTAGGCTCCCAGCATTCTAATATAAATAAAACTCGGTGATTAAGCTTCATGCCTGCTCAGCAGCCCATGAGTTGGAGGGCACAGGATATAAATAGCTCATGGCCTTTCAACATGGGGTTTGAACCCTAATTAAGCTTCTGCCCATTGAATCAGATTATTTTAATTATCCTGAGTTTGGGATGAGAGAGGATTTTGTAGATAATATAATAGGTTACAGAACATGTCATGCGTACTGTGATCATGGTATTAATCTGCTTTCATCTGTGCCATTGGTTTCCATATCTTGCAGTTGTGGAGGTCCAGCTTTACATAACGAATTTACTAGTTGTCTCAGAGAGAGGATGAAACTGGGAGATCTGAACACTCCCTCATGTAACTAAAAAATATTTATCTAGCACTTATTACATCCTGGACCACTGGATGCACCTCACCCACCCCAGGTATTTCCCTCAGGGCCACTGCTAGTCCCATCCTGGGTAACAGAGGGCATTTTTTCTTTCAAAGTCTCAGCAATAAAGATTCAAGTCCATGTTGTAAGCTCTTGTCATTGAATGTGCGTACATGTGAAGTCTATTCTTTAGTCTCTACATATTCTATATGTAGTATCTCTACCTAAAGGCCATGTAGAATGACTGAGAGTGAGAGCTTTGGAATTAGGCTGCCTGGGCTGGAAGTTCATATTCACTACTCCCTGGCTGTGTCGCTGGCCAAGTGACCTTGTCAGACAGACCTGACTAATCCCCTAGTCTCTGAGACTAGGTGATGTCATCACCCACGTTAAGAGCTGTCCTGAAGTTTAAATGAGATTAATGTGCCCAAGTGCTCCGGGCACATGGCACAGGCACAGCTGGCCGTGCCCATGATTCCTATGCAGCAAACATGACTCAATGTCTTTTCTTTTCCATTCCCATTGTTCTGATCTCAGAACTTGATGGCTGATTGGTATTTATCCACTACATGCCTGTGTCAGACACTGTGGCTGGTATGGGGATGAGGACATGGATAGAGTCCTAGTTTTCCAGTGTATTATAATCCACAGGAAAGACAGAGAAGTAATCAGTGCAGCAGAACCAGCCAAGGGATGTGTTTTCACTACTGACAGAGATAAATAGCAAATTGTTATGATTTCTTCCATCCTCATAAGAATCTGTTGCAACCCTCTGGCAAACTAATAAAATGCCTAGAAACATAACTTCTACAATGCAGTCATTCTGGTATGCAAGCAACATGTTTTAGATGCTTTTCTTAAAAATAAAGAATTCTTGCAATGACAACACAGTCCTAACATACAAAATAGAATCACGATGTGTTCTCTAGCTGAGAAAATAGAGAATACAAATGATTCTCTGCAAGTATGCCAAACTGTGGTGAGAAGAACCGGCTCCATGGAATTCACAGAGGTATAAACACCTGGGCAGAGGTGAGAAGCTCTGGTGCAAGAAGCTAGTGGGGGACTGTGCTTCAGAAAGTTCATGGGTTTCAGACTCTTGAACCCACTGTGGGGCCAGTCACCTACCATTTCTAACTCTAAATAAAACACGGAGTGTTGTCAGTCCCTCACACTGTGGTTTTTGAGGAAGATTTAATGAAAAAAATGATCCAGCAGATCTTTTACTAATACAGAGGGTTCTGCAAATGCTAAATTAATACGCTCAATTTGGAGAGTGAGGGGGGAACCAGAGACTGATGCATGCATTTGAGTAGATTTGCTTGATGTTGGTAAACATCATTTAGTGAAATTCAGCACAAAGGACAGAAACATTGTTCTATAAGCTATAGTGTTTCCCTGTGATCATCAGGCTAAGCCCCAGGGACAGCATCTCAGCACTCTCAGAATGAAATGCACCTGCCAGGCACTGGCTTAGGGGACCCTGAAAGATGAGGACAGCTGTTTCTCTGTCTCACCTTTTCCCTGCCTTTCACTGTGCTCCAGTGCCACTTCCATCCTCATCATGCGGGGAACCTTGGGAGCTTTTCCCTGCTGCCCCCTCTGCTCCTGCTGTGACTCTGATCTTGTTTCATGTCTTCCCCTCACTGGAAGTCCTCCTGAATGACTTGGACCCAAGAGAGCCCCTCCCACTGCTCCACACGCCCGCTGACTCACCATGGCTTCATTCTCTTTCTGTCTAGGACTTACTGAGAAATGAAAACTACTTTAGTTCCATGTCTAATGTCTGCCCCCTGACTAGGATGAAATGAATGTCTTTTTGCATCTTACTCATGGTGTATCTCCATCATACAGCACTGAGCCATATACGTAAAGTGAAACCTGAATAAATACTTTTGAGTGCTGAATGAACGCATTAACATTCCCAGCCCTGCTTCCAACTTTATAGCCATGAGATACACACACGTCCCTCCCATGTGCGTCCTGCCTGGCACTCGCTGACCACTGGTTTACAGTATCTGCTGTGACTCCGGTTCATGTCTCTGTTGATATTTTACATGCCAACAAATCAACTTCCCCATTATTCTGGGGCTGACCATGAAGCTGGAAGGTTGCCAGTGCTTTTGTTTTGGGCTGCTGCTTCTCCTGTCTTAACTATTTATGACTAGCTTTATGCATTCTCGGCTGCTAGCTGACCATTGACAGGGAAGCAGAAATGCATGTTGCTTTTTACCTGGCAGGAAGAACTGATGTGCCGGAGGGGTCCTGCCCTGCTGCGTTACATGCAGGAAACATTTCTAACCCTTGGGGCAGTGTTTCTCAATGTGGGGTCCAAACGGCCAGCATCAGAATCACCCAGGGTGTCTGTTACCATGCGGATTCCTAGGCCAGAATCTCTGGGTGGAGGCCTGGAATTGATATTTAAATAGGCACCAGGTGATTCTGATGCATGTAAAGGTGGAGAACGAGACCCAGGGCATCTGCTCTGTTGTCTCTTTTGCCTGCTCTTCTGCCACCGTTTCCAACAGAATGCTGAAGCCAATGCTGCATCACTCTAAAAATCTAATCCTTTCAATATCTGTAACTTTTTCTGATTTAGCAGCAAAAAAGTGGCTCTTAAACCCATTGGAGCAGTGTCTTGGAGTAGCAGCAAGCCACACCAGGCAGTTCACAAGGGAGAAGCCAACGGCTGAAGAGATGTCAAAGCCCTTGAATCTTTTTTTTTTTTGGAGACAGAGTCTCGCTCTGTCGTCCAGGCTGGAGTGCAGTGGCGTGATCTCAGCTCACTGCAAGCTCTGCCTCCCAGGTTCACGCCATTCTCCTGCCTCGGCCTTCTGAGTAGCTGGGACTACAGGTGCCCGCCACCAGGCCGGCTAATTTTTCTTATTTTTAGTAGAGACGAGGTTTCACCATGTTAGCCAGGATGGTCTCAATCTCCTGACCTCGTGATCCGACCGCCTCGGCCTCCCAAAGTGCTGGGATTGAGCCACTGCGCCCAGTCTGGATCATTTTTTAAGAGCAAGGCTCTGGCACACACCCCTTTGCAAAGCTAATTCCCACTCATATCCCGTTTATGTCTTCAGAATGTATTAATGTGATCAAAGAAGAAAGGCGGTAAGAAGATTAGACAAAAGGAAGAGGTAAAAGACTTCTTTAGAATGTAGAATATTCTTGAAAACATTTTTTAAATGAATTTCAATGCCTGCTGAAACTGTTTTCTGTATATTACAATGTTATTTCGTAGGCAATGGGTTTACTTCATAAAGCTCACTGCATTTCGCAAATGCTTCCCAAGCTAGGATTTATGAAGAATAGCTTTTAACATTATAATAGTTATTTTTCTAATAATAACACACTATTCTAAGAATGTAAATTTTTGCAAAGAAATTGATTAGAGATTTGAAAGCTAGACGTCAAAGTTTCCAAAATGATAATAATCAGGACATCAATTTCTCAGTCTTTAAAGAGATTTAGGAACGATTCCAATTATGAAGAAATAAGAGTATCTAATTAATAAGCTCTAGATACATATTAGGGGATTCACCTTCATTGCAGTAATTAATTTCCATATATTATGGATGCAAATATTAATAACAAAATCCAACATAATCTTCACATTAACTAGAATTATAATTTTTCTCAAACAGTGTGTTCAGGGGCAAAAGCATAAGCTTTGGGGATAGATGGGTCTGTTTCTGAATCTTGGTTTTACTACTTATGTGTGCAACTTTATACTGTTTGCATAATTTATCTGAGGCTGCAGTTTTCTCATCTGCAGAATAGAGGCTATGATACCTGCTTCACGAGTAGGTATCTTACAGGATTGTTGCAAAGATAACGTGCATGACATCATCGTTCTATCCCAATACTGGCATACAGCAGATACACACTAAAGTAGATTACTTTTTTCCTTTTCTGTGTTGCTTAAATTAAAAAAATAAATACATGTACCTGAAATTTCTAGCACTTTTTATAGTAACCAATACTAACAGTAATTCAACTGACATAATAATAGCCAAGATCCATCAATAACAGCTCATTATCCCAATTAGGGATGTTATTATACCCATTTGTTTCTCAGGCATAGGTATGAAAAGCCACACATTTTCATTTGAGAGAGAAAGAACATTACTATGTTTTCAGCATTGTTAACACCCACACATTTTAAGCATTGTTGACCACTCACTCGTTCCCGGCCGAGCGTCTGAAACATCCACTAAGGGCCCAGTGGCCTGAGACACCGATTGGTAATGGACCGTGTGAGTGACCGTCAGGGACTTCTGCTTAGCTGCCTCTCCAAAGTCAGCATCCGTCAACAGAACCGTGGAGCGATCATCTACAGGATGGCAGGAACACAGAAAGCCAAACACGTTTATCTCCCTTCCAACCACTCCCTGGCCTTTTCTCTCCTGAGGCACTTGTGTTATTGTTAATGACAACCACAATAATAGCCCCATCTAAAGTGACAAAAATGATTGAAAATTCAAGCACTGAATTAGCATTACTCTAGAGTGCTAGGAATAGAAGCTTCTTCCTAGGGGTTGGCTTTGGGAGCAATGAGCTAAGAAGAACCATGACTATGCAGAGAAGGAGCTCTCTTTTCTCTTTGGGCTTGGCTTTTCATTAAGCTAACATTGATTTGAACTCTGGATTTATGTGTTTGTCAAAAGCTTCTCTGAGACATCATCTGCGATGCCAGCCCCCTCACCAGTGATGAGGCTGTCAATGAAGACAGGTCCCTTTGGCTGCTGGGAAGCTCTGTTTGCAGGACTAGAAAATCGCCACTACAGTTCTCTCTACTGAGGTTTGCTCTCATTCTGAACTTGGCTAATGTTTGGAGGGGAAATAAAAGAGAAGAAAACATGCCAGTCTTCAGAGCTTATTGATTGCTCTATTTTAAAGGACTCAAGGTATGTTCCTTTTCTTCCCACCTCCTGTAAGCTTTAAGCACTCTAGAACATCCATTAACTGACTTCTCCTACATGATTCACTTGTCAGACTTCCCAAGTCCTACTGCCGTGGGCACTTGAAGGTGAGCGAGGCAGGAGCCTGGGTTTGGATGGGTTCTGGGCATCTTAGTGCTTGGAGCAGGAGCTGCTGTTTGAGCTGGGTCATTATTTGGTGGGCCAGGATTCTCATTACTACCTTGTGATATGTTTCATACTTTTTAAAAAGCTTTTTTACTCCAAGGGAGACTTTGGCTAGGATATACAGATTTTTCATAAATTTTCAAAGATTGCAGCCCAGGATGCTGTTGCTAAGAGTTTATCAGTCAGCAGGGACCATACTGCAGCCCTGCCCTGACACTGCAACAGGGATGCGAAAGTCGTAAACAACACAGCTCGACTTCTGTGCCCAAAAAAGGCTCTGAACAGAATGAACCTTACAAAATCCAATTACTCAGTCTCTGGCAGGAAAGGAAAGCCTCTCAAAGTTAGAATAAAATTTCCTGGCAGAGAAATAGAGGAAAGGCTGCCAAGATGTCTGTGAGTATCCCAGCGCATGGTGCGGTGAGGTTGGCACCACAGCAGGCGCCTGGGCTTGGCTTGGAGGTCCGGCCCCGTGGCGGTCACTCGACTCCTCAAAGAGGGTGGCTCTTCCACAGAGACAGCTTCCTACAACTGGACCCAGCACGAGAGGCTCCGTGTCTACATTTGTTTTTCATTAATGATGGGATATGTCACAGTTTCTAGCAGGCAGGCCCTTTTAGATCACACCAGATGATCTGCGGGGCTAGGTTACACACTTTTCATGGAAAATTTTGGGCGCCTGTCTGATCATGAGGTTAACCATTCATTCTAGCTGGAAATTAATGTCACTGTAATATTGGATTCTTGTGGTCAGAGCCCAGAGCATTTTGAAGCACCACAGTTCCACTTCCCAGTAATTAGAAAATGCCATCGACCCATTGTCAGGCATCACAAGGAGGTCAAGGGCTCTTGCTGATACATGATCCTGCATGGACTGGGATGGATCTCTGGCGAACGGTCATATTTACAAATGGAAATGACTGGCAGGCTTCCTCTGGTGTTAAGCCCCCCAGTGACCAGCTCTTGGAAGGCCATAGACCACTCATGGCATCTGCCTAGCTATCTATTTTCATAGCCATATGTAGGATTATTGTCTAGTGAGACGCATTTAGCAAATATTGTAACGTGTTATATAACCATGGTGACCTCCACAAACTATGTAACCTCTCTGTGTCTCAGTTACAAAAGAAACTTTTCCTATGTTGGCTGGAAGGGTTAAATTAAATAATGCATATAAATGGCTTATAAAATTATATGGTCAAAGGAATTACATTCTAATTTTTGAAATTTTTTCAAAGGAAATTTTCAGTTTTAATGCCCAATCTACTGGGTGAAACAAAAGAGATTCCAGGTATACCTTCCCCTTTCCCAAAAAAAGATAATCAAAAGCAAAACATAGTAGCTTATCCCTTGTCCTGATACAAGCAAGCTAATAAAATCTTGTGTACTTTAGGGCAGGTAGTGCCACCTCACATACATGGTTTAACTGAAGTGTTTCACTGAAGTTAGCTGATCAAGAGCCACTTTGCACTTGACCAATCTTTAAGTGCTGCTATGCCTGGACCAAATGTGACTTCAGCCAGGAGAACCCAGGCCTTAGAATTTAGGAGCCATTAGGTCAAGATGTCTCCAGTGGTGGGTGGGGCAGCAGAAGGGTGATGGTTGATGGAGCAGGTGTTCTGCCCACCTGGTCTCTTACCACTGCCTTCCCGGCAGGAGGCAGCTGGGCTATGTGCTGAGAGTCAGGCAGTTTATCCAGACCACAAGAAAGGGTTGTCCTGGGACTCATGCCAGCAAACACCTTCCAAAACAAACATAGCCAGGTTTGAAAAGAGGCAGCCTCGGAGCCTGCCTCAGGGTGTTTCCATGGGCACTCAAAAGCTTGGATAACTTCTGGTTGAGGGTTTCTTGGAAGCAGCCTGTTGGTGTGGAAGCAGGTGGCCTGCTGCTGTGCTAGCTGTCATTGGAGACAGACAGCATGGCGGTGAGTGTGGCCAGGTGGGGAACCTGGTTCTGCGCCTGTCTCTGTGACCTTGGAAAGCTACACAGACCTCTCTACATCTTGGTTACAAAAGCAAGACTTCTTTCATATGTTGGTTGAAAGGTTAAATTAAGTAATGCACACGAAGTGCTTATAAAAACTATGTGACATTTACAGAATTCTCAATACATGTTAGCTATTCTTCTCATTATTACTGGAAAGGAAATATAAGGTATTTCACTCCGGAATAAATAGAATAATCGAGGCAGGCAGTGTGGGGTAATGGACTTCAGGTGGAAAGAGGCTGGGAAGAGTGAAGATACCTGGGTTCTGGTTGAACAAGCCAGAAAACCTCAGGGTGGCTGTTCTGAAACCCTAAAACTAGGGCCCTGGTGTTTTTCCCAAAGTGCTGCTGGGGAAACAGCTGCAGGATGTTTCTGGGGCACTGGTGTGGGGGAAGATACCCTGTACAAAGACATGTGTTTGTTTAAGTGTTAAGTACAGTTTAAAAGTTTTATTTAATGAAGGCTTGCATTATCAGAGTTGATGAGGGGGGCACGGAGTGGATTTTCAACCTGGGGCTTTAGAGTGCAGGCCTTCTGGATTGATGTGTAGTCGATTACAGATGTTTATTCCTTGGAGTGGCATCCGTAGCCTCCCCTGGAAAGATCCCAAATGGATCAGAGCTGAGGGATTTCTGTCCCAAATGCCTGGAACTGACTGGCATATTGGCATATATGGTGGTATATATAAGTCAAATTTTCTGCACATTTGCTGGTACTGATTCTTCTTCACAAGAACAATTCTCTACCTTCTAGCTTTGGTACTCACGTAGCCTTCAAGACGCTCTCCTGTCTAATATTTCCCACATCCTGGGGTTTGGATTGAGAAGGCATGGCTGTGGCAGCCACTTTGTGTAAAGTGGCAAATAGGGCAGCTTACCAATGGTCTCCATCGTGTCTCTCTCTTCAATCAAAAGCTGAGCCCTGGGTATGTCGATGTGCATTCGCAGGGTCTGCTGTTGCTTGCTTAACGTATCTGAAGTCCGGGTATTCTTACTGGGAATAAAATGGGGTAATGCATTAACAAATCCAGTTCAGTGTTAACATTCTACCAACATGCACCTGTATACCAACTTAGTTTATTGTCTAAATATACAAATACCTTGTGAGGAGGGGAACAGAAAACGTACATACTATGAAAACGTTTCCTTCATTCAAATGTTATTTATTTATTAATATTAAATTTCAGCTGGCTGGAGAGTTTCAGAAAATACAAATTGTCAATAGAGATTGGCTCTATATCTACCAATAGAATCTTTAGAAAGTTCTCATTTCTTGTGTAAATGCTAAATGAAACAAATGAAAAGCAATTAAAAACCAACAGCATTTTCATTTGTCAGATGTGAGATATTCCAGTGATGGTGAGGAATAAAGCACCAGATATTCCAAAGATGGTGAGGGAAAAAGCACGTGCACCAGCTGTTTGTCGGATGGGAGTTTTACTAATGGATTTGTATTTATATCTGGTGTCATTTTATTTTTGTTCTAGAAGCAAATCACAAACCTTGTTAGCTTCCCTGACGTTAGTTTTCCTAACTGATAGTACATTTTAGAATGGAAAAAAAGCAATTACTATCATAATTTAATCTCAAAATTTGTGTATCAGAAGATTACTCTTAGAGTGAGCTGTTCTCTAAAAGTAAATGAAAATAAGTAGTAAAACTGCATGGTAGAATCGGATTCAGTTATAGCCTGCAGTTAAAAAAAAAACTCCACGTTGCACAAAAATCTAAAAAAGTCAATAAAGACTTTAATTAGCAATCCACATTAGAAGGGTGGTTGTTCAGTCTTTACAGAATAATAAGACTTTACTAGATGTTCAAATAGTATTTACTGAAGCATCCTCTAAGAAGCAGCAGTCACTTGGATAATCCAATCAATGGCATAATCTATGGCATCCATCAATCCAGCTCAATTGTTGTTAACACTGGTTTTGAGAAAGATTTCTGGAGCCTAGTTAACTCAATAATGGTTTACCTCTGTGTTACTTTTAGTGGAGACCAAAATAGGAATACTCAATGCTACATTTTAAATGCTTTCCCCTCTAACCGAGCCATTTACCCCGAGTCCCAGGGCTGTGCCTCCACCGATCCTTCCTTGTTAATGAGGACTCATCCACTCTTAAACCAAGTGGTGGACAGAACTTTAATTATCCCAAAGTGAAGGTCACTCAAGTACCCCCTTAGATGTTTGCCTGATGAGATCCATGTATACTCCTCGTTTGAGTAAAAGCAAATTATCCCATGAAAAAGACAACTTCTGAAAGGTGCAACATTCCTACTTAGGACTTGATCTTGAACCAGATTGCTTGCTCTGCAGATAAGGAACTGGGCTATGTACCTACATCATGCTAATTATGCAGAGCCCAAATTCAAACGTTTTGTCCTGACTTTTCACATGGTCTCCAAGCTCTTTCAAATTACTGACTTAACTAACTTGTCATTCGTTGATTTTGTTAAAAAGAGAGTAATGAAAAAATTCAAATAATCAAATAAAAGGAGGAGCATTTTGGTTACTTGGGGGGCTGCATTTACGGCATGCTTAGACAAGCTATATTTCCACAAAAACATATGGGGAACTACTCCTCTGTGAATATCCCAAAGATCTGTTTAGAAACCTCACTAGGGACTTGAGCTTGTCCTTGCACCAAAAATAGAAGTGTGAGCTAGTTCCTTCTGCTCTTCATGAATAGTTATGAGGCAGTCAGCGGCTGCTCTATTAAATAGCGATGAACACCAAGTGCAGGCTATACTTAAACAACAATAAGGGGTCTGCTACCAGATTGCCACAGGAAGCAGGCTAAATAATGGCTGTGAACCACTGCGACTGGCTGGCACCAAGATTTAGAACTTGATTCAACTCTGCGAACCAGGACAACCAAGGCTGGAGGTAAATTCTTCCTCCTCAGAAGACTATAAGAAAACGGCCCAACAAGCCTTGAGATTCAGAAGCTAATTGTTTTTAGAGACAGGGTCTTGCTCTGTCGCCCAGGCTGGAGTGCAGTGATGCAATCACAGTTCACTGCAGTCTTTTTTTTTTTTTTTTTTTTGAGATGGACTCTTGCTCTGTTGCCCAGGCTGGAGTGCAGTGGCGCGATCTCAGCTCACTGCAAGCTCCGCCTCCCAGGTTCACACCATTCTCCTTCCTCAGCCTCCCGAGTAGCTGGGACTACAGGTGCCCACCACCATGTCTGGCTTTTTTGTATTTTTAGTAGAGACCGGGTTTCGCCCTGTTAGCCAGAATGGTCTCAATCTCCTGACCTCGTGATCCACCCGCCTCAGCCTCCCAAAGTGCTGGGATTACAGGTGTGAGCCACTGCGCCTGGCCGGACTCACAGTTCTTCTTTCTCTTTGCACTTGGCTGTTCCCGTTGTTTAGAACACACTTCCCCTGCTACCCCCAAAACCCACATACTGGCTCCCTTGTTGCAAGGCTGGACTCAGATGCCATCATCTTTCCAGTGGAGCCAGGCTGGCCCTGCGATGGGGACGTCTTCTGTGTCCTGTCCCCATTCTCTGTTTAATTTTGTCTGCTTGGCACTTATTACTCTCTAGCATATACTTAGTTGATTTATCTTATCCATTATCTGCCTCTCTCACTGGAAAATATGCTCCACCAGGGTTTTCTTCACCTGCTCTGTTTCCTGTGTCTCCCTAGAACTTAGAACAGTATATGGCCAAAGTAGGTGCTCAATAAATATCTGTGAAGTAAATCCTCACATTGATTTATTTTGAGGGCACAACGTGAGCTGAGTGAGATGTCCCCAAGACTTTGTTTTGAGGCAATAATATCCTTCTCATTCTAAAAGGTCACTGGATTCCAACTAAGTTATTTCATTACTTAATATTTGCTGTCACTTTTGACAATCTATTGTTACATTTATATTTATCACTCTGTGTTCTGTTAACCTCAAAAATGATAACAATTGGTCATTAGAATGGCAGCAAACCTTAAAAAAGTGATTTGAACAAACCTCATTTGCAACCTGGAAAAACAGTCCAAATGTTTTCACTGTGGAAGCAAAAATTGCATCTTTTTTGCATGGCATAGGATCATGCTAAACATATTAGTTATTATTGAGCTATAATCTTCAACCATCCATTTATTTGCCATCTGGTTGTTTGAATAAAATGAGAAGAAGAGGAGAGCAGAGACGGTTTCATAGGGCAGAGAATTTCCCAGCTTAGCCAATCAATTATTTGCAGCCACTGCCACTCTTCAAAGTCTTAATAGTCCATCATCCTCCCAAATATGACACAGAACATTCCTTAAATGTACAATGACTATTGGACTATTAGGAGCATAGCTCATTATAACACTAGGGTAGAGATTTTTTATTATGTGCACAAAAATATGAACATCAAAAAAGCTGAACTAATTTGAACCTTTTTCTGCTTACACCCAACTCACTCGCTAATGCTGATTCCTGGACCTTAAACATTATATGTTAGCTCTCTACAGTATACAGTTATCTCTTTGGAGCAAACACCTCTTAGAAGGCTGTTTTTTAAAAATAAAAATCTTACATAAAAATATAAAAGGACAATCTTTCTGTCTGGGTGTGAGGGATGCAGTCTCTCTTCTCTGGGGTGATGTGCATGGGTGAAACAGGTGGATATCTAGGAGCATGAAGCCCAGCAATGGGTGATGCTGCCAGGCCAGGAATCCCTGGGGACCTAGACTGAGTGGGTATGTTCTGCTGTCCAATCTGCCTTCCTGGCCTGGCCCTCAGCTAATCTCCCTGAAATACGCAGATACTTCTTGGTAGAAAATGGTTGAAAAATAAATGTTACATCCATTTAGAACACAGAATGTGGAGTGATAAAGCTAGAAACAATGTTGAATTTTTTATTTTATTTTTATTTTTTAGGTAAGGAAAACAAAGCGGTAAAATGACCTACTAAGATCTGAAAACCAGCTTATGGCCACATGGGGCCTAGAGCACAGACTTGTGGTTCGTATTCTCACTGTACCAGGCTGCCAGTTCCTTTGACTTCTAGAGAAAACAGCAACACAGACCAGGGGTAGCTGTTCAGTATCTTTCTCTCTGCCAGTGGACATGATTTGTCTGGACCCCCTGGGCCATGTCCAAATATGGTTGATTCTAAATTGACCAGTTAGGTAATGAGGTTTTTGTTTGCTTGGCCCATTCACCTGCCGAACTTAGATTGAACCAACCTTTCATGGGTAAAAGCTTTGCTTTTACTTCTAAATTAATCCCATACAAATCCACCTATTGGAGGAGCTTGAAAATTCTCTTCCTTTTCAATCACTTTGACCATTTGAAGGAAAACCACTGTAACTATCATAAGTGGTTGTGATTACTGGCTTTACTCTTCCTAATTCATGCTGGTAACTGGCAATAGGAAGACCATAATTAATTCCTCCTCTTATCAACAGATGGTCTTGCAACCACAGCAACTGCCCTATTCATAGAGGATGCTTGCTAATGTCTTTCTCAGAGGCTAGGGAGAAGGAGTAGGAATGTACTCTAGAATATGAGGAGAAGAGAAAAAGCAAATCATCCTAATTGAGCAAATGTTGAACATGTCAGAAAATATAGCCCGCAGTTTCACAGCCTCTGGACAAAGGCATGATTTACAGTTTGGGAGTAGATAGGGGAGGGGGCCAGGGTAGGTTGTGCAGAGCACAGTTGAGGGGAGGAGAAGCTCTCTGGAGGGCTGAAGGAGCCCTGCTCAGTGTACGGACTGGTGAAGCAGGCCCGGGGTGGGGTAGGGGTGGGGGCTGCGGTGGTGAGCAAACTCACGCCATTCTAAAGGGCTACTGTGCCTACCTCCAGGCACCATTATCACCTCCGCGGTGCTAGTATGGCCAGGGCATTTTCAAGAGAAATCAGAAAGCCAAATTTTATGTGAAATCTCCTCATTTTAAATGTCATCAACTAATTCATATTTTTAAAGTCTACCTTTGACAATTTCTTTTATTAGGTAGATCAGTTATTACAAGTCATGTGACTCTGACTTCTTTGTTTTCCAGCTTCTTTGTGTTAAGCAGATCTTTGTTTTATCAGATCTGCTTAACACAAGTGCATGTGTGTTTGGATGTGTTCCCTGTGACCCATAAATGTCACATAAACAAAAAGCACGGGCTGAAGGCATCTCATGCAATTTCTGTAATCTTCTCCTGGAAATGTGATGAAGTACCCCTTATGAAGGAGATACTGTACAGGGAATTTGCATCTTTGCTTTTCCTCTGAGCTCCAGATTTCTGCTACCAGTTGTCTATCTGACATTTCCTCTGGATGCCTTAAAAATAATCCCAAATTCAACATGACCCAAATAGGTCTTTTCATTCCCATCAATACCTCCTCCCAACCTACCTTCCAAAAAAATCAAAAGTCCATAGCCTGCCTCTATCTTCCTAATCTTGGCAGATGGCACCAACATTCATCAGATCAGTCACAACAAATGTATTTTAGAGTTATCCTTCCGTGGTGGCTCATGCCTGTAATCCCAGCATTTTGGGAGGCTGAGGCGGGAGAATTGCCTCAGGTCAGGAGTTCGAGACCAGCCTGGCCAACATGGTGAAACTCTGTCTCTACTAAAAATACAAAAATCAGCCAGGCATGGTGGCGGGCGCCTGTAATCGTGGCTCCTCGGGAGGCTGAGGCAGGAAAATCGCTTGAACCTCTGAGGCGGAGGTTGCAGTGAGCCAAGACCGCACCATTGCACTCCAGCCTGGGCGACAAGAGCAAAACTCTGTCCCAAAAAAAAAAAAAAAAGAAAAAGGAAAAGACTTATCCTTCATATCATTGTTTTACCTACGATTCACATTGTTTTGAAATACGGTATGGCCAAACAAAATGTCTGTAGGATGGAATCTGTGTGCCAATGGCATTCTACTACTGCCTTCGGTCTTCAAAGATATTAGTGATATGGAACATGGGAAGTTTTTAAATAACAAAGAGTACTAATTTTATATGTATAGATGGAGGAGGAAGTCACAGGCAAATGTGTTGGTGATGGGAGTGGGAAGAGGTCCTAGATCCACCCTCTCTCTCCCACGTAAATCATCCTAAACTGGCAATGTTGAGTTCACTATCGGAGTCCTTGACATTTTCCCTACTTATTTCCTAGACTCTGATTTTCCTTTTTCACTTTTCATGTAATCATTGCAATATGAAAGGCCTAAAATGCAAATATCAGGGTGAGGTAACACATCAGGCAATTAATCCATACGTGTAAATGCTTCATATCAGAGTGTTCTAGTATTTACAGAGTAAAAAGGTTGGACAGCACAAGAAAACTGAACATTTGAAGAGGGGGACTGGGTGGAAAATAGAGTTTGGGGACGTGAAAGTAACACACTTGTCACAGCTTTGCCAATCACAAGCCTGTGGACGTGTGAAAGGAAAGCTGTGAAGGATGCATTTCTGTCTTCCACAGTTGTGAACATTCTCGTACTCATTCAATAACCACTCTTCATTCATCCCCTCCACGGTTATGAATGGGGCAACTACTGTGCTGGCTACTCCTAACACGAGGATGAACTATGAAGGCTGTGACTTCCAGGACCAGAATAGACAGTGAACAGACAGTGGTAAGAGGAGCTGAAGGGTGCCCTGGTGGAGGGTGCTGATGGAGACACAGAGCCTTTGAAGAGCATGGGGCATAGCACATTCCTTTTGTGCTTTTCTTTTAACTTGGATTATTCTGTTAGAAAGAAGGCTTGACCTCACCAGTAGTAAATTTAGATGAAGGCAAAACTAAAGCTACTTCCTCTTTACGTGCTTCTGTTCCCAGGCTAATGGGAAGCCTTCTATTGGTTGTGTCCAGCCAACAAGACAACTACCTGTGGCATGTCTACAAATACATCATTTTCATCTACACCTTCAGCTAGGCATTACATGGATATTTTGGAATGTATAGGAAATTACAGTTTTTTCTAAAAAGAAAAGACATTATCAATTTCAGACTGCCATTATTAAAAAAATAGAAATCATCAAGGCAAGTTGGAAATTGTTCTTTCAAACATGATATCTGGGGTGCTAGGTCTTGTTCTTACCTCATGAGCATTTCAGCTAAACTCTTTGCATCTGGGGAAAGAAAGTTAACATTAGTACATGGTAAATAACTCATTAACATTCACTTAGGCATTTATGACAAATACTCTACAGTCAGATCAGAACAGTCATTTTGAAACACAATCATATACCCAGCTCACTACTAATGACCTAGAGTTTCATGGAGTCCTTATTTCTTCTAAATGGGACTTTTAAAATGTATTTTATTAATTACAAAAATATCAACATAACTATCCTATGATTATAACATTCTCAGACATCTACTAAATGTTTTATTCCAACCTACAGTCACTTCTAGGAAATCCAATTTTATTTTCAGTAGTCAGAAAATTAACATTTTGAGGGTATATCATTTACGTTGAACAAACCCATGCTTTTTGTTATCAAAATATCAGAAGTAAGTGGCATTATTACAGAGCTCTGAGTTCCTTGGGTTGACCAAAGAATCGTATAAATGAAATATAAATGTTCCTGGAAACTTAGATGTTTATTTTGAATTCAGAAATTAAAAAAACTTTATTTTTTTTTTCTCTGAGCACATTGTTTACCAAGACCGGGTTACCACTCTTGACAGAAGGAATCCTGACTAAAAGTGTAGGAAAAAAAAAATCCCTTTTTTTGGTGGTGTTATTTTGAAATTCCCGTTTCCTTTAAAATATAATTTATTCTTTTTACACATTTGGTCCTGGCAAAAATGAATGTTTCCTTACTTAGAGCACAAAAACCTTCTTTTTGTTTTTATTTCATTGCTCTCTAAAAAGTCTTGATGCTAAGTATACTGTTCAATGAACAGAACTTTCCGGAAATGGACTCAGCTGACAGTGTGACCAGCTCTGCAGTGAAAGTATACGTATGTGGGAGCATTTCCATCTCATGCCTTTGGGGGCTGACAATTAAACGTAGTCAGTTTCTGCACAGTGGGCAGCATGCTATTTCTGAAAGACGTGGACAGTCACAGAATGACCACGTAGAGGCTGTCCTTGCCATGAGCCAAGCTTAGTTCGTTAAGTTGGCCAGTCCCAATGGTAACCCCAAGATGGGGCCTGGTTTTGTGCACAGATGGGTTCAGCCTGGGCAATGAAACAGGGCCCATATACTCCACCCACACAGCAAAGAAAAGAAATCAAAATAGGATTGGATTTCCCAGTTCATGTCTTTATATTTATCTGCAAAGACACAGTAAATATAATGAATTTCCTCTTTCCCTGAATGATTTAACACTTACAAAGTATATATATATATATATGTGCTTATATATACTTCATGTATGTATATATATATACATACACACACACACATATATATACACATACATATAATGCCAGAAGCCTGGACTTAATTAGCTCCAATGAACTACCAAGCAGTGGCTGGTACAATACTCTAAAAAGGGGGAAACAAATTCAAGGAGTAAACATCCCACTTCAGTTCACACTTGAAAGAGTTCTCAGCCTCAATTGTCTTCTGATCAACTGCTTTCCTCATTCTGCCCGCCACAATAATCTCTCCTTTTCCTATTCTCGGTCAGTCATCACAGCTCTCTCCTATGAGCTGTTCATGGCAATGTACTAAGGAATTGCGGAGTCCAGCAGGGAGAAAAGAGCTCCCCACAATGACTGCCATGCCGACAGCAGACCTCTCTTGGCTGCCACGTGCAGGCATCCTCCCCAAGGCTAAGGTCTTTCACAGGTCTAGATGCCAAGGGTTGACCGTTTGGGTCAACCCTTCCCTAAACCTAACACTGACCCCACCTTAAAGGAGCATGGGACGTGGGGAGCTTTGCCATGAATGGGCAGTGTGCTCCATGCAGAGAATTCACATGCATCGGAATTATGAGCCCATTTGAGAAGTAAAGTCTAGGTCAATTTGACTGGACAGAGAAGTTGCCAGGATGGTGGTCTGGTGCACAGTCTAGACATTAAAGAGCTAAGGAGATGTGACTTTGTATTACTGACCTGAAAGCTTCTACCTGGGCCAAAGGGAGAGAGGAAAAAGGAGGGCAGAGGTGGGTGGTGGATGGGTGTGGGTGCTGTGAACTAGCATCCACCAGGCAATCCAGAATGCTCTGAATGTGGAGGTGGGGGCCTGGGACTTGTTGAAAGCTTCTTAGTCCTTAGTCCAAGTGAGAGGCTCTGGGCATTAGAGAAGAGAGCCAGGGTTATGTGGGTAACATTATAATGTGAAGATAGAGGAAATCTGTACGAATCAGAGTCCTACCAGGTGTACAGTGGGACAAGGAGGAGTTGCAGGGAGTCCAGGAAAAGGGCAAGATTTGGGATATGCAGAGCTGGATGTAGTAACATGAGTGACAGGAATGGACTAGAACAACATGGAAGCAGCAATCTTGGGAGAGACTTGTCTAGTTTCAATATCGGGGGACATTAGGTGAGGCTGTTCAGAGGCAAATTTGGAATCAAATTTGGAAAGATGCCAGGGCTGAGATGAGGGTCTGGGTGTTTTTCATATCCCCATAGAGAGAGTGCAAAAAGAAGATGGCAAAATCTCATCTGGGACACACTTTTGTTGAGGGTGAGAAGAGAGTCTGAGACAAGCCAAGAAAAAAATTTAAAGTCCCGGAATCACAGAATCTTAAGAGCAATAAAGACTTTTCAGATTGGCCACCTAATGAATGTTGGAATCCCTTTCACAATGTCTTACACAGACGTACACATATTCTCTGTCTGCATGAATCCAGAGCTGGGGCCACTGCCACTCCACGGTTGGGGTCGGTGCTCCTGCTGCACACCTAGTGTCCTTCCTCTCCTCCCAGTACTCTCCTGCCTTCCAGGTCTGCAGGTCTCTCCCAGCCAGCATGTCCCCAGGGGAACCTTTGTTTTTTCTCTTCTCAGTCCTAATCTCACTTATTAGTCAGCATCCTTACTGCTGGTGTGCCCAACACTGATACCCACACTGCAGGAAGGGTGAAGACTGGAATCCATCTTACTGAGTGATACCTGTGCTTTGAAACCTTCAAAGGGACCTCACTGCAACAGCCCTCATTAGCACAGAGAACCCACCTTCCGTGCTGGTCCAAGCTGTCATCCGGCTCCGCTGCCGCTCACTTGTAACCTCCAACCTCTCTCTGAGTTTCCTGCACTTGCCACTTTCTGCAGAGAGCCCAAGACTTTGCTAGTGCAAAGCCCTCCATCGTCCCCACCGCCCCATGCAGACGCAACTTGCTCCGTGTACCCTCCCATGCCCAGTAGGCAGGGGTGAAGCTTCGGTTCCCTCCGCTTCCCTGGACCTCTGCCTTATATCTCAGACAGCCCTTCCCAGCTCATACTGTGCCCACCTGTTTTCGGGTTGTCTTTCTCTTGGCCCTTTTGGGCACAGTCCTGTCCCTGATCCATAGTGAAGCTGCACAAAGATTTCCTGAGGACACATTTAATTGTGAGAGACATCTTCCTTTTCTTGTGCAGAAATTCCTTGATGTAATTTTAACCTGAAGTCATTTGCCAGCTGTTCAGATATTTCCATGTAGCTGCATTTCCCTTGCTTGGCCTCAGCTTTCTCTTTTCTGGGTTACATTCTCTAATTTTCTCAGCCACTCCTCATACGGAATGATTTCTAGGTAATTCCCTACTTGGGAATCTCTTCTTTGAAAGGTTTGTGATTTTTTTATTTCTCTATAAAATGAGGCTGAGAAAGACGCTGGTAATTCTTGATCTTCTAGCACACTAGGGAGAGCACAATGCTCATTATACGTGTTGCAAATGAATTTTTTTTTACAACTTCTATAGAAGACTTCACAATTATTCCTATTAAACTGTATCTTCTTGCTTCCAGCCTTTCAAAATCTCTTAAAATGTGGATTTGTCCCTCTAATACATTAGCTTCCCCACCAGGATGTATGTGGCCTCCAAGATTGGATTAGCCTGCCCATGCTTTCAGCTACATCCTGGTGTACCCTTATTAATCAGCCCTGTCAAAATGCAAATGGAGTTTGTCTGGGCCCCTGGTGGTCCCTTCCCTTCCCTGATTGCTCACAAAACATCCTTTCTATAACCTCAACTAACTTATTTCAGTCTATAATGTCCAGAATTAATCTATTGTTGTTGAAAATGGGTCCAGGGTCTAGATGCTCTTTGACTTACGATTACCTCCTGATGAACCCATCATCAATTGAAAATATAATTAAGTCAAAAATGCATTTAATATGCCTGACCTACCAAACATCAGGGCTTAGCCTAGCCTATCTTCAACGTGCTCAGAACATTTACCCTACCCTACAGTTGGGCAAAACTATCTAACACAGAGCTTATTTTATAATAAGGTGTTGAGTATCTCATGTAAAAATAATGGATCACATATCACTAACCCAGACAAAGATCAAAATTCAAAATACAGTTTCTACTGAATGCATATCATTTTTGCACCATTGCAAAGTCAAAAACTCCTAAGTTGAACCATAGTAAGTCAGGGACCATCTGCATAATCATTTTCTAACACCTCTAATTTACATTTGATTGTTCAAAGGTTATCCAGAAAGATCTTGGGGTTATGTCTGGAAAAATTTTGTTCAGAACCCTAAAATGTTATCCTTCAGAATCATGGGACTGGAACCCCATGACAGCTTCCCTAATTTTTTAAGTGGTGGAGATCTTTCCTTTCAGTGAAACAGCACAGCATTTATTCTGTCTGCATTAGGCTGCTTACGCTTTGGAACTTGTGTAATAGTTCTTTGTAAACATTGTCTGCAAAAAGCAACATCTCCACCTCCACATAATGGCTAATACAGAGTATGTTTTGAAAAAAAATAAATCCTTTTAAACTATCAGGGTGCTGATTATTTTCATAAGCATCCTGAGTTTCTCCCTTCCCCTCCCCTCCCCTCCCCTCATTCCCTCCCTCCCCTCATTCCCTCCCTCCCTCCCTCCCTCCCTCCCTCCCTTCCTTCCTTCCTTCTTTTTATAATTCCTGGTCCACGTTTTCTGATTCAAATAGCATTTCTCCTGGTACACATCAAGCAAAGCAGATGCTGAGCAGCTCTCCTGTCTACCTGCCATCTGTTAATATGAGAACATTGTTCACAGCCTTGTTCTTCTTGCCCAAACACAGCTAAACAGCCCTTGCATTGCCTGTCACATTTTTTCCCACACATTTCAGATCAGCCTGAGATTCAGACTTCGCGACATCTTTTCTAAAGCCGCTTGCTACTCCCACACTTCCATCCTTGGCTCTGGGCTCCTCCCTTATCTGTTGGGCTGGGAAATGATGGAGAAATGATACCAGGATAATCTAGTGATATTAAAATGTGGAAGGAAGGAATTTCAAAAGACAACATTTGCTAACACTCTGAATGCTGCAAAGAGGGCTAAAAAATGATGGCTGAAAGGATAATTTGGAGATCAGAGAATAACTGGTCATCTGTCTTCAGGAGAACAGTTACATTTGGGTGGCGAGTGGAAGGGGACTGTGGGAATTTGGGAGTAATTGAGAGGTAGTGTAGCTGAGGACAGAATACTCTCAAGTATTCAGTGGAGAAAAGAATCAGAGAGACAGTAGGATGAAGATATGCAAGCTAGAAGGAATATGTATATGTGCCTCTCTCTGTATATAATATATACATATTTAAAATATAATTAGGGGAAGGCTGAAGGGTAGTGAATATCGAAATACAAAATCAATAGACCAAGTATTTTTGATGGGCAAACATAAAATTATATAGTAGCTATTGATACTGTGTTAATACATCTTCTAATTCCAGGTATAATTGATAAACCTTTAGAGCTTACTTAATATTGATGAGACAACCTGTTTCTTACTTGAATATTCAAAATCCTGCAGAAGTTTCATGGCAAGAGGAGTAGGGTAGGGAGATTGATCTGAACTCTCTTCTAGCTCTGCCTGGACTCATATGTGATTCTGGATAATTCTATAGCTGGCCTTCAGTTTTCACGTCAGAAAATGGGGTATGATGGCTGGACGCAGTGGCTCATGCCTATAATCCCAGCACTTTGGGAGGCTGAGGCAGGCGGATCACCTGAGGTTGTGAGTTCGAGACCAGCCTGACCAACTTGGAGAAACCCCGTCTCTACTAAAAATACAAAATTAGCCGGGCATGGTGGTGCATGCCCACAATCCCAGCTACTTGGGAGGCTGAGGCAGGAGAGTCGCTTGAACCCAGGAGGTGGAGGTTGTGGTGAGCTGAGATCATACCATTGCACTCCAGCCTGGGCAAAAAGAGCAAAACTCTGTCTCAGAAAAAAAAAAAAAAGAAAAAGAAAAGAAAGAAAATTGGGGCATCATAATGGGCAGTTCATACTCAACCATTTTGCATGGCTATTGAGAGACTAAGGCAGGATGGTGTATAGTGAAGTACTATGGAGAAGAAAGAGGAGCGAAACAATGGGAAGCATTAGTAGCCTGTGGATTAGTACATGGTTAGATCGAGTTTTGGGAAATGGCACCTCTGGTTGGATGAGGAGGCTCCCAGCTTGGTCTTGCCCAGTTCCTGTGTTCTGTTTATAGACCACAGCTTGCATCCTGGGGTTGTGCCTGGCATGAAGGTGCACATCAGCAAGGCAGAGCATGACACAGCATGGCGTGGGAGAGTGCCCACCATGGCCCCAGGCACTGCAGCTGTGCAAAGCTTGAGAGGCTGAACTGCCTCACATTTTGCACACTCAAATGCTTCTTTAAAAAAGAGAAATCTTGTTTATAGCCACATGGCTACATTTTCATATCTGAAGTTCTAGTTACGTAAAATGGAAGACGCTTAGGTTAATACTTCTACTGGGCAGTCACTTGCAGATATCCACAAAAAAACTTTCTGAGGGTGGCAGATTTTGACCTTATATTACCATCCATCAAAAGGTTTTATTTGCAGCCTCTCCCTCAACAGTCCCTGCCTTTCTGTGGAATTGAAATAGTCTCATAAAGTAGCTATTTTTGCAAGGGCTATAAACCTGCATTTATGTTTTTATAAGATCCCAAATAGGACTTCCAATCATCACAATGCTCAGATGAAAGCTAATTTGAAAACTGTGGCAGACATATATTAAAAAAAGAAGGCCATATATACTGGTAATCTGAAAAAACTGCATGCACAGACACAGACAAAATAGGACACCCAGGCAAGGCAGAGCTCCAGGGCCCGGCTGAGACCCACAATCCCCTCCTGACTACCCACTCCCTGGCTCCCCTCCACTGGTAGCCCTCGACTCCCCCTCACCCCCATGCTCTTTTGCTTCCCGCTGTCAGATGCAGAGAGCCTTTTCTATTCAGTTTGCCATAACAAGTTTGATGTTTTAAGAGAATAATTTCATTAAGAAACCAAGACAGAAAGAAAGAGAGAGGAAGAGAAAGAGAGAGGGAGAGAGAGAAAAAAGGAGAGAGAAGGGGAAAGGAAGGAAGGAAGGTAGGGAAGGAGGGAGGGAGGGAGGGAGTGAAGGAGGGAGGGAGGGAGGGAAGGAGAGAGAAGGAAGGAAGGATAGAAGGAAAGAAGGAAGGTAGGGAAGGAGGGAGGGAGGGAAGGAGGGAGGGAAGGAGAGAAAAGCAAGGAAGGAAGGAAAAGAAAAGAAAAGAAAAGAAAAAGAAAGAGAAAGAAAGACAAAGAGAAAGAAAGAAAGAAAACACAAAGCACAGAACTAAAGAGTTTCAGAGTACAGGCTTCTAATGCCATCTTAGCCACACTTGGTAACGAAAGCTCTAGGGTGCATGTGTGCTACTCATGCATTAACAATGTGGGCTTCCCACATTCAGGGTGGCTTTATGCATTAGTGCTGGGGCATCTATTGAAACTTTGAGTCTATCTCAAGTCTGAGTGTCACTGGGTTCCTGGATGCACATTCCTGCTTTAGGTTAGTAAAGTTCAAGTTACCTTTTGGTTTTCCAAATGAGGGGAGCTTTGGGCTCATTTGCAGAGCAGATAAATGTCCTGTTAGTACTCAGAAAATAACAATGATTTCTCATAACCTACCCCTTAATCTGCCTGCATAGCACCATGAACCCAGATCCTCTCTGGGAACAGTCTCTTCCGGAATTGATCAGTTTTGTAACAATCCATTTCAAAGCATGTTTAAAATAATAAACACATTTCCATTCAAGAGAAGCAAGACACTCTGCCACAAAAGCATGGTCAAATGTGACATCACTCACTGATTTTTATCTTTAGCTTATTTGAAGTCCTGCAGGTTGACCCACACTAACTGGTGCCAACAGAAGCTTGTGCCTTCTTGCGTAAATGCGTACCAAAGGAGGAGGCTTTTAGAAATATTGGAGTTGATTACTTGACACGGGATCACATTTTATAAGGTTAGGGCTGCTGGGATCTCAGGCCCAACCAGTGACTCACTCTATAACCTTGCACTTCAAAGGATCTAGAAGTTCAAGAAAAACCAGGGCATCATTAAAAGCAAAATGCGGCTCCTGAACTCCTGGATAAGGTTATAGATTTAAAAAAAAATGTGGGCACTTGCAGGCAATTTAGAGTTTAGGAGGTCGCCATGCTCTAAAATTAGTAAAGTACTCAGGAAGAGAGAATATAGGTTGACGACACTGCTAGAGTCCCATTTTCTTTCTTTCTTTCTAAAATTTTACATAAAATAACATTATATTATATTCATCTAACTAGGTTACTTGTCTATACAGTAAAACATACTCAGCTTATAAACATTTTTGCTGTTTCTAGCAATTGAAAAATGTGATCAATTTCAACCATATAAAATTGATCCCACCTAATCACTCTAAAAACATCCACTGGGGATCCCTATAATATTTTTCTATAATTCAAATCTCCTTATTTCCATTTTTGATCCTGATAGATGGTTGCTCACGCAACACTGACATGTTACTAGAAATGTTGTCCTTAATTTTGACAATCAAAATATTCTGTCTGTAGAGTCTGTAAATATATTTGAACTTATTCTCCCAGAGGCACAGAGTCTGTACCTTATGTGGGTTCGCTTGTTATTGGGTGATTCGACTAATGCACTCCGGATATTTAATAGACAGGCACCTATTCCTTTAAACTCTGCAGCTGCAATTTCCCTCCATGAGTGAGTTGAAAATACTTTGTATCATTAATGAACATTTCAGGGCCCTGCAGGGCTAAGAAACAAACGTCTTTCTGGGGCAATGCCTGACCTTTCATCGATTCCCCTTTACCACCCTCACCTCTGGCGCTGTCCTTTTATGGCAGTGCTTTGCACAGTTACGGAGATGAGTCTGCCCCTTGCAAGCCTTGACCCACTGCCACTACAATGTCACCTTTATAGTTCTGAGTCTTAGAAATCTCTTCTCTCTCTAGGACCTGGCTAAACTCTTGTGATCAAATAGAAATGGTCAACCAGCAAATGTTACCACTAGTTTAAAAAAAGGTTCCATCTTGCACCTGGTAGATAATCTACAGTGGTTTGTCAAACTGAATTTATTGCAGTGTGTCTACATTAAAACTTGCCATTCAGAAGTGGTGTGAAATTGGGTACCCAATCCTTGGCATCCTGACCGCCCTCCTGTCAGATTCTTTTTTTTTTTTTTGAGACAGAGTCTCGCTCTGTCACCCAGGCTGGAGTGCAGTGGCGGGATCTCGGCTCACTGCAAGCTCCGCCTCCCAGGTTCAAGCGATTCTCCTGCCTCAGCCTCCCAAGTAGTTGGGACTACAGGCGCCCGCCACCACCCCCGGCTAATTTTTTTTGTATTTTTAGTAGAGACGGGGTTTCACCATGTTAGCCAGGATGGTCTCGATCTCCTGACCTCGTGATCCGCCCACCTTGGCCTCCCAAAGTGCTAGGATTACAGGTGTGAGCCACCGCACCCGGCCTCTCCTGTCAGATTCTTGATTTGAGAGAACCCTTTATTAGCCATGTACAAAATGCCGAACTGCAGATACCTTTGTGCCATGGCAAGCTACTTTTCTGAAATCCTTTGCTCCTTAACATCTCTTAGTAATACTCCCTCTTTCCCTCAGCACTTACTTTCTTCCTACTGAAACCTTTGTGTTGGATTTACCTTTTCCCCAGAACATAGAAATCAAAACTATTTCCGGAGAATGAAAGGCCATGTTCTCTGAGGTGATAGACTGCTGTCTTTACCAAAACCAACTGCAAAACACTAGTGTCTGGAAGCAGGGAGGCCAACAATAAAAATGCCAGCCCCAGGATGTTTTCTGGAGATAGCCCTTGTACAGCAACAATTAAATTACAAGGAACTACTAAGAATACAAATACAGGGTGCATGGGTCATCATTTCAACCCAAAGGCCTCACTCAGTAAGAGCCCACAGCACCTTTAACTGGAGGTGCTCTCAGCGAGAGGAAATGCACAGCTGGGGTGCTCAAGTTCGAAGGTGAGTAGGAAAAATAAAATAGTAGCTGAGAAGGATGGAGAGCAATAGGAGTCAGGGAAAAGAAGAAAAAGTGAATTTGGCGAGGGTGTAGACCGATGAGAAGCATTACCTAGATGCTTAACTCTTGTGATTAAATCAAAATCATTAATAAGAAATATTTACTATTGGTTTTTAGAAACATCATACAGACAATGTGCAGCCTTCTAAATGCAAGTAGTTAGACATAGTTGTCTAATGGTAACAAGGAAAGACACCCTTGGTATCTCATAATAATTCTCCTAAAGTCCAGGCCACTGTGAACAAGGGTTATGAAAACATCCTTTTTGTGTTTTAGTGATGAACTGAATGGAATTCAACATGGTCCACATTATATGGAACTTCTCACCATAATGGGCTGTATTATACGCTTGTAGTTCTGTTTTACTTAGCACTGAAGTAGCCTCCCTTTTCCTCTCCACTTGGGATTAATCCGTCCTTCTTTTTCACTGATGCGGTCTTTCTTTGAAGCCCTATTTCTGTATTCATGACATGTTTTGTCTTTCACTGGTAGCTGCTTATGGGCCTACCTCCTACCTTAAACCTAGAGTTCAGAAAGCTCTTTCTTCTCATCTTTGTGTATTAAGCACCTAGCATTCACTCAAGTAATGTCTGCAAAATTAAAAGATAATTGGTTCGCACGATTGCGAAAGAACATTTCAAGGAGACTGATGGCTGACCTGAATTATTGGGCTGCAGGAGATTTACATGGACAGATTCTTAATTGTACAGATGAAGTACAATGTACTTCAGAATTGTAATTTGTTGGCAGAGCAAAAGCAAGTTGATAGTGAAATGTACCAGAATTCCATAAAAAGCAGTGCTTTGGTGCTTTGGATAAGTGAAGACAGGTGAAAATATTACCATGTTCTCTGCTCTAAGTGGATTATGGTCAAATTAAGTATTTACAGAAGAGGTCAACGTTTTCTAAATGTATCAGTAAAGTTTGGGATATGTTTTGAGGAGAGAGTGCTTCCAGATTTGTACTTTGAACATAACTTTGAAACACACATAGGATGCTGCATAGCAGTATCCCACACTGCACTGATATTAAAATGAAAATCCCTTGTAATACACGTTACCGAAAAAGTGGCTTAGTTAAACACCCTCACTGGTAAAGGGCAAAGGACCTGGGAACACGTCTGCACAGTTTCATATTTGAAATAACTCCCTGTCCTCACATTGCAGAGCAAGGGCAAGTAAGGGCTCTTGGCCAGAAGCTGAGAACAGCCTCATCACAGAACGACACGGGGCTGGACATTATAATCATGGTGTCTGTTCACAATGGAGCTCATCTGGCCTGGCTTCTCCAGCCTTCATTATGTTTTTGCTACATTAGAGTGAAACTCTTACACTGGGCTTCAGCTCCCGTTTCTAATTTGGGATGGCATGTGTCCTCTGCCTCACAATGCTTCACCAGTATCCTAAGCCCTCAATTTCCACTTCCAGTCAGTCAAGTAATTCTCATTCCCAGAGCAAATCTGATAGATCTTTTCATAGAAAGCCACAATTGGTGGCTTTGCTGGACCCACTGAAAATTTAAGAGACTAGAGTTAAAAAATTAATTTTCCTTGCATACCAACAGCTAGGATTTAGGGGACAGGTTGGCTTTCACCTGATTTCTGACCGAGATAGGAACATTCTTATTGCTCTTCCCTGAGGCTCTGCAGTCTCGCTGAAGGAATGTCAGAGAACCAGGCAGTGGAGGGACCTGGGTTAAAGAGGGAAGAGTCACTCCCTTTTGAGGTTTGTTCTCCAGCTGGCATCTCTCCCATTGGCTGCAGAGCAGCAGGGGACACGCGTAGGTGGACAGCTGGGCCTGGACCTACCTCGCAGCCTCTTTAGCCTCTGCTCCCGCCGCCTCCTCCGCACAACCAGCAGGAGCACAAACAGCAGCAAGACCCCCACCAGGATACAGGAGATGGTCACCAGCATCTTGAGCCCCTCGTTGGTCGTCAGCCCTTCTTCGTTTTGGACAACTGACTTAATGAGTGGAGGAATTGTACCTGAAAGCAGGGCCACGGTGTTAGATGGCTATTAATGAAGACGGCATGGCGGAGCTTTTAGGGATGACAGGTTATAAAAATCGCGCTGTGTGATCCAAGGGTGTTGGAGGTGATGAGAAATGAAAAGAACTCTGTCTCTAGGCCCTGGCTAACTTTTTTTCTTATTTATTTCCCTCCCTCTGCCTGAACTTCCAACTTATTCTATAGTGCACGTTTGAAAAGGACTTCATTTTGCAATGCACTACAGTGTGCAGGCACTTGAAAGCATGAGGCCCAGGCTTGGTGCTGACAAAAGCCACATGCATCTACCCAGAATTAAGTGTTCCCTTGACTGTCACCCACAGTACAATTGATAGAGACTATTCGAAAAAATTGCACATCAAAGAATGAACAAAAGGTTGGGCAAATGGACAGAAGCGCGTGTGCAGGGAGAGGGTCCTAGATACACTGGCATAAAGAAACTCAAATCCCTTGTGATTAGGTAATTTGCTGGCTTTTATCGCAGGTGTAAGACCAAATCTACTTCAACAGCTGTGGTTTGAGGGTACAAGAGCTACAGACAGCTTTTCAAAGGGGACCCAACTAGGTTTCTAAAGGAGCCTACTTTTGATCAGGCATGGTTAAATAGTGCTACAAAATCTAGATTATTTCGAGTAATAAGGAAACACTGAAGGAAGATGAACTCTGAGCTATCTTAAGCTGCCTTCTATCCAGATGCTCAGTACCGTGGGTGCAGAGATCTAAACACAGGCATCCACTTTTTATGAGGTATATATTTTGCTACCCTCCATTATATAAGATGCTCCACGCCACTGCACTTTCCATGTACAACAAGGGCCAGAAAGTCAGCACTTCAGGAAAAGAGAATGCAAAAATAATATAATTTCTCCCTCAGCAAAACGGTCTTTATCCTGCATTTAGTAAGCAGAGCAGGGATAATGGAATCCTCGTTCCTCTGTGATCTCTGCTAAAGCTGAGAAGAGTGTTCTCCCAACTTTAAAGTGTTTTTGTGGAAGCCCAAGTCTCCAAATGCTTAGAAATTCAGGAAAGAGGCACTTACAGGATGCCCATGAAGAGGGGTCTGCAAAACCAAGACAACACTAGGTCAAGCAGAAACATTCGGCTAAGGAAATGGCAGAAGAAAGAGTGAGATCATTAAATGGAGGACTCTGAAACCTGAGTGGTATGAATGTAGGCTGCCAATCTTGGCTTTCTCAAGATAACAAAGTTCTTCAGGCAGATGTGACAATAGAGGCTATCCATTCATGAGACTGGTCCAAAGAAATCTGTAATCTCTCTCAAGGAAAATATAAATATGCAGCCATATTTCTTAGTGTAATAAAGTGATTTCATATTTCCAAAACGTAAAGGTAGCTTGCAGCATTTTTCAAAATTTGGGATCTTGGATAAAGTGAGAAAATTATATCTTTTCTTAGAAGACAAACATTTAAAATCCGCAGAACACTTTGTGAATTAGAATCACAGTTTCAAATTCTACACATGAGTAGTTTCTAATTAAATCATTAGCTGTGAGCATATCATCAGTGTGCACATTTAAGCTGGGTGCCCAGGCATCTGCACATATTATAGAGAAGCTGGGAACCAGAGTGTGAATATTGCAAGATAATGATCTAAAGTAAAAAAGATACTTACTACTCAAATGTGTGCTGGTTAACAGAGGATTTTGGTGCACCCTTAAATGCTAAGTAAAGTGTCTGGTAAGTGTCAAAGTTCTTTATTTTGTAAGATCAAATAATTCAACCATATTACAGGGAGAGGCCAGCTTGGAAGTGCTCCTCTGCCTCTGGGTGATGCTTTGTGATGGGGACACCTTTGAATGAAGTCACTGAAGAGTGAGGGCTATAAAATTAGAAAGAGGCAGCCCATGAAAAGCATCAGCCCTTGAAGAGAAAAGTTGTCGTCTGGGAGGGCATAGGCTATTCTGGGGCCATAGGACAGAGCCCGTGCAGAGGCCAGGGACCCCGGCTAGCGTAACCAACACTAGAAGAGCTTTCTACAAGCTCAAGGTCTTCCTACAGCCCTGAGACCCAGGCCAGAAGTGCCAGGAAGACCCTGGACTCTGGCAGAGAAGGATGTTGTGGAAAAATGACCTTGGACAGGAGATTTGGGGTAGGTCTGCTCTGTGTGCCAAAGCAAGAAGAGCCAGCCCTGGGCCATCCGGACATTATAGGAGAAATTGGTCCGATGAAAATCCCAGGCAATGTCACCTCATTAGCTCCTGGTGGTCATTTCTGTGGGTCCTTAGGTTCACAGCCACTCTTCTTAGGATGGCATAAACTGTGCTCCAAGGAGCTACCTGCTGGAGCTTTAATAAAGCGGCCTCCCAAATGCACAAAGTAAAGAAAGAATCACTCTCCTAGAGAGCAATGCTGATGCTTTTCATGGGCTGCCTCTGTCTAATTTTACAGCCCTCAGTTATGAGTGACTTCATTGAAAGGCATCCCCTCACAAAGCATCACCCACAGGTAGAGGAGCACTTCCAACGTGGTCTTGGCTTGGCTGTCAATAAAGGGTTTGGGTGTTTCTTGGTTAACTCATTCAACACTGTGGTCTAGCCTGACCAACAGGCAGTGAATAGAAGGCTCTGAGGAGAGTTGCACTGGAGTTCCAACTCATCCTGATGCATTGCTGCCGTTTTTACCTTGCAATTAGAGCACCTAACTCAATCCTTGCTGTTCCCCTAGTGAGAAATGAGCATCAGCCCGCTGCTGCTGGGACTTTCTAAAGTTCCCCTACTAAGTTGCAGTCGAGGACTCGCTCCTTTCAGCTTCACTGGGCTTAGCATTTGTTCAGTTAGCAATAAATGGCCCTTGATACCAGAAAAAATGAGTGAGATTTTAAACCATTTATTTTTGGTTAACTAATGTCAAGAGACACCTCACCTAGTTTTTGGAAAGTAAATGCAAGTGGCAAGTGTGTGTGAGTTTGTGTGTGTGCACGTGTTCATGGATTCCTATTATTATCCTATTTCCATCAGTGGCCCTGCTCCTGCCCAGAGACTAACATAAGCTCCTTTACCATGGAAAATTGTTTTTGCACATGCAGTTTAGGGTGTAATGAGTGCAAAAAAGAAAGTTGTTATGTGGATTGGGATGAGGTGGGGAAAGGGGTGGGAGACAACAAAAGCAATGTTAGCTCATAGACATCAACACAAGCACAGAACCACAGGGTCAAGAGTCCTTCAGCCCTAAGAGAAATCACTCCTGCCCCATGACTCCCCAGTGAGACTCCCTATGGCCCTGAGTCTCTTATTTCTGGACACACAGTGATGGTCATCTGGATATAACGAACTAGGGAGCCCCAGACAGAGTCCATTGAATCCCGAAAGCCTAATGGGCTCCGTGGGCACTGGTCAAACTATGGCAAAGATGATGTTCGATGGGAAAGGGGCAGGGCCCACGTGCACATCCCCCAAGACACAAGCAGGAGAGCCACAAAGCCAGCCAGCTTACTGCCATCGTAGTTCAGCGTAGCGAAGTTGGCCTGCTTCTCCGCGCAGCCCGCACTGTTGCACACCCGCATCTGCAGCTCATACCAGGTGGCTTCCTGCAGGTCATACAGGATGTAGGACTTGGAGAGAGAGGTCCTCTGAGCTGTGGTCCAAACTGTGGTCCCAAAGGGCCTGTACTCTAGTGTGAAGGAGGTGATGGGGCAGCCGCCATCATTCCAGCCAATGAGGTTCAGCCTCACGCGTGTGGTGTTGATGCTGGCAAACAGCTCCTGCTCCTTTGAGAACTGGGGCTCTGGGGGAGAAGGCACATGGAGGTCAGCTCACAGGACACATGGGGAGGCCATCAGCATCTTCACGCATTTCCCTCGGACTGCTTCCTCCAGCGAGGCCAGGAGCTCAGTCCAAGTCTGGCTCACAGGCCACTGGCAACTTGTCCCCTGTTAATAGAGACTTTATGGACCAACAGGCTTTCTCCAACTGTAATGACCTGGGTGTGTGACAGAAAATTGCATGGGTGGAGGTTATTTTGGGGTATCTTAGAGTTCCCTAAAGAACAATAGGATGTTCACATATGGGTTTCCTTCTGTGGTTTGCGGGGCAGTGTGCTGGGCACTTTTTCCATCCTCATGTGATGAACCTGATTCAAGAGAAGACAGAGTTGGATTTGGGAAGCACCAACAGATTTTCCTCCACAACTAAACACTTGGTCTTGGTGCCCAGGGACCTAAAGGATATATTTCTGCATAAATCAATCCCCGATCATTTGACCTCTTACCACTTGTTACCCAAAACTGTGGCACCAGGCACAAATAATACCCTTGCTATCTCATTACTCGCTCTCCTGCCATCTGACCCCACCCCACCTGGTAGGACTCCTATGGGAGGGAAGCCTGCAAAGACATCTCCTCACCTTCTTCCTATGCCCACATAGAGCTGCATCATCCCTCCTTCCTTCTGGAGTTCCTGGGACAAAACCTCTTTCTCTGAATATGATTTCTTTGGGATTCATCTCCTTGAAAGTCCACATTTTAGATTAAAAAAAAAACAAACGCAATTTACCCCATCATTTTCCCTCTGAAAAGCGGTGGCTATGTGGCAATGTGGAAATGATAGGAAGGTGGGAGCAAGGGTGGCTAAGGGAGAAGGGCGCCTCCAAACGGCTGAGAGGGCAAGCGCCACGCTTCATGGCTGCCCAGCCTTGGCACCTCACATTCACACCAACGCCCTTGATTTTCAAACTGACATTCTTCTTTTTAACTGCAAATGAAACAATAAAAGAGAGGACCAGAACACTCTGGAAGGTCCAGCTGTCCCTCTCATTATGCCGTGGCACTGCTGAAGCCATGTGAGGAATGACAAAGTTCAAACACATAAACGTAAAACATGATGGATCTTTTATGATTCCAATCTCCTCTTCTGGCCGGGAAAAGAAAGGATATTAAGAAGCGATGAGAAGGCATACCTACCTTTTCCTAAGGTCTTTGCTTCTATGATTTCACTTATGCGCCCTGGGCCCACTCCATTTTGGGCTGTCAGTGTGAACTTATACCAAGTCCCACATTTGAGATTTTCCAAGCGATAGGAACGTTCGCTGGGGCTGATTGGAAAACTCCCCCACTGCTCACTATTGTCCTCGGAGTACTGCAGTATGTATCCTGCAGAGAATGAGAAAGATTCACATGAGCACTGTGTTTGCTTTCTATGGGAAGTGGACTGATGCTTGCATTTTGTGTGGGTAATAGAACGAGCATTCTCAGAACTGAAGAATCTTCAGAAGGAACATTTTCGCTCTTTCTGATTCCAGGAAATGTAACCCAGCCTGGGAGAAGCACCATGATGTATTGATTAGTGAGTCATTTGGGCCACACCAGACATTATCACTGTGAAGTATTGCTGTTTTCTGCTCATTCTCTTCTAAAAGCCATATTGAGCAGCAGGGAATACTTAAGTTGCCAAATATCTGTCCCTCAGATCATACATGCCTGAATCCTTGAGTGAAGACATAGGCTGAAGCTGTTATTTTTGCAAGACACTCGAATCTCTGGGAAAGGGATACATTATCAATGGGAGTAGAGATTTCTTCAACTGCCTCACTCCTCATGTACTCCTGGTCTCACAGTTCACAGACACTAGGAGAAACAGCTCCAAGTCTTGCAGCCATCCCACTATTCTGACAGTAACCTGGCTTCTCTTTGGTTTGAAAAATTCCTCCAACAATTCATTCCCCCACATGAGCACTACCTCTACTTTTACAACTAGTAAGGATGACTGTCCACTCTAGAGCACTCACTCCATGCCAAGCCCTGTCCTAAGCCCTTTGCTTACAGTATTTCTGCAACCCTATGGAACAGTGACGACTCTCCCACAGAACACGTGGGACACTGAAGTCCAGAGCAGTTAAGCGGTGAGTCCCAAGTGCTGAAAGGAGGATGCAGATCCTGCAGTCAGCCTGAAGCCCATGTTCTTCACCCCTGTGAATGCTGAAATATTCTTCCTGTTAACTCCTTCAGCCCTGTTATCTGCAGCCATGTTCCTTCTCCACCCTGGCTAGCTGGCCTGGAACATGGTGTGTTTGCAACAACGGGTTGGTACCTTCTATTCCTGTCCTGTGGAGCTCCATTTTAATAAAAATAAAGCATTTTTTTTCCCTGCACACTACAGTGTCTCCTAAACCCAAATGGGCAGGTTTGCTGATTTCCACACCCCTTACATGGCGATCACTCATCTCTGATGCCTCCTTCTGAGGTCATTGTCAGTATCTCCCCTACTCCTTTCAGCCTTCCCTCACCACTGGCCTTCTGTGGCCATAGGGTCCCTCCTCCTTCCTGAGCCTTTGTGTTCCTCATCTGACCTCCATAAAGCTCCTTCAGTACCTGACAGGTGATACCTGTGCACCTGCTCCCAGCCACATCCCAGCCTGTATTCCAGCCGCCCTACACATTGTAGGGACTCTGCTTTCCTCCCACTTTCCACCCTCGAAGCCACCTCAAAAAACTCCTCTAATCCTTGGTGATAGGCCTGTATAGTTCCCTGTCCCCTGCTATCATCCTCAGTGCCATCAGTGTCCATCAGTGTGGGCACACAACTTACGACACCTCCTGATGATGGCAATGGCTTTGGCCACTACTGTGTTTCAGGAATGCTGGGTTACCTTTGTCTTGGAAACTCTCCCTCACTAAAACTGGCTTCATCTGGAAGACCTTGTGCTCTGACACACCCTTCTTGTTCTACCTCTCCCATGCTCTCACACTTGTAGAATCCAAGCCTCATTTCATTTGAGCCTAAAACCTAGGGTCCCTCGAGCCCATCCCTAGGTGCCCCCTATTTTTTTCCTATAAGAAGGTTCTCTAGTCAGCCTGGAACCTTTGGTAGGCCATTTCAACAAGGAGCCTAGTTTCTCTCACTCTTCAGACTTCTGGCAATGCTTATGTTACTGGTAATCTGTGATCCACTTTTCTTCCCAGCTGTCCAGAATCATTTAGAAAAGTCATTAGGCCAGGTGTGGTGGCTCAGGACTGTAATCCCAGCACGTTGGGAAGCCAAGGCGGGTAGATCACTAAGTCAGGAGATTGAGACCATCCTGGCTAACATGGTGAAACCCCATCTCTACTAAAAGTACAAAAAATCAGTCGGACGTGGTGACACGTGCCTGTAGTCCCAGCTACGTGGGAGGCTGAGGCAGGAGAATCACTTGAACCCGGGAGGCAGAGGTTGCAGTGAGCCGAGATCGTGCCACTGCACTCCGGCCTGGGCGACAGAGTGAGACTCCGTCTCAACAAAACAAAACAAAAAAGAAAGTCATTAGACAGTGATAATTGTGACTCGTACAATTTGTGCTGTGCATCTGCAGCTGGGTCCTTGCAAGCTTCTTGGCAATGACTCGGTTCATCTATTAATGACTCTCTGTGCATTCCACAAGGCAGCTATTACAAACCTATCCCATGCTCCTCAAATCCACAGACACATCCTCACCACGATTTTAAAAAAATCACCTCACTTTTTCTTTCCTAAAAGAAAAAAAAAAAAAAAAGATCTTCCCTTCACCCATTGGAGTGCTGATAAATGTTTAACAACTGGTTCTTGGAGAGGAGAAAAAAGGCTCTGATTTGTAGCATTTCTGATTTCCATGGTGAGGGAATGTTCTTAGGGTGGCTGTGGCCACTGAGCATGAAGCTGGGAAGGGATGTGGCACCTCACTCTCGGAGCTGGAAGGAGCTGCTCCAGCACACTACTGATGTCACTCTGAAATGCTCCTGACTTCCTGTTTACTTCCCAGCCTTCTTTCTCTCTCAGAAGAAAGGATGTTCTCTGCCTTAGGAAGTCTAAGCCCCTATTCTCTCTCCCCGGCCCTGGGACCTCCTTTATGGTACAGGCCCTCTTTCCTGTGTATCTTCTGTCTCTAGCTTAACTCCACCCACACTAGAACGACCATGCTCACTCCTTCCATATAAACCTCATTTAGGCCGGGCGTGGTGGCTCACGCCTGTAATCCCAGTACTTTGAGAGGCCGAGGTGAGCGGATCACCTGAGGTCAGAAGTTCGAGACCAGCCTGGCCAACATGGCAAAACCCCGTCTCTAGTAAAAATACAAAAACTAACTGGGAGCAGTGGTGTGTGTCTCTAATCCCAGCTACTTGGGAGGTTGAGGCAGAAGAATCACTTCAACTCGACAGGCGGAGGTTGCAGTGAGCTGAGATAGTGCCACTGCACTCCAGCCTGGGTGACAGAGTGAGACTCCATCTCAAAACAACAAAACAAAACAAAATCTTGTTTATACACCTCAACTATGAACTAATTGCAAAGGTTTTGTGCAAATAGATTGTTTTACATCTACACTTTAGGTCCTCTGTCTTTTATTACTTTCTAAGTCAGGACAGTACCCATGGTTACATAAATGAATGACTTTGTGTTGACAAAATAAAAAAGAAACAGTGTTTAGAATCTCAAAAAAGAGATATCCAAATTTCTTTTTTCTTTCTTTCTTGCAACTGTTGATATTTCACTCTTAAATGAGCATCCTTGGATGAATGATTTGAATTTCAACAAATATCCTAAAAATAAATGTATGGTTTCTTTCTTAGGTAATGGAGGGATTGTTTATATGACGTATTTTTGGGGGAGAATAAAGTAACACATACCAGTCATTTGCTGAAGATGTGTCACTTATTGGCATGTGGATCACACAACTAATCAACTATTGTGGACAATCTATATCTTATTACCTCTGATAGAGCTGCCCCCGTTGTCTCCAGGGAGCCAAGAAAGGGTGATGGAGGAAGACGTGGTCTTGGAGACTGTAAGCCGAGGCTGATCTGGTGGAACTGGAGAGGAAACAGTTTTTAGAAAACAAGAATTAGTTTTTCACATCTTTAACTTTCCTGAACAGTCATTTACCAACTCATTTTTAACAGCCATTTATTAAATAAGTGTTTCAGTTTGCCAAAATATACAATTCACTTCTGTCAAAATGTCTATTTAGTTGATATCCTGGGCTAAAGAGATAGAACGGAGTGAATCTATTATTTAAAAAAAAATTCAGCCACATTTCTACTTGGATTCATATCTAACTCATTTCCTCACCAGTTCCTTGACTGTCTGAGTTATTTATCACTAATTGAAATCTTCTTTAAACTTACTAAGGATACATGCCTCATTTTACTATGAATTTCAGCCATGAAATTTAAGTGAAAAAGATAAATGGCATCCACTTAGCAGTTCCGTTCTTCTCAGGATGGAAAAGGGGAAGGAGGAAAAATAGCTAGTGGGAAAAAGAATTGCAAAAATCTTCACTTTCTAAGCTATTGCTCCAAGATGCAACACACACACACACACACACACACACACACACACACACACACACACACACACACAGAAAATCAAAAGCAGGCCTTTGAACTGCAGAATATGAACTGGTCTCTCTTACAAGGCTTGTAGAATACATACTGGTAAGTAAGTCTGGATGGGTTCTGAGGGCAGAAACACTAAAGAAATTCAGAATCAGGTTATCCAAATCATATAGAAAGCTTCATATAAAATTCCCTTCTCTTTTCCTCTGAGAGAAGCCTAATATATTGACCTATCTCTTCAGAGTCATAATATAGTGCCTGTCTTCCAAAATTCCCTGGAATTCTCCTGACTTCAATTAATTTGAAATTCAAGATCAATTTTGCAGCATTTTTAGAAATATAGTTCTTTTCCTTTCCTTCCATCCCACCGAGAACAGTATTGATTTTATTTTTACTTGCTGTAATCTATTAATGTGACAACACCTAAATCCAAAGAAGCACACACTTTGATTTTTCTACTAATAAAATATTGCTGTGCATACAAATCTGAACTCAATCACTTATTGATTGGGATTTACACAAAATTTTAACATGACAATCTTTTGAAGTTGTGCACATTTTGTGTATGATATCAAGAAAAATACTTAGTATTAAATACATAGCTAAATACTACAGCGATCTACTTAGAGCTCCAGTTACTTTCATTTTTTAAAATACATTGCATATAAAAATTGAGTTAATTAGCATACAAAAAAGACCACAATTCAGACTTGTTTTTTGTTTGTGTTTTCTGGGATACACTTACATATATGTAGAGTAAACAGTGCAATTAATGGAAATTATTAAGAAGGACTTTTTTAGACATGTACACATAAAGAAAAAAGAGACTAGGCTTTCTGTATGCAAAGATGTTTTGTATCTCAGTATTTCTGAGGTTGTGAATGCTTTGTATTTTCTTTGATTTGTTTAATTATATTTTGCAAAATGAACATGTGTTTTCTTTTTCTGTAATATGGAAACAGAAGTTAGCTCTTTATAAGGGCTGATTTTAAAATTTGTTCAGTGCTACTTTTTGCATAGAAAGCATACATGTAAAAGATATCATTAAAAAGAGTCCTCAAATGTTGTACCTTGTACTTGTAAGTTTAAAATAATTTCATCAGATCCCCAGTTGTTATTGGCAATGCAGCTGTAATAGCCGGAGTCTTCTGCTTTCACCGTGCGAATAATGAAGCTTCCGTTGCTAAAGATGCTCCTCCGCCCATCAATCGTTACTAGACTGGGTGTCCCGTTACTGCCTCACAGGAAGAAAAATGCACAGATTAAAGAAATTACAATCCAAATTAGCTGAGGTTGGGGAAAAACAGAAAGACTCTGTGAAGCAAACCACACATTTGGAAGCTTCATATTTCTTGCATTATGAAAGAACTAAATATGATTACATAATGAAAACAATCAATAGCTGTGTAGCTGAAGTTTTCCTTTGTAAAAAATGTTACGTTGAAGATGAGATCTGTGTCAAGGGCCCAGATTCTGGCTCAAGTCAGTGGACTCCTCATCTGTGCCAGAGACTGATGGGTCCCTCTTTACTCCACTCTGTGGGCACTGGAGATATCCTCATTTTGGCAATTCTGGGAATTTCTTCTGTAGGCAGAAGTGCCAGTTTGAACAAATCATACAGGGGAAACTAAACCTTGGGATCATTTTTAGATTCACTTAAAGTCACAATTATTCATGATTTTGACATGAAAAATGACATGTGATATCTCAAGAGGGTGATGAGTTTACCCTAGTATAAAAAGAACTGCGTGGCCATCATAACCACTGCTCCGGTGGCAGATTGTCCAGTCCTTTGGGGTCATTCCCACAACAGGCAGAATGCCAACTTGACCTTGGGAGCTACATATTTCATTTGGATGAACCAACTTTAAATGTATGAGAAAAGTGGTCACTAAACCAAACCATTATTTCTACAGTTTGGTCACTACACCAAGCCATTATTTCTACAGTTTATGCCTTCTAAGTGCTTTTGCTTGAAAATAGGCATTCTTCTGAATCCATTAGATCACATTTCTATGCTCATAAATGAATTTTCGACCCTTAACTTATATCCTAATTTCTTCTCCTGAATAGAGATATAGCACTTTAAAAAGTTATATGGACAGACCATATCTCACTCACTCTCTCCCTCTATCTTGGCTCCTATTATTTAAATAATTACTATGGAGTATGGAGAACCAGATTTTAAATTAGCAAAGTCCTAATGTACTCCATTTCTTAAAGTTCTTTCTCAGGGTATTTGAGTTATGGTTAGTTCACTATCTTTAAAGAAGAAGAGATAGGTGTTAAATCTCACAATAGCCTTGGCTGCATTCATCTCAGTTACATGGACAATTTACCTGAGAGGGTGCAGCAAACTTCCACAATAATTGAGTTGGTTCAACTACTTTCCTTGCAAGCATTCTCTCATGAACTAGAAGGCTCTGAATTAACAGAGGGTTGATACAATAAATCAGACCCTTTCAGTGCTAAAGCTGAGATTCCTTCTCTGCCCTCATCTCAGAAGAATTGGTAGGTTTCCTTGAGTTTTCACTAATATAAATAAACACAAAATTAGGAGACCACTAGACACAACCTGAGTATGTCAGATGTAATCTCTTAGAGTCTCACTGAAGGCATACATTGGGTTACTGGTTACCTGTCTTTCATCCATTTGACTGCAGGAGAAGGGTCCCCAACAGCCTTACAAGGCAAGACAATGTCTTTCATCCATGGAGTAGTCACTGTCCCACTGAAGGTCAGGATTCGTGCAGGAGCTGAGGAACCAAACAAAGTGGAATCCTGATTACTCCACAGACGTGTCTACACAGAGGCCAACATGACCTACTCAATAAGGGCAATACCTAAAAATGGATGTGAAGCCAATTCACATTACAACTGTCAACACTACTCTCTGGTACCCGGGTTATGAGGAATTGTCATTGTAAGAACACACAACTAGCAGAAAATTCCCATTGTAGCATTCTTTTCTTCTATTGACTAAACATGAGGAGTCCAAATTAAATATCTAGGGCTTCATAAGCCAAGCAGCTCCAAGCTGTGTTTTCTATGAGCCCAATTATTTCTCAAAGCACTTTAGGAAGCAATTTACCTCAACACAAAAACTGCTCATTAAAATATACTTTAATATCAGAGAAAGTAGACAATACAAAACACAAAGGCCCCAAAGACGGGAAGGAGTAAAACTGGAACAAGTTCTACTTAACAATTTCCCGACTGTATTATAGCAAGTTGATCTTTAGGACACACATTAAGGAGAATGAACATTTTCAGAGTGGCCTCTCTTGAAGAACAACCATTTGCTTGGAACAGTGATTCAGATGCCCAAACAGGAGCATCTGCCAGGGGCATCTGGTACTGGTGCAGCCCCAAGGTAGCAGAAGTCCCAGAAGACAGTCAGAAAAAGCCCAGGGTGAACTTGCCTTGAAGTCCAGTGTGGCCAGCAATGAGAGGTTCTAGTGCTACCTCCATCAGTGAGTCACAAAAGCTGACAGGGACACCACACACAAGTCTTCCAGAGGAAAACAATCTGCTCAGTCTTTGCCATACATTGGGACATTACTTTCTGGGGTGTAAACAGGAGCCCGGGGCTTCTCCTGTCCTTTGTTTTAGCCAGTATGCTTCAGACACTGTCATGGAGCTGGGGACATAGAGGAAACAGGTGCCCCTACAGGAGCTCACCCTCGATGGATGCACAGACCGGAAACCATAGGTGGAAGGCAGCCTTGAACTGATTCAGAGCCCATAAAAATGGGACAAATGTGAGACCCCTGCACCATTTCTGGGTTGAGGGTTTGCATTGGCAAAGGAAGATGAGGAGAAGGCTCCCCCAGGGAAGCTCTAGAATCCCTGGAAGGGCAGAGTACCCAGAGCCAAGTCATTATGCAGCCATCCTAGTATAGAATACCCACATTAGTCACTAGGATCTACCAGACCAAATCATACATTTTTGCCTCTGGGCACTGTGGGCAAGAGTAGAGAGAAAAAGAAAATGCCAGAGGGCTTAGAAGCTGGACCTTGTTTTTTGTTGCAGCAAAACCCATGTTTCAAGCAATTTCCCTGGACTGAGATGAAGTATTCTAAGGCAGGGCCCATTTCATCAGTCATTGACATTTCTGATTTTGCATCATGATAACAAAAAGGTCCTGATTAGGCAGCATCAGATTTCCTGCATTGGTAGCTTTTGGCATTTTCTTTTTCACACACTTCAGACAGTTCTTTAGAGAGTAGAGAATGTCCTCAGCAGTAAAAGGCGGGTGGCTAGAGAAATTCAGCTAGAGTTAGGGGCTTTCCAGCTTTATAACAGTCACCCACTTTAAGAAATATGTTTTACATCAAACTCCAGAAGCTACACATGCATTGGGATGTTGTGTATGTGCAAACAAAGTTGCATGAATAAAGACTTCACTGTATGTGATGCATTCTGATATTTTCTGTCTTTTTTAAACCCTAGTTTAGTCTAGTCTAGTTGATTTGACTCTGTTCCACTCTATTCCATTGTTGTTCTTTAACATTCTGGGCATAACCCCTCAAATTAACTCCAGGACTTATGAATGCTTTTCCATTAGCAATTTAAAAAATACAAGCTAGAGCTACTTCATCTTCAAGCCCAACAACCCCCATGCTATCGCTCAATGCCCATTTTGCCCATTTTAGACGGCTGAAATTTAAAGGGTCTCTAGCCAGAAATGTATGACTGGGCAACTCAACACACTAGACCTGGGGCAGCCAAGAGAATCCCCTAGAATCTTTGTTTAAAATGCAGGTTCCCACCACAGCCTTGTGGATTCAGCAGCTCTTTCCTGTACTTGGGGCATCTGCCTTTTGACAAGCATCCCAGGTGATTCTGATGAGAAACTGAACCCCTCTGCAACCTGGTGTCCCCTCTGATTCGGGTCCCGTTTGTTCTCAGCCATGGGGCCAGGCTCTCTGTGCCTTCGTGTCCTGGACCCCTTCCTAGGAGGGGCTTCCCCCAGGACCAGTGCCATGGCCCCATTCTGCCACTCCCTCCATAAAAGCAGTGGTCCTCCTCTTCTTCAACTGTATCTGAATTTTGGACCCTGCTACCTGTCGCTAGACTGCTGCTGGTCTGCCTTGACTTCCCAACAACTACAGAATAACCTGTCTCAATCTCCTCTGCTGTGGACATCCCCATCCCTCTAGGATGGGCCTTTCAGCCTTCATGGTTTGCCAGTGTCTGGGCTTCTGGGTGGGGGCTGCCCAACTGACTGTCTGCTCCATCCTGAGGCACTCCCTAGCTTATCCCCTTTCCAGAAAACCTACCTACAGCAATCCTAACCCTGAGTCAACCTCCCTTAAGCATGAAAAGTTGAACATTTCTGGAAAAAAAATCCACGCAATAGAGCATTTGGAGATTGACCACCATTTAGGATCATCAACCTCAATTGAACTGTCAGCACTCCCTGCTGGTCTTACTGTTTCTTTAGTAAATGTCCTCCCCATTCCCTGCAACGATGGCTTCCTGCTGTCCCTCCTCTTCTCACACTTCTGGGCTTCCCTCCACTATCCCCAAATTGCCTAATGCTTCAGAGACACCATCCAGGAACCCTGCATTTCCAGCCACCAAATCTGTGAACCTACTGGCATTTCCTCCTCTAAACCTCAGTGCTGTGGTCGTGGGCTCTTTCTTATGTATTGTTGATTTCTCGTTTCTCCCTCTCTACTGGGATCTTCCCGTTACCACATAAACATGCTCTGATGGCAGGCCTCATGAAAAATAATGAACCCAGAGCCTTTCCTCGAATGAGAGCCTCCCTCCCCCTCCCAGCTTCTTCTCTTGGTTGTCACTTCTTCCAGGTGATGTGTGTTGAAGGAATGTTCTGCCCAGTCAGCCTGCCCCTCACCTCCTACCCACTTTCTCACCTGACTCAGGCTCATTTCTGCATGCCCCTCCACACCCACTGATGCTGCTCACAGGAAGGTCACCACGATCTTCCGTGTGGCCACTGAGGGGCATTTTCGCCTGGTTTTGCCTGACTTTCCAGCAGCAGCAGCCTCACCTGACCACTCCCTCCTTTTGCAAGCATCTGTTTTGAATCCACAGCCTAACACCCTCCTGGCTCTGCTGCCTCTCTGGCTTTTCCCCTTTTCCTTTGCCTGCTCCCACTCCCTTTGAGAGTCCGTCCTGCACCTTCATCTCTCCTCCATCTCTCAGCCAATCTCATTCCCATCCCAGGTGTAAGCGATATCCAGACGCTGACCCGCCTGAATTTCTGCCTCCTGCCAGATGTCTCTTGAGAGCCAGGACATGCCTCAGTGCACAGATGCCTCTGAGTGAATGGCTCTTCGTCACCTTGGATTGAACCCCTCCAAATGTCTGTACCTCCTCTCACTGGCTTCAAAATCCACTTCTTCCATGGTCTTCTTCATCAAGAAATCGTGCCTCCACTTATGCTAACTCATGTGAGAATTTGGGTGTTCATTCTTGCTATCTCCTTCTCCACCCTCCTCCATTTCTGCCTCTCTGCAGTCCATTCAGGACAGAGAGACCAGGTGGTCTTAAAAAGCACACCCGCCATTAGTTGTAAGAAAGGCATTTAATTAGGATGTCTATAAAAAGGGAAACTAGGTGTGAGGTAAATGGCAACTCTCTGTACTATCATCACAATTTTTCTGTAAATCTAAAACTGTTCTAAAAAATAAGGTTTATCACACACACACACATGCACACAGAGAGAAAGAGAGATCATGTGCCTCCCTTGCTTAAAACCCTACACCATCTCCTTATTTCTCTTGCGGCAAAATCTGAAATCCCTAACACAGTGTTGAAAACCCAGCATGATCAGGTCCCTGTCTTCCTTCCCAGCGTCTCTGGGACCACTGTTCCTTCCCCGGCCCCAGCAGGGTCCAGTGTCCTGGACCTCCCACCTGCTAAATCTTTCTCTGCAGGAGCTTCTGACTGCTCACTTCTTCTCTCTTCACATAACCGCCTTTGCTTGTGCTCAGGGACCAAGTGTGTCCTCCATCTGACACTCCAGGTGAGGTCCTCTCACACTATTTCTTTATAGCACTTACTACAGTTTGTCTCTATGCATATACTTTTGTGATGCTTTGTTTACTGACTGTATTAGTCTGTTCTCATGCTGCTAATAAAGGCATGCCTGAGACTGGGTAATTTATAAAGGAAAGGGGTTTAATGGACTCACAGTGCCACATGGCTGGGGAGGCCTCACAATTATGGCAGAAGGTGAATGAGGAGCATAGGGCATGTATTACATGGCGGCAGGCAAGAGAGCATGTGTGGTGGAACTCCCCTTTACAAAACCATCAGATCTCGTGAGACTTACTCACTGTCATGAGAACAGCACAGGAAAGACCTGCTCCCATGACTCAATTACCTCCCACTGGGTCCGTCCCATGACACTTGGAAATTATGGGAGCTACAATCCAAGATGAGACTTGGGTGGGGACACAGACAAACCATATCACTGACTGGCTCCCCACCAAACTGTAAGCTTCAGGGGGTCAGGGAGTGAACACATCTCTTAAACCATCTCAAAAGACTCCTCTGGGCTCTCCAAACCCTGTTTTCTTTTCCCTGGTGGGTCCATGCCTTTATTCTAGACAATAGGATATTAGTAAAAATAATGTATACACTTCCGTATCTGGCTCATGAAAACCTCTCATCAAACCCTCCATACTCCCTTCTTCCCCCATCTATTTAGCTGTAAATGAGGAGAAATCCAGGGTTGTAAATCATAAGGTGGAAGGGGCCTGGATGCCTGAATCACCATGTGGAACAGGCCACCCAAGAGAGCCCTGACCAAAAATACCTCTGTTGGACTATATTATTATGTGAAGCCACTGAGATTTAGGGAACATTTATTTCAGCAGTCAGCCTCCCTTGACCAAATCCTCTGTGTCCCCAGCATAGACCCTGACATACAACAGGCACTCAAAATGACTTATTAAATGACTGGAGGACATTGAATTTCCCCAGGCAAGACCTGCTTCTGTGAGAGTTTTCAATTGTTCCCCCACTGAGTAAGTCATACCCCACTGCACTAGCCAGGCCTTTCTGGCTGTGTCTAGAGATAGAACTTTGAAAGCACAAAGGAAAGGAAGAAACATTATTGCTAATCCTATGTGTTTTGTTGCAGTGTTTTTTTGTTTGTTTGTTTTTGTTGTTTTTTTGGTAAATCCCACAGCTCAGTCCTTATGTCCAACATTTTCCTTGGTAATCATCATTTTCTCATTCTCAGGGAGTGGCTGGATATCATGACCAAAGAGTGTAATACATAAAGTAAGTCCCCCAGTTTATTTCCCTTACCAACTTACTTATTTTCTATCTGTATTTGAGCTCAAAATGTGACACCCCTCTTTTTTCCCCTCACTGCTTTATTCTGCCTATTTCTTAACTATCTCATTAAAAAGCACATTTTTCAGAGAATTCTTGGAGGTAAAATTGGAATCTTGGAATGTTCATTCTTGTCTTTCAGGCTATCAGAGAACATATTAGTAATAAGTTGCCACTGTTCTATAACTCAAAATTAGGGGCAACTCCTGCTGGCCTGGAATTGTGTCGTAAGGAAATTGACTTATTATGAATGCTAATTTAGGGGGTTCCTGGAAACACTGGATGGCCGTGATTACCAGAAGAGCAAGAATACCCCGTGCCTGCGTGTGCTTTTTAAGGACCAGTTTAACGTACAAATGTGAAGATATTATATTCACTTTAAGGAACTTTTTATTCTTTGGTGACTCCTACTTCCTGCTGTTACTTAAAGTCTTTGCTTATAGCATTCTGTCAACAGATAGTGAATGATTTTCAAATATTTTTAAGCTTGCAAATTCCATAGACTATAAAATAGACATTTCTCATTAAGAAGTGTGATACCTGATTTTGCTGAAAGTAGAACATCCTTGGGAAAATGCCGTGTAATGATTTTCAGCTACTCCAAGGAATGAATGAGGGCTCCTTTCCTAATTTTCATAGACACTTCCATTGTAAGGCCACTCATTCTCAGCTTTGTGTTTACCTCCAGGGAATTACTTTTCCATGGGACAGAAGCTCAGAGCTTGTTAGCCACAACCCTGTTTCTTGAGCTAAAATGTGATATTCTGGTTTATTTGATTTTTAGGAAAGTGTAAGTTTTATTTCAGGTAAAATAGAGACTTAAAAACAGTCAAGTTACAACAGGAAATGAGGTCCTTATAGCCACTGCCTACCTTTTGCTAGTGGCTCGACTGTGATGATTTCACTGCTGTTGCCTCTTCCGGCTGAAGTAACAGCCACCACCCAGACGCTGTACTGACGATTCCTACTCAGGTTGGGAATTCTGTAGGAAAACGAGTCGGGAGAGGCCTCAAACTCGCTGATCACCTGTAAAAAGAGACATAAGTGTTCCCACATTCAAAGAAGCATGTGGCAAAAATGGATTTCCCGAAGGAATGGTCATGAACATATTAAATATCATAACAAAAAAACTCAACTCACTCTCCTCTAAAAGGCTGGCTTTGCAATATAAAATGTAACTGGTAAGTTTAAGTGACCCACCATCTACATTTTTCTCTGCAGCAGCTTTGATGGCCACCAATAAATAATTTACCCCTTTACATTACAGGCCACAGCACTTCTGTATTTGGCTGAGATGGAGTAACAAGAACCAGATTTACCCTCCCACCTGAAACAACTGAGGAACACACACCATCCATAAAACAATGGTTCTAAAAGCATTGCACATCAGGTAATAAATGACAGTGATCTCTGAAAGATGGGAAACGAATGAAGAAAACCCCACAATCGCAGAGATTTTGCAATTTGTAGGGCAGTGTAAATTTTATTTCTGATAAAATAGAGAGCTCCACCTCCTCAACTCGGGAGGTTGGCAGCCTTTCCAAGCTAAGGAGGCAGAGCTGAGAGCCTGAAGGAAGCTAGAGTTCACAAGGAAGAGCACTGGAAAGAGAGCTACACACAAAGGACAAGCTCTGGAGATTGAAGAGGGTCCTACTTGGGTATTCAGCTGAGCAGATCCATGGATGCATGTGAGGAAACTACCCAAGGCCAGGGAAAGACACCTGAAAGAATTGGAGGTCACGGTGCCTAATGCTCACACAGGGATGGGAGTAGTGGCTGTTCTCACCAGTTGGGTTGGAAAACATCAAGATTCCTCGAGCATTGGGTATAGTGCATAAGGGTCTTACCACAAAGGGGAAATAATTAGCCCCAGGCTGAATACCACTCCAGTCTTTCCTAATTATTCTTAAAGGCAAGACTTAGAGAGAACAAATTATTCCTAAATAACTTAACTACATCCAAGAATAAAGGTCAAGAATATTTATAGAATTTATAGAAATTGAAGCATGTAGTACTCCAAAAGGTGAAGTTCACAAAGTTTAACACCTACTAAAATATTTCCACAAACAAATAGCCCAAATATGTGTCACCTGATGACTGGATAAACATAATATGTCACAGCGATACCATGGAGTCTGTATTAGTCCATTTTCATGCTGCTGATAAAGACATACCCGAGACTAGGTAATTTATAAATAAAAAGAGGTTTAATGGATTCACAGTTCCACATGGCTGGGGAGGCCTCACGATCACGGCAGAAGGTGAAAGGCATGTCTTACATGGTGGCAGGCAAGAAAGAATGAGGCCAAGCAAAAGGGGTTCCCCCTTGTAAAACCATTATATCTCAGGAGACTTATTCACTACGAGGAGAACAGTACAGAGGAAACTGCCCTCATGATTCAATTATCTCCCACCAGGTCTCTCCCACAACACATGGGAATTATGGGAGCTATATAATTAAAGATGAGATTTGGCTGGGGACATGGAGCCAAGCCATATCAGAGTGTTATGAGATAATAGAAAGGAATGAAGTACTGATAAATGCTATAACTTGGATAAATCTTGAAAACATTATGCTAAGTGAAAGGAGCCAATTATAAGAAACCACACATTTGTGATTCTCTTCATTTAAAATGTTCAGAATAGGCAGATCGATGGCAACATAGATTAGTGGTTGTCAGGGGCAGGGTAGGGGAAGGGGAAAATTGGGAATGACTGCTAATGGGCGTGCAGTTTCTTTTCAGGGTGATGAAAATGTTCTAAAATTAGATAGTGGTAAGGGTTGCATAACTCTGTGAATATACTAAGAGCCACTGAATTGTTGAAGTTAAAAGTGAATGACATCTCAATAAAGCTGTCATAAAAATTTCCAGGAAAACATAATTCATAAGAAGAAATCAATCAATCAAAATTCACCCATAATTGGCACAGACATTAGATTTATGCAAACAAGGGCAATAAAGTAGTTATAATTGTATTATAGCGGTATTATAACTGTATATGTTCAAAAATTTAAGTAGATATGATACAAAAAGACCTAAATTAAACTCAAAATGAAACTATAATGCATGAAATAAAAAATACATTGAACTTGATTAGCAGCAGCGTAGATATTGCAGAAAAACTGATTAGTGAACTTAAAGGTGTGGAAGGAAAATAAATATTGGGGCCCCCAAATCACTAAGCTAAAGGGAAAAGTCAAGCTGGGAACTGCTTAGGGCAAACCTGCCTCCCATTCTATTCAAAGTTATCCCTCTGCTCACTGAGATAGATGCATATCTGATGGCCTCCTTTAGAAGGCTAATCAGAAACTCAAAAGAATGTAACCATTTGTCTCTTATCTACCTAGGACCTAGAAGCCCCCTCCTCACGAGCCCCCTCCCCACTTTGAGTTGTCCCGCCTTTGCTTCAAGTTGTCCTGCCTTTTCAGATGGAACCAATGTTAAAAAATTGGTTGATGTCTCATGTCTCGCTAAAATGCATAAAACCAAGCTGTGCTCGGACCACCTTGAGCACATACTGTCAGGACCTCCTAAGGCTGTGTCATGGGCACGCATCCTCACTTTGGCAAAATAAACTGCCTAAATTGACTGAGACCTGTCTCAGATATTTGAGGTTCACAACACATATTAATAAATGATACATAGAAAAGAGAATAAAAAAGTTAACAGGGCATTAGTGAGCTATGGAAAAATATCAGGCTGCCTAACATGCACATAGTGGAGTTCCTAAAGGAGGGGAGAGAGACAGGACCAAAAAAAGGTTGTAAAAATAGTGGTTGAAAAATTTCCAAATTTGATGAAAACTGTAGCCCGCAGAGCCAAGATACTCAGTGAATTCTAGCCACAAGAATATTAAAAAAAAAAACTGTACCAAGGAGCATCATAATCAAACTACTCAAGAGTTTTAGTTTCAGTGCTAGAGAGAAAATCTTAAAAGTAGCCAGAGAAAGTAAATGTTGTGTAAAGGGGAACAAAGATAAGCATGGCAGCCAATTTCATTTGAAAAACAATCAAGGTAAGAAGACAGTGGAATGATTTCTTTCAAGTACTGAAAGAAAAAAATCAACCTAGAATTCTATATTCAACAAATATAATTCAAAATGAAAGTGAATAAAGACTTTTTTCAGATACATAAGAAGCTGAAAGAATTAATCACCAGTAGACCCACATTACAAGAAATGTTAAAGAAAGTCCTTCCAGCAGAAGGAAAATAATACCAGATAGACAGAGACATAAATGTACACAAATAAGTAGAAAAAGGAGGTAATTATACAGATACATATATATGGTATTTCTTATTTAAATATTATTAAAATATGGTTGATAGTTAAAAACAATACCAATGTAATGTGGGTATATAATATAAATAAAAGTAAAATGTTTAACAATAGCACAAATGTTGGGAGGAAAAAATGGAAGTATATGATTGTAAGTTTCTTATACTATATGCAAAGTGTGTAATACCGCTTGAAAGTACACTAAGATGTTAAAAGTATATGCTGTGAATTGTAAGGAAACTGCTGAAATTACAAAATATAGCATAAAATAAAGCTAATGAACTAATAAGATAAATAAAATGGAATTACAAAAAAAACCCCAAAGAAGTCAGAGAAAGACTGACAAGGGCAACAAGTAGCACAACAGCAGCAGAACTCAAATAGCAAATAGCACTACACAGAGTTAAACATAAACATAGTAATAATAATTTTAAGTATAAATGATCTAAATATATTAAAGGCAAAGATTGTCAGACCTGATATAAAAGCAATATCCGACTATATGCTGCTTACAAGAAATGTACTTGAAATAGGCCAGGTGCGGTGGCTCACGCCTGTAATCCCAGCACTGTGGGAGGCCGAGGCAGGTGGATCACGAGGTCAGGAGATTAAGACCATCCTAGCCAACGTGGTGAAACCCTGTCTCTACTAAAAACACAAAAAATTAGCCGGGCGTAGTGGTGGGTCCCTGTAGTCCCAGCTACTCTGGAGGCTGAGGCAGGAGAATGGCATGAACCCAGGAGGCGGAGCTTGCAGTGAGCCAAGATTGTGCCACTGCACTCCAGCCTGGGTGACAGAGTGAGACTCTGTCTCAAAAAAAAAAAAAAAAAGAAAGAAAGAAAGAAAGAAAGAAAGAAAGAAAGAAAGAAAGAAAGAAAGAAAGAAAGAAATGTACTTGAAATATAAAAACACAAATAGGTTAAAAATAAAGGAACTTAAGTGATATCCTATGATAACACTAATCAAAAAAATATGGAATGGCTATAGTAATATCAGACAAAATAGATTTAAAAGCAAAGGATATTACCAGTAATAAAGACAGAAATTTCATAACGATAATGGGGTCAGTTCATCAAGAGAACATAACAATTCTAAACATTTATTCACCTAATATTCACCTATTATTCAAAGATATGAAGCTTGGTTATTAGGTGAATAAACGTTTAGGATTTATTATTACATGAAACAAAACTAATGGAACTTCAAGGAGACATAGACCTAGATAGGTCAGAATTGTTCCTTAAAAAGCCATGTGAAGTAGGTGGAGCTGGATCCATTTTATAGATCAGGAAACTGAGGTTCAGAGAAAGTAAGTGATTCACTGATGTCACAAGACCAGACAACTGCAGAACAATGGCTCCAGCTCAGGGCCTCTGGTCCCAAGTCTGGTGCTATTTCCTCACACTTTATGCTGTCAATTAGAAGTGACCAAAACAAGAAGGACTTACTTTTACTCTTGTTAGCTTTTCAATAAACCTTACATGCCTCAGCAGGCTGCATAAGTTACAATACCAGTCATGCAATTAAACAGGGGATTTAAATCTTCACTATATCTCTTAATTGTCATACAACCTCATGCTTCCTCAACAAAACATAATGTCAGATAATTACTTATTGTCAAAACTTTAATTTGTGGGTACACAGTGTCAGATGATTTGGAGAGACTCTTGCATGGATTCCCTAGATACATCACTATAATCTAGCATGCACGTGCATGTGTATGCACTCATTTACACCTCACCTCCACCCCCCTCCCACTACAACACTCCAGTCACGTCTTAGAGTATTATGGGAAAATTAGTCCCTCTAGAAGTTCAGAGGGAATTTGGCCTGTTTCCTGATAAACCAAAGAGACAATCCTGAGACTGTATGTACTTGCATTGTGTGATTCTCCAAGGCTATGTCATTGCCAAATTAATTTTACAAAGCTTAATGATGTGCAAATTCTAACAATTACTCTTACTGAACATTAAGCATCAGGAAAGCATTAAGATATATTTATAAAATAAAGATCTTTTTCTGTGTAGACAACATAGCTTTTAGTTAAAACTCCATACTTATCCTGTTGACAAGGTAAAATTCGTTCTTGATTACCTCCAAAACACACACTTTAATTTTTGCCTGTAACATAATGCATGGCTAAAATCAACAATAAAATATGACTTTTTATGCAACAAGATTTGTTTCATCATTTATATAGAAGACTAATCAAGAATTGAAGTAAAAAAGGTATATTCATAGAAACTTCCTTAATTTCTCCGTAGGTTAGGATGAAAAATAATAACGTCAAGCTGTTAGTGGCTCCTATTGGTTATTTGGGTAAGTTAGTTACACTGATGTCACCACCCTTTGATGCCACTGTGTATTCCTCTGAGGACTGCCATAATTAGGCACAATTTTCCTGGTCTTAGTAGAAGGGCAAGCAGAAAGTTGATAACTGAACAATTTAAACCATCAGAGTTGATTTATTTTCTTTGGAATATATGTAACTGGATATTAAAGTTGACTCTTCCTGTTCTCTGGAAGTTTTAGCGATGATCTTAAAGCGTGAGAATGCTCCTAAAGATGCCAGTGCCTTCTTTCCTAACAAGAGCTGTGAGGCCACCTGGGCAGGACTTGCTGGTTCTCATGTTTTGCCAGTCATCCATTTCCAGGCTCCAAAAGAGGCTGGGGCAGGAATAAGGATTTTCTGTTGAGAGAGGTCTGTGAGTATTCCCTCTTATGGGTGGAAGAGGGCTTTGAGCTCTAGGGAATCTCTCGGAGAACTTGGAGTCTGAAGGACACAGAGCTTGGTAAGTGAGCCACACCTGAGAAGGCTAATGGCGAACCACAGTGGCAGAGGTTAGCCCTGCTCACAACAGGAGAGGAGGCTGGGCTGGACTGGCCACGCCTCCTAGAGTGAAGCAGGGTAAGGATGCCTACTGGTTGACCCTAGAGGACAGAGCAAGCCTGGATGTCTTGAGAGAGAGAACCATAGGCATGAAATGCCTCCAACAGAGGGATGCAGTGTAAATTATATAGTATTTATTGTAAACAGAATCATTAGCTATGGATGGTGCATAACTCAATCATTATTAACCATTTTAACAGTAGGTAGGAGAAAAAAGAAAAAAAGAGCAAAATGGGAAGAAAATAACCAGAAGTTCTCTCAGTGTAGTGGAGCCAATCTAGTTGATTAAATCCTTTTTAATGCTCAGCCAAAAATGCTTGTTCTGAAAAGAAGGGATGATAAATATCATCTCCTTTTGAAATATTTCCCTCCATATTTTATTAAGTTAGGATAGCATGGACTATATTTATATTTCATTAATTTTCTTTTTATTGGATACCAGATTTTCCAACACAACAATCCAATAGTGTGTAAACTGACTTGCTAATTTCTACATGCATATTTTATTACGTAGCACTCTCTTCCAAATATAGAGAATGTTCAATGAGAAGGGATCACTTTGATTTCCAGATTTCGCCTGATATATCAGCTGGGTTGCTATTTCAGAGACTCTGAATCTTTTTTTTTTTTTTTTTTAAAGAAACAAAGCAAAGCTTCGCTATCAAGGACAACAGATAAACACTGCGGTATAAAGAAGGGCAAACTCACAATGGAGTTTCTTAGGGATTAATGAACCAAATGTGGCAAAAGGAGAAATCTGTGGGGAAGCAACAGAGACACTTTTCTTAATATTTAAATATTTCATTTTCTTCAGGTAGACTTTGAACTCTCCAGTCTCATCTTCTTTAGAGTTAAGACAGACGTGTCAGTCATCCTAGATTTTGTTATGCCTAAAGTGTGAATTAATTTTGAGTGGACTACAGTAATTGTGCTAACCATTTGTTTGAAGAGAAGACATAAGAGTTCCTTTGTGACCTGTGGAAATACAGAAACAGCCAACATTACGAAGTTGCCGCCAGGCATGGACTTGAGGGATCCCATCCCCCATGTCCCTGAACCAGAATGCCAGGGATTCCCTTCCATGGCTTATTTTTAATCCTGCTCTGTCTATGCCCAGCTTGAGGAAGTGGATGGGACATTTGTGGACTGGGGTTGCCAATTATTTTGCATCTGTCATATATTCCTCTTGGCTAGCTGAGGAAAAAGCCTGTTATTTCTCATCTAAAATGTGTTTAAACATGTAGGCTCTATCCAAGTTGAGAAGCAAGCCAACATTTATTATTAATTAATCACTTCTCAATTGAAAGGCTCTAAGTGGCTGCCAAGTTACTGATTTCTTGGTCCACCAGATAACATGGTGGCATGAGAAGAACAGGGCTCTCTCTGGCTCAGCGGTCCCCAGCCTTTTTGGCATCAGGGACAGATTTCGTGGAAGACAGTTTTTTTTTTCACAGATGGATGGACGTGGTAGGATGGGATGGTCTTGGGATGAAACTGTTTCACCTCAGATCATCAGGCATTAGTTGGATTCCCATAAGAAGCATGCAGTATAGGTCCCTAGTATTAGTCCGTAGCCCGGGGGTTGGGGAATCCTGCTCTACCGATGTCATGTAACAGGGGCAATCCACAGTGTTCTTAGGGGAAGATTTGGGTATTTGGTCTGAGGACACACACATAAAATGTAAAATATGCATGTTGCTTATGTAATGAACCATCTCAAATACTATTCTTACAGTGGGCTGGTCATGGTTTTTACTGTGGGAGGTGGTGGGGGGGGGTCCAGGCAGACACTGCTGCCTTCAAAGTATGGAGGTCTGTGGATAAGGGATGTTGGCGAGAGTTATAGGACCCCATGAGCCAGACATAGAAGCTTGTTGGACTATCGTTCTCTCCTTTGGGCTGTGGGAAGAAAATCTAGGCAAAAGTTCTTAGCTTCATGCCTCGTAATAGGAAGGGCTTGTAAATAATTACTGAGTTTCAATTAATGGTCATTTACTGAGTTCAGTTGCAGTGTGTAGATTATAAGGCAAGTTCCTGCCCCCGGGGAGCAAGAAGTGACCACAGCTTGGCAAACAGATTAATTTAAAATGAGGCACCATAGAAGTCTGACCAATTCCTACTAAAATTTAGATATAAACTCGTTTGAACCTTTCTCTAAAACCAACCCTGTCATAGTTGAAGACATGGATGAATATTTATAAGATGCCTAAAAAATAAATGGAAACTTCATATATTTGTTTTAAAAAATATTTATAGCAAGGTTTTACAAGACTTCTGACATGTTTGCCTCCCCAAAGCCGTATCCAGAGTGGAAAATACAGTAAATGGGATAAATCTTGTGACACCCAAGCCAGAGCGTTCACATTTCAAGCGTTTTGTCTTTGTATGTTACTGCTTTAGGTCTGCTGGGTAGAGTCGTGGGTTCCTAAGGAACTAAATGTGCACAGTTTACTCTTCCAGTCAAAAGAGTGTAAGGGTTGTGAGGAAGTTAGTTTTCTCCTAGTGCTTCAGGGTCAACTCATGGAAAGCCTGGGAACAGCGTCTTCTAGACCTGCCTTCATTCCACAATTATTGTTGCCTTGTGGTGTTGATATAATATTTTTCTTTTCATGTGTAAGATGCTTTTGACCAGTAAATAAGATATAATTAGCCACAGTGAGGCACTTTAAACACTCTTTGGTCATGTCTATAAAACTAGACGTTTACCCAATAATTGCCAAATTCATTTCCGAACCCCTCACATTACTTAGCTTGTAGCTGCACTTGTAAGACCTTGCAGAGCCTTCTCTAGTCCTCTCAATCAGGGGCTAAGTCTGCCCTTTGTCTTTCATAGCCTTTGCCTTTATTCCACTGTGGGTTATGGTCTTGCATGTGCTTACTGCATCTCCCCAGGGGTCAGGCTCCCCGACCCATCCCTCTACTCCTTTTACTCACCCATCCCTCTACTCACTCTGCAGGGAACCTGGTTCAGAGCATTGCTTAGAGCTGGGACTCAATGACCAGTAACTGGAATACACTGAAGAAATTCTTGTTGTACTAGGTGAGTTTAGTAATGACCTAGAAATGATTTGAGTACGATAGGAAATAATGAGGATAAAATGACTACAAAGCCATAGGCTGTTCATGTCAAACTATTCAGCCTGTCTGATATAAAAGGAATTCTACTTTTAAAAATTTCAATTAACTTTTTAATGAAAAACTAATTCTATAAGGAAATGTGATGTTTTAAAAAGCTCTGATAGCTAATTGTTAACATGCAATTAAAAAAACTTGAAGGCTGTGATTTCATAGATAGAATGTCCACAGCAGTGAAAAAAAAACTCCCCCAAGCAATAAACAAAATTGATAGCTCTTTTAATTATAGGGTAAGGGAACTTTTAGAATGCTTAACATCTTCTTGTTTAGTGGCAAAGAAATGGCCTGGATTCCATTAAGAATTAGCAGTTCACTGCATTAATTTAAGATTTTTAAAATTCTTATGTATAATATATTTTGATCTAATTTCCATTTTATTTCACAGTTCCCATCTATAAAAGAAGATGTCATGGCAGAAAGATCTTCCTAAAGGCATAGGTTGAGAGGCCAACATTGGTAGAAATGGGATAACAGCCAGGCAATTCTGGTAGTTTCCTCTGCCTTTCACTGAGATTACTGTAGATACCATTACATATATGACTATATATATGACTATATATAGACTATGTATATAACTATATACATAGACTATTGGCTACTTTTAAAAAGCCTTTCAAATATAAAATATTTTATATATGACCATATATATATATATGACTATAGATACCATTATATATATGTCTATATATATGACTATATGTAGACTATATATATAATTATATACATAGACTATTGGCTACTTTTAAAAAGCCTTTCAAATATAAAATATTTTATTTTTGGCCTTCCAAATATAAAAGTTATTGCTATAATGTTTTGCAACTATATTAAAGTTGATATCCAGAGAAGGCATGAGAAAAACTAGTTTCTTGATGTAATTGTTTAGAATTAGAAGCACCATCCAATTAGCCCAGGTGGCATTACAGATACTTATGTTAACAGGCTCTTTCCAACCGATATAATCTCCCTTTGCTACAATTTTTCCTCATCCCCTTTTCATTGTCATACCACCTGCCATGAAAATTATCTATCTGTCAAAGTTACATTATTAATTTAACTTGATTGCTGTCACCTATTCAACAAATTCTGTACAAAAAAACTAATTTGTTATCATATAGTTTCTCACATACAAGAAATTAATGAGAAACACAATTCTTAGTAATAAAAATAATATATGCAGAATTTACAAAATTGAAAAAAATAGCTCTTTCCACTAGTGTTAATTGAAAAATGATTTAAAGCCAATTTATTTCCTTAAATAGTACAATATGTCTGTGTCAGGCCAAGTCAAAAAGATAAGATGTTTTCAAAGCTGCAATCTTCCAAAAGCTCCAAAAGCTAATTGATAAAAAGGGCATTTTAGCAAAACTTTGGAGACAGTAAAAAGATCAGAGGTTAAGAGGGTGGGATGAATAGGAGGAGCACAGAGGGTTTTCAGGGCAGTGAAACTTCTGCATGATGCTATAATGGTGGATCCATGTCATCAAACATTTGTCCAAACCTATAAAATGTACAACCCCAAGAGTAAGTCTTACATAAACTATGAACACTGGCTAATAATGATGTGTCAATGTAGGTTCCACCATTGTTACAAATGCACCACTTTATTGGGGGATGTCGATAGTGGGGGAGGCTGTGCAGTAGGGGCAGGGGCATTTGGAAAATCTCTGTACCTTCTTCTCAATTTTTCTGTGAACCTAAAACTGCTTAAAAAATAAAGTCAAGTTTTTTAAAGGCATTTTAGCCTGTGGATAATCAGAAAGCTCTACGCAGCAATGGGGAAGTACATTCAGGGTGGCATACACTAAGCTACCTAGTCTGAATGAATGCTACCTCAAAGCTAGAATGCTTAGTGACAGGTTATCTGACAAATCAGGCAGGCAGTCTTATGAGACTGAGCTTCAAAAGAGATTTCCAGGGCCTCTTTCTGTATGAAAATTTTAGGGGAGTATATGCTTAAGTTTTCTTTGCTCTATAAATTACATGATTGGGCTCAGAATTTTAAAGGCCAAGATTTCTACCTTGAGTATAGGCCATCTGCATTTTACCAGTTATAGCAATTGAATGATTTCACATAATGCCTAGTGGACAAACAACCACTGAGAACAATATGAGAAGAAAACTGAAATATAGCTTCAACAGAAAGATTGAGTAGTTATTGGCTTGTTCACTGTGTGATATGGGTTGGCTGTGTCCCCACCCAAATCTCATCTTGAATTGTAGTTCCCACAATCCCCATGTGCCGTGGGAGGGACCCCGTGGGAGGTAACTGAATCATGGGTGTGGTTACCCTCATGCTGTTCTTGTGACAGTGAGTGAGTTCTCATGAGACCTGGCTTTATAAGGGGCATTTCCCGCCTTGGTTCTGCACTTCCTCTTGCTGCTGCCACGTGAAGAAGGACATGTTTGTGTCCCCTTCCACCATGATTGTAAGTTTCCTAAGGCCTCCCCAGCCATGCTGAACTGTAAGTCAATTAAACCTCTTTCCTTTGTAAGTCACTCAATCTTGAGTATGTCTTTATTAGCAGTGTGAGAACAGACACTGTGAATAGGATAACAGGGAAAAAAGACCACTATTAAATGATAAACTTATAAAAAACAACATCGACTTCCCTTCCACTTTCTTAAAGAATAGAAGTCAAATAAATAGGCAAAAATTGCACACAAAAAACTGAGAAGATTTAGAACCACATTCCATATCTATTGAGATAATCATGTAGTTTTTGTCTTTACTTCTGTTTATGTGATGAATCACATTTATTGATTGAGTATGTTGAACCAACCTTGCATCCTGGGAATAAAGCCTACTTGATCATGGTGGATAAGTGTATTAGCCCATTTTTATACTGCTATGAAGAAATACCAGAGACTGTGTAATTTATAAAGAAAAAGAAGTTTAATGGACTCACAGTTCCACATGGCTGGGGAGGCTTTAAAATCATGGCAGAAGGCGAAGGAGGAGCAAAGGCATGTTTTACATGGTGGCAGACAAGAGAGGGTGTGCAGGGGAACTGCTCTTTATAAAACCATCAGAACTCATGAGACTTATTCACTATCATGAGAACAGCACAGGAAAATCCGCCCCCATGATTCAATTACCTTCCACCGGGTCTTTCCCATGACACATGGAGAAAATGTGAGGTACAATTCAAGAAGAGATTTGAGTGGAGACACAGCCAAACTATATCAATAAGCTTTTTGATGTATTGCTGGATTCAGTTTTTCAGTATTTTGTTGAGATTTCTGCATTGATGTTCATCAAGGATATTCTCCTGAAGTTTTCTTTTTTGTCATATCTCTGCCAGATTTGGGTATCAGGATGATGCTGGCCTCATAGAACGAGTTAGGAAGGAGTCCCCCCTCCTAGATTTTTTGGAATAGTTTCAATAGGAATGGTACCAGCTCTTCTTTGTATATCTTGTAGAATTCAGCCATGAATCCATCTAATCTTGGGCTTTTTTCATTTGGTAGGCTACTTATTCCTGCCTCAACTTCAGAACTCATTATTGGTATGTTCGGGGATTCAATTTCTTCCTATTTCAGTCTTGGGAGAGTGTATGTGTTCAGGAATTTATCCATTTCTTCTAGGTTTTCTAGTTTATGTGCATAGAGGTGTTCATAATATTCTCTGATGGTTGTTTGTATTTCTGTGGGGCCAGTGGTAACATCCCACTTATTTATTCTGATTGTACTTGTTTGAATCTTGTCACTTTTTTTCTTTATTATCCTAGCTAGTGGTCTATCTATTTTATTTTTTTTTTCAAAAAACTAGCTCCTGGATTTGTTGATCCATTGAATGGTTTTTCATGTCTCTATCTCCTTCTGTTCAGCTCTGATTTTGATTATTTCTTGTCTTTTGCTAGCTTTGGGATTTGTTTGTTCTTGATTCTCTAGTTCTTCTAGCTGTGATGTTAGGTTGTTAACTTGAGACCTTTCTAACTTTTTGACGTGGGCATTTAGTACTATAAATTTCTCTCTTAACACTGCCTTAGCAGTGTCTCAGAGATTCTGGTACATTGTATCTTTGTTCTTATTAGTTTCAAAGAACTTCTTGATTTCTGTCTTAATTTCATTATTTACCCCCAAAGTCATTCAGGAGCAGGTCATTCAATTTCCATGTAATTTGTATAGTTTTAAGTGAATTTCTTAGTATTGATTTTGAATATGATTGTGCTGTGGTCTGAGAGACTGTTACGACTTCAGTTCTTTTGCATTTGCTGAGGAGTGTTTTACTTCTGATTAATATGATCAATTTTACAGTAAGTGTCATGTAGCAATGAGAAGAATGTATATTCTGTTGTTTGGGGGTGGAGAGTTCTGTAAATATCTTTCAGATCCATTTGAGTTCTGTAGATATTTATCAAATCCATCTAATTCAGGACCTGAGCTCAGGTCCTGAATATCTTTGTTAATTTTTTGTCTCAATGATCTGTCTAATATTGTCAGTGGGGTGTTAAAGTCTCCCACTGTTATTGGGTGGGAGTCTAAGTCTCTTTGATGGTCTCTAAGAACTTGCTTTATGAACCTGGGTGCTCCCGTGTTGGATGTATATATATTTAGGATAGTTAGATCTTCTTGAATTGAACCCTTTACCATTATGTAAAATATAGGATGATGTAAACTTAGGACAGTTAGATCTTTGTCTTTTTTGTTCTTTGTTGGTTTAAAGTCTGTTTTGTCAGAAACTAGGATTGCAACCCCTGCTTTTTTCTGTTTTTGATTTGCTTACTGGATTTTCCTCCATCCCTTTATTTTGAGCCAATGTGATTATCTCAAATAGATGCAGAAAAGGCTTTTGGTAAAATCCAACATCCATTCATGTTAAAAACTCTCAATAAACTAGTTATTGAAGGAACACACCTCAAAGTATTATGACCCATATATGACAAACCCACAGCCAACATCATACTGAATGGGCAAAAGCTGGAAGTATTCCCCTTGAAAACTGGCACAAGACAAGGATGCCCTCTCTCACCACTCCTACTCAACACAGTATTGGAAGTTCTGGCCAGGGCAATCAGGCAAGAGAAAGAAATAAAAGGCATTCAAACAGGAAGAGAGGAAGTCAAACTATCCCTATTTGTAGATGGCATGATTCCATATCTAGAAAATGCCATCATCTCAGCCCAAAAGCTTCTTAAGCTGATAAACAACTTCAGTAAAGTCTCAGGATAGTGCGAAAATCACTAGCATTCCTATCCTCTAACAACAGTCAAGCTGAGAGCCAAATCAGGAATAAACTCCCATTCACAACTGCCACAAAAAGAATAAAGTACCTTGGAATGAAGCTAACTAGGATGGTGAGAGATCCCTACAAGGAGAACTACAAACTACTGCTCAAAGAAATCAGAGATGACACAAACAAATGGAAAAACATTTCATGCTCATGAATAGGAAGAATCAATATCTGAAAATGGCTATACTACCCACGCAACTTATAGATTCATGCTATTCTCATTAAACTACCATTAAGATTCTTCACAGAACTAGAAAAAACTATTTTAAAAATTCAGTTGGAACCAAAAAGAGCCCAAACAGCCAAGGCAATCCTAAGCAAAAAGAACAAAGCTAGAAGCATCATGCTACTGGACTTCAAACTATACTACAGGGCTACAGTAACCAAAACAGCATGGTTCTGGTACAAGAACAGACACATAGACCAATGGAACAGAATAAAGAACCCAGAAATAAGACTGCACATCTACAACTATCTAATCTTCAACAAACCTGACAAAAACAAGCAATGGGGAAAGGACTCCCTATTCAATAAATGGTGCTGGGATAACTAGCTAGCCATATGCAGAAGATTGAAGCTGGCTCCCTTCCTTACACGATATACAAAAATCAACTCAAGATGGATTAAAAAATGTAAATGTAAAACCTAAAGCTAAAAACACTCTGGAAGACAGCCTAGGCAATACTATTCAGGACATAGGCATGGGCAAAGATTTCATGATGAAGACACCAAAAGCAATTCGCAACAACAACAAAAATGGACAAATGGGATCAAGTAAATGAAAGAGCTTCTGTGCAGCAAAAGAAATTATCAACAGAGTAAACAGCTGACAGAATGGGAGAAAATTTTTGCAAACTATGCATCTGACAAAGGTCTAATATTCAGCCTTTATAAGAAACGTAAACAAATTTACAAGAAAAAAATAAACAATCCGATAAAACGTGGGCAGAGGACATGAATAGACACTTTTCAAAAGAGAACCTACATGCAGCCAACAAGCATAGGAAAAGCTCAACATCACTGATCATTAGAGAAATGCAAATCAGTGGTGTGGAGCCAAGATGGCGGAATAGGAACAGCTCCAGTCTACAGCTCCCAGTGTGAGCGACGCAGAAGATGGGTGATTTCTGCATTTCCAACTGAGGTACCGGGTTCATCTCACTGGGGAGTGTCGGACAGTGGACGCAGGACAGCGGGTGCAGCGCACCGAGCATGAGGCAAAGCAGGGCGAGGCATCGCCTCACCCAGGAAGCACAAGGGTTCAGGGGATTCCCTTTCCTAGTTAAAGAAAGGGGTGACAGACGGCACCTGGAAAATCGGGTCACTCCCACCCTAATACTGCACTTTTCCGATGGTCTTAGCAAACGGCACACCAGGAGATTATATCCTGTGCCTTGCTTGGAGGGTCCTATGCCCACAGAGCCTCACTCATTGCTAGCACAGCAGTCTGAGATCAAACTGCAAGGTGGCAGTGAAGCTGGGGGAGGGGCGCCCACCATTGCGGAGGCTTGAGTAGGTAAACAAAGTGGCCGGGAAGCTCAAACTGGGTGGAGCCCACCGCAGCTCAAGGAGGCCTGCCTGCCTCTGTAGACTCCACCTCTGGGGGCAGGGCATAGCCAAACAAAAGGCAGCAGAAACCTCTGAACACTTAAATGTCACTGTCTGACAGCTTTGAAGAGAGTAGTGGTTCCCCTAGCATGCAGCTGGAGATCTGAGAACAGACAGACTGCCTCCTCAAGTGGGTCCCTGACCCCCGAGTAGCCTAACTGGGAGGCACCCACCAGTGGGGCAGACTGACACCTCACACGGCCAGGTACTCCTCTGAGACAAAATTTCCACAGGAAAGATCAGGCAGCAACATTTGCTGTTCACCAATATCCACTGTTCTGCAGCCTCCGCTGCTGATACCCAGGCAAACAGGGTCTGGAGAGGACCTCCAGCAAACTCCAACAGACCTTCACCTGAGGGTCCTGACTGTCAGAAGGAAAACTAACAAACAGAAAGGACATCCACACCAAAACCCCATCTGTACGTCACCATCATCAAAGACCAAAGGTAGATAAAACCACAAAGATGGGGAAAAAACAGAGCAGAAGAACTGGAAACTCTAAAAATCAGAATGCCTCTCCTCCTCCAAAGGAACGTAGCTCCTCACCAGCAACAGAACAAAGCTGGATGGAAGATGATTTTGATGAGTTGAGAGAAGAAGGCTTCAGATGATCAAACGACTCAGAGCTAAAGGAGGAAGTTTGAACCCATGGCAAAGAAGTTAAAAACCTTGAAAAAAATTAGACGAATGGCTAACTAGAATAACCAATGCAGAGAAGTCCTTAAAGGACCTGATGGAGCTGAAAACCACAGCATGAGAACTACGTGACGAATGCACAAGCCTCAGTAGCTGATTCAATCAACTGGAAGAAAGGGTATCAGTGATGGAAGATCAAATGAATGAAATGAAGTGAGAAGAGAAGTTTAGAGAAAAAAGAATAAAAAGAAATGAACAAAGCCTCCAAGAAATATGGGACTATGTGAAAAGACCAAATCTACATCTGATTGGTGTGCCTGAAAGTGACAGAGAGAATGGAACCAAGTTGGAAAACACTCTGCAGGATATTATCCAGGAGAATTTCCCCAATCTAGCAAGGCAGGCCAACATTCAAATTCAGGAAATACAGAGAACACCATAAAGATACTCCTTGAGAAGAGCAACTCCAAGACACATAATTGTCAGATTCACCAAAGTTGAAATGAAGGAAAAAATGTTAAGGGCAGCCAGAGAGAAAGGTTGGGTTACCCACAAAGGAAAGCCTATCAGACTAAGAGCTGATCTCTCAGCAGAAACTCTACAAGCCAGAAGAGAGTGGGGGCCAATATTCAACATTCTTAAAGAAAAGAATTTTCAACCCAGAATTTCATATCCAGCCAAACTAAGCTTCATAAGTGAAGGAGAAATAAAATACTTTACAGACAAGCAAATGCTGAGAGATTTTGTCACCACCAGGCCGGCCCTAAAAGAGCTCCTAAAGGAAGCACTAAACATGGAAAGGAACAACCAGTACCAGTCACTGCAAAAACATGCCAAATTGTAAAGACTGTCGAGGCTAGGAAGAAACTGCATCAACTAACGAGCAAAATAACCAGCTAACATCATGATGACAGGATCAAATTCACACATAACAATATTAACTTTACATGTAAATGGACTAAATGCTCCAATTAAAAGACACTGACTGGCAAATTGGATAAAGAGTCAAGACCCATCAGTGTGCTGTATTCAGGAAACCCATCTCACATGCAGAGACACATATAGGCTCAAAATAAAGGGTTGGAGGAAGATCTACCAAGCAAATAGAAAACAAAAAAAGGCAGGGGTTGCAATCCCAGTCTCTGATAAAACAGACTTGAAACCAACAAAGATCAAAAGAGACAAAGAAGGCCATTACATAATGGTAAAGGGATCAATTCAACAAGAAGAGCTAACTATCCTAAATATATATGCACCCAATACAGGAGCACTCAGATTCATAAAGCAAGTCCTTAGAGACCTACAAAGAGACTTAGACTCCCACACAATAATAATGGGAGACTTTAACACCCTACTGTCAACATTAGACAGATCAACGAGACAGAAAGTTAACAAGGATATCCAGGAAGTGAACTCAGCTCTGCACCAAGCGGACCTAATAGACATCTACAGAACTCTCCACCCCAAATCAACAGAATACACATTTTTTTCAGCACCACACCACACGTATTCCAAAATTGACCACATACTTGGAAGTAAAGCTCTCCTCAGCAAATGTAAAAGAACAGAAATTATAACAAACTGTCTCTCAGACCACAGGTCAATCAAACTAGAACTCAGGATTAAGAATCTCACTCAAAATCGCTTAACTACATGGAAACTGAACAACCTGCTCCTGAATGACTACTGGGTACATAACGAAATGAAGGCAGAAATAAAGATGTTCCTTGAAACCAATGAGAACAAAGACACAACATACCAGAATCTCTGGGACACATTTAAGACAGTATGTAGAAGGAAATTTATAGCACTAAATGCCCACAAGAGAAAGCAGGAAAGATCTAAAATTGACACCCTAACATCACAATTAAAAGAACTAGAGAAGCAAGAGCAAACACATTCAAAAGCTAGCAGAAGGCAAGAAATAGCTAAGATCAGAGCAGAACTGAATGAAATAGAGAAACAAAAAACCCTTGAAAAAATCAATGAATCCAGGAGGTGGTTTTTTGAAAAGATCAACAAAATTGATAGACCGCTAGCAAGACTAATAAAGAAGAAAAGAGAGAAGAATCAAATACACCCAATACAAATGATAAAGGGGATATCACCACCAATCCCACAGAAATACAAACTACCATCAGAGAATACTATACACACCTCTATGCAAATAAACTAGAAAATCTAGAAGAAATGGTAAAATTCCTTGACAAATACACCCTCCCAAGACTAAACCAGAAAGAAGTTGAATCTCTGAATAGACCAATAAGAGGCTCTGAAATTGAGGTAATAATTAATAGCTTACCAACCAAAAAAAGTCCAGGACCAGATGGATTCACAGCCAAATTCTACCAGAGGTACAAGGAGGAGCTGGTACCATTCCTTCTGAAACTATTCCAATCAATAGAAAAAGAGGAAATCCTCCCTAACTCATTTTATGAGGCCAGCATCATCCTGATACCAAAGCCTGGCAGAGACACAACAAAAAAAGGGAATTTTAGACCTATATCCCTGATGAACATCGATGCAAAAATCCTCAGTAAAATACTGGCAAACCGAATAAGCACTTCAAAAAGCTTATCCACCATGATCAAGTGGGCTTCATCCCTGGGATGCAAGGCTGGTTCAGCATACGCAAATCAATAAACGTAATCCAGCATATAAACAGAACCAAAGACAAAAACCACATGATTATCTCAATAGATGCAGAAAAGGCCTTTGACAAAATTCAACAACCCTTCATGCTAAAAACTCTCAATAAATTAGGTATTGATGGGACGTATCTCAAAATAATAAGAACTATCTATGACAAACCCACAGCCAATATCATACTGAATGGGCAAAAACTGGAAGCATTCCCTTGAAAACTGGCACAAGACAGGGATGCCCTCTCTCACCACTCCTATTCAACATAGTGTTGGAAGTTCTGGCCAGGGCATTCAGGCAGGAGAAGGAAATAAAGGGTATTCAAGTAGGAAAAGAGGAAGTCAAATTGTCCCTGTTTGCAGATGACATGATTGTATATCTAGAAAACCCCATCGTCTCAGCCCAAAATCTCCTTAAGCTGATAAGCAATTTCAGCAAAGTCTCAGGATACAAAATCAATGTGCAAAAATCACAAGCATTCTTATATACCAATAACAGACAAACAGAGAGCCAAATCATGACTGAACTCCCATTTACAACTGCTTCAAAGAGAATAAAATACCTAGGAATCCAACTTACAAGGGATGTGAAGGACCTCTTCAAGGAGAACTACAAACCACTGCTCAACGAAATAAAAGAGGATACAAACAAATGGAAGAACATTCCATGCTCATGGGTAGGAAGAATCAATATTGTGAAAATGGCCATACTGCCCAAGGTAATTTATAGATTCAATGCCATCCCCATCAAGCTACCAATGACTTTCTTCATAGAATTGGAAAAAACTACTTTAAAGTTCATATGGAACCAAAAAAGAGCCCGCATCGCCAAGTCAATCCTAAGCCAAAAGAACAAAGCTGGAGGCATCACGCTACCTGACTTCAAACTATACTACAAGGCTACAGTAACCAAAACAGCATGGTACTGGTACCAAAACAGAGATATAGACCAATGGAACAGAACAGAGCCCTCAGAAATAATGCTCCATATCTACAACTATCTGATCTTTGACAAACCTGAGAAAAACAAGCAATGGGGAAAGGATTCCCTATTTAATATATGGTGCTGGGAAAACTGGCTAGCCATATGTAGAAAGCTGAAACTGGATCCCTTCCTTACACCTTATACAAAAATTAATTCAAGATGGATTAAAGACTTAAATGTTAGATCTAAAACCATAAAAACCCTAGAAGAAAACCTAGGCAATACCATTCAGGACATAGGCATGGGCAAGGACTTCATGTCTAAAACACCAAAAGCAATGGCAACAAAAGCCAAAATTGACAAATGGGATCTAATTAAACTAAAGAGCTTCTGCACAGCAAAAGAGACTACCATCAGCGTGAACAGGCAACCTACAGAATGGGAGAAAATTTTTGCAATCTACTCATCTGACAAAGGGCTAATATCCAGAATCTACAATGAACTCAAACAAATTTACAAGAAAAAAACAAACAACCCCATCAAAAAGTGGGTGAAGGATACGAACAGACACTTCTCAAAAGAAGACATTTATGCAGCCAAAAGACACATGACAAAATGCTCATCATCACTGGCTGTTAGAGAAATGCAAATCAAAACCACAATGAGATACCATCTCACACCAGTTAGAATGGCTATCATTAAAAAGTCAGGAAACAACAGGTGTTGGAGAGGATGTGGAGAAATAGGAACACTTTTACACTGTTGGTGGGACTGTAAACTAGTTCAACCATTGTGGAAGTCAGTGTGGCGATTCCTTGGGGATCTAGAACTAGAAATACCATTTGACCCAGCCATCCTATTACTGGGTATATACCCAAAGGATTATAAAACATGCTGCTATAAAGACACATGCACACGTATGTTTACTGTGGCACTATTCACAATAGCAAAGACTTGGAACCAACCTAAATGTCCAGCAATGATAGACTGGATTAAGAAAATGTGGCACATATACACCACGGAACACTATGCAGCCATAAAAAAGGATGAGTTCATGTCCTTTGTAGGGACATGGAAGAAGCTGGAAACCATCATTCTGAGCAAACTATCGCAAGGAGAAAAAACCAAACGCCGCAAGTTCTCACTCATAGGTGGGAATTGAACAATGAGAACACATGGACACAGGAAGGGGAACATCACACACTGGAGCCTGTTGTGGGGTGCGGGGACGGGGGAGGAATAGCATTAGGAGATATACCTAATGTTAAATGACTAGTTAATGGGTGCAGCACACCAACATGGCACATGTATACATATGTAACAAACCTGCACGTTGTGCACATGTACCCTAAAACTTACAGTATAATAATAAAAAAAAAGAAATGCAAATCAAAACCACGATGAGATATCATCTCACACCAGGCAGAATGACTATTATTAGAAAGCCAAAAAATAACAGATGCTGGTGAGGTTGTGGAGAAAAAGGGATGCTCATACACTGTTGATGGGAGTATAAATTAGTTCAGGCATTGTGGAAGACAGTGTGGCAACTCCTCAAAGACCTAATGACAGAAATACCATTTGACCTGGCAATCCCATTACTGGGTATATACCCAAAGGAATAGAAATCATTATGTTATAAAGACACATGCACACATATATTCATTGCAGCTCTATTCACAATAGCAAAGATGTGAAATCAATCTAAATGCCCATCAATGATAGACTAGATAAAGAAAATGTGATAAATATACACCATAGAATACTATGCAGCCATGAAAAAGAACAAGATCATGTCCTTTGCAGAGATGGATGGAGCTGGATGCCATTATTCTTAGCAAACTAACATGGAAATAGAAAAACAAATACCACATGTTCTCACTTGTATGTGGTAGCTAAATTATGAGAACATACACACACATAGAGGGGAACAACACACAACACAACAACAACACACACCTTTCAGAGGGTGGAGGGTGAGAGGAGGGGGAGGATCAGGAAAAACTACTAATGGGTATTAGGATTAATACTTGGGTGATGAAATAATCTGTAAAACAAACTTTTGTGACACAAGTTTACCTATATAAGAAATCTGCACGTTACCCCTGAACTTAAAAGTGAAAAAATAACGAACTGCATTCCATTAGAACTAGCCGTGAAATAAAAAGATATTTCCAAGAAAGCTTCAGGAATAGACTTCCCAAGAAATTTTATAAAACCAGAATTGATTTTCACATGTCTGGGATATTTAGATGTAGCCTTGCCTCAAAGAAACCCTTCGAGGTTTTTTCCAGCCGTATGATTCCATGACAGGATGCTGGGGCTACAGTAATCCTTGGTTGATCCAAGAACATAGAGAGCCTAGCATCTGCCTGCCATGTAGAAGCACTGCACAAAGGTCTCATGTATATGATTCATTACATGTGCGTAAATGGAATACAATTGTCTATTTTTAGGCCAACTTGTGGTATCTCCATAATTTTCAGATTTTCCATTATTAAAAAAAAAAAAAGAGAGAGATTCGACCGGGCGCGGTGGCTCACGCCTGTAATCCCAGCACTTTGGGAGGCCGAGGCGGGCGGATCATGAGGTCAGGAGATCGAGACCATCCTGGCTAACACAGTGAAACCTCATCTCTACTAAAAATACAAAACATTAGCCAGGCATGGTGGCGGGCGCCTGTAGTCCCAGCTACTTGGGAGGCCGAGGCAGGAGAATAGCATGAACCCGGGAGGCAGAGTTTGCAGTGAGCCGAGATCGCACCATTGCACTCCAGCCTGGGTGACAGAGTGAGACTCTGTCTCAAAAAAAAAAAAAAAAAAAAAAAAAAAGATTCATCCTTAAGTCATTTAAATAAAATGATGGAAGAATGATTTCTATGTAAGTGATTTAAAAGCACAGGCACTTGATCCAAATCCTTCTGGGATACAAAGCATCCCAAAGTACATAACACAATTTCTTGCCTTATTAAGCTACAGCTTCATTACACAATTTAACCTCTTTTAGATGACTCACAGTCATCATCTATAAAATTTAATTCAACACACATTTGAGGAACATCCACTATTTCAGCACAATACCAGGTTTGCCAGTCTATGCCCATGTCTAACAATAACGCAAGAGATTGTGGTTATGTCAAAGTGAGGTTGAAAGTCAGTGCTGGGAGTACTGGGGCAGGATGGAACTGGGATCCCAGGGAAGGCAGGTAAGCATGAGGACAAAGAGCTCAGCCCGCTGTGGGTTGCAGATCCCATCTTCCTTTGCTAACCTGCGTGACCCTGGCCAGATTGCAGAGTCTTCATTTCAGTATCACTGAGTGAAGATAACAATCATAACACCTCCTGCGTAAGGTAGTCACCAGAATTAACTGATGCAAAACAGTATTTTTAAAAATGTGAGTCATAGGAGGAATTTAATGGAACATGACAATCACTTTAAAAACAAAATGAAATAGAATAGAAAAAAAGTCAAATGGAACAGAAAATATCGGAGGGCATCACGTGTAGTAAATGTAAGTTTGTGGTGTGCGAGTACTTTCGTGGCGTGATTATAACTTATATTTTCTATCGTGGGTCACCATAGGGCAAGTTCAAAAACCATAGGTATAAAGCTTTTGGCACTCGGTGCCTAATGTGTAGCCAGTGATAAAAAGTGGTGAAATAAAAATACAGCATTTAAGTTGAGCTTTAAACAATAAACATTTTTACCAAAGAGGATGGAATGGAAAAGGTAAGAAAAACCCAATACGTGTACACACACACACACACACACACATACACACACGTGCACAAATGCAGACACATATGAGACATGGTATTACTTAGATATTGGATGGAAGAAGGTTTTTAGAATATGAAACTAGACAGGAGATGCAGCTGGATTGTGGAAATCTATCTAGGTCATATTGAGAATTTTGAATGTCTTTAGGTAAAAACTGCGAAGTCATCCAATAAATTTGCACTAGGAAATAACATGCTCAGATTCAGAATTGGAAAAAGGAATTGTGACAGGGATGTGGACAACAGACTGGGAGTTGAGCCTGGCAGTGGGAAGGCTTCTGACTTGGTTTTGATTCTCCAGGGGAGGACCTGAAGCAAGGCAATGGCATTGGGTGTGAAAGGAAGGAGATTAAGAAGACATTGCATTGGGAGGCCGAGGCAGGCCGATCACTTGAGGTCAGAAGTTTGAGAGCAGCCTGGCCAACATGGTGAAAACCCCATCTCCACTAAAACCACAGAAATTAGCCTGGTGGGGTGGCGGGTGCCTGTAATCCCAGCTACTCAGGAGGCTGAGGCAGGAGAATCGTTTGAACCTGGGAGGTGGAGGTTGCAGTGAGCCGAGATTGCGCCACTGCACTATAGCCTGGCGACAGAGTGAAACTCCGTCTCAAAACAAACAAACAACAAAAAAGACATTGCAGAGAGCTCTTGTGACATGATGTCACTTTGCTCATTTATTTCCTCTGATCATATTACCCTTTCCTGCCTCTGATTCATCAGGTAAAATTCTTCTCTTCCTGCAAGCCAGGGCTAGCTATGTGTTCCAAGCAACCATCTCTGGCCGTATGTTTGAGTGACACCCAGTCCGCGCTCCTGCACTGTGCTGTGCACATCATTGCTGTGTCCTCTGTCACATCACACAGAAGGGTGACATTGTCTAGTGTTTCCTGCCTTCCCTGGAACTTCTGGGTATGGGTTTGGAGCGTACGTCATGGTCCCTTTGTGGTTAAGACATGGACCAGAATCTTATGACAGATTCTGGCTCGTGATTTGTGCTTGGAGCGTTTACCTGCCTATGTCAGCGCCTCAGAGATTTCTTTCTCTTTGTCATGAAACCTGCCTGGGTCCTTCCTGGAGTGAAGATAGCATGGCATGTACTACCACATACTCACAATGAGCATGATCGTGAAAGAAAAATAAAACCATTGGTTGTTGTATGGTTGTTGTAAATCACTGAGGTTTCAGGCCTGTTTGTGATGCCCCCTAACTCAGCATCTCTTGATTGATGTGATTCAGAACCTGGCTCAGAGCTTGGTGTAAGAGTAGTGCTCTATGTTTATTTGTGGTAAAAATGAATAAATGATTAGGAGAGGAACTATAGGTAGCTTGAAGGCTTCTGGTCAGAAGGCAGCAGATTTTGTTAGATCGTAAGCTAAATCAGAACACAGGAAAAGAGGGAGACACAAGTATAAATGTGTTTGTGGGCACATTGAATGCGAAGTACTGGAGAGGTCTTCCTGAGTACGCAGATGGTGGTAAGCTGGAAATATAGGACTGACGGTTCTCTAAGATTGTCAGGATAGAGATAAAAAATGCGAACTCTTTAATTTCAGATGATAGTTACATTATAAGAACAGATTCAATGATCCACAGAGATAGTGAAGAATATTAAGAGATAAAGGAAGAATATTGGGAAATGCCTACATTTAAGGGTGGGAAGCAGAGGGACAAGAAGCAACAAAGAATAAAAAACATGATAATGGAAGCTAAGAGAAGGAGGATTTTAAAAGCAAATTGCTATCTAGTAGCGTCACTATATGCTACAGTGACATGAAATAGGGAGGGTACTGGGAGGGAGGAACGACGTTTTAATACAGCCAGGAGGTCCGTGTTCCGTGTGAGAGAGGAAGAATGAACACAGCGATGAGTATCATTGTAGATACAGATGAGCACGTTAGATGCTGCTTTCCAGATTCCACGTTATACCACTTTTCCACTCCTTGAGATTCCTGCACATTTCTGGTTCTCGGAAGTCCCCTTTCGCTCTCAGCCTGACTATGGCTTTATTTGATGCAGTCTGTGGCTGATTGGGAGGCAAACACACACCTGTTGCCTGGGGTGGGAAGCTGTCTGGACCTGGTGAGTTACTTTGCCTCCCAGAAGACTTGTTTAATTCTAAGTTATGGGCTACAATGTGGAGAACTTAATTGCCCAGGTCTTCTGGGTAAGAAGAGTAGTGGTGTATTCTCACTGATTAACTCAGCAACATTTATTGAGCACCTACTATGTACAGGAACTGAATAACATTATCATCTGAAGCTGGAATAACCAATGTGAATCACAGCTCAGAGATATTTTATGCCTTCTGATTTTTAGTTTTCATTAATGAGAAGTCTGTGCTTCCTAATTTTACATTTCTAAGCTCCGCAAATGAGATTAGCATTGTGAAACAGACAATGTCTATATCATAATGCTTATTTAATGTGTATATAGTAAAAGCAGTCTGTTTGTGAAAGTTTTTCAGACTGCTTTTATGTAGACGGGAGCGTTGGGGAGGAAATGAAGCTTGGCTGTTTTCTTCCTGGGACCTTAAAAGGGTTATCTCACGTCTTTGGATTTTCATTGCTTATAATAGATTGTTTGATCATTCAAACCACTATATATTAAAATTAATAGCCAGAATCCACAAATTATGTGGATGAGGCTCTGAATCAAATGACTTTTGAGATTTTGCAGTTTGAATCTCTGATTGGGGAGTTTAATATCTCATTGCACTGTTGGACCCCCGAGGGAAAGTTCATGTTCAGTCCACATCATCTTTAGACAACCTGTTTGTAGATTCATTCTCAGTTACCCTAACTTGTCATCTGGCCACATGCAAGTTTCAAATTCTAATGTCTTTTTCTAAGCTAAACTGAGAGAGCACCATGAAATAAATGCCTATCAGCAGACATTATATGTCACATATTAGAGAAAAAAGCTTGTCTATTTTAACAGGGTTCTTTCCCAAGAAGGGGAGATGAATTTGGGATCTTGAGAGAAAATGACATCAGCGAGGAGGTTAGCTGAGGGACTCTTATAAAAGGGACCAAATTACAAGGCATATTGTGTCCTGATTTATCCCCCTATGTTCTACATTTAACTATGAAATCATTTCAAAGAAAAAAAAATTCAGATTTATGAGCAAGGAAAATATCTAGAGCTCATACTGTCCTCTGGTGGTCATTCGCACACATAGCCAGAAATGCAAATGCCTTGGAAAACTTGACAGCATCTAGTTTACCGACTGAAAGTCAAATTGCAGAAACTGATGAAAACAAAACAAAACAAAAAAACACCCTCTTTCCTGTACTTTAAAGTTTCTTGATCATTTCATATTTAAAACAGAATAATGGATACTATTTACAAGTATTCACCTCTGAAGAGAAATAATTGTCTCTGAGCTTGACTCTCACTGATACTATTTGATGTAAAAAATAGGTCTCGTGCTCTTAAATGATGGTTGAGATAGATAGACAGGAAGGTGGATATGGAGAGGGAACTGTTTTTAGTTCACTTCACTTCAATTAAGATGCTCTGGGGTTCTGGGACCTCCTTGTAACACTTTCTAGGTATTATCTCCTGGAAGAACACAGGCACCTGCCCATCATATTTCTATGTCTCTAGTCTTTTTAATATGGTCAAAAGGCAACACAGAGATACCCTGATAAAAATCTCAGCTGTTATTTCCCACCTTTTTCTGGTGGGTTTGCTCTCATTACTGTCTTTTTTTTTTTTTTTTTTTTTTTTTTGAGACAGAGTCTTGCTCTGTTGCCCAGGCTGGAGTGCAGTGGTGACATTTTGGCTCACGGCAACCTCCACCTCCCAGGTTCAAGAGTTTCTCCTGCCTCAGCTCCTCCCAAGTACCTGAGATTACAGGCATGTACCACCACACCTGGCTAATTTTTGTATTTTTTGTAGAGGCGGAGTTTCATACGTTGGCCAGGCTGGTCTCAAACTCCTGGCCTCAAGTGATCCTCCTGCCTTGGCTTCCCAAAGTGCTGGGATTACAGGCGTGAGCCACCGTGCCTTGCTGGCCCTCATTACTGTCCCTTTTGAGAGTGTGTTGTTAAGATCCTGGGCAGGTCAAATCCCATTGTTCTGTGGGTGAAGAGACAGGAGAAATCCTGGGGAAATGCGTTTCTACCCCATCTAACAACACCTGTGTGACTTTGTTTTCAGGATAGGATGTTTTTTCTTCCTTTTCTATTGTATGTAATTCTTAGGCCAGGAGGACAGAGCCAAATACAGCCTGTATCATCCACAAATAGGGGCTTTCTCAGTAAGCATCAGTCACTAAGGACTCATTTCAAGTAAGCCAGGTAGGGATTTTTAGTGCAGAGATAAAGATAAGATGATTGAGAAGACAAAACGAGAGGAAGCTGCTGGTCTTTCTATACCCTGCTAGGTGCTTTCTAGCCTGTTAGAGTCAAAAGAGCAACCGTGAATCCCATAGCAAAGAGATCAATGAATGAATGAGTGAATACTAATACAGATGCAATTCAAGTTCTAGTGGAAAATGAGTATACTTTATTTCAGCAATAATTTTTGTCTCTCTTTGGTGAATACGGGACATGTCAGTGATAAGCAGAAAAGCAGAAGCCACCCTGGGCATTGAGGGCACAATGGCTCAGCTTTTTTTCAGTGTCTACGCTGCTCTCCATCTCTGGGCTTTGATAGTAGGATTCAGTAAGTGAGGATTAACAGCATATTGAAAACCACATAAGAAGCCCAGAAAAATGTTGTGGAGTCTAACTCTGACTATTTACGTTTACATATTGACTTCAAGGGCAGAGTACTGCCATGAATGCATAAGCAGTAGAGAACACACCTTGCTTTTTCAGCAACAGACGGAACTTCATGGGCCAAGCAAGCCCACACACTCTCACACACTCACTGTTGGGGTACACCAGGCCTCAGGGGCACCTGTGGACTCTGAGCTTGGGCAAACATATCACCTTGATTAAAAGATTAATCCATAAATTTGTTTGGGAATATTTTTCAGCCCTAACAAGGAAGGAGATTCCATCGCATGCTACAACATGGATGAACCTTGAGGATATCATGTCAAGTGAAACGAGCTGGTCACTAAATGACAAATGCTATATCATTCCACATGCATGAGGTCCCTAGAGGAGTCAAATCCAGAGACAGAAAGTAGAATGGTGGGTGCCATGGGCTGGTGGGAGGGAGGATAGGGAATTCGTGTTTAATGGGGACAGAGTTTCGGTTTTGTAGAGTTCTGGAGATGGATGGTGGTGATGGCTTCACAACAACGTGAAGGTATGTAATACTGATGAACTCAATAATCAAAGTGGTCAAGAGGGTAAGTTTTACGTTATGTGTATTTTACCAGAAAGGAAACAAAACCAGTGTGTATATTCACTCAACAAACGCTTAGTGAATGACTACATGTGTCAAGTTCTATGCTGGGAGCTGGAGATACAAAGATGGAAGAGACATGGCACCTGCTGCAGAAAATGTCATAATGTTTCCATGAAGACATCGTCAATTTTGGTGGGTCATTTTAATGTTTTCTTTTCTTTAAAATTTCCCTTTTTGATATGTTTTGGTGTGGTCTCAGAAGCAGTCTAACTTTATAATGATTATTCAGCAGGAATAATATGAACGATAACAAAAACCACACTTTGAAATAGTAAATAACTTTTAGTTCCTTCACAATGAACCAGGCTGACTGCTGTAACTGTAAGGGTAATAGATCTTCATTAAAGTCCCTCATTTCTAGCACAATAGGGTTTTGCCTGCTATTCTTTTCCCTGTGAGAGATGGAGGAGGGAAAGAAGGGAGGGATAGGGTGGGAGGGAAGGAAGGAGGGAGGGAAGGAGGGAGGGAGGGAGAAGGGAGGGAGGGAAGGCGTGAAGTGCTTATCATGATGAGTCCAACAGTAAAATCAATAGGTGTTGTCCACTGACTATCAATTAAGGCACAATCAAGGCCTCTGGGTTTTGATTTTGATCAGGCTGCTGGCAGTTTAGTGGGAACTCACCAAATAAACAATAATTCCAGACAATTGTCCCCCTTGTCATGATTCAGGAGCGTATTTTCAAATGAGGTGTAAATGAGGACTTTGTTTTGTATGTGGAGACAGCAGGGGCAAAACAAAACCACTGGAAAGACCCAGGTAGGTGGGAAACAAAGGAACGAAACTGTCCAGTGCGAGCACCTGCAGCTCGTCCCTGGCAGACGCTTGAAAGGCACTTGGTTATTTACCAACTTACTGTGGGATAGGGGTGGGAGCAGAATACAGTGTACTTTCGGATGATGCCGTTCAGCTTGAGAGGGGGAAGCCAGGACACAAAGACCATGGAGGCTGAGGCCGCCGCTGCCTTCACACCCGCGGGAGGACCTGGAACTGGAAGAGCCGTGTGTTTAGTCACAAGGTGGGGCCTCAACTTGGGCTTGCGGACCCACGCTTCCCAACATGACCCCACTCCGCACTTACTGTTCAGCTCTTTCAGGATGAGCGTTATGGGTTCCGCTGTGTCCCCCCAAATGCATATGTTGAAGTCCTAACCCCCAGGACCACAGAATGACACTGTAATTGGAGGTAGGGTCTTTACAGAGGTAATCAAGTTAAAATGAGTTTGTTAGGGTGGTCCCTAATCCAGTACTTCTGGTGTCCTTATAAAAAGGGCCAGTTTGGACACAGAGACAGACATGTATAGAGGGAAGATGATGTGAAGACACAGGGAGAAGAGGGCATCTATAAGCCAAGGAGAGAAGCCCAGGACAGATGCTTGTCTCAAAGCTCTTAAAGAGAACCAGCCCTGCAGACACCTTGATTTTGGACTTCTGGCCTCCAGAACTCAGAGACAGCAAATAAATTCCTAATGTTGGAGTCTGTGGTCCTTTGTAGCTCTAGGACCTAATACAGTCAGTTCTAGTCCCTCTTGTCCTGGGGAGTCTTCCCAACCCATTTCAGCCCCTGGCAACTTCCTGCCTCTGGATAACTGGAGAATTAACTTCTGGATCAGTCTCATTTCTGCTGCAGTTTTTGGCTTTGAATGTACTGGGGATGAACCTTTTGGATCCTGAATTTGAGAAGCATGAGGGTGAACTACCTCAGCCATCAGAGACCCCACCCTCCCTCACCCTAGTCATTTTGTAATGGCACCACTTTGGGCTCAGGAGAGGTATGGAAATATTGTTGATGAATAGGGATTATTGGGTCAAAGATTCACAGTATCCATGTAAGACAAACTCTCCTCTGTAAACCAGCTAAGAAGGCAGAACATGGTGGCAGCAATACTAAGCATGATTTGGGAGTGAGATTGAAGGCATGTCCCACTCCTCTTGTTCTTTTATTTTCCAGGTTGAAGAGGTGAGGGCGGGTGAGATGGCCAAGACAAGAAGATGCCAAAATGTCAAAGGTGCCAGTGAGGAAGGCATCAGAGCTCTTGCTTTGTTTCTCATTAACCTCACTGTCCATATGGAGGGCAACCACATTGATGGAGACATTGAAATTCAAACCAATAGAAGTCCCTTGCAAGCCCCTGGAGAAATCTGTGAGTCTTTTACTGCTTTGATGGCAATGCAACTGCTCAGTAAATTGTTTTGGAGTTGAATGTGCTTCTCATAATCGTCACCTTGACTCTTCTAAGTCTGCATAACAAAACCAAGAGCTCTGGTGAGAACTAACTTGGGTTGGACATAGTCACCATTTGAAAATATAAAATCTTGGTAATCCATTTTTGGCAAGTCTTGCTAACAGTGGAAGGTCTAGAAAAGGTAACACACATAAATGATAGATCCTGGGTTAAAAAATCCCTTGAGAACAAACCTCTATCAGGTGAGGGTAATGTCTAAGACATCCACAACCTAGTTCAGAGCTGCCAGGGTTCCTCCTGAACAACAAGGGCAGAGTGAACGTTTCCTGGGGATTTTAATCCTAGTAGACACCCCAGCTTAGCCAACACTCTCAGTCCTTTCCATAAAGCCCCTGGTTGGTGTTCACCACAGTGAACATTCTTGCTGGACAGCTTCTCTTTAGGAGGCCAAGTAGTTTAGCACCAACCAGTTGAATGGCTGCTGAAGAGGAGTCAGTTGTATTTGTTTCCAACCTGTTTGTGACAATTGTACGTGTCATGGGTAGTACTGTAAGTTAATTAATTACGTAAACCAATGAAATTCAAGTGCAAGAGAAAGCTGTTTCTATGACAGTTAATGGGACTACTTTGGAAAGCCTTCCTTAGAGGTAAGTTAGAAAAGAAATTAAAAAGAGAAAGAAATGAAGGAGGGAAGAACAAAAGGAATGAAGGAGGGAAGGAAGGAAGAAAGGAAAGAGGGAAGAAAAAAGAAAGGAAGGAAGGAAGGAGGGAAGGAAGAAGGGAAGACAAAAGGAAAGAAGGATAAAAAAGAAAAGAAAGAAGAAAAGAAGGAAAGAAGAAAGGAAAGAAAGAAGAAGGCCGATCTATGTTTGGTCAGGACCACTGAGAAGAATGGGACATGTGGATTTGTCCCAATTTGCAAACAGATCGTTGGTAAATGGTCACATGCTCTTACTTGAGACACCAGTTGAAAAATGCAGATGCTACACATTAAATGCAGTTCATGGAGTAAAAGATGGCACAGAGCTCCAATCTTTTCACCCAAAACTTCAAGAAGTGATCCTAAGTCATGTGATTAGAGAATGATTAGGGAATAAATACATATTTATATGTTTTAAGTTAAAATGCAACATTTCAGGTACTTCCTGGCCACTGCAAAGTTTGGTGATTCCTTGTTTTAAGTGATGATTTCCGTGAGCATGCCTGTGTCACAGCCGATCAAGGGACTTTTACTGCACCATCTAAACTCGCAGTTGGCTCCTCCTGCATGGATTTATGATCTATCTTACACAGTCTTTCCTTGTATGGTTACTAGAACTTTGTACAATAAAATAACAACATAGATAAGTTGAAGAACACGGCATTTTGGAAGGTTTTCTGGATGACTGAGCTAATCTTTTCAGAGCTAGAACTTAACATTTTAGTTCTGGTTTGGACAACATCATAAAGCTTAAAGGTGTGGGCCCTGGAGCCTCACTGCTGGTTTCATGCGGCTCTAGCACTTAGTTCCACGTCCTGGACAAGCTGATTAACTTCTCTAATAATCTTTAGTTCCCTCATTTATAAATCTACAATAATAACTGTGCTGGCTTATGTTTTTACTGTTAGAATTATAAGAGATAATTCATGTAAATCATTTATTTATTGTTCTCTGTACAGTAAGCACCAAATAAGTTCTAGCTATCATCTCTAATAACCATCCTTATGTCCTTGGATTATATGTCACTAAATGATACTAGCCTTTACTTTGTGACTCAGTGGTGAATGACAAACACCAGACACTGAGAGTTGCAGAAGACAGAGATGGCATAGGATGGAGTAAAAAACGGTATATGTCTGTCTGGGACATATTTTCTTGAAACATTCTTAGTGACCACATTCCATTTTGGTAATCTGAGTTTTTCTTATGAAGGTCAAAACAAACTTGGGAAGTTTTCATGAATTCCTGGGCATCATAGAGAGGAGTTCTGCATTTAAGTTTAATTGATTGCAGTAAAGAATGTGGCCTTCAGAGAATCCTCTCTTCTACATTCCTCCAATGCACCTGGACATCCCTTCTGAGCTGCAGATGCTTCTGTGTCTCATGTGTCCAATTGGCTGAGATGTTTCACACGGGCACCTTAGACCGACATAGTCACAACAGCACTCACCATCTTCTATCCAAACCTGTGCTTCTCTTGCCCCATCTCAGGAAATGGCCCCATCATCTTCTCAGTTGCAAGAACCAGGACCTGGAATTCTCTTCCTGCTGTCACTTGATGGGCCCTTTGGAGGTCCACATGGACAGGACAGGTCAGCAGTTGGGCTCTCCCCCTGATCTGATGGTGCTCCCCAACACTGAGCTCTGTTTCAGTTCCCTGAACGTGGTTTGCTTCTCCCACCCCGGGCCCTTGGGATGCCATGATCCAGGGCCTTGGGATGCCTCTGTCTGGAGTTTTTCCCACCCTCTGCCTTCTTCCTGGCAACTCTTACTCATCTCTCAGGTTCTAGCACACGTCATTTCCTCCAGGAAGTCTTCCCTGATCACCAGCTTAGGTCAGGTCAGGGCTCCCATGTCTCTGTTGAGACTCTTCTTCATCATTGCACTTGACACAGTCCACTCAGGGGTGATCTATCAACGTCTGTCTCCCCCACTAGCTTGCAAACCCCACCATGCCCATCCTGTTTCTCTGCATCTTTAGTTCCTGGGCCAGTATCTGGAACATACTAGATCCTCAATACAGATTTTCCAAGAGTGGAAAAATGATTTCATTCGTGTCTGTGTGGTAGGCAGGATTCTACAATGGGTCCCCAAGATCCTTACCTTCTAGTGTATGTGCCTGGGTGATTCCTTCCCCTTGAATGGGTGTGGCATCTGTTACTATGATGGACAGATTCCTCCCATGGGCAGGTTGTGCCATGTGGCAAAGGTGAAGGGCTTGTTCAGGTATCATTGAGGTTCTAATCACTTGACTTTCAGTTAATGAAAAGGAAAGTTTCCTGGGTGGGCTGGGTTTAATCAGATGCGCCCCTTAGAAGAGGAGATGGAGGTCAGAGACAAAAGAGGTCAGAGGGATTGGAAGCCATGTGAGACTTTCCTATTGGTCCTGAAGAAGGAAGCTACCATGCTGTAGGGGGTGTGACAGGGAGTAACAGGCAGCCTCTGGAAGCTGGTGACTCCAGCCTCATAACCAAACAAAAAAAAAAAAAAAAAAAGATCCCATATCCTGTGAGCCTGGGAGACCTTGACCTCAGATGAGGGCACAGGCCCAGCTCACACCGTGATTCATCTGTCGGACCCTCAGCAGGGGACTCAGCTCAACCAGACCTGGATGCCTGACCCTTAGAAACGATGAGATAAGACATTTGTATTGTTTTAACGTGTTAAGGTTGTAGCAATCTGTTCCACAGCATAGAAAATAAATACAAGTGGGTAAGCCCTCCTGTAACATACCTTAATGTAAAAATACCACAATCATTTTTCTGAAACAGTATTGCCTTGTTTTGAAGTATGAATATCGGACAAAAGTCTGACTAAACACCCACACAGACACCGCAGTCAGCTTCATTTTTTTTCACCATCATTTTTCTGGTCTTAGTAAACAGCCACAGGCAGGTGTGTGTGTGACTTGTGCATGCACAAACATGCATGTACATATGTGGTACACCATGGTAGCCAGATCCTTCTGAACCCACAACTTTTCAGTGGCTTTTCCTGAGCCATGCCGTGCCGTGCAGATGCTACGATCCTGGAGGGACATGTCACATTCACAGCTGTCATCCCACCAAGCATGCACATATGTCCCTTTTCTCTTCCCATGTCCATAAGACTCTAGTATTTTTGGCCTTTCCTCTCACTAGAGCAAGAGTGTTCATTCTTTAAATGTTTGACTGATCCTTTAACCAAATCATCATGTGGAAACCCAGCACATAACACAAGTGGAAGTGGGGTGGCTCTTGAAGCTGGGGTCAGGGAGAGAATGGAGTCTCCCACTGGGCCTCTTGCTTACCACTGGGCACTGCTGAGGCCCACCTAGTTTGAGGTAAGAACCTAGTTTGGGATCCACTGCAGTGGAGGGAGTGTGGAAAGCCACATGGTAGAATCTCTTCTAGGACATCTTGTCTGTCGTGTTGCTGGTATACCTGCCACTGCACATGGCACACTACCATAGGCTATAGAGCACTGGAATCTTGAGCAGTGTGGATTGGCAGTACTTCCCAGTGTCTACTGAGGGGCAGCACCACTGGTGGCTATGCAAACATAGCATGCAATCTACCCCCTTTCAGGTCTACTGAGGTGTGGTCACATAGTCACCCCAGCACACGTCACAGGCACACACTATCCACACCTTCACAAGTATGTATGGCTCAAAGTATGGGTGGTCAGAAGATTCAGAGGTATCCAGATGTCAGCTTATTTTTTTGCTTCCTCTTAGCTCTACTTTCAGATCTCCTCCCAATGAGATTGCTAATTGATGGTGGGGAGGGAGTAGAGATCACATATTACACCTGCTGCTGGCCCTCTCACATGTACCTTCAGAGTTAGGTGCATTAGTGATGTGTTCAGTAAATATTTGAACTTAACTATCTCTATTGATACATATGCAAAGTTTACTCTTGTGTAAAGGGATCAAGGCTGAAACTAGCTTTTGCCTTCAGAGTGAAAACAGCAATTGGAAGATTAATAGATTGCATTTTGTTTGTGTTCTCTTTCCTTACGGCTTGACTCGTATTATAGTATTGGCAAATAAAATGGCATCAGGATTTCACAACTGTTTTTAGAAGTCAGGTTTAGTTGCTGTTGTGCTCAAAAACAGAAAAGCCAGATCACCAAGTCGTCCTTCGTGTTTCTGCAGCAATAATGGGGTACAAGTTCTCACTGATAGAGCAGTCCTGGAAAGAGAACGTGAACTGTGAGCAGTAGTCACAGACCCCAAAAAATATGTCCATGCACCTGAGTCTATATTTATGGATAAAAGATGATATCCATGGCCCTGAGACTCTGACTACAGGCATGAGAATATGTCCATGTACCTGAGACTCTATTTACGGATGAGAGATGATATCCATGGCCCTGAGGCTCCGACCACAGACATGAGAATATGTCCATGCACCGGAGACTATAGTTATGGATAAGAGACTATGTCCATGGCCCTGAGATTATGACCACAGACATGAGAATGTGTCCATGGAACTGTGAATATGACTATGAGCCCAAGAATCTTTAGATAGTGGTAGAGAAACTACCTGTAGAGAACAAGCACAGACTTGTCCTCTAAACAAATATTTCTATTGCAAATAATCCCTTGCAAAAGTACAATTTTGCCTTTATTAGGGTTAAGTTTCTCTTTTTAGTATGACCAGTGACCTAATAACACAGTTTAAGCCTCCAGGCTCCCTAGATTAGGAAGACTGGTACAGGACGTGTGTCTGGCATAGACAACTGAATCGGATGCTCGCTGTTAATGTAGCTATCTTTCTTCGCTTGCAAGAACGTTGATAAACGCTGAAACTTCAACCTGAGCCTAAAATAGTATCTTATTGAGAAAGAACTGAGCAAATGTTGGTAATTATTATTTTACTGGAAATCTATCTGTATTTTTACACAATTTAATTGAAATTGTAAGTGTAATCCAAACTTCAAAATTACAAAGCTTTCTCATTGAAGTATAAATACGATCTGTAATCAATTTGACTGGGCATTTGTTCTCTGAATTGTCCTTTGTCCCTTCTTCCAATCAGATAAATAAAATAGCATTTAATTCTGTAAACTGCTGAAATGCCTAATTATATTAGGTATTGAGTCTACAAAAGTGGTTGACACAATTCTTCACCGTTTCTAAATTATTGAATTTTTCATGTGAACCTGGGAGATGAAGTGATATTATTCTAGTTCTTCTCTTCTTCCACCCAATCTTCACTCCACCTCTTTTTTCTTTTTGAGACAGAGTCTCGATCCGTCACCCAGGCTGGAGTGCAGTTGCACGATCTCAGCTCACTGCAGCCTCTGCCACCTGGGTTCAAGTGATTCTCCTGCCTCAGCCTCCCGAGTAGCTGGGATTAGAGGTGCCCACCACCACACCTGGCTAATTTTGCATTTTTAGTAGAGACAGGGTTTCACCATGTTGGCCAGGCTGGTCTCGAACTCCTGGCCTCAAGCGATCCACCACTCCACTTCTTTTTGAAAATGCAGACTTATCCTAAAGAAATATTGACACTCAGTTCTGCATAGTCCTTGTCCCATACCACCAGCAAAAGTGGGATTCATGGCATCTTCCTTGGGGTAACTGGGGTACCCAAGGCAGGGTTTTCGATAGTCAATCCCAGCTCCATACACTATCAGCACTGGAGACAAAAGCAAAGCATAATTGATTGACAAATTAGACCTTGGGCCTTGGGGTCAAGTTTTGAGACAGAACTCCATGATTCTTAAAACTCCAATATTAATTAAAAATTGATCTAAAATTGTGAGTTAATAAGGATCTGTGAAGAGCCTTCCCTTCTTATTGGATTTCTGTACATTCTTCCAAAAATGCAGATGCAAAACATTTTGTGGATGATCAATTTGCTCTTTAAATAATAATTCCAGTGACATTTGCATTATTGCCTAGCAATGTAAAAAGGAGTATTTCACCCCTACTCTGAAGGAGTGGAGAGCAAATAATCAAATATTGAGGGTCAGGAAGCATCCCACTCTGTGGCAAGCAGGTGTTTTCAGACACCACTTCAGCTCTCATACACTGGTTCTGTGCAGTCTGATGGCTACAGCAGATTGTCCCTGAGGACAATCCAGTTCAGAGACACTTAGGTAAGGTGCCCAAAGACCCACGGGCAGCAGGTGACAGAGCCAGCATTTGCACAGCTGTTTGTCTGTTACATTTTTAAAAAATTAACTTATGGCTGCCTTCACTCAGGACTTAGCTTTCTAGATATCTCTATTGATGTGTGACTTCCTAATGGCATTACATTTGAACCTTAGATTCCCTAAATAATCCAATTTCTTAGAGCAGAACTGGCTGACACCTGCACATTCCCTGGAAGGACTACCTGTGCATTTTAGAAAAAAACTAAAGCAAATGAGGATTAGTTTGGGTGTAGACATTACAATGTGAGAAGGGCTACAGAGGCAGCAAAAACACCAGGTGAGAGTGGATGCCTGGGGCTGCTCGGAGGAGCAAGGCCTGGCTTGCCAAGGTGAGAGCAGAGAGTGACGTGGAAGATGGCAGGCTCAGAATAACAGGGAGTCATTGTCAGGGGCAGAAAGGCTGAAGAGAAGAGCGTATCATGGCCCCTGAGCAGGTGTTCTTTGCTTCCATCAGAGCAGATATGGGATGGAATAACAGCATTTTTGATACTCTAGTAGTGGGGGAGATAGCATAGACATCAAACCTGCCCATACACAGGAGGTGACCAGCAATGGCCAACAGCTTTCCCGCCCCTGTACTGCTTGGGGAACAGAGTCCCGGCAAGAAGACAAAAGTTGCAGAGACAATCCAGCACAGCATTTAGATCTGCTAATGTCTCATCTCAATGTATACTTCTGTGCTGGAATATTTTGGGAAGGTTCTATGTGGGCATCAATTTGACATCAGTTGCTCCTTCCTTTATTAAGGTGGAGGCTACTTTTCTCACTACCACGGTAGTATTTATCAGAACTTATCTGTTCCTTAAACAGGCTTGGCCAAGGCCCCTCAGAGTTTCCCTTAAAATAATACAGAACCTTTGTTGTATGGTTTTTGTACGTTTGGGTAATAGTCACAACCCAATCCAAATTGTAAGGAACAGCAAGAATTATTGTTGTAGAACAAAATGAGCAGCAATTTAAATTTTTACTAAATCACCATGAATTCTTGCAAGAATTAAAAAAAATTAACATGAAGTTCTCAAATTAAGGACTTATTCTAAAGTGATTCAGCTGGCAAAGAATAATAGAACTTCAGTCTGTACATAATTTTCAAGAAGTGGAAGGATGGATTTAATCAGAGTTTACACTAATAGCTGAATAGCTACTAAAATTATTCTAACAAGATACAAAACATGTATGACAAGTATTACAGCTCTAGGATAAAATGAGTTTCTATTTACAATAATACTTGGCCAAAAAAAACAAAAAACAAAAAAAAAGAAAAGAAAGAAGAAAAAATATAGAGGAAGAAGAAGCAATGGATTAGACACATCAAGCAAAGGCAAGAGAGGAAGTTAATGGTCTGAATTGCACTGGGATATTTTGGGAGGGCAGCAAAGGTTTGCACTGAGAATAGCCTGATGAACTGCAGGGTAAAGGCAAGTGAGCTCTCTGTGACCCAGCCCTTCCAGCAACTGCTGGGACCCACCGCCCACCCGTCTCTCACCATCCTCTTTGGTCCGGGTGAAGATCTGCTCACTCCTGACCCCGTCTCCTGCGCGGGTGAAGGCCAGCACCTGGATGCTGTAGTTGGTGTACTTTTCCAGCCCGTCCAGCTCCAGTGAAGGCTGTGTGGTGGTGATGTTTTTAATCTCACCCAGCTCTGGAGGACAAGAACAAGAAAACAAAATCCCACTTCTGAGCCCATTTCTGCTCGTTTTTCCGCACTGTCCCCACTGACTGTCCCTGTGCCATGCCATCACCCGTCCAGCCATCATCTGGACACGAGAATTCTCAAAGGGACTGTGCACAGTCATCCTGTGAGCTCATGGTGTCACGTGGCCCTTTGGAAAAGAACATTCACACCAAACTGCTCCAGAACACAAGGCAGAACGTTGGTCTGGAAAACGAAGTAATTCGCTCCAAGTTAAGTGTTATCAACCCAAGGCCAGCACCAGGGCTGCCACTCACCCTTCAGCAGGTGCTAATGAGCAATGTCCCCTGCACCCCTAGCAGCACACTTAGGGCGACACACACACGCTGCACACTTGGCAGCCCCACTGCCGACTATTCATTAGGAAGCTTCTGCAAGCTGAGGGGTTTTATTGTTATTTTAAACAAGCTCTACTTTAACATACATGTATTTTTAAGTACCTAACTTCATCCCAAATATCTGATCTACCCTCTTCAGCAAGTTTCAAGTCTATAAGACAGTGTCTTTAACTATAGTCACCACTTTGTACATTAGATCTCCAGAACTTATTCATCTTGCATAACTGAAACTTTGTATCATTTGGGGGTGGAGGAAGAAAATGGCAACTATGTGAGATGGTGGACCCGCTGTTAATTTGCTTGATTGTGGCGAGCATTTCACATTGGATACATACATCAAAACAAGCTGCATGTCTGAAATATATGCAATTTTTATTTGTCAACTATACCTTAATAAAGCTGAAAAGATAACATATTTAAATAAGAAAAAAATACACCTGAGCTAAACTGAGTGGCTCAGCCAACCCCTCTTTTTACCTGGAGTGAACTCCTCTCAGCTTCAATCCTGAAGTGACATGCCCATGTGTCAGAAACTTGGTGTCAGCTAAAAATGCTTCACTTTCAGGAGTGGGATCAACTAATAACATTCACAGATGGAACACTATGCGCTCTCAACTCCAGCATATGATACACGGCAATTTGAGAAAACTTACGAATGTTGTGCTAAGTACTTCCTTGGTGTTTGGCTGATGGGTTTTGAAATGAGTCGCCTTCAGAGCATGAGAAGGGCCTGAGAACTGTTCCCCTAGGGGAAGGGGCTGTCAGCGACACATTGGTACCCAGAGCAGGCCGGTTACCCCAAGAGACCAGCAGGTCTGGGGAGTTCCTTGTTGAACAGCTCTGATTTGGCAGACCTGCTCGTCAACTGACAATCCAGCTGCTTGTCAATCCCTCTCACTCTCCCTGGCCTCCATATAGGGAGTGGATGTGATATGCATGCCTGCCTAGGTGCCAGCGCTATGCTATTCTAAGTACAGATAGTAACTTATACAACCAGCAGAGTTATTCAATTACTTTTGCAACCCATTCATTTTACAGACAAGGAAGTCGAGGGACAGAGAGGATCAAGGAGCCCAGCACAGTGGCTGAGGGCACAGGCCGCGGATCTCAGCTGCTCTCCTCAGTCGCTCTGGGAAAAAGCAGAAAATGGGCTGAAAATGGAGGCACCCACGAGCCGTCGTGTCGGCCAGATTAAACGGGCTTTTGCTTTTTGCCTGTCTTGGTTTTCCTTCCTGCTCATTGTTTTTCTTTTCTCTTGTGTGTCCAGGATATTGCACAGAAGTTCACAAATGAATAGCCACGTATTTTGTGTGTCCAGGATATTGCATGGAGGTTCACAAATGAATAGCCATGTATTTTGTGATTACGATGACTGTGGAACATCTTTTGTTCATCTTTTTTTTGTCACCAAAAAGATCAATGTGGAACGGATACAGCATTAAAGGAGCATGGCAAATACTGCATGGGATGGCTGAGGCCTGTCCCTCACATGCCAGAGAGCCCCTGTGCCTTCTAGGAGTTGCAAGAAGAGGGGTAAAGGGGCTCCATGTGGCTCCCACAGTCCAGGCCCCAGTGGGAGCCAAAGGCCTGGGAGCACCAGAAGCAGACAGTTCTGTAGGCTGGGGCTTTGCTGGGGAGGGAGCAGGGCGAGGATGGCCCAAAGACAGGCCTTTGGACTCCTGTCTTCTAGGGAGGCCAGCAGGGTGCCAGCTGTTAAAGGTCACAATTTGGAAATCTCAACGGAGGGCTTACGAAAATGAGGAGACTGTGTGAGCATGTGTGGTCACCAGGTAGTCAAAATATCAATACTTGGTTGTCCCAGATGGATTGGAAATTCTCATCTCTGAAGGACGGGTCTTTCCATATTCAATTATATTCCTTTTCCTGAATATATTTAACATAAGTCTTTTGGATTAGGATAAAAACCCAAATGTAACCAGACATGATGGCTCATGCCTGTGGTCCCAGCCTCCCAAGTAGCTCAAGGTGAGAGGATCGGTGGAGCCCAGGAACTGGAGGCTGCAGTGAGCTGTGATTGTGCCACTGCACTCCAGCCTGAAGGATAGAGCCAGACCCTGTCTTTAAACAAACTAATTAAAAACTCATATGCTAATGGACAAACTTTAAATATAGAACTCATTAAGATCTTTTCAGATTTAGAAACTTCACTGTCAAAGATCACACACGTACCTCCCTACAGATATATACACACGCAATCAATAAAAATACAGCTGAGGGGAGGGGCTGATCAGGGCAGGGTGCTGGTAGCTGGTTATGAGACTCTGATGAAGGTCTTTTTTTCCCAAGAGTGCAGGGTGTCCACCTCACAGAAAAAGTAGGATCATTTCACAATATAGGAGAAAGCTGTGACCCTCCGGCAAATACTTGAATCAGAATGCAACTCTTGAATCAGACAGAATGAGGAAGAGGAGCCTGGTGGGGAGGGAGAAGGACAACCTGGCCTCTCTGATCTTCTTAAAGAAAGCAAACACTTGGCCCGGTGCAGTGGCTCATGCCTGTAATCCCAGCACTTCGGGAGGCCAAGGCGGGTGGATCACGAGGTCAAGACATCGAGACCATCCTGGCTAACACGGTGAAACCCCATCTCTACTAAAAATACAAAAAATTAGCCTGGCGTGGTGGTGGGCACCTGTAGTCCCAGGTACTCGGGGAGGCTGAGGCAAGAGAACGGCGTGAACCTGGGAGGTGGAGCTTGCAGTGAGTCGAGATCGCACCACTGCACTCCAGCCTGGGCGACAGAGCGAGACTCTGTCTCAAGGAAAAAAAAAAAAAAAAAAAAGCAAACACTTAAAACAAAATGATTAAAAATGCTAATGGTTAATATACTAATTAGAATTAACATTGGGGGGGGGGTTCAAGTTATTTTGATTAACTAATTTATCATGAACCATGAAGACAAAGGCAGTCAAAATCCCAATTTTAAGATTTCTAAAACTACCTGAGCCACAGTTGGCTCTATCTGCTAGAACGCCTCATAGGCTGTGAAGGAAGGCTATTTTCCTGATGACAGATACTAGGTGACTAGCAGATATGGAAGAAATAAAAAGCAAAGAATGAAAAAGAAGAAAGCCAGATACAAAACTGAGTGTTTAGTTTGCCATTCTTTTTAACGCTTTTTCTTTTTAAACATGAGTTTCTACAGTCTAGCTTTCATGCCTCTGTAGGGCTGTTTAATACACACACACACACACACACACACACACACACACACACACACACACACACATTAACTGAAGTGTATTGTTCAGTTGAGGTCATGAGTGAAATAAAATTAAAAAAATATATAAAATAAATTTAGAAATCAGATTTTTTCTATTAAAAATTTTGTTTTAAACAAAATAGTTTTGTGTATTTATATCTTGCCTCATCCTCAGAGGGTTTTAAGGCAGAAAACAATAGGTGCGGGAATAGCTTCTGAAGCAAGCCTCAGCTGCCCACACACTCCAGTTGGCACCTAATTGTTGCTTCCTTTCAGAATGTACCATTTTTTCCATGAAGAAAGATGGATGAGATGGAAGTTAGCAAAAATTCAGAGGAAAATGGTAACTTTTCAAAGGATACAACTTTCCTAGCAATCTCAAATAAATTGTTTCTTTCAGGCCTTAACCATGATTTAACTTTCTGACCATGAAAAAAAAATCAGAAAATTCATCAAAATATTGTTTATTTAACCTTCCCTATCAAATATACTAACCAGTTTTATTTCATCTGACCACATTAACAACAGAATTCTTTCTTAGACGTATTTTGGAAAGTATTCGGGCTATTGCTAATTACAGTGGTAGTAACAATATTTGCCCCTCTCAGCCTGTGTGAATGTGTGGGGGGTGTGTGTGGTGTTTGTGGTATGCGATGTGCATGGTGTGTGTGTACCTGTGTGCGTGGTGTGTGTGTATGGTGTATGTGTGTGCTGTGTGTATGAGGTATATGTTGTGAGTAGCATGGGGTGTGTTACATGTGTTGTGTGATGTGTGGTGTGGTGAGTGGTGTATGTGGGGGGTGCGTGTGGGGTGTGCGTGGTGTGGTGTGTGTGTATGTGTGGTGTAGTGTGTGGTGTATTGGGGGTGTGTGTGGTGTGTGTGTGTGCATATGTATGCGGAGTGTGTGTGGTGTATGTGGGGTTTGTGTATGTGTGGTGTGTGACATATACGGGGTGTGTGTGGTGTGGTATGTGGTGTAGGTGAGGTGTGTGTGGTGAGTGTGTGGTGTATGTGGGGTACGTGTGTGTGGGGGGTGTGTGTGGTGTGATATGTGGTGTATGTGTGGTGTGGTGTGTGGTGTATGTGTGGTGTGTGTGGTGTGTATGTATGTGGTGTGCAGTATATGTGGGCTGTATGTGTGGCATAGTGTGCAGTGTATGGGGGGTATGTGTATGTGTGGTATGTGTGGTGTGTGTACGTGTGGTGTGGTGTGTGGTGTATGTGGGGTGTATGTGTGGTGTGTGTGCATGTATATGTGGGGTGTGTGTGGTGTGTAAGTGTGGTGTGTGTGGTGTGTATGTGTGGTGTGGTACATGGTGTATATGGGGTGTGTGTGGTGTGGTGTGTGGTGTATGTGAGATGTGCCTGGGGTTATGGTGTGTGGTGTATGTGTGGTGTGTGTGTAGTGTGTGTGTAGTGTGTGTTGTGTGTGTGTGTATGTATGTGTGGTGTGTGTATGCATGAGTATGTGGGATGTGTGGTGTGGTGTGTGGTGTGTGTATGTGTGGTGTGTACATGTGGTGTGGTACATGGTGTATGTGGGGTGTGTGTGGTGTGGTATGTGGACCCTGAAAACCTGAGACAGGTCTCAGTTAATTTAGAAAGTTTATTTTGCGAAGGTTGAGGACGTACCCACAACACAGCTTCAGGAGGTCCTGACAACACGTGCCCAGGGTGGTCGGGGCACAGTTTGGTTTTATACATTTTAGGGAGACGTGAGACATCAATCAATATAGGTAAGAAGTATATTGGTTCGGTCTGGAAGGCAGGACAACCTGAAGCAAAGGCAAGAAGACAGGAAGCGGGGAGGGGACTTACAGGTCACAGGTAGGTGAGAGGGGAAGGGTTGCGTTCTTCTGAGTTTCTGATCAGCCTTTCCAAAGGAGGCCATCAAATATGCATCTATCTCAGTGAGCAGAGGGGTGACTTTGAATAGAATGGGAGGCAGGTTGGCCCTGAGCAGTTTCCAGCTTGACTTTTCCTTAGTGATTTTGGGGGCCAAAAAGATATTTTCCTTTCATAGGTGTATGTGGTGTTTGTGTACGTGTGGTGTGGTATGTGGTGTATATGGAGTGTGTGTCATGTGGTGGGTGATGTACATGCAGTTTGTGTATGTGTATGAGGGGTGTGTGTCATGTGGCGTGTGGTATATGAGGGATGTGTGTGTGGTGTGATATGTGGTGTATGTGTGGTGTGTGTGTGTGGTATGCGTGGTGTGGTATGTGTGGTGTATGTGGGGTGTGTGTATGTGTGTTGTGTGTGCATGTGGGGTGTGTGAGGTGTGGTGTGTGTGGTGAGTGTGGGATATGTGTGGGTGTGGTGTGGTATGTGATGTTTGTGAGGTGTGTGTGTGGTATGTGTGGTGTGTGGTGTATGTGGGGTGCATGTATGTGTGGTGTGTGCGCACGTGTATGTGGTGTCGGTCAGCAGTCACTTCCTGCTCAGTGTCTGTGGGAATCCAGCCAGTCCCGGAGGCTGCAGTCTGGGGAGTTTGTGCAAAAGTGTCCAGTAGCCCCGTGAACTGACCTGCCTCATAAACGAAATCTCTCAGGTAGCAGGAAGAGTGACCATTCGCAGGCAGGTTCATGTTTCTGAAGGTTTCTTGCTTATCTTTCGGAAATGAAGTGCAGACTTCTACATCGCACATTTATCTCATCACTTTGATTTTAATCCCATGAGTGAAAGTATCTTTAAAAAGCTGCATGCACACTCCCAAGCATTTCTTTGTTTAAAGAATTATGTTTTTGAATATTCAAGTTTTCAAAGCTTTAAAGGTATGAAGCCACATCTTTCATTTTAGAATGAAGATACCAGCAGGCAATGCTAGCAAATGTGAGTGAGCTTAGAAAATATGGGTGATGTGGATGAAGTCACCACTGGATTCTGAAATATTTCCAATAAGAACAGAAAAGACATCTTAGCATAACACTGCCTTTCAAAGAACATTAAGGGTATTTAATTTCATCCACTCAATATAAGGAGTAGAAATCAGAAGAAACATATGTAATGATATCCTATGGTATTTTGTCCATAAAAATAGATGACTTTTGCAAATTTTCATTGCTCTTTACTCTGGGGTGTTTTAAAACTTGTGTTTAGGTGGGAGGGGTGAAGGTGTTACAGAATCATCTACTTAAATCTGCCCTTCTGTGGGGCTGTCCCTTCTTGGGTCTGTGGTTCTGTATTCATTAGCATCTCCCTCGGTCACTGGTCTGGAACCTCCACAGGGACAGACACAGCAACCTTGGTGTTTCCCATGAGCTCAGTGTCGAGTGGGTGTTTGGCAAATGTGTCTACTGCAGGACCAAGGAGGGCGGGGGGGGGTCCTTCTAGATTGCCTCCCATGGCTGGTAGTGCTCCAGGTACTACATGTGGCAACAAAGGCATGAGGTCTGCTCTCAGTCCTGAGAAACACATGTTAGGGACACAGTTAGGGACATGCAGAGCTAAGGCTCAAAGGCCTATGCTCGCTGAGCCAGTAATGCTTGTGCTGCTCATGTGTCTTCTTGCCTTTACTGTTGCACCAACCGTGGAGGCTGCTGCCACCTGTGGAGCCCTATGTTTACCTGCATGGGGACAGGGGTCTGCCTGGTAGAACAGATCCAGGTGGTCCTGAGCAGGGAAGGGATAGGTCCTTGACCGCATTTGCCCAAAATTAGAGGTGAGCACTCATCAGGGATCACACCCAGTCAGAGGGGTTGAAAGAAGCCCCAGGCTGGGCGTGGTGGGTCACGCCTGTAATCCCAGCACTTTGGGAGGCCAAGGTGGGCAGATCACTTGAGGCCAGGAGTTCAAGACCAGCCTGGCCAAGCTGGCGAAACCCCATCTCTACTAAAAATACTGAAAATTAGCCAGGTGTGGTGGTGCACGCCTGCAATCCTAGCTACTTGGGAGGCTGAGGCAGGAGAATTGCTTGGGCCCGGGGAGGTGGAGAGTTGCAGTGAGCTGAGATCGTGCCACTGCACTCCAGCCTGGGTGACAGAGGGAGACCCTGTCTCAAAAAAAGAAAAGAAACCCCAAACAAGAGGGAAGGTACTGTCCAGTGACGGGGGGTGCAGGAGGGGGCTGGAAATGGAGGGCAGGGGAGGAGGCAGGTGTGGGCCCCCCAGGCTTGGGACAGAGACAGTGAGCAGGCTTCCAGAGGCCTTTCCTGCTGGGGGCTGCAGCCTCGCTCTGCCCCAGCACACTCACGCAGCCCGGCCCAGCCTGGTGGGCACCACTCGCAGCCTGAGGGCGAAGACACTGAGGTGTTGCTGCAAGAAACTTGTGGCCCCAATCTTATGTCCACTTGAGAAAGTCGTTTATTCAAAGCCTTGCCCTAAACAAACAGGAACATTTTGCCCTACCACTTGAAATACACACACACACACACACACACACGATAAAGAACAAGGAAAAGAGAGAGGAGGAGAAGGGGAAGGAAGAGGAGAAAGAGAAACAGGAGACAAAACGGGAGGGCCCTGAACTTCCTGGCCCCCTCCTGAGTGCCCCCCTCCATGTGCCTGGGCACTCTTCCCACACCCACTTACAGCACAACTACAGGAAATTTAACGTTTCCCCGCGGAGTTCTATTTGGGAAGTAGGAAGAGGCCAACATTTTAGAATACATATCACACAGAATGTTCTAGATAGAGATGGAGGTTTTGGTGCTGCCTGCAGAGCCTTGACATAGACATAATTAGGAAAATACATCCATGTTGAAATTTCCCAAGTGCCGCCCCCGCCTAGGCTTCAACTTGGGTTTCGAAGGTGTGTGATGTTTTAAACAAAGAGACCTGTTCAAATGTCAGATGAGGGATGACAGAAAAGGGGAAAGTGTCTATTGATAAAGAGGTGCCCGCCATATCCTGAGCCCCTTGTTAGGAACTAGGAGGGGTCTGCAAATTCCATCATGCATTCTCTGGAGGCAAACCCAAAGTCCTAGTTTAGTCCTCTTACCTCCGTCCATGAGGTTGGCCCAGTAAATGACTCTGAACCCCTGGAGAATTCCATTCAAGGCTTCCTTGGAAAGTGTGGACCAGGATATTGATATGCTTTCTGGTGATGTTGCTATGGCTTGGACATTTTCGGGGGGGTAACTGGGCACTGAAATCAAATAATTAGAATCTGTAATAACTGTGGGTGGTTTATGAGCAAAGCAATAACCGAAAAAGCAACGTATTTTAATATTTCAATATGCAAGCAAAAAATTGCACTCAACCCCAAAATGAAAGAAAAAATAACAAAGATCACTTCCCTGGAAAAATCTTATGATAACTCAGTGCTCAGTAAAATATCATGAGTCAATGCATATATTCTAATGGATTCCATAGTCTCTCTTTCCAACTTAGTTTCTTTACTTTTAGGACAGTTGTTGGGACTTGAGTCGTGTACCCTTCTTAATTTTATTGCCTGAGTAGAAAATCATTGTTTGTCTGATTTATTTTCCCCTTACTCTTGGAAGTTACTTCTTTAAGTTGCATTTACTTTATAGAGTACGGTACCTCTGTATTTAGTAATATCTGGCATATAAATTGGAAGCTGAACCATTGTAAAGTGCTAAAAAGTAGAAACATAATCATAGATTTCTCCTGTCTCATCCTCATCCCTTTCTCTAGAGGGAAGAGAGACCATAGACAGGTCAGAAGAATATTGAAAATATTTTTAGTACTGAGCTTTTGTAAACCTTAAATGTTGGCGCTGGGGCGGTGCAAAATACTGGCTGAGACACGCATCTTAATGAAAAATGAGCATTGAAGCAAAAACAAAGGCATATTTAACGACTATTGCAATTATGAAGATAGACAATTCCAGTGTTCAGGCTGCAAGTCATTGAAGACTCCTCTCCTCGCAAAAATTGTCAGATATTACAGGTGCAAGTCCTATCTGCCTCCGCAAACCTGTGATCAAGGGCCGGGCGCGGTGGCTCACGCCTCTAATCCCAGCACTTTTGGAGGCCGAGGCGGGCAGATCACGAGGTCAGGAGATCGAGACCATCCTGGCTAACACGGTGAAAACCCGTCTCTACTAATAATACAAAAAATTAGCCAGGCGTGGTGGCGGGTGCCTGCAGTCCCAGCTACTCGGGAGGCTGAGGCAGGAGAATGGCGTGAACCCGGGAGGCGGAGCTTGCAGCGAGCCAAGATCGCGCCACTGCACTCCAGCCTGGGAGAGAGAGCCGGACTCCGTCTCAAAAAAAAATCTATGATCAAATGACTAACTGCACAAGAGGTAAATGTAGTGCCAGCTTCCTGCCTTCAAAGCTACCACTTATTGCTACAAATAACCCCATATCTTAACTTCCTGCCTAAAACACTGTGCCTCTGGATACCAGGGTTCTCTATTTTCAAGCACTACTGGAAATTTGAGCTTCTGGGTTATTCTCAGTGACATGGTGGAAGGGCTAATTAATTTATCTCGGCCGCTAGGGGGCGATCGATCACTGTGCAATCTGAAAATTCCTTTTCTCTGTACTCAGAATGCTTGAAAATAGGAAACAATGAAAAATAAAATAAATTTTAAAAAACCTTCTTAACATTTGGGAGAAAGTTTTTTAGCAAATAGCATTTCTGCATTCTCGTGAGACTTCTGCAGTAATAGAGAGAGCCTTGTTTTCACTCCAGAAAAGCCCAATTCTTGTACCTGAAATGAATGAGGAAGAGTCTGAAAAGGGAGGGACTTGCTGGCTTTGCAGTCCAGCCCTGCCCCAGGGCGGGCAGATCAGCGGGGTGGGCGAGGTCACGAGGGAAGGCTTTTCCACCCGAGACCCCAGGCCCTGCAGGTCACTGCAAAGTCGTGGGGCGGGGGAGTGCGAGGTTGGGGGAGCCCCGGGGCAGACCCGAGGGAACCTTTGCGGAGGGAAAAGCCACGACCAGGCCCCGGCCGAACCTACCATCCTCGAGAGTGGTGGTGATGATTTCCTGAGAAGAAGGCCCCGTGCCGGCCCGGTTACAGGCCTGCACCACCAGGCCGTACTGAGTGAACTTATTCAGGTTGTCCAGGGTGTAAACCTCACTGTCCCCGCTGGTGTCGACACTGATAATGTTGAATTGGAAGTTACCCCCAGTGCTGTACTCTCGGTAACCTATTTGGTAGCCACGGATAATCCCATTTTGCAAATGTTTCTTGGGAGCCTAAACAGGAGAGAAAAGAACACACTAAAGAAGTCTTGAGGTAGGACAAGAGCGAAATCAACGCCCACACCCACGTAGGAAAGCAGAAATAAAGTGGAGTCATCGCCACGATGCTGGGGCGGTGGTCCGGTAGCAGCCGCAAACCCACGTACAGTGCAACTTGGTCTGTGCCAGGCACCCTTCCTTTACCTGTGAATGCATCCGGCCCTCCCAGCCCCTCTGAGCCACTGGACCGTCAATGGACACAGGAGGTCACCTGAGTATGCATGGCAGGAGCGGAATCTGAACATGGGTGTTGGGCCCCAGAGCCTGCGCTCTCATTCTGTCCTTCATGATGTACTGGTTGACTTGTCTAACTGGCGAGAAAGTGTCAAAATACAGATCATGTTTGTGGCGTCTCCAGGTACGCTTACGACCGGGTGAGACTGACCCTCAGGCCTGCACCCAGCAAGAACTCTCGGGCTCGCTGCTGTGTGCCAGGCCTTGTTCCAGGCACCAGGGAATAGAATTGAGTTTGGAAATGTAAGAAGACAAAAGAAAAGACCCCCGTCCTCATGGAGCTTACATTCTAAGGAAATATCCCAGAATCACAGTGTTTCCAGGTTGAAAACTGGCATGGGAAGGTGAGTGCACACCCAATAGGAAGGTAATCTCTTTCATGAAGCCCCGAATCATTCTGGAATGATTTGGGGGTGATTAAATGTGGGGCAAGAGAGAGGCTGGTGCTAACTCCACCCTGCTGATGTGAAGATGGTCCACCAGGTCAAAGTAGGATTTAGGCTGATGCGTAGGACTCATTTAGAAACCAGAGCCTTTTCAAGGATGGTATAAGGCTGGGCGCGGTGGCTCACACCTGTAATCCCACCACTTTGGGAGGCTGAGGTGGGCGGATCACTTGAGGTCAGGAGTTCAAGAACAGCCTGGCCAACATGGTGAAACCCCGTCTCTGCTAAAAATACAAAAATTAGCCAGGCATGGTGGTGGGTGTCTGTAGTCCCAGCTACCTGGGAGGCTAAAATGGGAGAATCACTTGAACCCGGGAGGCGGAGGTTGCAGTGAGCTGAGATTGCCCCACTGCACTCCAGCCTGGGTGACAGAACAAGACTCAGTCTCAAAAAGTAAAAAAAGATATGCGAATGCCACCAAGATGAGGCTCTAGGGAATAAAGGTTTTGTAGACTTTCAGGCAGTCAACAGATATGTGTGTTTATGTGTATGCGTGTATGTATACATACACACATACATGTGTATGTATGTATACATGTACATATGTATGTATATACATATACACGTACACACATACATTTAAGTACAAACTATGGATCTGGATCTCTCAAGCCTCTGAAAGCTTTCTCCGTCCTGAAAGTGTTTATAATCGACCTGCAGAGAGGAAATAAGCACTTAAGAACCTGTAGAGAACTATGAAGTGTGGAAATGCATGGTAAGAAAGTGAAGGCCAGCAGGCATCTAGAAAGTGTGAGTATGGGTGGTCTGAAGTGGTGGGAAGACTCAGAGCCCAGGTGGGCTTGACGGAGGGGGGGAGGTGGCGGGGCACGGCTCAGAGAAGTAGAAGGAGGATGGGGTGAGTGGAGCCTGCAAAGGGTGCACACCTGCCCAGCGGTAAGTCAGGAGGGAACGGACAGAGTGGAGCAAGACCTTGAAAACCTGCCAAATGTGACCGGGGGAGGGCAGACAATGAGAAGTCAGAAGAAGGTTTCGAGCTGATGAACAGCATTGATGGATTCAGCAAACACTTATGGATTGCCTAATAATAACTTCCCAGGGGATTCCATGCCTCAGCCTGTCATTAGTAGTAAGTCTGACTTATCCAAGAGCAGTAAAATCATTTTTGTTTTTCACAGCAAGTTTCTCCATTTATGGTTTTCTTGGACTCCACTTGCTTTTCCCAACAGCCAATCTAATTTAGTATATTCATGGTGCCAGCAGGTGTCAGTGAAACAGTCGCGTAAACCATTTATTTATTTGTATCTGTTGGCTCGGAGTTAGACCCTGGTGGAAGAGCTCATACCTTTTTTATTATAAACAAATGTCTATGCTCCTCTGAATCCACAGATGTGCTGGCTTTTGCATTGATGAGCTATGGCTTTTCTCACTGTTTAGAAATAGATTTCAAGATTCTATGTTTTGAAAATTCAATTACTCTATGTGAAAATTGTTTTGCTGCAACCACTGAATTACATTTATGTGACCTAATTAATTAATCAAATGAATTTCCCTGTAAACGTCACCTATAAGTCAAATTTACCAACAAAGAGATTTCCCCTATTTTACCTAGTGTTTTAATGTTAGATATAGTGACCCAAATAAAATAATATTATTTTTTAAATGAGATTTACATCCATTAAATATTCTAATTGTTCAACTGGCTCCCGGTGAGGCTTTAAGCCTCCCTAAGACAGCAAGTTGGATTCACAGTATGGGGGCTGTGGAGTCAGGTCAAGAAGAGTAGACAGTAAAGTCAAATGCCTGTGAGAAAGTGTTTTCATAGAGCCACCAATTTAGCTAAATCCTCCACAAGAATGAAGGGACCTGCTTGCTGACATGTAGTTCCTCCAGTTTGGGGGGATTAATCCTGCCTGTGATCTGTTTGTACAGGTAGAAAGGAGAAATCTTCCCTTGTTTCCTCTCCATGGGTGAAAACCCATCCTAACTAGCTTAACTATAATAGACAACGCAGGTGTTTTTGTTCTGTTCCATTTCAATATTTTGTTAAAAAGAAAAAGAAAATTCTTTACATTTTTCTTAGAAGAACTACATTTCAGTCCTGTGGTTCTAAAATAAAGCTTATTTTTTCTTAGTTGATACTTCTGCAAAATATTGTGTGGAATAATTATCTCATTTTGTTTTATAATAAAAGTAAACAACCACCATTTCTATCCAATGCAATTCTATTCACATTTTGATGCATTTCAGTCTATTTATCTAAAGTAAAGTGTTTTGCCCCACATAGCTGTGTTTGTAGCCTGTACAATTTAGTGTCTGAGTTTTTCTTCTTCATTTAATATGCTATTATGATTATATTCCCATCTTTACTTCATAGTCTTTAAATATCATATTCCATCATATTGATGTTTTATTTTATTTAACCTTTTTTTAATTGTTGGGGATATTATTGTTTCCAGGTTTATTTACTACCACAAATGCTATGTTAGACACCTTCACAATATAGTTTCTCTGTTTCTAAGTTTATTTATTGAACTCAAGTCCCAGAAGTAGATGACCATCTTATTTTTTAAGTCCATGTTTCAATTGGCTGTTAATGAGATAGGGCTTTTTTGATTATTATTCTTCCAGATGTGCAATATCATAGGGTAAGTTAAGGGATTATATCACAAGGAACAAACAAGAGAGCTCTCCTCTATTTTTCTTAATATTCCAATTTTGAAATGAAATATATGGAGTAGAGTTATGCGTTATTTGATGGTAGTAGTGTTTTTACATCTTTTTTTTTCAGGGTGCTAATATGATCTATAGTTTTCATGCAGAATAAATTGTTGCACCTGAGGAAGAAGTGAGATGTGTTTCTTATAAAGGGAACATATACTTTCAGTTTCATAGCTTGCAGGTCCCCAAACTATAAGGTTTAAAAACAGACTTAAAAGGTAGTGGGAGAGGATGGGAGCAGCAGCCAGTGGTTGCAAGCTTTCTCTGTGGGGTGATGCAAATGTTTACAATTATGGCTACGGCTGCACATCTCTGTAAACATATGAAATACCACTGAATCATACACTTAAAATAGGGAATGCTATGGCATGCTAACTGTATCTCAATAAAGCTGTTTTTTACAAAGGTAGTGTGCTAACTCATCTCTAGGTTATCTTTCTATTTCAATTACAACACTAACTGGCACCTCCACCATGATGACCACCACCACCAATCAATGCTTACCACCTCTGCAGGTCACTGTCACCACTGCCAACATCAATGCCACTCCCTCAGGTCCCCCACACAGCCAAGCCACCACCATCACTACTACCATCTTTACCACCATCATCACCACCAGCTTCATCTCTGTCAAAAATACTGTGAACACCACCACCACCAGCAATAGCATCTCTACCACTGACATCACCAACATTACAACCACCAGTATCAACATCACTGCCATAAAATTAACCTAATGGTAGAAGCACCTCTATCACTTCTTCCAACTTTACCACCATATTTATCACAAACTTCACCAACAAACCACACTTTAACCTCCACTACTTCCATCATCATCCTTGATGTTACCACCATCACTGTCACTAAAAAGATGCTTCACTTTATCACTATCCCAAAACCAACAACACTATCACCACCACCATCCATCACTCAATCACTATCCCAACACCAACACAACTATCACCACAACCATCCATCACTCCATTACTATTCCAATATTAACATCACTACCACCGCAAATATCCATCACTCCATCACTATTCCAACACCAACATTGCCATCACCACAACCATCCATCATTCCATCACTATCCCAACACCAATATCACTATCACCACAACCATCCATCACTCCATCACTATCCCAACACCAATATCACTATCACCACCACCATCCGTCACTTCATCACTATCCCAATACCACCATCACTATCACCACCACCATCCATTACTTCTTCACTATCCCAACACCAACACCACTGTCACCACAACATCCATCACTCCATCACTATCCCAACACCAATACCACTGTCACCACAACATCCAATACTCCATCACTATCCCAACACCAACAGCACTGTCACCACAACATCCATCACTCCATCACTATCCCAACACCAACACCACTGTCACCACAACATCCATCACTCCATCACTATCCCAACACCAACACCACTGTCACCACCACCATCCATCGCTCCATCACTATCCCAACACCACCGTCACTATCACCACCACCATCCATCGCTCCATCACTATCCCAACACCACCATCACTATCACCACCACCATCCATTACTTCTTCACTATCCCAACACCAACACCACTGTCACAACATCCATCGCTCCATCACTATCCCAACACCAACACCACTGTCACCACCACCATCCATCACTCCATCACAATCCCAACACCAACACCACTGTCACCACAACATCCATCACTCCATCACAATCCCAGTGCCAACATCACTATAACGACAACCATCCATTATTCCATCACTATCCCAACACCAATATCACTATCACCACAACCATCCATCATTCCATTACTATCCCACACCAACATGAATGCCACCACAATGACCACAACTACTACTACCTCTACCACCTCCACTTCCACTTATTGAACACTGTTTTTTCCCATTGTAATTGGTGCTTTATGTATATTATTTCATTTTCTTTCCCTAAAAAACCCCACACAGTATAAGTATGCTTCTTTACACATGAAGAAACAAAAGGTCAAATATGTTAAAACAACTATCTCAAGGCAAGTACAGGGTAGGAATTCTCCAAAGTTGTATTTGGTATTAACCGCTCATAGAGCCTCAGAGAACTTTTCACCCTTTTGCAAAGTTTGTTAGTTTTGTAAAGTAATAGTATACATGGCATTTCTAATCAGAGGAAAATTTAATAGATCACATGAAGAGAAAATTGTATATTTTTATGCATAAAAGCAAGCAAAAATTCTTTATCAGGGAAAGTTTAAGTTACTTTATTAATTTGTAGATAGACTAGTCAGATTGAAATTTAGAAATGCATTTAAATTAAAGAAATCCTTGTGGATGTATTTTAAAACAACCTCTGAAAAAAATCCATAAATGTAGGGATTTTGTATATTAAGTGTAAGAAATGTTATGGCCTGTGGTTCAGGTTTTCGAAAATGACACTAGAGGCTCACTCTGAGTTATGGATGAGTCAGTAGGAGTGGAAGGTGTGCTTAGTGGAGACACGTGAATCCATTTGTCTGGCAGTGGGCTTCATATTCCCAAGGCAAATTAGTGCATAAGATCCTTAACTGGAAAATTGTTTTGAATGATGCTTTAGACATCTTTGCTTGGAGCATGTGTCTACTAGGAACAAAGGGAGATGGTTTTCTGGGGTATAGAGAATATATCCTTATAGGGAAATGATCTTTAGAACACTGTATTAAGGTTGTTAATTAGCACTGTAGAACAATTGATACATGGGTGGAAATAATGGTTCACTTTCATGAAACTCAGTGAATGAGGTTAATGGTGGGGTAAGAAGAAAAGGAAAACAAGAAATCAGGTAGGGATCTGGAAACATATTTTGAATCTGAGTTGCATAATATTGGAGAAGACAAATTTCCTAGGAAACCACTTTGACCATGCCTCTTTGATCTCTGTCTCCCGATCTCAGTAGTACCTGTTGTGAGATCTGATCGCTGCCTCATCTCTCAAGACTAATGCCTCCTGGGTGTTGCTTGCTCACCTGCGTTCCTCTCTGACTGCCTGAAAAAGGGTGGGGATCCCAACTGTCTTACATATTCCCACCTTATAAAAGCTGTTGTCAAAAAATGTTCTTCCTTCTTCTTTCAAAGAATACCCCCACTACTCCTTCTCTGCAGGCCAGCTCAGCTTCCAGCTCACCAGGGCTCTTCCCTAGACCACTCCCACCAAGAAGCCTTCTCCCTCCCTGGTCTCCACTGGCATTCACTGATCACTTCTACCTCCTCTAGTGGCCACCATTCTCAATGAAACGTGGTTTCAAAGAATGTCATTGCAAGCTCTAGAATGCAAAGAACCCTACAGAATGAAATCTCACTTGTTATTTCCCCCTGTCTAAATCGGGGCTTCAACACTGTGGATGTTCTCAGAAGATATTCTTGCAGATGGAGAAGAGAATGGTTTTGAACACACATGAGATGCAAAAAAAAGAGGTGGGTAAGAATGATCACAGGTACAGGTTTATAATCTAACTGGGTAAAGGACTGATAGCAAGGGTATGAAGTCAGAAGAAATTCCTTGACTGCAGACACATGGTTTAGCTGTTGAAGAGAGGCCTGGCTTAGCCACTACAGAAGTGGAGAACTCAGCAGTCTAGTGTGACAGCCGGGAAGTGTGGATTCAAGCTGAGAGTTGGCTTCCGCACTGGGACTTAGCCTGCTGGCCTACACAGAAGGATGACAGGTTGAGGCAGGATTTGGAGGGGTTGAGCTTCATTGCCCAGGCCCCACCAGGGATGAAAATAGCTTCTGATGAGCCAATTTATTTGGACACTGTCATTCATTTTTTTCCTTCTTAAAAGAAGGATTCCAGAAAGAGAATTTGCTCACTTACTCAGCCAGCCGGTGGGTTACATGTTTTTATGATGATGGACCTGCAGATTTACAGCAAATCTCACCTGGTAACCAGTCATCTTAAGACAAATTAAAGGAGTCCTTTGAAACGTAAGCATATGGAAAAAAAAAAACACAAAAAAAACAAAAAACTAAGGGCTCCCTTCTACTCCTATTTAAGAACTCAATAAAACAAGGCCCTTTCCACAGGGAAAATGTTGAAATTTAGAAATGTGTTTAAGTTAAAGAAATCCTTGAGGACGTATTTACAAACAACCGACTTCTTTCCTAAGTGAGTGCTTTCTGTTTGCCTCTTCTCAAATCCCCTTGAACGCAGTGCAAATCTAAGAGAAGGTCATGCCTGCTCCTTGTTAGGTTTCTCACACAAAGATTGTTTTTCCCATGTTGAACTTTACTCCCCCATTCATTTGCCTTTGGATTCAGTAATGATCCTGATTTCTTCTCATTTCTTTCATTTATCTGCCATCTGTGGAATGCTCTCTCCCCCTTCCTAGCCTGGCAGGTTTTTTTCTCCTGTAGTCCTCCTCAACAGCCTCCTTTCATCCTCCCAGATGCCCTTTCTCCAGCTTCCAAATCCCTCCCAACCTCCACTTCCTTTAAGAAACCTTCTCTTTTGATCTCCATGACAACAGTCGCACCATGTCAATGTATTTGCACGGTGTGCAAGTGACTTATTTTATATGTCCTTCTCAATCAGTCGGCTGCAAGCCGCCTGTGGCAGATGCATCATCCTTTAAAGGGACAGTAAAACAGTAGACGTGCAAATGCTCACTGCACCTGCCTGGATGTGAATGATTAGAACAGGCATCTCTTGTGCTGAAGACCACCAGCCATGTTCTGTTTCCCTCATGCCTCCTGCCCCCTTCCCATTGAAAGGAAATGGCCTCTGCTGGATGTGCAGAATTCACCTGTTGGCTGGAGTCTGCTAAGAGCCTCACTGCAGAATTTCACGTTTGAAGAATGCTGCCTTTCTCAGGCATGCTGAATAATTTAGTTGGGAAATGAATTGAACATTTTCTTTATAGATTCCTCCAAATCCACTTAAAATGTAATCTATCCTCATTTCCCTTATGTGACAAGTTGGGTGGACAGTCTTTTTCATCTTTGTGCGTTTTCTGCAGCCTCCCCTTACCTGCTTTCCAACATAAACAGTAGCCATTCCATAAGCTTGCTCAGTGAATGGGTGCATCACATTGAACAAACCTTAACTGGGCATCTGTTCTACACAAGGCATGGCACAACCAGGGACACCTTTGAGTGAATCAGTGCTCAGAATACTGCCTGATACTTGCAGTGCTGAAGGTTTGCCCAGAGTACTATGGAGGGGCAAATCGTGGTCAGAAGGATTGCCAGAGAAGAGCATACTTCACCTGAGCTAAAGGGTGACTGGACATTGCCTTGGAGGGTACAATGCTGTCGCCAAAGCAATTGGCATACACAGCTGCACCCAGGTGCAAGGACAGAAGACACCCAGGAATGGAGAGAGGCTCAAGTGACTCTGGGGTGAGGTATCCATGGTGATCACAGGGGTGGGGGACGGTACAAGCACAGATGAAGCTAGGGACATATCTACGGGACAGAACCTATGGAGCCTGTATGTAGTGGTATGGTGCGCTACCAGCAACATCCACATCACCTGGAAAACTGTTAGAGCTGCAAGAACTGGGGACCCACTCAGAGTTCCTGAATCAGGAATAAACTCTGGGGGTGGAGCCTGGTGAGGTGTGTTTTAAAAAGCCCTCCAGGGGATACCAGTGCTCCCTGAGTCTGAGAATCACTGTTGTTATCACTGGGAGTCACTCAGTGATTTAGATTTGGCTTTGCTGGGAGAGACTATTTAGTTAAAAAGCAGCAACTATGCATTCCCCCATTTCTCAGGTTAGCCAGTAGCCCATTTTCCTGGTTCTTGGCCAAACAAAAGGGAATAAATGCACATAAAACTGTTAGACCTTCCTGGTCTTGGGAGTAATTTAAAGATCTACCTTACTCAGCACTAAAGGGATTCTGCTTTACAATAGGTATAGGGGTGGTGTGAGAACCAGCTGGCTATCTTGGTCCATGGACAATGGATTTTGAGGGGGCTATGTCAGGTCGAGGAGACCTCTTACATTATTGCCTCAAATAATTCCTTTCCTCTCCTCTCTCCTTTCTTTCCTCTCCTTTCTTCTTCCTTCCTTCCTTCCTTCCTCCCTTCCTTTCCTTCCTTCCTCCCTTCCTTTCCTTCCTTCCCTCTTTTTCTTTTATTTTTCTTTCTTTTTCACAGGGTCTCACTCTGTCACCCATGCTGGAGTGCAGTGGTGGGATCATGGCTCACTGCAGCCTCAACCACCCCAGGCTCAAATAATCCTTCCACTTCAGCCTCCTGAGTACCTGGGATCACAGACATGTCACCATACCCGGCAAATTTTTGAACTTTTTTTGTAGAGATGGGTTTTTGCCATGTTGCCCAGGCTGGTCTCCAACTCCTGAGCTTAAATAATCTGCCCAACTCAGCCTCCCAAAGTGCTGGGATTACCAGCAGTGAACCACTGCTTCCGGTCTCAAATGATATTTTTGTTCATATATCTCTCCTTAGAGTTGCACTGTATTAAATACAGTATCTGTGTCCTAGGTCTCATAATGGGTAGATGTATGGCCACGTGACTGGCTCCCCCAAAGTCATTATCTTTTGAGGAGCTAGGAAAGGATGAGATGTCCACATTTCATGAAATAGAAAAGGGCCACATGACCTGATAATGAGACAGTGCTTAGAACAAAGGGGCTGTGCAATTTCAGTTTGAGAAATAAATGATAAATGACAGATTATTTGAAATAGGCACTGTCTTGAGAGCCAAGAATGTTACTTGCAGGCTGCAGCTGCCATATTCTAGTCAGACTTGGCAGCTGAGGAGGAAAGAGTGGCCAAGGTATATGTGGGCTTTGCCTTGAGACACAAATGCAGAATGCTAGAAATAGATTGATAATTTTATGACATGGAATTGAGGTTAACTACTGCAAAGCAAAACTCCATTTATTCCATTTCTAAAGTGTAGGACAGCTTCCGCTTTATTCATCCAGCCAACAAACACCTGTGACATAGCTCCTCTTTTTGGGACACTCCCTTTTTGAATTCTGTTGTTCCTCATACATCACACCACCTGCTAACCACAGTTAACATTTCCTACCAGCCACAGAGGCCTATCAGTGCTCTCTGCCAAGGACCACACAAGGGCATTCGGGCTTTGCTTCCTATGAATCAACTCTGAGGGCTGGCCTCTGGGAATACCCCCACCTAGCTCCCGCGCCCAACAATGGGGACCTAGAGGGTGCACTCTGATGCAAAAGAGGGGGTATGCTAGTCTGTGAGCCTGAGGCTGGGCCCCAACTATTTAGCGGTGGCTGAGTGAACCCAAAGGGCTTTGGCCCACCACACACGCCTGGAGGGCCCAACCCAGAGTAGCCCCTCTGCAGGTAATGGAGGCCCTGTAACGGCAGTGTGGCCAAGGAGGGCAGGGCAGGGGCCCGAGAAAGGCCACAGAGATAAGGGAGGGAGGGGCACCCCGACTCCAATCTGATAAACAAGCACAAGAGGCAGGATTTCAAAGGCATGGTCATGGGGCCATGAAAAATGCTCGGAAGTAGTTTTGCGGGATGGGAGAAGACAGTGTCTGATTCTGGAAGCTCTGTAAGACAGCGCCAGGGGAGGGCCAATCATGATCCAACACCGCTGGTAAAGAGGTCAGTCGGGCAGGGGTGGAGCTGAGTGAGATGAAGGCACATCCACATCCACCTCTCACCCCAACAAACCACTGGGTCTGCATGCTCTGGAGGCATCCTGGATGTCTTGATGAGAAAAGGCAGGAAAGGAGGGTGAAGAAGAATCTTCCTTGGAACGAAACAGGCCCTTTCCACTGGGGAGGGCAGGGCGTGGGAAGCTGGAGGCCAAGGCAGGGAGCCAAGCCAGGAGTCGCCCCAGCCAGTGCTCTGACATGCACACAGGGCAGCCTCTGTCTACCCTGTAGGTCCTTAAACTGGAACTGCCTCCATTTCCCTCCCACCCTATATATAATATAATTTATATTATATTTAATAATATAAATTAAAGAATAACTAAGAGAACCCTTAAGTGATGTAGGAGGAGAGGGTAAGTATGGAGACAAACTGAGTCCTGGAATCCACAGGGATGAGGCTGAGAGCCAGTAGCGGGTGAGAGTGACCCTGGGCTGGAAGGGACACACAGATGGGAACGGCACTGCCAGGAGGCAGGTGGAAGCTGTGACAGTCAAACTAAGACAGAGAGAGAGAGAGAGAGAGAGAGAGAGAGAGAGAGAGAGAGAGAGAGAGAGAAAGGGGCTTGTAAAGGAGTAAGCGGCATCAGTCACACGCCGGGTTGTTGCAGCCTTTGTCATTTTTGCTAAGTATCTGTTCAGAAGAACCAGAGAAGATCCAGGTCTCAGAAGGAGCCTGCCCACTGAAAGGTGAGCTTTAATTTTATAACTGGAAGGAATTCCTGAGTGCTTTACATCTGTGCCAAAAGAACCAATGAACCAGAAGCCATTTTTGAGTGGGGCACTGCTATAAAGCTACCTGAAAATATGGAAGCAACTTTGGAACTGGGTAATGAGCTGAGGTTGGAAGAGTGTTGAGGGCTCAGAAGAAGACAGGAAGATGAGGGAAAGTCTGGAACTTCCCAGAGACTTGTTAAATTGTTATGATCACAATGGTGGTAGTGATATAGGCAAAGAAGTCCAGGCTGAGGAGTTCTAAGACGAGATGAGGAACTTATTGGGAACTGGAGCAAAGGTCACTTCTGTTATGCATTAGCAAAGAGGTTGGAGGGATTGTGCCCCTGCCCCAAAGATCTGTGGATCTTTGAACTGGAGAGTGATGATTTAGCATATATCATATATGGCGGGAGGGGCTAGCCTTGTCTCAGATGAGACTCTCTCAGTTGGATGTGGCTCCCTCTCGAGAGATCATCTCAATCCAGGAAATAAGGGTTGACAAACTGGTCCCTCCTCCAGATCTGTTTGGCTGCTTGTTTTTATGTGGCTCTTAGCTAACAACGGTTTCTTGTTGTGGCTTACATTTTTAAATGATTGAAAAAAATCAAAAGAGGAAGAATATTTTGTCATGTGAAAATTATGTGAACTTCAAATTTCACCTTTCCTAGGTGAAGTTTTACTGGATCCCAGCTGTCTTCACTCATCCACGCATGGACTGCAGCTGTGCCTATGCAGCAGAATTGAGCAGTTAAGACCGAGACTGCAGGGCCTACAAAGCTGAAAATATCTGCTCTCTGGCCCATTAGAGAAACAGTTTGCAGACTCGTACAGGACAGTGCTGTGGACAGAACCAGCATGTGAGGTAGAACTTACTGGGTGTGCTGCAGGTCCAAGGCAGGGTGGGAAGGAGAGAGGGGAGAAAGGTTGACAGGAGAGGCACTACTAAGAAAGGAGCATTGGAGAAAGGCCTGGGCTCTGCCCAGTGTTGGTTAGAGTTCGTTACTCTCCTTTTATCCATGCTCCAATGGATAGTTCTAACTTGTGTTCTATCAGAAGACAAGGAATAGTAATGTCTGCAGTAACAATGGAGCTCCAGTCCTGGATTCAATATCTGCCCTCTATAGCTCAGTAGGGATTAAGAGGAGGATGGCATTCTTTCTCTAGAGCTAGGCTTTGTCTCTCTTTCCTTTTCTTTTTTCTTTTTTTTTTTTTTCCTGAGACAGTCTCGCCTTGTCACCCAGGCTGGAGTGCATTGATGCCATCTCAGCTGACTGCAGCCTCGACCTCCCAGGCTCAAGTGATTCTCCCACTTCAGCCTCCTGAGCAGCTGGGACCACAGGCACACACCACCACACCCAGCTATTTTTTTTCTTTTGATAGAGATGAGGTCTCACTATGTTGCCCAGGCTGGTCTTAAACCCGTGGGCTCAAGCAATCCTCCCAATTCAGCCTTTGAAAGTGCTAGGATTATAGGTGTGAGCCACCATGCCTAGCCTCTTATCTATTTTTGGGTAATGAAAAGCTTTAGCCTTGACTAAAGAGAATTTTAGACATCAACATGCATGAATAGGTATTTGCGAGGAGAATATTGAAAAAGTTGTCTGGGCAAGGCACAGTGGCTCATGCCTGTAATCACAGCACATTAGGAGGCCGAGGCAGGAGGACCGCTGCAGGTCAGGAATTTGAGACCAGCCTGGGCAACATAGTGAGACCTTGTCTCTACAAAAATCAAAAAGTTAACTGGGCATGGTGATGGTGGTATGCACTTGTAGTCCCAGCTACTCAGGAGGCTGAGGTAGGAGGATCACATGAGCCTGGAAGGTCAAGGCTGCAGTGAGCCAGGATGGTGCCACTACACTGCATTCAGCCTGGGTGGTAGAGTGAGACCCTGTCTCAAAACAAAAACAAAAACAAAAAAACAAAAGAAAAGAAAAAAAGAAAAGAAACAGTTGTCCAATAGGCTACTGTATGTTCCCTGTTAGGAATGTGCTAGAAGCATTCAGACCAAGGGCCCCTGTGAACACTCTGGCTTATGTTGAGGGGAAATACTCCACAAGTCCAGATGCAACACGTGCCACAGATTCCACACGGGCCCACGGGAGCAACACAGGCACTCCCTGAATCACACTCTCCTTCAGTGGGAAGTCTTGTTTCCTAAATTCACTAAGGATCTGCCACCTAAATTCTTCTGTTATTTACAGAAAAACAAACCCTGTTTCCAACTTCAAATTGTTACTGGCAGGCAAAACAAGAAGGTAAAATGGTTTTATTTCTTATACATCTATAATTACTCAAAGCACAAAGTACTTTTATTTTTGGTCTCAACTTAAATTTTTCAAAAGAACAGGAAGAGTTTATTACAGGAATTGAAAGAATTTGAAGTAGCTTTCAGCATTTTTAATACAATGAAGAGTTTGGCTTTAAAAATGTTATGGGCTATCTTGAAATAGTTTGTTACATCTTAGTGCATTAACTTAAATGTATTTGAACTAGTGAAATACGTTTGAAGGCACACATTGTGTTTTTCTGTCTTGCTTCATGCTACCTTGAAAATAGTCTGGAAAATAGCTGTGCCCTCCTGGCTGGGGTTCTTCCTGTGATGGACCCTAACCAACTTCGTCCAGCCGAGTTGCCATAATAATAACAATAAAACTAATGTCATGTTTCTTCCCTTGCCTTAGGAGAGGGGTCCATGACATAGCAGATGCCATTTGATGATGTCTATGTAATTCTTGATTGGATATATGTTTTCCTTTTTCATTCTAACATCTGTGCCCTGTTTACTAACTTATGTATCTCACTTGATTTCTCTGAAAAGATGGGAAATGTCATCAGCGAGATGGCTTAAGGACTGCTGTCTGAGGAAATACAGCACATTAAACAGTGTATATCCACCTATGCACTCCCTGTACGGATGGCATCCATGCATTCATAATGCTCAATGCCATATTAACTTTAGCTTGATTTTCCAATTTGTTCTCTGTGAAAAGCAGAGTTAGGATTATATGAGAACTGATAAAACTGTCTAAGATGGTCTTCTGAATACTTTTATTAAATTACTACCTACCCATCTATTTTTAAAAATTAATTAATTAAATTTTTGAGACGAGTCTTGCTCTGCCACTCAGGCTAGAGTACAGTTGAGCAATCTTGGCTCACTGCAGCCTCTGTCTCCTAGCGTTCAAGGAATTATTCTGCCTCAACCTCATGAGTAGCTGCGACTATAGGCATGATCCATCATGCCTGGCTAATTTTTGTATTTTTAATAGAGATAGGGTTTCACCATGTTGGCCAGGCTGGTCTCGAACTCGTGATGTTAAGTGATCTGCCCGCCTTGGCTTCCCAAAATGCTGGGATTACAGGCATGTGCCACTGTGCCCGACCCTATCCATCTATTATTAGGTTACTGAAAATAAACTTCTATTTTTTGTTGGGAAAATTTCACCACATTTACATTTATTGGGAGATATTTGCCATCAGAAATGGCAGTGCTGTCCAGAGCCATTGGTGGGGTGGGCGGAATCAGCATCTAGGATAGGGATCCAAATCGGGGTTGTTAATCAAGGGACCACCTTATGGATTCCAGAGTGGGCCCACATCCGTTATCCTCTATGGCTATCAAGTCAGCACTGGGAGGTGAGGAGAGAGGAGAATTCATCATTAAAATGCACTGCTACTTTCTTGGTTATGACATAATGAATAAAACACACAACTCAGAACTAGAGAAAAGGGTTCAAGTTCCAATAATGACAAATCAAGTGACTTAAGGTCATTTTGTTAGGTGTAGAGATGGGTGTCGTATCTAATTTTCTGAAATTTAATCCAGTACTTTTTACACTGTATTCTAATTATATATAATTTACTTGTTGGAAATGGATTTAACTTACGCTAATGTTACTTTAAAATGTGATGAAATAGTGTCAACTTATATTTTTACATGTACTTTTCAGTTTTCACTATGAATATTACATGTTTGTATATATATGTTACTGTAAAGCTTCCTAGTGAATATTATGCATAGTGTGCTTATTAGACAATTTAAGTCATTTTCAATATCATTCTGACCATACACAATTTTTGACCTAGTGTCACAACTTCAGGACCTGGTCCAATTGTAAAAATGTAATGTTGATGCACTAAGAAAACACCTAAGGATGAGCGTCAATAGATGTCCAAAATACCCCTTTAGTTGCAACCTTATTTGCATTTCTGATAATATGCTCTTTAAATCAGGCAAATACAATACTTGCCTTCTAAAGTTATATTGCAACTTTACAGCTTATAACCTAACCGTTATACAAAAAATCAAAGTGCCTACACTTAGATTTTTTGTGTTCATCCAGACTCAACGTGAAACTCTTAGAAGAAACCATCCAACAGGATTTCTGGCTCGACGGCAGACGGCCTTGGTCCTAAGCCTTAGTCCAAGTTCAATTTGTGTCCTGTCAAGGCCACTCTGCTGGAGAGGTACAGCTTTTTCAGTGGGGTTTGAATCAAGAATTGCCTCTTAGGCTGACAGTCCCAGATAGTGTCTCTTCCCAGCCTGCCTGAGCATCAGACCTAGATTCCACCCCTGTGGCTGCGAGTAGCTCTTGCAAATGCAGCCAGCATTTTCCTGGCTGCGCTCTAGGCTGGAAACCAAGGGAACTGCCTGCTTAGTTGAGGAGACCTGCCGGACCCTTTGTGCATGCAGGCTGGCAGCTCTGTCCTGGGACAGAGAACTGGAGTCCTTGAAGAAGGCCCATCACATGGCTAAACCGAGAGGAGTAACCCAATGTATAGACGGAGAGATGCAGAATACATTCCAAATGGTATAAATAAACACCATGGCTTCATTAAAGAAACATGCATAGTTTACATATACACCAAAAAGATGCAAATTTAGTCACCTAGGGCTTTCTAGAAAGTCCACAGTTTTTTTTTTAAAAGCACCACCTCTTGATATGAACCTTTTATGATAAAAGTAAACAATGGTAAATGGTTTATGCATTAATTTAACGCATATTAATTGCACTCCTGCTGAGGGTACAGTGAACACACAAGACATGTCCTCAACCCTCACGGAACCTAGAGTCTAGTCCACCTAAAAAAGTTGAGAAAGAACAATCTTACTTTATACGGATGACCAGAGATTTTGAAATTTTTTTTTCTTTTCTTGTTATCAAGGAAGGAGGTTAGACTCGTTAATATGAGAAGGGCTAAAAATTCTTTAAGTATTTGTAAGACATGTTGGTGTTCAGGAATTTCAATAAGGCTATTATAAAACCAATGCTAGAACCAATGGATTAGTTCCTAAAAGCAAATGCAAACTTTTGTCATTTTTCATAGCCTAAAGATTAAAGTGATAGTTGAAGAATTAAGTAAAGTTTATTTCAAGGCAACCTTTTTGAATTTCAGTTGATATAGGAAAAAAGGGTGTCTACTCACTATGAAAGTTACTCTAAGCTTAAGTTTACAATTTGGAAAGAAAAGGATACTACGTAAGAATGTAAATTTCATATATCTTTAATTTTTATGGGGTTGGGTATAATTTATAACATGAGTTTGCAAGGAATAGTAAAGGGAGTTAATATTTATTGAGCATTATTATGCACGAACTACAATCTTGGCACTTCCTAGTAATTAACTGGTTGACTGCTCAGAAACCCAGGAGGCAGAACCAGGCAGCCTGGGTGGAAGTCCTCAATCTGACAGTCACCAGCCTTCAGAACTTGGGTAAGTTCCTTTGACTTCAGGATCTCCCTCTGCACAAAACTGGGTGTTCCCAGCTCACAGATCAAATGAGATAATGCATGCAGAAGTTTAGCATTGTGCCTGGCGGGGAGCAAATATCTCTAAGGACAGCTGTCCCAGTTGGCCAGGAAATACTAGTGCTGGAAGGTGCCTCCAAGACTGCCTTTTCCAAGGTACCTTGCACTTCCCTGGGGTAGAGGGATTTTAGTGCAGAAGGCAAGTGGAGCCTGCAGTTTATTAAACGATGACTACGGAGGTCACTGGAAATAAGGCAGTTTTGTTTTTAAATGACAGACTGAGTCATTTTCCTGTTGTAAGAGCTCAACTCTGAAACTTAATAGGTTGTAATGATGCCTCAATTAGCTGGAATTATTGGGTATAGTGGAGATGTGATATTCTGGTTAAAAATATTCTTCAGATTACTGAAATTTAATTAAATCTCTGAATATTCAACTTAGTATTTTACAGAAATCATACCTCTCTTTCTTAATTCTAAATGAGAATTTTGCTTATTCTCAGTAAAATTTTCACGCAGATAGTACAATACTGAGGGCCAAATGGTAAAATTATTCTCAGGATTTTTATTGCAAGTAATCACTTTGATAATTGTTCTCAGCACAGAAATATTTAAGCAATTGACCATTTCATATTTTGGGGACAGCCTGTGGTTCTGCAAAGATTTCTTATTTAATGCAAAAATAAAACAACAACACAAATTTTATATCAATAGGAAAAAAACTCTGTCTTAAATTGCATTCTCTGGATAAATGTTTTGAGATGTATATAATCATTAAATATTCTAAATAATGAATGTTTTATTTTATGAGTGACCATGGCAAACACACACACACACACACACACACACACACACACACAAGCATGCACACAAGTAGCTGGTAATCACATTGTCCTTAATTTGCATCCAAAGAGGGTCAGCTGATTCTGAGACTGATTAGGAGAGAAGGTGACAGGCACTGCTAAAAGAGACACTTTAGGAGATAAACTAAAAATTGGAATTTTCTGAAAAACCAAAGAATTCCTTAGTTGTACAATGTTCAGGTACTTCATCAAATATGTTATCAATTATCCATAGCTTTAAATATTCTTTCTGATTTTGAATCAGAAACAAAACCTGCCATGAATTAAATTGTATTTGCTTACACAAATCCTTTTGTTTCTCCAAGAATGTCAAATGAAACTTTATTGTCATTTACTTTTAATTTTATTCAGAACTGCTTACATTGTCTTTTGGATTTCTGTCAAGGCATGGGGTAGCACTTTAATTAGCTTAATATTTGTAAAAGTATTTAAGAGCCCTTTCTGAGACTTCATCTTGCATAATATAGACATCATAATATAGCCTATAGAAAGATATTCCTCTTGAATATCTTTCTATGGGCTTATATTTGGGATGTGAAGATGTCCATTTCCCATGAAACTTATCACAAATTGGACCACTACTGCCCTTTACTTTTCAATAAACTATATTGAAAATTACCATAGTAGAAACTCATATGAAAAGTGGTTGGTCGCCTGGTGTACTGAGTGTGGTTCACATCTTTGGGTGCCTGCCGTTGTATAGTCTAGGGCATTTCACTGTATCATGAGTTAGACCTGAGCTCAGCATGTTTGCTCTCTGGAGATCCTGATAGCGGGGATGCCATCTCCATGGCAGTCTTGGAAACACGTAATGCTTCACAGGCAATTGTGATATGGAACACTTGTCTTCTAGGCCTCTTCATTCCCAGCTCACATATACACTCACCTCTCCTTCACTTACCCATTCATTCATTCATGGAACACATGCCAGCCATGAGGGATCAGAACTGAGTAAGCCTCTCTTCCTGCTGCCAAGGAGCTCCCAGAACAGTGGAGGGGATGCACATGAAACAGACTGCAGAAGCCACTGGGTGGGAACCTCCCTGAGCCATCGCCAAGAGCAATGGGTAACATAGAGGGTGAAACTCTAATTGCACTCTGGGGATTCCCATCTTCATGGGGGCAGTCATGCACAATCTGAGCCTCAAATGAGCAGGAATGGACAGGAGAGGTAAGCATGTTACAAACTGCCTGAACACTGACAGGAGAGACGATGACACTTGTGGACTGCTGCTTGGGTAGGTATCCCTGGGAAGGCGAGGCAAGATAAGGGGCCTGAATCCAGGTGCTGCAGCTGATGTAGGATGGCTGCATTCACTAGGTCCTGAGCAACCTTTGCTGGACATGAAAGATTTTAAAATTAGAAGCTCTTCTTTGGTGAAAGAAATAACTAAGATAAAAAGGGTGCCAGGTGTGGTAGCTCACGCCTGTAATCCCAGCAGTTTGGGAGGCCAAGGTGGGTGGATCACGTGAAGTCAGGAGTTCAAGACCAGCCTGGCCAACATGGTGAAAACCCCTGTCTCTATTAAAAATACAAAAAAAGTAGCTGGGTGTGGTGGCACATGCCTGTAATCCCAGCTACTTGGGAGGCTGAGGCAGGAGAATTGCTTGAACTCGGGAGACACAGGTTGCACTGAGCAAAGATCGTGTCATTGCACTCCAGCCTGGGCGACAGAGTGAGACTCTGTCTCAAAATAAATAAATAAAATAAAATGAAATAAAAGTGGAAAGTTGCTTATTTTGATCAATAGAGGGTGTCATTACAGAAGCAGTGCTTATTCAATGATAATTAAATAAATGTAATATCTATCTCCAGTGTTACAGAAAGGCCACCAAAGTGCCCCTTACCTTTCAAAGGCTTAGAGTCTAAATGGCTATTTTCCCACCAAAACCCCAGAGCTATTTCCTCCTTTACCCTGTGTCTCTGTACTGAATGCATCTTTTACTTCTGATCAGTGTCCGTGACCATGAATGAGCTTCCACCTTAGACTTCCCACGACTGCATATGTCCACCGTGGCTGACAGATGTGGGGCTCCCTCTTTGGGGCTAACGCTATTTCTCCTTCTTTCTTTCTCCTTACACAAAACAGATATTCTGAATTTTATGCCATAAATAAAGGCATGTTATATGTAACATATTGTCCTTTACATATACTTAAGATTTCGTGTAATAGTGTCCAATTCGATTGAATCAGTGGTGTCCTTTAAAAGCTCATTATATAAACAGGCCGATGTGAAATGCTAAGCTGGTGACAGGGCAGCCCCAACCTCATTAGTCAGTTAGATCACCGGCAAGTCTGCCTGCTGACAGGCCATGCCACAAAGGCCCACTACAGAGATAGATTGCACTCCTCCATGAACAATGTATTCAGTCGATTCACAATCTAATGAGAGCCAGGCTTCCTTTTAATAGTCCCACAACATTTCACCCTTTGGCACTAAAGAGAAATTTAACTGCAATGCACTGACTTTTGTGGCTGCTTTCTACAGAGAGAGAAAGGATACAATGCCTTTTAAAGCCTCAGAAGTTTCCATTTTTAGTTATAAGAGCTAGATCCTCTGTGGACAGACACCTCTCTCATGCAGGACCCAAAAGATCCAAAAAGCTTTTGAGGCCACAGTAATACCTGGTCTTTTTCAGGGCAAAACACGAGAGAATGTGTAAAGCTAGTGGGTAAAACTTCACAGTCTTCAATTCAAGACAGAGTGAGTCAGCATTCCATTTGTAGAGTGGCGGGAATGCGTGTGGGGTTATGGCTTGCTGAGCGTCTTTATTCTACAATGTGTGTGATGCTCGCAGGGGGTGGATGTGCTTACAAAGACCAATGACACCACCTCCCACACTCCTCGGCCTGCACTTTCTATGCAGCTAAACAGTCATATCACGCTGCCCGCTGGAAACACAACTCATTGGCTGCGGTTGAGAAACGCTGACACAAAGGGGCTCGCTGCATTAACGCCCGTAATACCAAAGGTGGTATCCGCCCCAACAATGAAAATCCATTTTTGTTACAGAGGCTGGTCATCTTATGAAAGAACCCATACTAGAAGGAAAACAAACAAACAATCAAACAAACAAACAGATGCAATGGTTAGAAGAGGTGTGTGATGTGAAGACCTTATTGTAGTTGTTGGCTGCCCTCTTCTCCCAGTGACGCCACAGAAAAAAAACGGTGAGGAAAGAGACAAGAAAAAAAATCACATGCCATGAGAGAAATTCAGAGCGGGGATAGTTAATGCAATGTTACAGAACTTTTGATTCGATAATAACGTTCTGGATGAAACGGAATTTGGCCTAAGACAGAGCCATCTCCAAGAGCACATTCAGGAGGATGACTAATGCCATGGCCCACCAGGTCAGGGCCATGCTACTGACCTGAAGGCCATGGAACAGTGGTGGTTGGTGATGAGCTTGCTCCAGAATCAACACTGCTTCCTTACTTGAGAAAATTTGCTATGGAAACCATGGCTGTTGAATGAAACGATGTGCTTAGTGATGCAATTGTTTACACTGTGGCTCAAGCTTTCTTTCTCTCCCAGCTACTTCCAACAAACACTAAAGTAACCAGCAGCCAGTCTGCCTCTATGGGCCACACATGGGGTAGCACTGCCCTGGGAGTCAGTGGATTCAACAGCTCACTTCACTGGCAAGAAAATTTAGGGGCTTTCTTGAGAACACATCTAGTTAGTGGCACAGTGAGGACTTGGCCTGTTTTCTGCCACCTCGGTGGACTGTCTGCCACCGCATGCTTTGCCATTTAAAAAAAGCAATTTGAAAACATTTTTGCTGGGATGAAATGAGAGCATGCAGTCAGGGACATCAATTTTACTATTTCTGTAGAGACCACTGCTTAGACCTTGATCAAGATTCAAGGAAGAAAAAAAAAAAAGATACAACCACTTTATTCTCTGAGACACAGAATTTGCTGTAAAAGTATTCAAAATGTGGATACAAATACTGCATTTTAAGAAAAGGGCTTTCAACTTAATTTTGAAAAAATAAAAGTTTTGTAAAATTCGAGAGTCTTGGTGTCATAACACTGAACAGGAGTGAAGGGCTCGCCCTGGGGGGAAAGCACCGAGAATACAAATGTTTGCTGAGTTTACCTTCCATGTGACCCTGATGCTCTGAGATGATATAGGCTCCAGGTGAACTTCCTGAGGTGGACCATCAGGAGCTGTAAGGACCAAAAACCCACAGGCAGGTTAGAGACGCTTTCCGGAGCAGATCGAAGCCTACACAGCCAAAGGTGGTCCCCGAGGACAACCCATCCCTATGTTTGGCACAGAGAAAGAAGTTTTTAGCGGTCATGGGAAATGTCAATTTTGTAGAATTACTGTGTCCAACTCTAGGCCTTTGTTTATTTGCTCTTTGGAAACATGAATCTTGGGGACCTATCATGGTATTCCTTCTCACCATGTCTTTGACAACCTCGTGAATCAATCCCAATTTTGAACAAGGGGTACAACAGAAAGTTGCAAAACAAAATTTCCCTTATGAAATGCTGTCTATGGTGTGTATTGAAGGTCCTTCTCTCCCCGCTGGAAGCTTTGCTTAGTGATGTGGTATTGGGGTTTCTCAATTGATTAGAATGACTTCGGGCAAAAATAATCAAGATTCTTCTGCCTTTGGGTGTCTTTCATGGCTTTTGTTCTTCAATTAAAAACCCTTGTGGCCGGGCACGGTGGCTCACGCCTGTAATCCCAGCACTCTGGGAGGCCGACGCGGGCAATCACGAGATCAGGAGATTGAGACCATCCTGGCTAACACGATGAAACCCCATCTCTACTAAAATACAAAAAATTAGCTGGGTGTGGTGGCATGCACCTGTAGTCCCAGCTACTCGGGAGGCTGAGGTAGAATTGCTTGAATCCAGGAGGCAGACGTTGCAGTAAGCCGAGATTGCGCCACTGCACTCCAGCCTGGGCGACAGAGTGAGACTCCATCTCAAAACATAAACAAACAAAAAACAACAAAAAAACCCTTGTGAACCAGGGGCTCTAGCCACAGAGTGCTGAAGCAATGTTAAAGAGGAAACAAAAGTGTGCAATTTAAAGCAACCTATTTCTGCTGAGTGTGCAATAAGTCAGTGGGCCAATGAGAGACAATCCCAATTACAGGGGGCCAATGAGAGACAATCTCAATTACAGGGAGCCAATGAGAGACAATTCCAATTACATCCCAGTTAGAGCTGATAGGCATGTGTTGGAAATGTGCTACCTACTAGGTACATGGTGTAGAACTAAGAGATGTAAAACATTTTGCCAACCAAGAGTTCAGAATGTAATCAGAGCTATGAGATACACACACTGAAAGAAGGTTGCAATGCAAGGCAGCAGGAAAACAGGTGTCTTCTGAGAAGCAGAAGCAAATGACGACACAGAGATCAGAGGGAAAGAATCCTTTAGATTAAAAAATGTTTTTGGATTGACAATTTTTAGATCACTGCAGAACTACAGAAAGCCAGTTCTGTGGACATTTGCAAAAGGTTGTATGGCACACGGGAGATAAGAAAGCTGAAGTAGTGGATATGAACTCATTTTGGGGAGTTTGGAAGTAATGGGAAAAGTAAAGCTATCTTATAGATAAAGGGTAGATTTGGGGAAGCGCATGACTAAGGGAAAGCTCCCTTCCTTTTTTATAAAGGAAGAGGAAGTTCTGAGTAGTAGCATGATGTAGTTGCTAAGTTGATGGGCCATTTGAGTTTTTTCTGTCCAAGTTCACATTCTGGTTCTATCACTTGTTGGCTGTGTGCTTTTTCTGCGGGTTACTTAGCTTGTCTGTGACTCCATTTCTCTCTATATATAATGGGCCAATGGAATTTGTATCATAGGGTTGTTATGAAAACAATGTGCTCAGTAAATATAAGAAATCATAATCATAATATAATTATCATTAAGTGTTTGTAAATAGGGGGAAGCAAATGGGAGAAATTTAACAACAACAACAAAAGGTAAACTTGAAGGAATAATGAATGTCCTGGCAGAAACTGAAGAGGGCAGAAGATACAGGCTATGGAGTGAGTGGGGCAAAGGAACAAATACCTCTGGGATGGGAGGAGGGCAGAGCGACGGGAGGCCTTAGGTAGGCTTACTGGTTGAGGGAAGCCAGGTGAGGGCAGACACAGGTAAACTTACTGGTTGAAAGAAGCGGGTTGAAACCTGATTGTTGCTTTTCTCAACAATATGACAATAAGCCAAGCAGGAAATCAGAATGGGAACATGAAGGAGAGAGTTATGGGCTTTGGAACAAAACAAAGTCTTGGAAAATGGCTATGGTCTATAGAAAAGGGTGCACCCTGTGTCTTAGGGCACTAAGGCGCTCTATCAAGGTGCCCCTCCCCAGGAGTCAGTGCTCTAAGATGCAGGGATTGCTACTCCAAGAGGATAATGGGACTCCACAGCTCCGTCCTCGCACTGAGGACCAAGCAGGAAGCTGATTCCGCAGGTCAGGGCTGGCGGGACTGGGAGAGAATGATACTATAAGAATGCCAAGAAACGAAGCCGATTCTCCAGCATATGTGGTTTGTTATGGTTTAGAAATATGAGTTTGAAAGGAAATGGGGACATTGCGGCCTCGATTTTCCAGTTAAGATGTACTTATAATTAAAACAAAGGTGTTAAAAGACAAGAGCTGGAGAGAGAGGAGGTGGGGGTTAGGTCTCTGGGCTGTTTGTTCCCTGCACCCCTCCTTCACACACTTGCTGATGCTGTCCCTGACATCTGATCCAAATGGCCCCTGTCCTATGCTTTCTCCACCATCGTCCTTATGGGGATCCCTATCTCTCACTCTGATACCCCACTCCCACCCCACTTCTATGCCTGGTGACAGTTTCTATTTAGTTCCTAAACATTAATTCTGGTCTCTATTGTACTCTTTTAAAAGGGACATGGCCCCAGAGCACAATTCACACTGTTCACCCACCCTAGTAATTTTCTGCTCCCAGAAGGCACCTCGCCGTCCTCTCCACGCTTTCGTTCCGCGCACTCCCTATGCACCCTGTGTCCCAGCCATGTCCAAAACACACGGGACCCCTGGGTAGAGCCGAGCCTTTTCCCTGGGGCTTTCTTCTCCCTCCATCAGGGTTTGCCGCCCATGCCTGTGAGCCTCCCGCTGCAGCTGACACCTGCCTAGGCCTGGGGACCTGTCCCTGTAGTGTGCATATATGTTTGCGTGTCTGTCTTTGCATGTCTCTGGTCACCCAGCAGACTCTACATGGCACCAGGAACTAAGCCCAGAGTGAGTCCTTGCTTTGAATGGGTAAAGCAATTTGTAGATGCTGAAATGCTGAGCATGCATCCCTCTCCTCAGCAGGTCCAGGGACAGCTGGCAGTCTGGAGTGCTACAGCCTCTCAGATCTATTAGTTCCAAAAATGCAAAGGCTCTGCTAGAACTGAAGTTAAAGTCCAGAACAGGAGCCGAGGGAGAGAATGGCTTCCAGCTAATGGTGATGATTATTGTTGAGCCTCTGCACCCAATTTCTTGCACATGGGGTCAAGCTCTTAGGCAGGAAACTTTGGACCTCAAATTCAATAAAAACTCATGGAATGGATTTCCCTCACACACAGATAATTCTGTGCTCATTGAAAAGCACACGGTTTTCCATAAAAATCCTTGAAAAATGATTTTTGAGTCTGACAGCTATACTGAGGCTGGGTTACTTTAATTTAGTTACACTTAACTGAATTTGACAAGAAGCCAGTTTGTTAGGAATTGGAGGCAATGTCAGGAGCACTGTCTCATCCTGAATCCTCTGGGCTCCCTGGGGCATGGCCTTTGGTGTGGTCCTCTCAGGAAGATGGCACACAAGAGTTGCAACCTTGATTTTCCAGTTGAGATATATTCATAATTAAACCAAAGGTGCCAGCATAGTGTTTACAAGAATGTCCCCAATTCTATCAGATAGCATACATATCATAATGTAATCATGAATTGGGAGTAACTTACTTTTCCAATCTGGTCTGGTATTTATTTTATTTTTCTTGAGACAGGGTCTCACTCTGTCGCCCAGGCTAGAATGCAGTGGCACTATCTCGACTCACTGCAACCTCTACCGCCCAGGTTCAAGCTATTCTCCTGCTTCAATCTCCCAAGTAGTTGGGATTACAGGTGTGTGCCACCACGCCTGGCTGACTTTTGCATTTTTAGTAGAGATGGGGTTTCGCCATGTTGCCCAGGCTGGTCTCGAACTCCTGGCCTCAAGTGATCCGCCCGCCTCAGCCTCCCAAAGTGCTGGGATTACAGGTGTGAGCCACCATGCCAGGCCCAGGTCTGGTATTTTATGAAGGTCCCCACTGAAGAGGAGAGGGGGTACAGTTCTTGTATCCAGGACAGACTTAACTGTTTTTAAGAATGTAACAGCTTTATTACTTAGCCTACCAATGCTGCCATGATTTGTCAGTAATGTATTTATTGTTCTGCCTGTTCCCTGAAGTGAAAGCATTTGGATCCCTCCTCCTAAAAAAAAAAAAAAAGTGATGAAAACAGTCCAGACAAACCAAAATAATTTAATTTGTACAAACACACAATAGGGCTATGTCCAATATCATTAGGAAGGTTTTTTGTTTGCTTGTGTTTTACAAAGGGCACTAAATTTTCTACTATGTTTCTAAAACATTACTTTAAAAATTTTTTAAATTATAAAAAATTTCCCTTCTTTAAGAATTTTATTGCTTTCTGTATAACTCCTGAGCTGTAATTTTTTCATAGGTTATCATCTCATTGCCAATGATGCCTATAAAATTACAGTCCAAAGCCGATTGAGTTTCCAATGCAAAATGTATTAAGGGTCAAAAATTAGGTATATCCATTTATTTAACTAAATTTGAAAATTGTGTTGACATTGGAAATTTAAGAATTTACTTACATGGTTTCAAATGTAATATATAGAAAAAGCAGAATTGGCTTCCCCACTTTGGAAGCCAAAGTGGGCAGATGACCTGAGGTCAGGAGCTCAAGACCAGCCTTGCCAACATGGTGAAACATGGTCTCTACTAAAAATACACAAATTTGCTGGGTGCAGTGGTACATGCCCATAATCCCAGCTACTGGGGAGGCTGAGGCAGGATAACCGCTTGAACCCAGGAGGCGGAGGTTGTAGTGAGCTGAGATTGTGCCATTGCACTCCAGTCTGGGCAACAGAGCAAGACTCCATCTCACAAAAAACAAGTGATTTTACAAAATAAACTCTGCATTTCTAAGAAATCCAAAACTCTTCGATCTGTAAAGCAGTAATAAGCGAAGACTATCTTTATAATTTGTATTATGTTTGCAAAGGTAAAAGTCAGGACAATTCATTCTGTTTGGCTGAAAACACAGGGATGACAGGCACCTCCTGATTGCCAAACGCATGGATCTCCGCTTTGCTTCCCTGTCCTGATCCTTCCTGGCTACGCTGTCTCTGCTTCTGTCCCTCCCCAGCTGGACAACCTCCCACTGCCCAGCAGCTCCTGTGTCCCTCCCAGAGCTGAGACTCAAGCCTCGGTGCTCCATTCTGCTCCAAAATACTCTCCTCCCTGTCTCAATATCTTGGCTTTAGCCAGCATCTTGGGGCCTCATCATTAATTGATATGGGCTCAATCACCCCAGTGAGAACCAGTCCCACATTTTTGCCTCTGGTTCTGATTGGGAGATTTGCCTTCTATGTGCCAGGTCCTAAACTAGGCAAAGACTGGGATACAAAAGCAGAAAAAAATATATAAATTTTTAAAAAGTAGTGAGGAGCAGCTGCATAATTCTACAAACACACGTTTGTCTTCTACAGGAGTTGGGTGGGTGGGCGAGAGGCATGCTCTGTGTTGGACAAAGGGAACCAAGACAGTATTTAGTAAAAATCAAAATACGACAAAGAATAGCTGGTGCCCAGATGGGGAAAGGCTGAAGTCATGTAATAACTACTTATTAAATAAATGGCTGATTTATTTAACCTACTTATTTAATTAGCACATCCTATGTGCTAAACACCAATCTAGGTGCCTGGGATACAGCAGTGAGTGAGCAGAACAAGCAACTCCACCTGCCCTGGTGGGATGGGATCAAAGCAGACCATAAGCAAAATAAATCAACAACTTATACAGTACACTGGGTGCTGATACAAGCGACTGCTAGAAGGAGAGTGGTAAGGGAGGCAGGGGACCCAGTGGAGTGGGCAGTGGGTTGAATTTTAATAGGGTGGCCAGGATTGGATTCTTGGAGAATAATATTTGAAAGTGGTAAGGGAAGAGACGAAGAACATTTCAGAACATTCCAGAACTGTTCCAGAACCTTTCAGGATAGCAGACAGGGGTATACACAATGTGTATGAGGGACAGCAAGAAGGCCGATAACTTTCTTTAGATTTAATTCCCAAAGTTTCTTCAAACCCAGGATGGAGGAGAATGACAAAAATCTACAGAGGCAGATCGCTGAGGGCCTGGTTGGTCATGGGGTGTGCTCGGCTCTTCTCGCTGAGTGAATGCTGTGCATTTGACTCTTACTGAAGAACACATTGATGCCGCCCTCTGCACTAATGAGCACTGCTAGCCCTGTGTTTGCTTCACATGCTCCTGACTTTTATTCCTTCTGCCCTCATTCCATCCTCTCCCCTCCACCCCAGCTCAGCACATAGGAAACTCTTCTTCCAGATCACAGCTGCTGCCCCGGAATGGGAGGAAAGATGAGGCAAGGACTTAACTCAGTGCCAGATTCATTGGAAACCCAGTGACTCTGCATCATGACCCTTCCATAATCCACACCTTCTATTCTCTGATGGTCTGTCAAATTCAGTGGTGTTTCAATGAGCACCCACTAATTGAAGCTGCATGTTCTATGCACAGATTTATAGTGAAAATAATGAAGGGGGCAGCCATCCCAAACTCGGTCACAAGGCACTAAGTGACTCATGACCTGCAGGGGGCAGCTGCTAATGGGGAAGTTGGTCTGTAGCAAGGGTTAGCTGTGAATGTCATGTGTCACGTGGCTGATCCGTGTCAAAGAGACACACTTCGGGTCCATTAACAGCTCATCTCATTAACTCCGACTGTGTCACTTATTCTCTTGACTGCTCCTTTGTTGTGGGGGCTGCTGGTGCTAGGGGTGGTTGGGGAAGCCATGAAGACTGCGCTGAATGGTGTGGTCTTGGCTTCATGGCTATTCTCTGAGGTCGAGTGTATTAAAGTGGTATGATAACGCTTTATGCACTTTCACATGCAACACATGCAAATAAACTGAGTAGTTTGGGGTTGGAGCAATGAGATTTCCCAACATTAGGTAGGGACACTATGCCAGTGGCAGCAATCCCTTCCTCACTAAGCTTTGCAGTAGATACAGCAGAAATCTAAAACTCAAATTCCCATGGTGGCCAGACTTCATCAGAGATCCATAAACATTTCTGTAAAGACTCAGATAGTACAAATTTTGGGCTTTATGGGCCCATGTTATTCTTTTTTTTTTTTTTTAAAGATGAAAAAACTATGCTTAGTTCAAGGTCTGTAGGTGAAGTTTGGCTCACCGACTGTAGTTTGCTGATCCTTCAATGAATGGAGGATGGGAACTATGGCTCACTGAGGGGGTATGGTCAGCCTCTGGGATGGCCACTCCATGCTTAACTCCAGCTCATTGCTGCCAAGCAGGAACTCAAGAGGAACTCAAAATTTAGATTTTCAGCTGAAATTTCCAGATTTTAAAAATTAACATCGAATTTAAAAGTTTCGCACAACACTGAGCCGACTCACATCCACAGGCCTGGTCTGTCGTGGGCTGCAGCTTATGGCCTGGGACATGCCCTATTCCATCAGGATGCGGGGAGGGCACCTCAAGCTCCAGATGCAGCCATTTCATGGGTGGTCACTGGAGCTCTGATGGGGGCTGTATTCTTTCCCCATCTTCTTTCCTCTCAGCCTTCCTGTCCTATCTTTCACCTTTCTCTACTTTTCTGCATGAAGTCCTTGTCTTAGTCTTTTGGGGCTGCTATAACAAAGTACTCTAAACTGCATGACTTATACACCACAGAAGTTTATTTATTTCTGTTTCTTTTTTTGACAAGGAGTCTCACTCTGTTGCCCAGGCTGGAGTGCAGTGGCACGACCTTGGCTCACTGCAACCTCCGCCTCCAGGGTTCAAGCGATTCTCCTGTCTCAGCCTCCCAAGTAGCTGGGATTACAGGCATGTGCCACAATGCATGGCTAATTTTTTTTTGTATTTTTAGTAGAGACGGAGTTTAGCCATGTCGGCCAGGCTGGTCTCGAACTCCTGACCTCAAGTGATCCCCCTGCCTCAGCCTCCCAAAGTGTTGGGATTATAGGCGTGAACTACCGTGCCTGGCTCAGAAGTTTATTTCTTACAGAAATTTATTTCTAGAGGCTGACAATTCCAAGATCAAGATGCCAGATTTGGTGTCTGGTCAGGGCTCATTCTTCTGGTTCATAGATAGTGCCTTCTTCCCATGTCCTCCCGGGGCAGAAGGGGTAAGTGATCTTATTGGGCCTTGGGCCTATTGTATAAGGGCATACTGATGCTATTAATGATGGGTCCACCCTCACTTCCTAAAGGCCCCACTTCTTAATATTATTGCATTAGGAATTAGGTTTCAGGATATTCATTTGAAAGGGAAGGCATGAACATTCAGACCAGGGCACCCTTCAGAATTTCACTGTGGGTTTAATCCAGCATATATTTTCTCAACACACACATACACACACACACACACACACACACACACGCACACACACACACACGCACACACACATACTCTGCTCATTGTGACACCCATTCTAAAGGCAATACTGTGGGTAATGTTTATAAACGTTCATCTCATACTTTCATCTCCCTTATGCCAGACACACACAAGGGACAGAATTGTAAGCACATATGCCCCCTGATGTGGAGGGGGCCACAGCCCCTCCACATCAGGTGGTATATCATCATGGACAGCAGGGTCCATGAAGACATGATGATACACCTCAAAGGCTACTGTCAGCAAAATCCCTCCTCTGTCCTGAGCTGAGTAGTCCCTAACTACACATGGGAGATGGAAAAAGGCATTGCACCAGGGAGGAAGGCATTCTTGAACTTGACTTTTCAAGGAAGGGCACAGAAAAGGAGACATGGAACTTGTAGTGCCTTCAAGACAGGGGAAGAAGCACAACAATAGGGGTCTGGGAGCATGCAAAGGCAGGTGAGTGCTGGGCATTGGGCTCTGGGGAGTCACTAAGTGTCATTGCAAAGTAGTAGCATTGGGGGGCATCCTCGTGTGCCCAAGACTTGGGTACTAGATTACAGTAAAAGTGAGTGGGCTGACAGCTTCCGGAGGCTCCCATATGAGGAATAAGGGAACAGTGGGACAAGGTCACCTCAAGACAGCTACAGCTCCTAAAAAGATGTGCCTTTGGGTTTACCTGCTGGGAAGGGGCAGCAGTGTCTACAGCCCCTGCTCAATACTCTAATGAGGATGCCTTTGGCCAGAGCACCCCATTCTAGGTAAGTCACACATGGGAAATTGACTTTTTAATTTCAGTCATGCAAACCTATGAACCAAGACAAAGACAAGTTATCTGCTGTAGCTTTTCATTTCTAGAACCTGCTCCTTTCCTTCCCTTCCCCTTAGCTCCTCTGAATATTAAAGGAGAGGGGCTGTGTGGGGCTGCCACAGCCAGCACACCCAGATACAATACAAAAGGCCAGCCTGGGAGCCAAAGAGGCAGCATCTGCATCTGTCTGCAGACATGCCAGGCAGCTGCCCTGCAGACCAGCACCCCAGAGGCTCTTCACCTGGCCTTCTGGCAGGGAGAGAGCTGCTTCCATGGCAACTGCCAGCCGCAGCAGAGGTCACAGAGGAAACGAAGAAAAAAGCAACAACAGCAGCATTAATAATGGCAATCAGAAAAGCAGGTGCAAAATGCACCACCGGAAAAATGCTGTTTTCCCGAGGAGGTGGCTGGGATGGGGCGAGATTAGAAAAGGGCTTGAGAGAGAAGGAGAAGATTGAGCAGGAAGTCAGAGATGACATTTTGGGCTGAAGGATGGGGACAGCTTATTCTCCCTAAGTACCCAGCATAATGAAATCTCAGGGATCTGAGGAAGTTAGTGGGTTGTTTACATACATAATTAAATACAATTCTATTTTTTGCAGAAGCAGATTAACACTTATTTCCCACTTATTTCTGAGACATGCAAAGTATTTTCAGAGCTTGAGTTTTTTTCAGTGATCAGATATGTCTGTGTAAGGAGCAGAAAGGCATCATAATGTCCATTTTGCAGATGAGAAATCATACAGAGAATCCAAGTCTCAGAAATGGCTCACTCTCAGGCACTTCAGCCTAAAGATCTTCTGTCACTCACTCTTGAAAACAATTTTCAAGAACTGACATCTTCCAGCATTGAAAAATGGGCATTCCTCTGCAGTTCAGGAAGAGTTGTACATTTTAACCTATTCTCTTGAAGACAACACTGATTACAGATATCAGAAGGGTGAAAATGTTGCATTTGATTGATCCAGCCATCTGACTTCTTAGGATTTAATCTAAGAAAATGATCTTGGAGATAGCAAAAGACATACCACCAGGATGTTCATTGTAGTGGTGTTTATACTAATGAAAACTCGAAAATAATTGACCCGTTTGGCAATATGAGATTTGTTAAACACATAGTGAGAGATATCATTACAAATTGTAGAAAAGTACTTAAGAGATACATAAGCTCCATTTATATTTGGGATGCTGTTAATGAGGGTAGCAGAGATGAGGTGGTGGGAAGGAAGCCAAGATCAACCTCTCTTGAAAGTTGCAACAAACCTCCGGTCTTCTGTTAGCCATCTGGGTGTGGCAATCACCTTAATCTTGGTGATGGAGAAACAGGGACTTGAGACTAAGCTGCCATCTTCCCTGCAGTAGGGAGTGGCTGATTGCTCTGATGGTGGGCAGGAAAAGAAGAGGTAGGTTTGGGAGCTGGACACCCTTTCCCTACAATAAATGGGCCAGGCATGCAATCCTTGTGGATGAAACCCAAGCGCAGTGGCTTCCTCTCCTCCTGCCAGGAGGCGGGCTGACAATCAGCATTCATGGACCATTGCCTGATTGCTCAGTTCTCTGCACACCTGTTAATTTCACCCCCCCGGAAACATGAGTGGCTCGCAGTGTGTTAAGGGGTGTGAATACACTGGTGCGTGCCTGTGTGCATGTGCGTGTGTGGGTGATGAAATTATTTAGCCAGTTATCACTGCCTGTTCCTGGGTTAGCTCTCAGTGGGAAAATGATGGAAGCTGTTTTGCCTTCTCCACAATGCTTATCTCTATCTTCTGAATTTGCAACACTAAATATAATGTTGTTTGTAATAGAAAAAAGAGCAAAAACATTATTTTTAAATATTGATGTTTCTAGTCAATAAAATAATCTGTTCCCCTTCCCACATCTCCCGCACAGTAAGCATGCTTGCAGATTCCTAGTTAAGCATTACTGCTTCCTCCCACACTGGACTTCACAGGGTCTCAGGAAAGAAACACACTCACGGTTCTCCTGTCAACCTGGATTCCATGTGTCCAAACAAAGGAATTGTAAAACGGCATGATTCTTTGAATCTCACCAGATTGTTAGCCTCATACGTCTTTCTTTTAAGTCTTGGGTATGGGAAACTTGAACTAAATCCTATTTGAAGAGCAGTGCCTTCAAAGTAAGATGCAGAGCGCTGTCTGCGTTTTTTATAGGGCACAGAACTACGGAGAGCACGCATCAAAGACCTCCGCCTAGCACGGGCAAAGGTCTGCTTCTGCATTTAAGCATCTGAGCCCTCAAGAGTTAGCTCCCGGGCTCCTCTGGAGCAAGGTTCCGCCCGGTCCCACGTACCTGCCTCGTCCGCCGTGATGGTGAGCTCGTTGCTGGGCTCGCTCTTGCCAATCCGGTTCTTGGCGTACATGCGGATGCTGTAGGTGGAGGAAGGGTGGATATCAATGATGGTGGCCGAGTTCAGCTGAGGGGAAACATCTTTGGTTCTCTGAGCAGAATCCCAGGAGTCTTTTGGGTTTTGTTTTTCAAAAAAGAAGAGATAGAGACGTGAGTTTTTTTCCTCTGCCTTTGAAAGTTCACAAGTAGGAATTAAAAACCAAAAAAAAAAAAAAAAAAAAAAAAAGACGGAAAGAAAGAAAAATTACACTCAAAGTGATTTCTGAATGCAATGTTCCCAGCTTTCTGGCAGAGTTGGCCATCAGAGGGGATGTGACATCCCACACACATTATTCACGCTGCGAGGGACATGGGGCAACAAGCCAGCTGAGTTCAGGGAGGGGTGATGGAGGAAGCACAGATCAGCCGACTGGGGGAGATCTCAGAAGGCAAATTCCAGTGGTGGAAGCTCAGGTTAGTGGAATGGACGATGGCCACTGTAAGCACTCATTGTATAGGACAGTACAATGAACTATGGTTTGGATAGTACCCCTGGGCCCCCCCAAAATCCCTGGCATTTGAAAACCAGCAAAACTTCAAGCCATATCAGATCCTTTCCTCCCCAAATAGAGTGTGGTAAAAACAAGATAATCCCATACAAACCAATCTCAAGTTCCAGAATAAATCCTGATTACCAAACATATTTTTTCAGTTCTATTTTTTGAAATCATTTAGTGCCAAATCCTTGGTTGTAGGAATTATTTTTCAACCACAGCTAATTATAACAGCAGCACCTACTTTGTGTGAAATGTTATCACTGAATCTGTGACATTTTGTATCTGGTGGTTTTCAGGCTTCAAGCAAGGATGAGAATGTCAATACGTGGTTCTTATATCAAAAGAGTTTGGGCAGTTGTTGACTGTAGGTGTGTGGTCGACAGCTGGTATTGGCTGGGGATGAAAAAAGGAGGGCCCAAGACAGTAGACAGAGATGGTGCCTACATATTCCCACCCTCCTCAGGGTCTGCCTTGGTGGTGCTCACCACACAAGTAAGTCTTCCATGGATAATCTGAATCTGTGTTCCCTGCTAGACTTTAAGCTCCAGGAGGGCAGAGGCCATGCTGGCCATACCCAGTCTTTTATCCCTAGTGCTAGCACAGTGCCTGGCTCATAGTAGACAAATAGTACATGAATGTTTAATAGAGGAACAAATAAACCACAAATACATGGACCTCTGAGTCTTGGGAATGGGGCCAATCACTTTGTCACACTAAGGGTGAGTATGGCAGTTTAGGGGACTTCTCTGTCCAGAGTTAAACATAAATGCAAGAGATTTTCTGGAATTGAAGAAAAAATATGTGGCTTAAAGACTGCTTTTGGATACTGTAACTTCTCAGAGAATGAAGCCTAATAGAATCTGACAATGAATATTGCAGTTAGAAGGAAAAAGCATATTTGGGGTCAAGAAGATTAGAGGTGGAAAAACATGAAATACAAAGAGTTGGAAAAAAATTGACAAGGGGAAGAATGGGATTCAATGGAAGACAAATGAGGAGAGGAAATTTTATATCAATGAAACGGCACACACCTATGAGGCTTGTCCCACAGAGAGAAAGCCAGACCTTCTGCAGAGATGTTTAGGAGGATGAGGAGGAATGCCAGGTGCCACAAGATGCAGAGACATTTGCTAAGTAGCCCCTGGAGGAAGTAGGCAGTTGTGGTGGTTGATGCCTCTGCCCAGGCAACATTGAAGTTTCTGAAACTGACGGGGCCAATGAAGATACAGCCATCTTCACTGGAGGCTCTTGTCTGGGAGTTGGCAGGCAGCCTGGAGAGGCATATGAGTGTCCATGACTGCAGTCCCTTACACCAATCCAAGGCATATGGTGGACCTGGGTAGGGTGGGGACAGTCCCCTCTTGGTGGTCACTGGGCACCTCCACATCCATGCCCTATAGGTTCCTTTAGCTCAGCCCCTATCTCAGTGATGTCACCTTGTTCAACAGTCTCCCAGTGTGACTTATAAATCCTCTCTGATGCTGCGTTTGCACCCTGTCTGTAGCAACTACCACTAACTCCCTCCAATGGGCTGGGGGACCCGTTACAAAGCCCATCCTCACCCTCCTGTCCGTGGCCTTCCCAGACTCTCCCCAGTCACACTTGCCACTTTTCAGATCTTGGATGTCCATGCATACATTTCTGTTTGTGTTTTACGCCTAAGAACTTTTTTATTGGGTCAATGGTGCATTCTTCCTAGTTATATTTATATCTCAATTTTCAGTTTCCTCCTCCCATCAGGTCAATGTGCTGGGCATTTTCAAACGTGACTTCTGTGGCCCCAAATCTGTGGGCACATTGGAAACACCTTGGGGCTTTTTGATAATTCTGCTTTCAGACCTACCAAACCAGAGTCTCTGGGGAATGGTGCCCAGAAACCTGTGCTTTTAAAAAGGCTCCCTATCTTGGTCATTCCGATGTATAGTTTGGACAGACTGCTTCATTTGATTAAAATTGTACAACATCCTGTCAAGGTAAGGTTTTTATTTCCTTAGTGAAAGTCAAGAAACTCAAGCCCTGTTACATAGCTGGTAACAAGAAGGGCTGGGATTTGGCCTCGCCTGTGTTATCTCCAAGTTCAAGGTCATTTTTCTGTAATGCATGACCTCCACATACTCTCTGAAAACACCTAATAAGACAGGATTTTGATATTTCCGGGCACCTGCTGAAAATCTCGTATGCCTAGAAGAAGACCTTCTGGCAAATTATTGACTTGACAATGCACAGAAATCGTTTGGTCAAATGTAAGAGAAGAAAACTTTGGCCAAGAATGACTGTACCATCTGTGGGTTTGTAGGAAGACTGAGAGGGCTGTATAGGCTCGGAGTTGCAGCCTGGTTTAGGAAGATGTCAGAAGCATTCACGAAAGAGTGGGCGGGATGCCATGGCTTGCTCCAGGGAGACTGGTGGTGTAGGAGGATGGGGCAGTTCAGAGTCCCACTGCAGCCTCTGTGAGGTGAGGAAGGAGTGAAGAGCTGACAGGAGCCAGTGAGACTGCGCTGGGTGCTTGCTGGGGAGCTCGCCTTGGGGGTCAGATACCCCAAATCCAGTGGATGCAAGAGCAACAAGGACTAATATAAGAGAGTGGACTTGGTATGAAGAAGTGCTGTTAGAGGCTAAAGACCAGAATGAGTGAAGGTGACTGAAAGTTCTGGAGGTGAATTACATGAAAGGTTTAACAATGGAGAGGTAGCTGGGAGAGGGAGCGGGCCCTTCATGTTGGTGAATAGGAGGAGGTGTGGGGACACAGGAGAGCCCCTTGTTCTCTGTCTTATTCTTCTCAAGGATAACAGTCCTCAGGGTGAACTAGGGGTGGGAAGACCAAGAGAGGAGAGGGGTTGGGGTGTGCACCTTCTGTGTCAGAGTCTGTGTTTCCTGGTTACCTTTCAGGGTGTGACAGAGCTTGCCATGGTGCTGAAACCTGGTCAGAGACCTGTGAGCCACCACGGACAGGAGGGAGGGACAAGAGAAACTGTGGACAGGACGGAGGCACCGGAGAAACTGTGGACAGCAGAGGCCAACAGAGAAACCGTGGACAGGAGGGAGGTACCAGAGAAACTGTGGACAGGAGGGGCCAGCAGAGAAACCGTGGACAGAACGGGCCACCAGAGAAACCGTGGACAGGAGGGGGTTACCAGAGAAACCGTGGACAGGGGGGGGTTACCAGAGAAACCGTGGACGGGGGGGGGTTACCAGAGAAACCGTGGACGGGGGGGCTACCAGAGAAACCGTGGACGGGGGGGGGTACCAGAGAAACCGTGGACAGGAGGGGGGTACCAGAGAAACCGTGGACGGGGGGGGTTACCAGAGAAACCGTGGACAGAACGGGCCACCAGAGAAACCGTGGACAGGAGGGGGCTACCAGAGAAACCGTGGACGGGGGGGGTTACCAGAGAAACCGTGGACAGAACGGGCCACCAGAGAAACCGTGGACAGGAGGGGGTTACCAGAGAAACCGTGGACGGGGGGGGTTACCAGAGAAACCGTGGACAGAACGGGCCACCAGAGAAACCGTGGACAGGAGGGGGCTACCAGAGAAACCGTGGACAGGAGGGGGCTACCAGAGAAACCGTGGACGGGGGGGGTTACCAGAGAAACCGTGGACAGGAGAGGCAACAAGAGAACCTGCGGACAGGAGATGGCCCCCACAGGAACAGACTCTGAAGGGCAGGCTGCCTTCCAAGGAAGGGAATAAAGGGAGGCAACAAACTGCAGACGAATCTGCTGGAGGTCCCCAGACAATATGCTCGAAGGGATGTTAAAGGTGGCCTTGGGTCCTTGTAGGGGAGAAGCAGTAGTCCCTGGGAATCAGAAAATATGGCAACCAAGGCAACCTGTGTAATTGCCACCTATGGGAGAAGAAGAATGTTCCAGATAAGGAAGGGACAGCTTCACTGTGCCTGTGCCCGCTCAGATGACGCCTCTGGTGCTGCCACTGGGCATGACCAGAGTTAGGGGGGCAGGAGATGATGACAGGAGATACAATAACAAGGACTTGGGGTGTTCAGTGTTTCCTGGAAAAGAGTAAACCAAGGAAAGTCATCTGTTGTCAAATCCTGGGAGGACTGTCATTTGGCCAAAGGGTTAAGAGGTGGGAGGAGAGACACTGGATCCAGGAAGGTCTATTTTGGTGCAATAAATGTAAGAACTTGTAGCAGTCACAGCTGGCCAAAGGCAGAGCTGTGCTCCCTGGGTTAGTGAGTTTCTGTTTCTCGGATTGTTCAAGCATAGAGTGAATGGTCACTTGCAGAAGTTCTTTCTGTTACGAATGTGAAGTACTTTAATACATTGGTTATATGCTGCTTTCTTTGAAAATTAATGAAAAGGAAAGGAAAACTTTTGGGGGGATAATTTCACCGTTGCCTAAAACAGATGTTGAGAGTCAACAATTTGACTAATGGTTATTATGAGTCTCGTATACATGTCAGGCACTATGAGGGGCACAGGGACATAGCATAAGGTTTGTCAGAGACAATTCCAGCCCTCAGGGCTCACTATGGCCCATAGGGGGACAACTGTTCAGTGGGGTGCAGATAGTAAATTAATAGTCACAAGCCCACCAAGTGTTCCAAGACATGCTATGAATAGTGAAGGGGAATAGGTAGTCAGGGAAGGCTTCCTGGAAGAAGTGACATTTAGGCTGTTATTAATACTTGAAGGATCAGTTTTCTATGTACTCAGTCTAAAACTACACTCACTTAAATTATGGTTGTAATTTTTATACACCAAAAATTTCTGGAGGAAGAAACTAATACATGAAAAATCTGACTAACACAACTCGTACAGCAGTGAGTACAGGTGCTATCTACTCTCAGCACAGCTCCTTCCTCCCAGGGCTTCCAAACTGAAAGTAATTGAAGTTCTGTAGGGTCCTGGTAGAGACCTTGGTCATGGACTTGGATCTGCTTGTCCTGTGGGCTTTTCTCCTGGGACCCATGCTGCCCCTTAAAATGACTTGCTCCAGGGCTACATAAACATCTTAGCCACACCACTGGCCCTGTCTCTGGTTGAAGTAGGGCATGAAGGATGGAAAAGAGTATCCCTCAATCCCGCCTGTACTCAGCTTTATAGACAAGGAGCTTTCCTGCTTTGGTTATATAAACCATGATCAATTTATACATTTAAAGATGCTGTTGATAATAATGATTCTTAGATTTCAATTGCATGTAAATTAATGCAATAAACATTTACAGTATGCTCTTCACTTGACATTGTGCTGGGTGCTGGGGATCCCAGGACACAGAGAACCAGAGTCCCTGCCTTTGGGAAACTCCTGGGTAAGAGTAGGGAGATAGTGAGGACACTTAGATGCTGAGTAAGTAGTTTAACACAGAGGGTTTTAGAGGCATTTTACTCCTAAGTATTTTCCTGCATGCTGGAGCAATCTACAAGCTACCACCTATTAGATGTTGAGTATGCTCCAGACAACGAGGAAGGCGTTTTCAATGTCTTCCCTTCTTAGAGTTCACCAATTTCCATTGAGTGTCTCCACATGTTGGGTGCGGTGCTGGGTGTTGGAGAAATGAGCTGGGTGAAAATAGACCTACTAGGTGCAGGGAGCCCCCAAGGAGCCTCTAGCGTGGTGGAGGTGAAATGCATTAATCAGCATATTTGTCAGTAATCATAGAGATACATATATAGTGACCCATAATGCCACCTGCCCAGATTGAAAGGGAGAAGGAGCTGGGTGAGCACCTGAGAATTGAGATCTATGGAGGGGGTAGTAACTGGGTGGCTCAGGGAAGGGAGGACTCCAGGCAGAGGGCAGCTGGTGGCCTTTGTGGTCTCCTTGCCAGTCCTTTGAGGTGGATGCAGCAGTGCCCACTTCACAGGTGAGATGCGCAAGCGAGGGTGCAGAGCTGGTGCAACGCAGGCCCAGCAGCGAATCCCACACAGGCTGGGTCCCAAATCACTGAGCCCAGGCCTGCCACCAGCATCCGGCAATGCCCGCTCCTCCATGAGGACAGGGGAGGTCCTGGGCTGCTCCAGTAGGAGAGGTCTCCTGTGTGCTCCCGCACCAACAGCATGGGCAGCCTGCAGCCCCATAGCCAGTGCGCAGCCAGTGAGATAAAGGGCTGTCCCTGTCCCCACGGTGCTCACTGCATCTGTCTGAGCTCTCATCACTGTCACTAAGTTCCAGGACAGTTTCTGCTCAAATGTGCCTGCCTCACCTAAGAAGCATTTGCTTCACTTCAAGACCTGTATACATGAACTTGTAAGAAAGGCAAGGTCAGCCTCTCCTCCCTGGGCCCTTGGGAAACCTGTTGGTCCTAGTCCCCAAAAGATGCTTGTTCAGCTCAGCACTGTCTTGGGTGAGCCCCCCAGGTCACTGTGCCTCACCCCTGAGCCCAGGGCCCTGGCTCTGCAGCATTTCTTGGCTACGGTGAGACTTGCAGTCCAATCAACCCCGGAAGGCCCTTCCTCAGACTTTGTGTAAGTGACACCTCACTTCTAGGCCCCCAGTTGCAACTCAGAGGCCGATGACCTGAGCCATTCCATCTTTCCTCATGTGCATTTCCAACCCAGCAGTCACAGATACTACTTTTCAAAACACTATTTTTTGTTTTGATCCATATCTTCTCAATCTTCAAATTCTGTTCTCCTGAATTCCCGAAGAGTCACCCCTCGGCTTGCCTTTGCAGTCACCATTTCCTGGCTCTGTTCCTGGCTTGCTCTTGCTGAAACATTTCCTCACTCCTGACCTGTGGTTCCCAGCTGCCTTGAGCTTGATTTTTTACTACAGCTTTAGTGCCAAAGATATTAGATGGGTCACAACTGGGTAATCTGAAATAACGTGCGGTATCCAGGAAGTGAAAAATAAAGCTGCTTTTGCGGCCTAGAAGGATTTTATTAACCCTTCCCATGCTGGTGGTGCTCGAATTCCTCATATCTTTTATGAGACACAGTAAAAATTCTGACTAGAGGCCACTGTGGTGGTATTCTACCCTCGCCCAATGCATCATAAAGTTCAAAATGGCCCGGGCATTGTTCCTTGAAGGCAATGAATGGGCACACCTGCAGCGGCCCTGGCAGCAGGGTCAGTTTTATTTATGGGCTCTGGGCCGAGTGGTCCTGGGTGCAGCAGCCAGTGTCGCCGATGGTCCCTGAGCATTTCCAGGAGGTTGCTCCAGAGTGAATTTTCCTTTTTCTGCACCAACCACCACTGCACAGTTTATCCGACCAACACCAAGCACAGCTTGAGCTCAACGCTCTGGGTGCAGGACATGGGCTCAGGCTCTACAAAAGTCACCCAGCTCGGGAAACGGGAAGTGAAGGGAGCAGGTGAAATAGAAAAGGTCATGGTGGGGGCCTGTCTCCATCAGCCACTGCCCACATGCCAACAGGAAGCTGCAATATCAAGGAGTCCAGCAGGAAGCAAGACTGAAGTCTGGGCTGGCTAAAAAAGAAAGAAGCAGAGCTGAGCCTCAACACGAAACTCCACTCCCACAGCAGAAAGCCAGGATGTGCTTCCAGCAAGGAGACTGGGGGAAGTGGTGCCCTCTGAGCTCCTGTGAGCTGAGCTGTGCGCTTACAGGTAAAACACATTAATAAGGAGAAAAATAAAAGAACTTTCTGAGGTGGAAGGGAAGCTGGAGGAAGTAAAGAACTTACCTGATTTATTTTTGCATTCAATATCGTAGCCTGTGATGGGACTGTTTCCATCAAACCCCATGGTCCACCTGAGCGTAATTGTGCGTGCTTTGACATCTTTGATCTCAATTTCGGGAGGGTCTGGGGGCTCTGTGCCATCAACAGAAAGACTACGAGTTAGTTCAAACAGAGCTCTGACATAAAACGCTAGTGGAAATGCTGAGCGTGACTCACAAACGATTTGTCTGCATTAGACAAGAACAGAAGCTTTTTATTTGGAAGCATTTTCTTTTTCCTAATCACATTTTAGGGAAGAGAAATTCCACTTTCCCAAGACTTCCAATTTTCATAGCCCTTAAGAACTGGACCAAGCCTGGAGGATATAAAATGTCACGATTCTAGTTTGGATCTCTAACTCAAAACATATTTTGGCCCCAAATGTTAAACTTCCCTTTCATTCTGGTCATCTAGTACATGGATTCCTAAAATTGAGCAAAGAAATTCCACCGCTGTACTTGTGTGCATGTGGCTTGACTGTCATGGGCTTGTCATCTTGACTGGTTCCTCTAAGGGCTTCGTTCCCTGTTTGGGGGCTTTACTTTGACATAATCCCAGGCACTGCAAAATTCTGCTTTAGCACTGACATTATACATATTCAAAATTTCCTGGGAATTAGGAAGTGTTACATGGCAAGTTGAGGACACAGAGATGCCTGAGGCTGAGCATACAGCTCCCATCCTGAAATGACTGTGTTTATTCTCTTACGCTATCGTCTTCCTACCTTGCACTGTGAGCTGAATTATTCCACGGTCCTCCCCATAAGAATTAATAGCATGGCAGGAAAAGAAACCAGAATCTTCTCTCACAGTTGGCAAAATCTATGTGTAAAGCAGAAAGAAATTCATCTTTTTCAGTAGGCAAAATGACTTTGAGCCGTAAAGCTCTCTCTCTCCACTCTTTCAGTTCTCCTGCCATGCCAAGCACACACATAGGTACACTCACACACACACACACACACTCACAAAACCCCCATTCCTCCAGACTCACATACTAAATCACACACATGCACGTATCCCTCTGAGGACAAATTATTTCAGTGTAATTGAAAGTAGGCGGATGGATAGGATTCACGTACATTATCCATGTCAGGTGTAGCTCATTAAATTGGATGTGTAATTTATATAAGATGTCGTGGTCAGCTTGACATATATCCCACATATACATTTTTTTTTTCATGGTATCCAAAGCAACCATGCCTAAAGAGACAGATTAAATACTGCAGGCAGGGCTGGGGGCCCGCAAGACTCGCATCAGATTCCTTTTCTAGGAGGATTCCAGGAATGGACCCTTGTCTGAGAGCCAATATAAGCATTTCAAACACAGGGCTTCCCCACCTCCCCACCCTGTGTGTGCTACAGTATCATCCTCCAACCGCATGACAACAGCACAAACCAGTTCACTGCTCACAGTCCTTTTCTCTAGCTTTTGTGATCCTCTTTTAACGACAGATTTTTTTTTTATTGTGGATTTTTCCAAAGAAGCAAGATAGTTTTTATGATAATATTTTTGTCCCAAAGCCCATCTCATTTTTCTTTTTGCAGGAAGTTAAAACATGCACACAGCATAGGCCATCATTCCTGAAGGATTAACTGTCATTTAAAAACCTTATTTCTCACTTTTTTTTTTTTTTTTTACTACATTTGGGTTCCCTGCTGCGTTCATAATAACCCTATTCTTAATAACACTTAGGCTGAAGCACTATTTTTGAAGGCTACTTCACTAATCTCGCTGTGTGAAAGGGGAGAGAAATAGTGCTTCGTAAATAAATTCCGAAAGATTATCTGCTACTTATCTGCACCCGCTTCTGTGAAAGGAAAGACTTATTCTTCCAATAAAGTTCATTCCATTGTGTTGTATTTGCCATGCTTTTACCTGCAGAGTAGAAATCACCTCTTCTCCCACCTCCTTGGTGGACACAAGATAACGGGCCATCTCAGGGTTAATGATTCGGTCCTCCTTCTCCCAGCGGACTATAATGGGCTTCTCACCATGCGCCGTGCAGCTCATCTCCTTTTTCTGCCCCTGCGTGGCCAGGGTAGTATTTGGATAGGATGTTATCATCGCAGGAACTGAAAAAGCAAAAGGGACACAACTTGTTCAGCAAAGCAGGGTTCTTGATTTTCCCTGGCAAAACACTCAGGTAAACCATGCTTCAAGAGATATTTCTTCAAAATGAAATTTATTCAAGAAACTGCTGCATGAGAATCTCGAGCAAAATAAAGGAAAGGCACCAGAAAAATGAAACTTGAGTAAGTGAGCCCTCAGCAGAAATTGCCATGCCGTTTCATATCCACGGCACGTTGCTCTTCCAACCCTGTTGAGGGCTATGGCCTATGTCCCTTAGCACACCCAGAATGATTGATATGGGTTGGCTGTGTCCCCACCCAAATCTCATCTGGAATTGTATGCCCATAATTCATTCCCATGTTTCATGGGAGGAACCTGGTGGGGGGTAATTGAGTCATGGAGGCGGATCTTTCCCATGCTGTTCTCATGATAGTGAGTAAGTCTTATGAGATCTGATGGTTTTAAAAATGGGATTTTCTCTGCACAAGTGCTCTCTCTTTGCCTGCTGCCAACCATGTAGGATGTGACTTGCTCCTCCTCGCCTTCCATCATGGTCATGAGGCCTCCCCAGCCACATGGAACTGTAAGTCCATTAAACCTCTTTCTTTTGTAAACAGCCCAGTCTCAGGCATGTCTGTATCAGCAGCATGAAAACGGACTAATACAATGATGTTACTGGTTTCTAACTATCATTATAAACAATGGGGATAAAACTTCCACTTTTAGTCAACTTTAGGTGAATCCCTTGTTGCTGCTAACCAGTCCTTGTAACCACTTTTCACAATGCCCATCTCCCACAGTTGTTATAAACCTTGCAAACCTTTATCAGTCACTGGAGACCTCAAACCTGTCCTTCTTCCATAACTTATAGCAGAGAATCTCGTCTCCAATTTACTGAGAAAAGGGAACCCTTTATTTGTGAAGCTTCTCAAGTTTCCTTTTCCCACATCAAAATTAAAAGAAGTCTAATACATAGACTTCTTTTCTTGGCAATAGATGACAAAAGATCCCACCCCAATTCCACAAGCCACTTATAAATTGTAGACTGCATATGACAAACACCTTTTAAAATGCATACTAAGCTTATCAGAAAGTGAGAGAAAAACCAGAGACCAAACACAAAAGCTGATAGTGAAAAGCCAGAGGTAATATATAATGGCGGTGCTTTGACTACCTGAGAGGCATGACATTAAATATGAGACCTCCAAAGCCAGGCTCCTCAAAGGGTTCTATCTTGACAGAAAGTATATAACCAAAATAATAATAACAATAAATAAAAATCCACAAAGGCAAAGAGAGAAGAAAGCTGCCTCAGCTTGTGTTATATATGTAGAAAAACAATCTCTCCCCTGAGAATTTATAAAACTGGCCTGACTCTACATAGGTCTGTAGTCAAATTCATGCTAAAGCTTTAACATGAAGGTGACCGTAATTTGATAATGGCCTGAGGAGCCTAGCAAAAGCTAACATACTCTAGAAGAATGTGTCCTCTGTCCAGGCCCACTGAAATGCACCCAGATAAAGCCCTGCTGGCCGTGAGCTCACAAACTGAAACTAAAGAACACATGAGAAAACTAACACCATGATTGAGAACCAGCCTCCCAGGACTTCAGATGATACAGTTGTCAGATACAGACTGCAAAATAACTATGCAAGAATGTTTAAAGATATTTTAAAAATATGATAAAGGAACAAGATGTTAACAAAAAGGACTAGAAAGGTTTGAAAATTCATCAAAACATAACAACCTTTTTATTTGCTTTTTATCTCATTTCCCCAATCACAGGAAGAAGCTCCCTTCCCCCATTTCTGAGGTCAAGCTCAGACTACGTACTTGATTGCTTGCCTCGTAAGACTTCCAAGGTACTTGACCATAGAAACACTGTGGCTTCTTCTAAGACTGGCACATACTGGGTCATGTCTTTTCCCATGGCTTACTAGAGAGGTTTGAGACATATAATGAAACGTCAAAATACTACCAGTTCCGTAGCCTGAACACCCACAGAAGAACCTACATTTGGGAGTTTCTCTAGAGTCAGCAGCCATGTGGCAGAGATGTGCCCCACAGCACTGACCGTGTAATAAGATGGAAAGTAGGCAAATTGGTGACTCAAGAAAGAGGTGCCAAGAGTCCTGCATATCAAGGACAGTTGCTCACAACTGTTGTGAAATTCCTTTTCTGGCATTTCTGAGATGCAGCAAAACTGGCTGTACTGTCCCCAGCCTTTGGTTCTGATCCCCCCCTTCCCCTAGCCTATAAAATAAATAAAAATGTTTATTTTTATTAATAGCTTTATTGTGGTATAATATCCATACCATAAAATTCACCTGTTTTAAGTGTGCAATTCAGTTGTACACTTAATATTGCATTCGCTTCCTAGAGTGCCTGTAACAAATTACTAGAATCTATGTGGCTTATAATAACAGAAATTTCTTCTCTCACAGTTCTGGAGGCTGGAATTCCAAAATCAAGTCGACAACAGAGCCATGCTCCCTCTAAGAGCTCTAGAGGAAGACCCTTCCTTGCCTCTTCCAGCTTCTGGTGGCCCCAGGCATTCCTTGGCTTGTGGCGGCAAAACTTCAGCTTCTGCCTTATCTTCACATAATTTACATTCTTCTTTGAATGTTTCTGTGTCTTTTCACATGGACTTCTTATGAGGATACCAGTCACTGGATTTAGGACCTACCCTAATGCAGTATGATCTCTTCTTAACGAATTATATTTGCAAAGACTCTATTTCCATATAAGGTCATATTCCAAGGTTCTAAGGGGACATTAATTTTTGGGGATACTATTCAACCCATTACAAATATATTTATATTATCCAGTACATATACATATATACCATTATAACCTGTATACAAATATACACAGTTGTATAATCATCACTGAATCAAATCTTAAAGCATTTACATTACCCCAAAAGATTTCTCCTGCCCATTTGCAGTCATTTCTCTTTTCCCCCTCAAGTTCTAAGCAATCACTAATCTACCTTCTCTCCCTGATATGGTTTGGCTGTGTCCCCACCCAACTCTCATCTTGAATTGTAGTTTCCATAAATACAATTCGTCTCCCATAGTGTCATGGGAGAGGCCTGGTGGGAGATAATTGAATCATAGGGGTGGTTACCTCCATGCTGGTCTCGTGATAGTGAGTGAGGTCTCACAAGAGCTAATGGTTTTATGAGGGGCTTTCCGCCCTTTACTCTGCACTTCCCCTTCCTGCCGCCATGTGAAGAAGCATATGTTTGCTTCCCCTTTCACCATGATTGTAAGTTTCCTGAGGCTTCCCTAGTCGCATAGGACTGTGACTCAGTTAAGCCTCCTTCCTTTATAAATTACCCAGTCTCTGGTATGTCTTTAAAAGAACAGACTAACACAATACCCGTATTACCTTTTTAGATCATTTTTTATAAATGGAATCATATAGCATGTATTCTTTAGTATCTAGCTTTCTGGATTTTTTTCACTAAGCATAATGTTGTCAAGGTTCATCCATGTCATAGCACAGTACTTTGTTCCTTTTTATTGCTAAATGATATTGCAGCACACGGATATACTGCATTTTTTTAAATCCACTCACCCACTGATGCACACTGGGGTTGTTTCTACTTTGGGGCTATTATGAGTAATTATACTATAAATATTCCTGTATAAGCTGTTGTGTGAACAAATGTTTTCATTTTTTTCCAGGAGAGATTCCTAGAAGTGGAACTACTGGGTTATATGGCAATTTCATGTTTAACATTTTGAGAAACTGCCACACTGTTTGACCAAGTGGCAGCACCATTTTGCACTCTTGTGGCCGGAGATTGGAGAGAGAAGAGGGAATAAGAGGAGGTGTTAAGATTCAGCATTTATGGTGAGGGAACAAGAACATTCCCTTTCAACCATTTGAGTTCAACAATTTAAGTTCAACCATTTGAATTCAACAGGGGAACTCAAAGAGTAGAGATTGGGTGCACCTATAAAAAGGTGAGCTGGCATGTTCCTCGACAGCTGGAGGCTTACTGGCTGTAGAAACCCCAGGCTCACCATGGATCTGCCATCACAGAGGAACTGAAGGTGGTGGCACTTTCTGTTTGGCCTCAATCCACTAATCAAGATTTTTTCTCATACGGGAAAGAGGCTAACTCAAGATAATTAGAGATCTCAAAGCCAACAAAAGTAACCTAAATTACAAAACTGTGAATAAATAAATTACAGGCCTATGAACAAGAAAATATTTACTCCTCATTCTTTCTCTCACGACTGGGGAATGTGAATCAGAAACCATGACACCCACATATAATTTAGCTTTGAAAGGTGACCCCTGTCCACTACCATCAACCCCCACGCCCCAATTCCTGATGAGTGTCCTGATTCCTGCAACACCCTCATCCTTAGAATAAAATATAGAAACTCTTGTTGCAAAACTGAAAATCAATCCATGTTTAATGCCTCCCAGTCTCCTGGGCATCTCAAGGCTATGGTCAGGATTTCCTATTTTGCAGTGTTTGTAAAAAGGAAATGTATAAAATGGTAAGACATAAAAACAGACAGTTTTCCTTTGAGAACTTGGTAAGTCACCATCATCACCTCCCAAATCCAGGGTAGTTTAACACTCACTGACTATATTCCAATGAGAGCAAGCCAATTCTGAAGTAAGGGTTTCTGTCCTATTCTAGGAGCTCCAAGGCTGGTGTTGACCCAGAATGTAATTCCCTAGTACTTTAAAACCACCAACTGGAAGAACTGTTCTCCAAAAACTGCAGCATTGTTTTGAGGACTTGTTTGTTTTCTTCTCTTTTCCTTTTTTAAAAAAATAATCACAAGTTTTATCGCATTTGATGAGAGAAGTACCTTGGCCAAACCATAGACCTCTGGTTTGTTTATGACTTGCCCATCTTAATCTGCACACAATACTCCTCAGTTTTATTTAGATTTCTACTTTGAAAGAGTGCCCTACTAAAATGGGTATTTTTGTTCTGGTTATTAAATTCAGCACTTAGAGAGAAATGCTCTGACTAGCCCATGTTCTCCTATCCAGCTCAAGTATTTTCAGCCCTTTAAAGTAATGGTGGAAAGGAAAAAATGAATCATTACCATGGCTTCTTTGCAATGCTAATGTTTGAAGGCATGACCTTTTCACTTGTCACAGTTATGGATGCCTAGAGATGACAACATGTCTGTACAGCAGCCCTTTTTGCGAGGATTTCTGAAGCATAACAAATGGATGGGGTAATTTAACAGGGATTGGTACCAAGGAGAGGCTGTGGGCAAACCCTGCTAGCAGGGCCAAGGGAGATCCAGACCCAAGAAGGCTTTGTCCAAAGGTTGTGTGCTGCGTGCCTCTCTTGCAAAATTACCCATTGAGGAAGGTGCTGTTTTACATCATATCAATTTATAAATTTGCTTCATAAACTATAATATTATCTAACAGCATCCTTAATGCTCAGTAAATCTGTGTTCTTATGATATAAGGGAGCATCCCTCTGACCTACTTTTTTGCAGCATAAAGATGCAGTGGTGTAGTGGAGCTGCTGTCATTGGCCAGGGAGATCTGATTGTGCACATCTCTGCCCAGCTTGGCAGTGCAGTCATGTCTCTTTCCCATTTAGCTTGAAATTGGCAATGGTGGTAGTATTTATACCACTGAAATTGGCGAGTGCTAGAAATCACGGCTTTCTCCATCCTCTCCCCCTCAATAGCTAATTGTTAAACATTTACCAGAATAATACTTAGGAGAGTGTTTCACTATATTAATAATTTTAAAGGGTGTTCCCATCGTACAAGAGATACTGAGAAGATAGTAAGATTAAGCTAAGAGCAATAATTAACTTTATCAATGAAAGTAAACCCTTATTTATTAATTAAATAATTAAAATATGAACAGTTTGTCACTGTACGTTTTGACAAGTAATTCAGTGATAAATTGATGAATATCTTAATTTTTTAACCCTAGGATACAGAGAGAATGAAAAATTCTATCAATAAATCACTGATATTAAAGACTGGTTCCAAACTTTACTCTCAAGTCTTTTAATGACTCTATCAATAATGCAAAATTAATCCTTATACATTTTTATGGTTTTTGTTCCTACCTGGTTCTGCTGAAAAGAAAACAGATTGAAAAGAAAACAACTGAAAAGAAAACAGGAGAAAGTACCAAACAGCCTGGATAATCCCGAATGAGACAAGATTCCTGTCACAAGCATCTGGCTCAATACTTTCATTTTATAGAGAAGAAAGGGTGTCAAATGCCCAAATACAGGAGTCCATCAGGATCTGACTCTGATCGGTCCTATTTGAAAACCATCATCGTCATGATCACCCCAAACATAGGAGATGGCCAACTGTCCCAGGGTGTCCAGGACTTCCAGTGTTTTAACACAGGAAGTCTGTATCCTGGGAAGTTTCTCAGTCCCTCCAGGCATTCAGAGCAGATATGGCAGAGGAGGGTGTGGAGCCAAGAACGAGGCAGCATAAACCTGGCCCAATGCCCAAGATGGGAAACTGAGGCAGGAATTACAGGGTTCCCGGGTGGGAGGTCAAAAGAAGGAGATGCTCTGGGACATAAACACATTTTAAAGCTATTTTTTCAAGTCCCTTTTAAACCAGTCCTCCCAAATTTTTATTATGAAAAAATTTCAAACATACAGGAAGCCAATCAGCCATGTATCTACTGCCTGGATTCCACAGTTCACACTTTAATGCACAGTGTTGAATCAAAATGTGTTTTCTTTGTTATCAAGATTTACTGAATACATTTTTTTTATTATTCTATTTTAAAACTACCTTGGGTAAACACATACATCAGCGTGGGTCTCAAAGGTCGAGCTGTAAGATGGCAGCCACCTGCCTGGATTCTGCAGCTCAGGGTGCAGACCCACTGGCCTCCTGGTGTCCCAGGTAAAGGAACTGCCGCACCCTGGCCTGCAGAGGTGATGTGGGGTTAGGTGGTGCCTGGGGTAGAGTGGTGCCCCTCACATATGTCTTACCAAAAGGAAAGGTGAGGAAGGGGCCTGGGAGCAGAGAATCTGACTCCAACCTCCTGCCGCTGGGACTGGGCAGGACCCTTGGCCGTCCTGGGTTTTGGCTTTCTCACCTGAGTCATAGAGGAGCTGAATGGGATCACGGGCTCTCAACCTGGCCTGTATCTCGGAATCACCTAGAAGCCTTTAAAATAGGCCAGTGCTCAGGCCCCACCGCACGTTGGCTCAGAGTCCCTGGGGGTGGGGGTTATGCATGGATTTATTTAAGTTTCCCAGACGATCCTAAAATATACAGCCTGGATTGAAACAACTCAATCCGATGATCCCCAAGGTCTTTTCCCCCACTAATTGCCATTTCCCCTCCTTCTCCTTTTTTCTTTATTTCTTTCCCTCTATCCTTCTGTTCCTCCCTCCCAATTTTTTCTTCATTTTTCCCTTCCTTCCTTCTTCACTTTCCCCTCTCTTTCTTCTGTTTCATCCTCCCTCTATTTCTGTCTCCTGCTTTTTTCTGTTTTCTCCTTCACAGTGCCATAATAACAACAATAGCTAATTTTTATGAGTGTTGACTGTGTGCTAAGAACTTTTCCATATACTGCATAAGTATTTCAGCCATACGACATGATGGAATAAAAACACTAGCCATGGAAATGACCCAAGACACATGAGTACTATTTTAAGTTGATTCTAAATTATGCTATAAATAGAAGTGAGACACATAGACAAAACATTTCCAGCAGATTAATTGGATTTGCATCTATATTAACAAAGGTCTATGCAGATGGTCAAATAGAAACCAGACACCAAACACCGCCTTTAAATGGGCAAAAATAAAGATTAGAATATAAGAGAATTTTGGAATTAATTTCTACTTGACATCTTCTCCCCTTTCTCCTTAATTTCTTTCTTTCTTTCTTTTTTTCTTTTTTGAGACGGAGTCTTGCTCTGTGGCCCAGGCTGGAGTGCAGTGTCGCAATCTTGGCTCACTGCAAGCTCCGCCTCCCGGGTTCACACCATTCTCCTGCCTCAGCCTCCCGAGTAGCTGGGACTACAGGCGCCCACAACCACGCCCAGCTAATTTTTTGTATTTTTAGTAGAGAGAGGGTTTCACCTTGTTAGCCAGGATGGTCTCGATCTCCTGACCTTGCGATCCACCCACCTCGGCCTCCCAAAGTGCTGGGATTACAGGCGTGAGCCACCGCGCCCAGCCTCTCCTTAATTTCTAAGTAAGGAAACAGAGAACTAGGGGGTTTAAGACTGGAAATGACTAGACCTATTCCCCTTGCCTCTCTCCTATCCCTAATGCAAAGTTCTATTTTATTTAGTAAGTTTATTAAAAAATCAATATTACCATAAAAGTAATACAGTAAAATGATCTTCATTAATCCCTAAAGTGATGAATCTTTCCCATCCCCTCTCTTCCCTTCTCTTTCCTCCTTCCTTCCTCCAGGGTCTGGAAAGCTAAATGGTAGTAGCAGCACAGTTAGTTAATAACGCATCTGTCCTTCTGTCCTTTCACGTCTCAGATCATTTTCATATCATGAGCTTGCAGCAACACATGTGTTTCTCAGTGGAGAAGGGATTCTTAATTCCATTTACCTATAATTACCTAGGATGGGGAAACTAAGTAATTAGCCTAAAGTCATACAACTAGTAAATGGAAGATCTAGAAGGAGAATCCAGGTCTTCTGATTCCAAGTGCAAAGCCTCTTTCCCTTATAGTAGCGGAGGAGGCCAAGGGTGCAGAGTGTCTGACCACAGGGGTATCTGACAGCCTGACTGTCTTCAAGCCTGAACACCCTTGGAAGCCCCTCAGTCTGGGGCCTGAGTCCATTTACAGGAGACTCCTCATAAAGTCCTTGAAATTTCCACTTTCTCAGCTGCAAGGCAAGACCCAAACATCTCCCGCAAGCCTATTGCATATTTGTAGAATTAAGCAGACGAGACTGGCTACACAATTTGCAGGACCCAGAGCAAAATGAAAATATGGAGGCTTTTGTTCAAAAAGCAGGAAAAAGGTGCCATTAAAGTTCTAAAATATAAAGCTTTTTCCTTCCTTCTGTGGTCTCCCTCTCTCCCTCTGTCATGATGGCCTTTATTTTTTATTTAATATCCCACTTCCTCTGGCATGGTGATACTGGCTGGTCAAGTGCTGACCCTCCCTAACTCCCAGTAACAGCCCTGTGACTTGGCATGCACACTCATGTGCCCCACCACATGCCTGGATCCCCACCATCATCATACCCAGGCCAGGGTGGGGACGTGTAGTCAGGCCTCTCTCAGTCGAATAGGTGACCTTCAGTGACCTGGAGACCCACCCTGCCCGGTCATCCTCTGTAAACTCTCTGGTACTGCCACCTAGAAGCAGGGAGGGGTGCCACACCCAGAAATGTTACAGGAGGCTGTCTCTGACCTTCTCCACATACTTACCCAGATCCCCATGGACTGGATGACCATAGCCATTGCTGGGCAGTTGCAGGAAAGGGGAGCCTGGGGCTCCAGGGGGCAGGAAAGTGAACAGCTGAAAACCTATTCTGGAGAGGCAGTGGGAGGTGGGATGACATGGGAGCTGTGGCTCCACATACCCTGTTCATGCTCCATTGTCACACTGGACTTCACTTGCAAAACACAATTTCAAAGACAAAATTGTTAAGAATTCAAGATGGCGGCTGCAGATAATCTTTGGCTTGTGGGACTGGACTGGTCTTGTACCGATGATGCTGTCCCTGAATGTCAGGACAGTACTCCACTTCCTAGGCAGCCTCTACTGCTTCCAGTAGAAAGAAACAGCCCAGGTACCTTGAGCAGGAGGGGAATAAGAAGAGCTGAGGAGAGGGCAGTCTCTTGGATAAGACTTAGATATGAGTAACCACAATCTGGAATCTGAAGTAGGGAGCCCACTCTGCCCATCATGAAGGCAATGGGTACAGAGGCAAGCCTTAATGAGGGAAGTGACTAATCCACTTGCAATCAACATCTTCCCAAGCCACTCAATACATCACGATTATCTTTCATTAAACCTGTGGTCCCTATTCCTTACATCACCTGGGAGCCATAAAAACACCCACAGTATGCTGAGAATGATGACTTCCAGCTTCATCCCCTGGAAAGGATAAGATCTCATTCTTTTTTATGGCTGCATAGTATTCCATCATGTATACATGCCACATTTTCTTTATCCAGTCTATCATTAATGGGCATTTGGGTTGTTTCCAAGTCTTTGCTATTGTAAATACTGCAGCAATAAACATAAGTGTGCATGTGTCTTTATTGTAGAATGAGTTATAATCCTTTGGGTATATAACCAGTAATGGGATTGCTGGGTCAAATGGTATTTCTGGTTTTAGATCCTTGAGGAATCACCACACTGTTTTCCACAATGGTTGAACTAATTTACACTCCCACCCACAGTGTAAAAGCATTCCTATTTCTCCACAGCCTCGCCAGCATATGTTGTTCCTGACTTTTTAATAATAGCCATTCTGACTATTCTCACTTATAAGTGGGAGTTGATCAATGAGAATACGTGGACACAGGGAGGGGAACAACACGCACCGGGGCCTGTCGGTGGGTGGGGCAAGGGGAGGGAGAGCATTAGGACAAATATCTAATGCATGCAGGGCTTAAAACCTAGATGACAGGTTGATGGGTGCAGCAAACCACCATGGCACATATATACCTATGTAACAAACCTGCACATTCTGCACATGTATTCTGGAACTTAAAGTAAAATTAAAAAAACAAAAAACAAAAAACACCCACAGTAGTATCTTCCCAGTCACAGCGAATACTTGCTGTCCTCAGGATTCTTTTTTTTTTTTTTTTGGTAAAATACACATAACAAAAAATTGGTCATTTTGGTCACTTTCAGTGGACAAAGTACATTCTTAGTCTGTCTTCAAATCAGAACACCCTTGGAAGCCCCTCATTCTGGGGCCTGAGTCCATTTACAGGAGACTCCCCATAAAGTCCTTGAAATTTCCATTTTCTCAGCTGCAAGGCACATTGCTGTACAGCCTTCACTACAATTCATCCCCCAAACTTTTTCTTCTTCCCAACCTGAAACTTGGCAACTCTTAAACAATCCCTATTCTCTCCTTTTCCTGGCCCCCAGGCCCTGGCAGTCACCATTCTACTTTCCGTCTCTATGAATTTGACTTCTCTGGGGACCTCCTATAAGAAGAATCATACAGTATTTGTCTTTTTGTATCTGGCTCATTTTACTTAGCATAATCTCCTCAAGGTTCAGTCAAGCTGTAGCCTGTGTCTGAATTTCCTTCTTTTCTAAGCCTGAATTATATTTCAAGATATGTGTACACAGCATTTTTTTAATCCAGTCATCTGTCAACGGACACTTGTGTTGCTTTCACCTTTTGGCTATTGTGAACACTGGTGTACAAAACATTATTTTTTAGAGTCTGTAGAACTTTGCTAGAGAAAATGGCTTGAGTCTTTTTGCCTGTTTCTTCTCAAGCCATTCAAAGGCCAAGCAGTATTTTCCCTGTTTGTGGTCTCTGCCTCTCAGTTTCATCTCCGTTTCCTCATCTGTAAGAACAATGAGACCTGCCGCCTCCTAAGGCTGTAATGAGGATTAATGAGATTATGTTAGAGGAACCCTCTGAGGGTGTTGGAAGAATGGCCCCACAGAAACACCAAGTGTGATTATCCCTGCTGCAGAATCAAAAATTTCTCCTGTCCAAATACTTATTGTTCATAAGATTTCGGCAAGTGAGGCTGCCTACTGGGCAGCTCTAATCCTTATAAAGAAAATGATTTTTCCAGCCAGGAATTAACAAATTCTTAGCACATACTAAAATATCTCCTCAGCTGGGTTATTATGCTTACATAATGAAGTTACTTAGATTATAACCGTTAATCAAATTCATGTTTCCAAGCTGGAGTGGGTCATATTTGATGCTAAGCTTGAACAAGAATGACAACATCTCCACTTCCTGGCAGCTTTTCCAGGCCCTTATGACATGATTGAATGTGTCAGGGGAAAGACGAAGAACATTTAGGGTTCATATTACATTCACTCTGAAGTTATTTCAAGTCACATTATTGGAAGAAAGTTGATTTATTTTTTAAGACAAGTATGAATATTAACCAAAAGATATCAAAAACAGTATTTTCCTCTAACTCGCATGGAGGCAGGCTGGCCATTTCTTTCTTTTTTTTTTTCCATCTGTCTGGTTCTGTACATAGGTACTATATTTTGCCCAATAAGAAAGCTTCTTATTTATTTATTTATTAGACGGAGTTTCACTCTTGTTGACCAAGCTGGAGTGCAGTGGCATGATCTCAGCTCGCTGCAACCTCTGCCTCCCTGGTTCAAGCAATTCTCCTGCCTCAGCTTCCCAAGTAGCTGGGATTACAGGCATGCTCCACCATGCCTGGCTGATTTTGTATTTTTAGTAGAGACGGGGTTTCTCCATGTTGGTCAGGTTGGTTTCAAACTCCCAATCTCAGGTGATCCGCCTGCTTCGGCCTCCCAAATTGCTGGGATTATAAGCATGAGCCATTGTACTCAGCAGAAAACTTCTTAATAATTATGTAGAAAAAGGAAAATAGTAAATAGATTTTGATTTCCTGCCATCAATGATAGTAAAAAAATAAAGAAACAAGGAAGAAAATAGATCATGTCATCCTGAAAAATTGGGTAAGTGCTGTCCAGGATATTAATTGCAGCAAAAATATATTATGAGCCATGGGTTAGCCAGTTTTTAAGGTGACCTGTGGTAATCTCATCTCCTGGAATTCAAACTCTCCACATTTTATCACTCTGAGACCAGATTATAAAAGGACTGTAGCTTCTACCTTCTACTTGGGTGCCCCAGTTCTCTCTCTTTCTGTCTGATCACTTGCTCCAGGGAAGCCTGCCATGATATCACCAGGATACCCATGTGGCCTATGGAGAGGACCATGAGAAGGACAAGTCTTGGGCCAATAGCCTGCCAACAACCCTGTGTGGGAGCTGGGGGGTGGATTCCACCCCCGCCACCCTTCACTCTTATATTCAGATGCATTTCCCAGAAGGCAAGCAGTTTCCATGTGGCTTGGGGACAGACACAGAGTTGTCATGTCTGAAGCCATGTTCTAACTTTTGAGCAGCTGCTTTATGTACAGCTGTTTTTCATGGAGAAACAGAGAAGATAAATCATCATCCCCATTAGCACTCAATGGGGTGGTGAATTCTACCATGTCTTGTCTCCATCACCCACTGCACAGCACACTGCCTGTGGCTCCCAGCCGTTCAGTGTGCTGTGTCTTCTGGAAGCTGGGCTGGTTATCTCCTTGAACAAGTCCTTCGGCCTCTCTGTGCCTCAATTTCTGTACCTATAATTACAGCACCCCCTCCTAGGGTTGCTGTAGAGATTACAAGCTAATAGCTCTTTAGGGTGTCCCAGGGATCTCCTCTACCTGAAGATTCTTGTCCAAAATGGGCCAACGCCCAGTATTTTGATCCTTCCTTCAACGTTATAATCTCCACCATATTTCTGATTCCTAAAGTTTCACCTTTTCCTTGAAACCACTCTGACCATGTGATCTTCATCTGTGTTAATATTCATTTTCCACTGTGCCTCTTCATTCAAGCATTAGTGGCATGATTCCATTGGCTTGCATGTGATGCCCATATGGTTTTTTTATTTGGTTATCTGGATTGTATCATTTATTTCATTCCTTTTTCATTTGACTATGCTAGTATCAAGGACATAAATGCCCTTTTAAAAACATCTGGTGTAATAATGAGGATGATAATTATAGCTAATATGCATTAAGTTCTCTGCTGAGAAATGTATTAGCTTTTAATACCTACAGCAATCCTAGGAAGGAGGTTTTGTAAATATGAGTATAAAAATTGAGGCACAGAGAGGCTAAATGGCTTGTTCAAGATCACACAGGTAGAGAGGAGCGGAGCCAGAATTTTAAACCATGCAGCCCATCTGTTTCCCACCTGGGTATGGATGCATGAACAACTTGGTACATCCTTGGCTGCTTTTGAACTGTATGTAAAATACCATCAACCTTTCTGCATTCATTTGTGTCTGGCTTCTTTCCTTCCACCTTATGTTTGCAGATATCTACCATACATGTATAGTACCTGTTGTTTCTTTCCTTTTATACACAGAGTTATTATACAGCCCTGAACCAGCATCACCTGGGAACATGCTAGAAATGCACACTCTGGGGTCCCACAACCTGTCTGAATCATCCCCCACCTGGGGGCTGCTTTACATCTGTTCTTTGTGGCATCCCTCCCCTACCCGTCACCCAGAGCCTTGTTTTCTAGTACCCTGCGTGCATATTGCAGAAGCAGCTCAGGCTTTGGAATCAGCAGAGCTAACTTTGAGGTTTTTTGGCTCTGCCAATTGATAAGCTATAAAATTAGGTGGGTATTTATGTTCTGAATCATCTATCAAATGGGTGCAAGGGTGATGCCCACCTCAATAGAGAGAAGCAACACAATTAAATACATGCAAAGACCTTTGTAGATTATAAAGTGCTTATAAGGTTAGTTTTTTTTCTAGTTAATATTTGTGTTCATGACTTGGTTTTCTAATTACATTGTACATTCCTGTACGGCTAAAGAGCTTTTCATATATATGTATAGGCAAGGATTGTAAGAAAAAAAGTGTTAAGATAATGGGATCATACAGATTTAAAAATTTTAAATATTTAATGTGGTTTTTATAAAGGTTGAGCAATAAATAAAATATGTTTAAAAGTAAATTTCACTTATGTAGGTTTTAAATGAAATATTAATGAATTTGATAAATAATATAACGGTTGTGTCCATCATATCACGTAGAATATTAACAACATAGGTAAAAGATAAAAGGAAAACAGGGGTGTTTTAAGTGCTAACTTTTGTTAACTTGTTTTGAAGAGAATGGGGTGATGGTCTGCTTACTTTCCAAGAATAGGGTTCCCAGTGGTGTTTTCAAAGAGATTGCTGCTACAGATTAATTGTAGGGCCCATATTTGTGTGCGTGTGTGCACACACATGTACCCATGAATGTGCCTGTGTGAGCACGTGTGCAATTCTATGCATGTACATTCATTCTTTTGTGTGTGCCTGTGTGCATGTGTTTGCGTGGATGTGGATGTGTGTTTATGTTCATACCTGCCTGGGTGTCTGCTGGAAGACTAGAGGGCAATGGCTCCTAAAGACTTTTAATTATCTTGAAACCTTTCTCCCAAATTTTGTGTGAAAGCCAAGATGATGCATTTTTATTATGTTTATTAGAAAATAAATATACAACTATATATTTCTTACTTATTTAAGAACGTTCTCATAAAGGAAAACCTTAAAGTTCTCAGATGGTCTCTATAACCTTGGCCTATTTTATAGGTTTGTGGAAGGGACAACTGACTTAGAGAGGCTATGGAGATACAAAATAACACCAATGGTTTTGCAGATAGAAAAGCACCTCTTCTGAAAGAATAAGGAATACACCCAGCCTGTGGAAGCCAGAACCAGCGCCTTTACTTTCATAATTCAAAGTGGGGGCGAGATTCTTCTCATGTAACTGAACTGTAGTATTAATGATACAAAGAGATGGAGGTCGTATCCTAGCTTTCGAGTAAATGCCAACACAAGCAAGTGTGTCTGCACATGCACACACACAGTCACATGTGCAACTAAAACCAGTGCTTTTTCCTGCTTTGTGTTATGGGCTTATGAGCCCTGCATCCAGCAGTGAAATGGGTAAACAGATGCATGGCACATTTGCAGGAATACATTCCATGTAACTGTTGGCAGGCTGCACCCCTTCTGTGTCTTCTGTTTATGTCAGTTGATACATCTTTAAGAAGGGGGAAATGGAAGGAGCAAGGAATTGTTGGCAAACAGCACTGTTAATCAGGAGGTATTTTATGACCCAGCAACTCTCAGGGGGTTTTTAAAGTTCAGAGGCTCATGAAGAGACATGTGTAAAGGTCCCTCCCAGGGGAGACGAACAGACACTAATTGAGGTATTGACGGCTCTAAATGAAGCAGAAACCTGCTAGAAGATTCAGCTCCAAGGAAGATGAGTGCTGCCAAGCAGTGCATGCTGGGGGCCTTAGCAGGTTTCATTCACTGCTCCTTCATGCAAGTAAGTGTACTCTTGGGCCTGGTGCAGTGGCTCATGCCTGTAATCCCAGCACTTTGGGAGGCCAAGGCAGGCAGATCATCTGAGGTCAGGAGTTCGAGACCAGACCGGCCAACATGGCAAAACCCCATCTCTACTAAAAATACAAAAATTAACTGGGCATGGTGATGGTAGCCTGTAATCCCAGCTACTCAGGAGGCTGAGGCAGGAGAATCGCTTAAACCCGGGAGATGGAGGTTGCAGTGAGCTGAGATTGCACCATTGCACTCCAGCTTGGGTGACAGAGCAAGACTCTATCTCAAAAAAAAAAAAAAAAAAAAGTGTTCTCTTGAACACAGAAACTTGTGCCTCTCACAGCACAAGGTCCCAAGCTAAAGAGCCACAAAAAATGATCTGTTGAAGTATTAAAAATATCTCCTTGATCATGTCCCCAATTCTTTGCCTCGGTGAATATTATATTGTATATTTCCCCATATGCACATATAAAACAGGCATATAAGATATTTAAGCATGTTTCAAAAACATTCAAGGATAGTAAATAATGTTTAAAAGCATCACCTATAGTTTCTCCTGAAGAAAGATTGTTGCACTGCTCTCTCCATCCCATTTAGGGAGGATTTATGCAATAAGTATTGGAGGTTTTACCACATTTGGCCTTTTATATTCGACATGGAACTATCTCACCCACAGAGGCTTTTTGGCATTGGCAGCAGCACCTGCTTCCTCTTAGAGAGCCTGGGATGCCCAAAGCAGAGGGAACTGTGAAATCTGACACAACGTGTAACCTGTGCTCTAACTGTATCTCTCTGAACTCCACCCAGTTCTAAGGATAGTAATGTCAGTGCGTCTAGGTAAAGAGACCTTTGAACACCCGTGTGAGTCTGTGTGTGCCTGTGTGAATAGCAAATGAGCTGTCACCAGAATACCTTCATCCCAGTAGGTGTGTCCCTAATGACAGGAACAGGATGTGAGGATGAATCCACTGGAAACTGCTGGGGAAAAGCACCTGAGGCCAGGGGTCAAGGAGGCAGCTCTGGGTAGCAGAGCAGAGGCTGTGAGCATCCTCTGGAGGGCATGTTAGCACACGGGGGTAGGCCCGACCTGTGGAGCTGACTCAGTGGGTCTAGGGGGGACTCCAGAGGCTGCACATTCTACATGTTCCTGAGGTACAATGGTACAGCTGGGTAGGTGGTGGAGGAGGGCACACATTGAGACCCAGTGAGAGGAATGGGTGCCTCCAGCATCAACCATATTTCCTGGGCCATTTCCACATAGCTATTTGGATGTGTTATATCAAGTAAGTTAAAACTCTGCTTTTATTTTTTAAAAATCCCAATAATGTGGTAGTAAACATTTCTAATCCTTGCTTTTCCTGGGATTTGCCAAAAAAAAAAAAAAATGTTCAAAAGAAGCCTGGGCAACATAGCAAGACCCCATCTCTACAAAAATAAAATAATAAATAACTGAGCATGGTAGCACATGACTGTAGTCCCAGCTAGCTGGGGGACTGAGGTGGGAGGACCCCTTGGGCCCAACAGGTCAAGGCTGCAGTGAACTCTGTTCATGCCACTGCATTCCAGCCTGGGCAGCAGAACAAGACTTTGTCTCAAAACAAAACAAAAACAATTTAAAGAAAATTTAGGTGATTTATTTTCCATTTCAAGAAAAGAAAGACATTGCATGCATGATACCCCAGGATAGAAACCACAAAGATAGTGCTTAGCAGATTTGACAATGCATCCTGCTAAAGATTCTGTATGGCAATAAACATGCAAACAAATAAATATGGAAAACAAAATTTTTAAAAAGTCAAACCGAAAAAAAATTGTAACTATAGTAAAAAAGTATTATTATGCAATAACATAAATTTATAAATACTAAAAACAATCCCAGAAAAAGTGAAAAAGGATAGAGAATTCATTAAACAAATGGAAATTTCAATATTAAAATACCAAGATATTCAAATTCTTTCTATAATTTCTTTAATTTCTGTGAAATTTTCTTGCCATTGCAGAGCAGATGACTGAAAGTGTCCAGTTTGGTAGGAGGTGGGGACTGGGGTGCTGGCACTCTAGTCTTGCAATGGAAATGTCTGATGGTACAGTCTTCTGGGAAGCCAGTTTGGCCAGGTGTAAAAATATGTTGTGTGAGCAGATCTTTTGACCCTGTAATTCCTTTTCTTGTATTTTATCCTAGGAAATTAATTAGATAAATGTGCATAGTTTATGTATAAGGATGGCTCATTGCAATCTTATTGATTATAGGAGCCTTTAGGCACAACATAAATGTTCACAGTTACTTAAAAAGTAATTACACATCTATAAGTGGCATATTATTCAGCCCCTAAAACACAAAAACTATAATGTAAAGTCTCAGAAAGATAGATCTGTGTTCATTTGCTAGGTCTGCCATAATAAATTATCATGGATTGGCCTCAATAATAGGACTTTATTATCTCACAGTCCTGGAGGCTCGAGGTCCAAGACCAAGTTGTTGACAGGGTTGATTCCTCCTGAGGCCTCTCTCCGTGGCTTGCAGATAACCATCTTCACCTGGGGTCCTCACACGGTCACTCCTCCATGTGTGTGGCTACACGCTAACCTCTTCTTAGAAGGACACCAGTCAGATTAGATGAGAACTACCCTTAGGACCTAATTTTACCTTAATCACCTCTTTAAGCCTCTATCTTCAAATACAGTCACAGCAGGAGTTGCGGCTTCAACATGCGAATTTTAGGGGGAGACACAAGTTAGTTCCTAATAATACCTATAATACATTATCAATGGAATAAAAATGGAATCCATGGAGTAATAGATTTAGTGTATGTTCCCATCAACAAATATTCCTGGTTCAAATTTGAGCAGCACTGGCCAGGCATGGTGGCTCTTATCTGTAATCCCAGCACTTTGGGAGGCTGAGGTGGGTGGATCACCTGAGGTCAAGAGTTTGAGACTAGCCTGGCCAACATGGTGAAACCTGATCTCTACTAAAAATGCAAAAAATTAGCTGGGTGTGGTGGTGGGTGCCTGTAATCCCAGCTACCTGGGAGGCTGAGGCATGAGAATAGCTCGAGCCTGGGAAGCAGACACTGCAGTGAGCTGAGATTGCGCCATTGCACTCCAGCCTGGGCAACACATTTCTGGGCTAAACCGGGCCACAATTCCATTGTCACAGAAAGTGGCAGCGAATCTCAAAGGGTTTTCGGTTGAGCATGGAGAATGGCTCACTGAGCTGTTGCTTTCATTGTTTTCCCCAAGGATCTTGGAGTGCTGCATGCTCTCATATTCTCACATGGTCAGGAGTTCTTACTCACCAGGAAACAGCTGGGGAAAGAAGTAACATGTCCTCTCTAACTTACATGTGAAGGAACATTTTGAGTATGACGAGAACATGCAGAAAGATCTCCTGACATAACTGTTATCCGTAGGGGGTTCCATTTAGCCCTACACAAAATCCCCTTGGGTTGCGAAACAGAAATATGGAGAGGCAGCTGCGGCTTTCACTGCCCTACTCCTCCCTCCTCTTAACCTTTCATTTAAAAATCTAAAACAGGCCAATCTGATCCTCTAGGAAGATTAAGAAATTTTTGCTGGCAATAGGAAGCATGCAACTAAGGAAAAAGCCCTCAAAACAAACAGCCCCTCAAAGATGAGGTCTGAGCTATTGTGATTTCTTTTCAGAAGCTCTAAGAGCAAGACAGCTGACAGCTAAATGAGCGGGCACTATTTTGAGAACTCGCATTCAGGATTAATTGTAGGGGTGAGGTTCTGTGGGCTCAGAGAGGCTGCCTGTAGCCACGAGGACAATGAGTGATTCTCCCCTCATCGTCTTCCACTTGGGACTCTCAGAGCTGGTTGCCATGGTTGATGAAGTGAAGTGCACATGCTTCCGCCTTGATGACAGTGAGTGACAGGAGGTTGTTAAGGAAGCAGTGGGGGAGGATGAGTGAGAAGGTTATGCAGGGTGTGTGGCCAACCCTGGACCTGTCCAGTATAATGCCAGGCTTTGAGCAAAATGCCAAGAAGAAGACTGGATGAAGTGAGAAACTACTCATTTCATAGACGTTGCATGGCGATGCCTGCACACACAAGACTCCTACATTTCTGTTCTTCCTCTTCTGCTCTCTTTTCCACTCTTACCCTTGCTGATCTGACCTGCTTGGGCTGTCTCGATTATTTCTTATAAAGCCCTGACCACTCTCTCCTGAGCTGCTGTCTCCCATCTCTGGAGGTCAGCCAGGTACTTCCATTTGGAAGGCACACCATCCCCTTACAATCAACATGAGACAGATGAAATGTGGCACCTTTCCTTCCAAGCTTTCTCCCTGTCCCTATTCCTGTCCCAGGCTCCTCCTTGGATGGATTCCAGGTCCCCAAGGCAATCAGTGGCCTGGTCCTTCTTGGTCAAGGTTCATAGCATCATTTAAATTAGACTTGTCCCCTCTAGGCCCGTGACCATCAGCTTACTGCAAGCCATAATCAGGATGCCTGTGCTGGGCTGTGAAATGGCATTATAACTCATCGCTCATTCATCTTCCTTTTCCACTCCAGTCTATCCTAGGGCTCTGCCAGACTCAGCTTCCTCACATGCAACTTCCAGTATGATATCCTCTCACTTGCAATTTACAATGTCTTCCTGCTATTTACAGATTAAGCTCAGTTTTCACAGCTTAAAAGTTAAGACGTTTTATAATCTTGCTGCAACCTATGTTTCCAGTTACCCACTAACTCCTTCTTTACCCAGACATTCCACCCCAGCACTCAAACATACCTTGTATGTTTCTCCACCTCCCCCATTCCCTATTTTGAGGTCTGAGAACATGGTTTTCCTTTTCCAGGTATGACTGGCTGGCACTGTTTTGCCATTCTGAAAATTACCTCCAGTTCTTCAAGTTGGATTTCATTCCACCTTCCAGGTTAAACTCACGTCCTACCTCCTCTATGGAGCCCTCCCTGACCTCACCCCTACAAGGGGCTCTCCCTTCTCCAAACTCCCACAACTTTTTAATGTATATATTCACATTTATTGCACATATATATCTTTTGGCATTTACTTTTACAAAGCTAAAGTTTTGCAATACAGACTCCTAGGAAGTTGCAAAAATAGTAGAGTCCTGTGTGTCCTTTAGCTTCTGGCCATGTTGTGAATTTCCATAGCTGTGGTGCAATATCAGAGCCAGGAAACCCACATGGGAACATTCCCAGTTAACATTATCCAGTAGACTAGATGCCTTCATCTTTTATTCATTTATTTGTTCTTTAAGATGGATTCTCGCTCTGTCACCCAGGCTAGAGTGCAGTGGCACGATCTTGGCTCACTGCAACCTCTGCCTCCCAAGTTCAAATGATTCTCCTGCCTCAGCCTCCCCAGTAGCTGGGATTACAGGCATGTGCCACCATGCTTGGCTAATTTTTGTATTTTTAGTGGAGATAGGGTTCCACCATGTTGGCCAGGCTGGTCTCGAACTCCTGACCTCAGGTGGTCCATCCTCCTCAGCCTCTCAAAGTGCTGGGTTTACAGGCATGAGCCACTGCACCTGGCCACCTTCATTATTTTTAACCCACATTCATTTGTGTGTATGTGCTCGTGTAGCTCTGTAGGTGTATACTTCCGTTTAACTTTATCCCATTACAGGTCCATGTACCCACCACCACCATCAAATGAGGAACTATTCCACACCACAGAAGAATTCCTTATTCCTATCTGTCTGTGTTTGCACCTGGCCCCATCCTACCCATTGTACCTGTCTACTAGTATCCACTAAGGTATTCTCCACCTCTGCTGTTTTATCGTTTTGAGAATGCTTTATAAAGATAACTTTTTGAAGTTGGCTTTTTTTCACTAAGCGTAATGCCCTTCAGACTCATCTAGGTTATTGTGTGTGTCAACAGTTCATTTCTTTTGATTGCTGAATAGCAGCATTCCAAACTATGGATGGACCATAGATTTTTCAACCATTCACCTGTGAGAAACATTCATTTTGTTGTTGTTGTTGTTGCTGTTTGTCCAGAATTTAGCTACTATAAAGAAAGCTGCTATGGATATTTTTATATAACTTTTTGTGAACATAAATTCATATTTCTTTGGGATAAATGCTTAAGAGAACAATTGCTGGACCACATGGTAAGTGCATGTTTAGTTTTATGAGAAACTGCCAAAGAGTTTTCCAGAATGTCTGCACCATATTACATACCCACCAGCAATGCATGAGAGATCCAGTTTCTCCACATCTTTGCCAGCATGTGGCGTTATAATTTTTAAAAAATTTTTGTTGTTCTCATAAATGTGTAGCCAGGCATGCATTTTTGATGTGTAGACCTATCCACCTATCCATCAGGGCATGAGTCAAACATTTCCAAAGGCAGTGACTTGTCCTTGGTACAGCCCATGATGCATCAGACATGTAGATTCTCACCAAAATACCTATGGACCAACTGCCTTCTATCTAGAAGTGTTATCACACTTTCCACTGCATACTCTGCTAATAGGCACTTTTATCCACACCTCATTATTCTCCTCCATCATTGCCCTCTGGATTGTAAACTGCTTGAGGTTAAAGATGATGTCTTAATTGTGTAGACCCTAATTGTTGGCAAATAGTAGCTGCTACACAAATTTGTGTGTGTGTGGGTTTTGTTGTGGGAGACTGAAATTCTGAAGCTTTTTTTTTTTTGGTGTGGGGGGTGGGAGGGAGTCTTGCTCTGTTGCCCAGGCTGGAGTTCAGTGGCCCAATCTCTGCTCTCTGCAGCTTCCGCCTCCCAGGTTCAAGCATTTCTCCTGCCTCAGCCTCCCAAGTAGCTGGGATTATAGGCGTGCACCACCACGCCTGGCTAATTTTTTTATTTTTAGTAGAGACAGGGTTTCTCTGTGTTGGCCAGGCTGATCTCGAATTCCTGACCTCATGATCTGCCTGCCTCGGCCTCCCAAAGTGCTGGGATTATAGGCGTGAGCCACTGTGCCCAGTCAATTCTGCAACTTTTTTTATTGCAAAGAAGGAAGGGTGCTCAAGGCATAGAGAACAACACAGAGGCCTCACCTTGAGAGGCATAGCCATGGGGTTTAGATTGAACATGAATTTAGTTTTGATACTTAAGAATTCTAACTTCATGTTCAATCTAAACACCATGGCAGCCCTGGTCTCAGCCTTACCTCTGCAGTCTAGTTGTCGCTTGGACAGTACATCCTTTCCCAGTAACGAGATGACACACCCCTGTGCATATTTCAGGCTGCTTTCTATCTTGTTTTTCACCATTCTCACACCAAGAACACCAAGGTTTGTGAGGCCTCTGTTGTATATTGTGACAAAGAGCAATTTATATGGTTGGCAATAAAGCAGGTTTTTTAGGGGTTGATATTTTTCAGTTTAATTTTCATCCCTTTAGTGGGTTGAATTGTGGTCCTTCAAAAATATATCAACATCCCAACCCCTGGAATCTCAGAATATGACCTTACTTGGAAATACAGTCTTTGCAGAGTTAAAGAAAGTAAGAACCTCTAGATAAGGTCATCCTTCATTAGGGTGGGTCCTAAATCCACTGAAGAATGTCATATAAGAGACAGAAAAGGAGAAGGCACAGAGACACAAAAAAGAAGCCATGTGAAGGTGGAGGCAGAGACTGGAGTGAGGCAGCCACAGGCTCAGCAGTGTGAAGGGTTGAGGAAGCCTCTGGAGGCTGGGAGAGGTGAGGAACTGATGTGCCCTCAGAGCCTCCAGAAGGCACCAGCCCTGCTGACTTCTTGATTTCAGATGTCTGTGAGAGAAGAAACGTCTGTTGTTTTAAGCCACTCCATCGTGGTCATTTTGCATGGCAGACCTAAGAAACGGATGCCATCTTCAAGATCATTTGAACAGTATAGAAAAATGTATTTCACAAAACTTTTACTTATTATTTCACATTTTTAAACTTCATATTCCACGTTTTGCTTTATTTTGGGTATCAAGGCTTCTAGGGCATATTTTAATCACCCCAGAAGCATGGACATAATAAGACCTGGTTAAAGAGTGCACTGTGAGTGAGCCATGGGGTGAAGGATCCTGCTGCTGCCTCACAGCCTCCTGCCTCCCTGTGCACACATAGGTTTACTGTCAGGACTGTAATGAGGTTTGCATGAATAAACAGCTTTAGAAACAGCTTTCAAGTTTCCACCAAAATACCTGTTAGGAAGTCTTGTTTCCACCATAATTGCTAATTGCTTACCTACATGTGACCTGGGTATCCATAATGCAGACATGAGCAACACATGATTGTAGAAAATTCTAATTTAAATTATTACATTTTTATTTGGGTTCCACGCAGAAAACATCTTAGGCAGCCACTGCAGATTATTTCTAGAAGCGAAGGGAAACCTGGCTTGGAGATGGAGTGGGTGAGAAGCTAGAAGGGAATCTGTTAAGGATGCCAGGGATGGAGGGGTTCCTTCTCCATGAAAATAAGTGGAGTCAAGGAGGAATCCTTGAGGCAGCCTCTCCAAGACATGCAGGATCATGGGTTTTGACTAGGGGAATTTTACGATATTCTAGTGCAGGGATATAAGGAGGCAATGTCCAGGGAACAGGGCTCTTCCCCCAAAGACAGAACCCCTGGGTCCCTCATCCTTTCCGCATCTTCTGCTGTGTTTGGTATCCAAGGCCCTTGGCCCAGCCATTTGGAGTCCACTCAAATCCACACCTACATGGTGAGGAATAAAGGGAGACAAACTCATTGGAGTCATTGCCCCCATAGAGCTTCCTTTCCTAGACAGACGGAAACCCAGCAAACACACGAAGCGAGACATCAGGCAATGAGTGATACCTGGGTGTAGAGAACAAGGCATCCCTTCTATTCTTGCTCCTAAGGATTTCAGGTAGTTTGTTGCCCAGCCCACTTAGGCTATAAATGCTGCTTTCTCTCCAACTAGTCATAGCTATCAGCCAGCCTGGCCACTTTGGAAATAAGAATATTTAATGCACTCATGGACGTGGGAGCCTGTGTTCTAAGACATTCTTACTCAGTCATAGTTAGCTGAGACTCTAAAGAGTGGCATATGTAATCAAGATAAAATATGAAGTGTGCATCTGGTATATTTTGGAGCCTATAAAGAAAGATTCTGTGCTGATAATATTTACATTGGGTTTTTCTTGTTGTTTTGTTTTTCCAAGATGATGGAATATAGGCATTGTTAGCATTCCTTTTCCACTTGGAAAGATAAAATAGTGTGTAGAGATTCACACTGTGAACTTTTTTCCAAGAAGGAACACAGGACCGTAAACAGCTTTGAAAGAAGCTGTGAGTAGCAGCCTACACCGCTGTCTTTGGGAAACACCACTGAACATGTAAGGATTCTTATAGACTACAGGTAAAGGGTGGAAAAAGAGATTTCCAGCAAATGGAAGCCAAAAACAAGGAGTAGCGATTCTGATATCAAATAAAACGGACTTCAAAGCAACAACAGCAAAAAAAAAAAAAAAAACAAAACAAAAAACAACAAGAAAAAGACAAAGGTCACTATATAATGATAAAATGACCAATTAAACAAGAAGATGTAACAATTGTAAATATATATGCATCAAACTCCAGAGTTCCTAAGTTCTTGAAGCAATCAGTATATCAAAAAGACACCTGTACACATGTTTATCACAGCACAATTCACAACTGTAAAGATATGGAATCCTCACGCCTGTAATCCCAGCACTTTGGGAGGCCGAGGCGGGTGGATCACGAGGTCAGGAGATCGAGACCATCCTGGCTAACAAGGTGAAACCCCGTCTCTACTAAAAGTACAAAAAATTAGCCGGGCGCGGTGGCGGGCGCCTGTAGTCCCAGCTACTCGGGAGGCTGAGGCAGGAGAATGGCGTGAACCCGGGAAGCGGAGCTTGCAGTGAGCCGAGATTGCGCCACTGCAGTCCGCAGTCCGGCCTGGGCGACAGAGCGAGACTCCGTCTCAAAAAAAAAAAAAAAAAAAAAAAAAAAAAAAAAAAAAAAAAGATATGGAATCAACCTGAGTCCTCATCAATCCATGAATGGATAAAGAAAATGTGGTTCATACACAACTTACCCATGTAAAAAACCTGTACGTGTACCCTCTGAGCCTAAAATAACAGTTGGAAAGGAAAAAAATCATAAAAGCAAGACTCAACTAAAAAAAAACAAAAAGAAAAAATTGTGATATATATACCATGAAATGCAACCCAGCCATAAAAAAAAATATAATGACTTTTATAGCAACTTGGATGAAACTGGGGGCCGTTATTCTAAGTGAAGTAACTCAGGAATTAAAAACCAGGTACTCATGCTCTCACTTATAAGTGGGAGCTAAGCTATAGGTATGCCAAGGCATTCAGAGTGGTGTAATGGACATTGGAGACTCAGAAGTGGGGAGGGAGGTGAGGAATGAAAAACTAGCAGTTGGGTAAATGTATACTATTTGGGTGATGCGTGCACTAAAATCCTAGACTTCACCACTACACGATTCATCCACGTAACCAAAAACCACTTGTACCATTAAAACTAATGAAAGAAAAAAATTAACTAATTAATTTAAAAACCACACTGGGGAGTCCCTGCATGCTAAGTAGGTAGAACAAATCAATCATAAATGACTGCCATTTTGTCTACATTCTGTATAAAAAAGGTGAAACTGCTCCTTTTCTTCTCCTTTAAAAAAAAAAAAAAACAACTTTGGTATTTGTGCTCAAGACTACTATGGGAAGGACCCAGTTATAAACATGCATTTCACGCCAATATTTCTTCTTCAGAATAAGTGCTAAGCAAGTCAAGACATGCAATGATTTCTTTTGGCCTCCTATAAAACAAATGAGCCCTTTTTGTTTTGTATTTGTTTTAGAGACAGGATCTCTCTGTCACCCAGGCTGGTGTGCAAGATCATAGCTCACTGCAACCTCAAACTCCTGGGCTCAAGTGATCCTCCCACCTCAGCCGTCTGCCCAAGTAGCTAAGACTACAGTCATGTGTCAGCATGCCTGCCTAATTTAAAAAAAAAATTTTTTTTTTTTTAGAAACAGAGTTTCAATATGTTGCCCAGGCTGGTCTTTAACTTATGGCCTCAAGTGATCCTTCCACCTCGGCCTCCCAAAGCTCTGGGATTTCAGGCATGAACAACTACACCCAGCCAATGATCCATTTTTTTATGAAATTTATATTAAACTGGTTGCTTTATAAAAAAAGCTTTTAAAAACCTCTAGAGGCAAAGTCCGTCTATTTTAGAATCTTGATAGAAATCATAGGCTTATCTACATGGATATCTATAATCAACACCTATTAATGCATCATCAGTTACAAAACCAAAGTGAGAACTGTGAGTATAGGAAAATGTCAATACTGTTTAAACTAGATTTATGCAACCACAAGGAATATCACTTAAATTGTTCATCATAGAGCAGATTTTGCACCTGGCAGATGAGACTGTTGTCACAGCAGCACAGGTAACACCCAGCAGTAAGGCCAGGAGGCCCCTCCCGCAGCCAACCAGTGCCCCCATGAGAAGGCAGCCACTGCCCTACCTCCCCCCTGGAGCTGCTGCCCTGTTAGAATGTGATGGAACAGACAGGACACCTTGGCAGGGCTAAGTGACCAATGTCTTTTCTTGGCCGAGAATCTCATGTCATTTGCATTATTTTTCAAAGTCGGTCACCCTAAGTAGAAAACAAAGATGGCTGTGTCTGAAAAACTGAACACAACTAATGATTCCATTCCCAGGCCAGAAAAGGGACCAGTGGACAGATTTCTCTCCTCAAACTCTAAAACACAACCTGGCTTTCTAAAAGAGAATATCTGTTATCCCTTTCTCAAAAATGCCATGACAAAGATTTTCATCATTTCAAGATTATTTTATATTTGAAGTCTCAGAAGACTATGTATATATCTTATTATTGTATTACATTTCTTGATTATATTTTTCTGATTGCAAATGAATAGAAGCTTAATGCAGAAGGTTTGAAAAATGCAGAAAAGTATAAAAAAGCATAGAAAGATATCATTCATAATTGTAATACTGAGAGAAGCAACCATTTTAACAAGCACATTTTCTTCTATCTAAAAAGATATGATTTCTGAGCCTTGTCAACATAATACTACATATATGTATACATATACTTTTCAAACGTCCTGCTTTTTTTAACTTTTATTTTAGGTTTGGGGTACATGTGAAGGTTTAGTTACATAGGTAAACTTGTGTTATGGGGGTTTGTTGTATAGATTATTTCACTGCTCAGGTATTAAGCCCAGTACCCAATAGTTGTCTTTTCTGCTCCTCTCCCTCCTCTGACTCTCCCCACTCAAGTCTTCCACAATGACTGAACTAATTTACACTTCCACCAATAGTGTATAAGCATTCCTTTTTCTCCACAACCTCTCCAGCATGTGTTATTTTTATACTTTTTAATAATAAAATTATTAAAGTCATTCTGACTGGTGTGAGATGATATCTCATTGTGGTTTTGATTTGCATTTCTCTAATGATCAGTGATATCGAGATTTTTTTATATGCTTGTTGGCCACATATATGTCTTCTTTTGAGAAGTGTCTGTTCACGTCCTTTGCCCACTTTTTAATGGGGTGGTTTGTTTTTTTCTTGTAAATTTGCTTAAGTTCCTGATTATTAGACCTTTACCAGATGCATAGTTTTCAAATATTTTCTCCCATTCTGTAGGTTGTTTACTCTGTTGATCATTTCTTTTGCTATGCAGAAGCTCTGAAGTTTAATTAGCTTCCACTTGTCAAATTTTGCTTGTGTTGCAATTGCTTTTGGTATCTTTTTCATGAAATCTTTGCCATTCCTGTGTCCAGGATGGTATTGCCTAGGTTGTCTTCCAGGGTTTTTATGGTTTTGGGTTTTACGTCTTTAATCTTTCTTGAGTTGATTTTTGTACATGTTGTAAGAAAGGGGTCCAGCTTCAATCTTCTGCATATGGTCAGCCAGTTATCCTAGCACCATTTCTTGAATAGGGAGTCTTTTCCCCACTGCTTGTTTTTGTCAGCTTTATCAATGCTAAGATGATTGTAGATGTGTGACCTTATTTCTGGGCTCTCTATTGTGTTCCATTGGACGATGAGCCTGTTTTTGTACCATTACCATGGTATTTTGGTTGCTGTAACCCTGTAGTAGAGTTTGAAGTTGGGTAACGCGATGCTTCCAGCTTTGTTCTTTTTGCTTAAGATTGCTTTGGCTTTCAGGCCCTTTTTTTGGTTCCATATGAATTTCAAAAATTTTTTTCTAGTTCTGTGAAGAATGTCATTTGTAGTTTGATAGCTATAGCACTGAATCTGTGAATTGATTTTGGCAGTACCATTTTAATGATATTGATTCTTCCTATACATGAGCTTGGGATTTTTTTTTTCACTTGTTTGTGTCTTCCCTGATTTCTTTCAGTAGTGTTCTGTAATTCTTGTTGTAGAGATCTTTCACCTCCCTGGTTAGCTGGTATTTTTAGAAATGTTATTCTTTTTGTGGCTGTGAATGGGATTGCCTTTCTAATTTGGCTCTTAGTTTGGCTGTTGTTGGTATATAGGAATTAGTGATTTTTGTACATTGATTTTGTATCCTGAAACTTTGCTGAAGTTGTTTATCAGCTGAAGAATCTTTTGGGCTGAGACTATGAAGTTCTCTACATATAGAATCATGTCATCTGGTTTGACTTCCTCTCTTCCTATTTGGATGCCCTTTATTTCCTTCTCTTTCCTGATTGCTCTAGCTAGGACTTTCAATAGTATGTTGAACAGGAGCAGTGAGAGAGGGCATCCTCGTCTTGTGCCGGTTTTTAAGGTGAATGCTTCCAGCTTTTGCCCATTCCATATGATATTGGCTGTGGGTTTGTCATATATAGCTCTTATTATTTTAAGGTATGTTCCTTCAATACCTAGTTTATTGAGAGTTTTGAAATGGAATGAGTGTTGAATTTTATCAAAAGCCTTTCCTGCATCTATTGAGATAATCCTGTGGCTTTTGTCTTTAGTTATGTTTATGTGATAAATCACATTTATTGATTGTGTATGTTGAATCAACCTTGCATCCTGGAGATAAAGCCTACTTGATCATGGTGGTCAAATCCTGCTTTTTAAAAATGCAGCTATATTATACGACTGCCTCCTATATTAAGAAAACTTATTTAAACCCATAATTTAAAATTACCACATAATATTGAATTAGGCTGATGCACCACCATTCACAGAAGCAGTCACTTCATTAAGCTATTTAGAGAGAAACAATTTTTTATTATTTTAAAGTTCTGTCTTGACTCTTTCTACATAAATATTTGTCTATAACTTTTATTTCTTTGGTATAGATAATTAAGGGTGAAATTAATGAGTCAAAAGACATTAACTGTCTTTGGCTTTTGATATATTTTGTCAAATTGCTTTAAAAAATTTTCCTGCCAAATGATATATCAGAATGTAAATATTTGTGCATCTCTGCCAATATTCCATATTATCATTTATTTTGTTTCTCTATATGTTTATTAATAAAACCAATAACCAACAAGTGAAGTTAAATGAATTTTTTTGAGTAGCATTCTACTTCATAAATGTTTGTAAATTAATACAAATGCCAACAGGTAGAAATCTTACATATGTTTACTTTTGTTATATATACACCAAATAGCATTTTTGAATATGTTTGGTGCAGTTCAGACATAAATATTCTATACTTCCATAAAAGATACTAAATAGCTGTGGACAAAAAGAAAACGGGAATCAAGGCTATCTAAGGAGTTAATGGCTTAACTTTTTCTAACAAACAGCTGTAAACTGTTTTCAACGTTTTGCCAGGTTAGATTTGATCTTTGGTTTTAACTGTGTTATGGGAGCCTTAGCAATATAAAACTGCCTTTCAACATGACATCCTGTCTCTCTCACATCCACTGTGGCCTGGGGTCCTGGAAGCAGGCTTTGGGAAGATGTGAGCACCTTGTGTACACTTGAGGGAGAGTCATTGTCTGTGTGTGGCCAGCTACCTCTTTCTCCATGAACCAACCTCGAGTGGCTATTTCCAAACGTAGCCAAGTCAAGCATTAGAAGAGTTTCATTTAAAGTGAATATACATGTCTGACTTAATAAATAAAATGTAGAAGGAAAATACAGAATGGACTGTACAACAAAATATTCACTGAATTCACTATTTTGTCTCCTCTGAAAACATTCTGTATTTGTAAGAATAACCTTAGCCTGGGTTTTGAGGTTAAGACATTTGGTATTCAAGAGATAAATTAGCTTATCCCACTTTTTAATTAAAATGGTTTTCCTCCATGGTACATAAATAGACTATAAAGAAATTTGATGTTATGCAAACTCTGCTATGATAAACTCTAACACTGTATAATCTTTAATAAAAAGTCTCCACAATTTTGGTGCCACACAGTGATGAGGATGTATTAGAATAGCTATATGAGACTCCCCATGAGAGTTCACAGCTTAACTGTGACTGAAGAAACAGATGCAGGACACAATTTATTTCCTTGTATTCCAAGGTGGATAGAGGTATTGTGCATGTGTGAAAAGCGGTAGGAAATGCAGCAGGCTCACCCTAGCACCCAACCAAAAGGTGGTCATTTATCCTTCTGCGCTCATCACTGTGCTCACTGGGCCACGAGGCTGCACAAGCTTACTTTTACAACGTGTTGTCTGAGGTCACTCCATCAATGGAGGTTTTAATTTCATTAATCTCTGAACCATCCTAGGAGGTAGCTTTGTATTATCTCCATTTCACAGATGCAGAAACTGAGGCTCAGAGGTGCTCAGAAACCTGCTACAATTCACATGGCTAGTGAGAAGCAAAGTAAGGATTTAAATTCATTTTTGCCTGACTATAGTACCTCTGTTTATTATTATGCAAGAGTTGTGGAGTGTCAAACAGGATGAAAAAGAGTTGAGAGCCTCAAAGAGTTGAGTAGAGTGAAACCATGAATAATAGACGGATCTCTCCCAGAACTACACTACCTGTCCCACCCATGCCACCACCACACTACCCAGCCTGCAGAGGGCATTACAATCAGACACCTGATTGGATTACTCAGATCCAAGATCTAGATAACCTGAAAAATTATTTCATATGTATATTTATATGTATAATAATGTGTACGTGTATAATACATATATGTATAATATATAAATATATAATATACATACGTAATAGGATTATTATATAAATAACATAAAATATATATGATATGCATAATATAAAATAATACATATTATATATAATATACATATAAATAGTAATCATAAGATTGTTTTGTATCAACTGATCTCAGGTACAGTCCAACAACACCTGGGATCCCTGATACTTTTTCAAAGGATCTGTGAGATCAGAGCTATTTTCAGAATAACACTAAAAAATTATTTGCCTTTTTAGCCAACAGTACAAAAGCAACAGTGGGCAAATCTGCTGGGGCCTTAATAGGATTCAAGGCAGTGGCACCAAACTCTTCTCACGGCCGTTGTGGTCTTCACAATTGTCCGTCAACACTCGCAACAAAAACAAACGTGGCAGCTTCACTTCAGCATGTCCTTGACTAAGCAGTGGAAATCATTTCATTTCATTCCATCTCAACCATTGAGGGTGTGCGTTTTTAACATTCTGTGTGACAGAATGGCAGAAACATACAAAGCACCTGTGTGTTGGGTGCTCAAGAAAAGCTCCAGTGTGGGACTGAATATGAGCTGATCAGCTGTGATTTTCATGGAACACATTTCTACTTGAAAGAAAAACTGATAAACTATTTTTGTCTGGGTATTTGACAAACATTTTCTCAAAAGGAATGAAGTGAGCCTGTCACTTCAAGGGAAACAACTGAGAGTGTTTGTTGCCAGTGGTAAAATTTGAGCTTTTAAGTCTTAATTCGATTTTAGAAAACTTGGATTCTTCACCACATGCTTAACACACCTTCCCAATATTTAAAGATATTTTGGATGACATTAGTAGTGATATTATAAATGTGATTTTCAAAAGTATTGTATAATGGAGTGCATCAACATTTGGAACGTCTACATTACTAAGTGAATAAATACTTTCCAAAAACCAATGCATGGTGTTATAAAATCATGCATGTGTAAAAGATCCAGAAACACTGATATATTTTAATGCAATAGGGTAGGAAAAGGCTGTTGATATGGTTTTTGGTTCTGCATGGGAATTAATCTTTAAAAACCACCGCTTGCCAAATTTTGGTAGAGTATCAAAGAGCAATAGCCATGATGATCTGAAAATGCTATTAAGCTTCCCTGTCCAACTACACCTCTGTGCGAATTGTATTTTCTTCATATGCTTCAACGAACATAACACATCACAGTAGATTGAATGCAGAAGCAGCTACAAGCCAGACTTCAGAGATTTTCAAAAAATGTAAAATAATTCATCCTCTTCTCACCAATTTCTAAAAATAGTTTATTAAGAAGTATATTTATGATAATATGTCATAGTTGTCATTTAAAAAAATATCTCAGTGTAATCTCTAGTACAGCAAATATTGATAGATCCAACCCACAGAAACAAAAGCCCTTTGGAATCTTCAAGAATTTTTAAGATTATAAAGTGGTCCTAGGATCAAAAATCTTGAGAAGTGTCCTTCTATATAATTGAGACAATTTTAAAGTTTGAAATCTATACTGATCTGTATTAAAGATCTAAAGTCTAATGGAAGTTTCTTAGAATGAGGGCCAAATCTGCAAATATAATAAACTTTAATCCCTGGAAATGTTCTTTGCTCAATATTCTTTTACCCATGACCACGCTCCCCTCCAGCATCCCTACCAACCTTTGTTCCCTTCTCAGGTGTGTCCGGTGTGGCCTCTCTTTCCCCTCCTGACACCAGGAGACCTGCCCAGCAGCCTGCCCTCAGTCCCTGCTCCCGATGTGGGAGCCAAGAGGAAGGTGCAGGATTGGAGTTGCCTCCTGAGACTCACCCTCAGAGCAGCTTTGAGGAGGTCCCCAGGCTGCAGGGCCCTGAACCCCAGGTAACACCTGAACATGGTCCTTAGTCCTGCAACCCAGAGACCAGCCCATCACTTGAGCCTGAGAGCCCCCATTCAAGTCATTTCTGAGCCACGTTGAACTTGCCATCATCACCGCTTTCATTCCAGCTGCTACTATCCTAAGGGAAATGCCATTTTCAGCTCTTAAACACATTCTTTTCTTGCAGCATGACATATGGGCTTCCTAAACACAGGTAAAAAAAGCTCCAATAGGAAGACAGCTTTTCTCAGAACCAGAAGAGTATTTTTAAACATCTTTAACGAAAATCTAAGTTACCTTTTTTTTCTACAGTCATATCATATATACACATTATAATTAGAAACACACATGCTCAGACACATCCATGTATCTATCTAAATAGATTTTTTTGTCTTTTAAGTCATCAATAGCGGTTGTTAACATGATCTAATAAAATGCCTAGGCTATATTTCAATGTGAAATTGTTAAAAGTTACAACATTAATAAAAAGTTGCTCTCATTCACTTATGAAGGTTAGAATGGTTTCTGAGTATGAGAATGACAACACTTATGTGAACACATTTAATGGCCTCTCTAAAACAGAGAGGGTGCTCAAAAATGCCCTCTCATATTTCCCACCTGCCCAGATAGGCCCATGTGATGGTTGCCTCCATCAGGAAGGATGGAGAGCTTCTGGAAACCCCTACCCCACCCCACATGCTGTGGGTCCCTGGGGAATGCACTTGCATTTCCTAGATTTCAGAGAAGTGAAGAATGAATGAAATCAGGATGAAGCAAAATGAATTTCTCAAAATAACCCACAGTGTCATAACAATGTATGTACTAGGGAATTGAGAAAACCTTCGGCTAGGTATAAAAATGGGGATTTTTTAACTGAAAAAGAATTTTTGAACTCTTTAAATATCCTATGATTCAGTCTATTTTTCTCCCCCAAGAAATCAAAGCAGTATAATCTTTCATTAACTGGTTGATTATCACTCATGCATCATTGAACACCAACACTATTTCAAACAAGATCTGGTTAAATTGCAAATGAGAATAAATCTGGTGATAAATGGATATCATATTTAATATTTAAATGTCTCTGGTATTTACACATCTCTGGTAGTTTTGTTCTTAGTCAATTGTTTAAGTGAATGTTGAGAAGAAATGAAAGAAAGATGTTTGCTCCTCTTTGAAAACAATTACGGTTTCCTTGCAGGAATATGCTTATCTTTCACATTTCATCAGAAACATAAGAAGTCTGGCTAGAGGCAATGACACTGATGGGAAGAGCTCTATGATGGGGAAAGACTGCTTGGGAAATGCAGCCTTCTACTATATACACTAAAATTATCAATAACGTTGCAAAAAGAGAATTCAATTCCATAAACTAATATTGATGCACAAATGAGCAAAAATCAACAATTGGCAATAAATGACATCTTAAATCTGCATTTGAAGATTTTACAATAGTCAAAAATAAACATAAAAATTTGCTTTCATATTTTCTAAAATGAGTATCAGAGACACTGCATCCTCTCAAATGACAGCTATTGGGACAACCATCTCTAAGGCTACATCTTACGTTTCATATTTATATGCCAGTGAATATTCAAGTTAAAAAGGACACTTCAAAAAAGATAACAAGTCCATGTTTTGTCCTAAATTGAATTGTCGGTCACCTGAACATTCAATCCCACATGTAGTTGGCTCTATGGACTCTTGATAAAAATGTAAGTTGGTTTGAATTAGAAACTACCTTTTCAAGGAGGTACTGTGCATGCTACAAGGTGAAGCACATGACACTCACACGAGGTACACACACCATACACTCAGGTTGTGTACTGGTAAACACTGAAACATCCCTGTTCACAGGAGATTGGCCAGGCCAACTGCATGAAAGACACTGCCCATTCTCAGACTCAGATCCTCCTGCCAACAAGGTAAGCCTGTGAATGATAGATGAGTGTACACATATGCGTACTTGTATTTCCCTTCTCTTTACTGCCTGCCTTCATTTCTGTTTACAAGACCTGCCCCAACCACTTGACCTTGACCATCATTTCACGGCTGCACCTTGCCCTTTGGACCAAGCCCATGACATCTGCCTTGTGTTTAGAAGCTCATTGCCATCCCAGCCTCTTCCCCCAGCGATCTCAGGCACAGCCTCTCAAAACCCCTTACCCACATTCATTCCCACTCAAATACTCTACAATTTGTAATTTTCCCACCTTCAACCTTTAAGCCTTCTCTATCTTCAAAACGGCTAAAATCCTGCCAGATATGAAAGAAGCCATGACATCTTCTCCTCCACCCTTCTTTGTGTGTGGACTCAACAGTGCCCTCCTGGATCCCTCATCCAGGAGGTTGAGGGATTAAGAGGCCCCGCCATCCATCCTGAGATAGTGCAGACCTTGTTGATAAACGTCTCTATATTCCCGGAGGCCAGTTGCTTCCCTATCCCTACCTATTACCGCTGGGGTCCACACGATCTTTGTTGGGACCATGGAGAGAACACAAAGGTAACAATACTTTTCCCCAGGCCTCAGAGCCTCGATTTGTGTGAACTAAGGGGAGAAGAAAGTAGAGGGCAGAGAAAGTCCCCCTGTCCTCCAACACCTTCTTGGAATCAGACACAAGTGTGTTGGTGATGCTCCACCATTGACCAAGATCCCAGAACCATCACTACATTGATATATTTTCACACTGAAAGGCAATGATTCCAACATGAAAATATCTATTCCCTTATGGGTTTGATAAAGACTTTCTACATATAAATAGCACTTATTTACGAACTGCTTTACATGCATTAACTCTTGCACGTCCACTTATCTATCCAATGAGATGTGTTCTCTTATGATCCCTGTTGTACAATTGGAGAAACTAAGGCTGGAAGAGATGGAGTTAGTACATCGCAGAGCTGGGATACAAAGCCAGACAGTCTGGCCCTCAGAACCTGTGCTCTTGACTTTCTCCCCAAATGGTAGTGAACTCTGCAATAAGGAACATAGATAAGATGCACAGAAAGTTTGGTGACAATGTGCGGACACAAATGTGGAACACATAGTTTTATTTATTACTTGGTAGACAATTCTTTGTAATTCAGTGGGTTCTCGGATTTTCTTGGATTGAAACAGAAATTTCTCCCTTGAACACTGAGTTGATAATAGCTCAGTTCACTTCCTTGCATTTCTTTAGGGGTGCTATTTTAATGTCGGGAGAGATATCAAGCAGCAGAAGAGATTCTATATTAAAATGATATTTTCTATTTGGCTACGAAATGAAAGAAATATAGATACGGACAAGAGCTAAGTGAGGAGGCCTGGTGGCAACAAAATGTCCCAAACCCATGCAGCCCTCCACAAAGACCTCATTGTGTCAGGCTGTAACAAATGAACCCAAAGTCATTCTCTAATGTTTAGAGACCTCTTTCAAGAACAGCAATATAGATCTTTAACCAATCCAAAAGTTAATTTGCCATTTATGTTGTTTATACTTCAGCAATTATTTAACATTTTTTAAAATTTTTATTTTAAGTTCAGGGGTACAAGTGCACATTTATTATGCAGGTAAACTTGTGTCACGGGGGTTTGTTGTACAAATTATTTCATTATCCAGGTATTAAGCCTAGTACCCGTTAGTTACTTTTCCTGATTCTCTCCCTCCTCCCACCATCCACCCTCCAAAAGGCTCCAGTGTGTCTTGTTACTCTCTCTGTGTCCATGCGTTCTCCTCATATAGTTCCCACTTGTAAGTGAGAACATGTAGTATTTGTTTTCTGTCCCTCCGTTAGTTTGCTAAGGATAATGGTCTCCAGCTCCATCCATGTCCCTGCAAAGGACATGATCTCATTCTGCTTTATAGCTGCATAGTATTTCATGATATATGTACCACATTTTCTTTAGTAGTTTCTTAGGCTCTAGGAGGAAAAAAAAATCATTTAAGGATCAAAGACTGATGCTGGGATAAAATGTGTCATGGTTGACTCTGGCCCATTCTGAAGCCACATTCCTGAGAATTCAGCACTAAAGCATTTGGAAGGCTTCGAGCTTTTCCAGAAGACAGGTGCATCCTGTGAGAATCACAGCACAATGACTCAGCCTCCCAGCTGCCACCTTCCTGAAGATAGAACAGGGCAGGCATCTTATGGCATGTTAACCAACTCTTTGGAAAAGGGTCATTTTTGTGGCCTGTCACAAGACTGAGGCTGATAGGAAATGCTACTTTACCAATAGTAGACAACATTTGGGGTAAATTGTTTTCTAAAGGCCTAGCAGCTGTCTCAAGTTCTTCCCATGATATTTCTCAGAATTTGAAATGTGATGACTCTGTCTTAAGATCATACAGGTATTTTGAGGTCTGTAGCTACAGAGTACCACCCCTTTCCCCCACTGCTACCCTTACTGGTACACCTGGGAGGATACCTGCTCTTCTATTTGGTTTTTCAAAGTAATAAGCAACATTTTAGAATACATTTAGATTTATAGAAAAGTTGAGATAATAACACAGGAAGTCCCCATATACTTCACATCTCCACATCCAGTTCCTCCATTATTTACACCTTACATTAGTGTGGCACGTTTGTTACAATTATTGAATGACTATTAATGCATTGTTAACTAAGTGCATACATTGTTCAGATGACCCTACCTGCTACCTAATGTCCCTGGTTTGTTTCAAGATCCCATCCAGGATCCCATTCTACATTCTGCCATCATGTCTTCTTAAGCTCCTCTGTAGCAGTTTCTCAGACTTTCTGTGTTCTTGATGACTGTCAGTCTTGAGGAATGCTGGTCAGGAATTATGTAGAATACCTCTCAGTTGGGGCTTGTCTGTTGTTTTTCTCATTTTTAGGCTGAGGTTATGAGAGTTTTGAAGGGGCAAACTACGGAGGTAAAGTACCATTCTCATCACATCATATCAAGGGTAAATGCTATCAACAGGGCTTATCAGTGTCGCTGTTGACCTTGGCCACCTGGCTAAGGTGGTGCCTGCCAGGTTTCTCCACTGGAAAGCTTCTCTTTCCATGTCGTCCTTTCTGGAAGGAAGTCGCTCTGCAAAGCCCACACATAAGGAGTGAGAGTTATGCTTCATCTTCTTGAGGTGGTATATCTACATAAATTACTTGGAATTCTTTCGTCAGGAAAATTTGGCTATTGTTACCATTTATTCAATCATTTATATCAGTGTGGGCTTATTTTACACTTATCACTTATTTTACACTGATACACTTATCAGGGTGTATTTATTTTAAACTTTGGGTTATAATCCAATACCGCCTTATTTGTTCTGTTGCTCAAATGATTCCAGATTTAACCACTGGGAACTCCTTCAGGTGGCTCCCACATCCTATTGATGTATCACCATCATTGCTTGTTTATTTTATCCTTTCTTTCCCCCTCCACCTCTTTTCTTTTTTTTTTTTTTCTTGGTACTTCTTTATTTTCTAACTCTACAAGAAGTTCCAAGTGCTTGGAAGTTCCAAGTTCTTTTATATTCCCTTACCAGTCTTAGAATTAGCGTTCTCAAAGGAGTCCTGGTTCATTTTATTGGAAAATCCTATTAGAAACCAAGATTTGGGGACAGTTGTGTTTATTGCTACTGTGGCATTGTTCCTTGCTTCCAGGTTCTCTTAGCTGACAGAAAAAAAAATGTGTGTATACTAACACATGTATATACACACATCTATGAATATTCCTGTATGTATCCATTGTATCTCTATTCAGCTAAACATGAGTTCGTACTGATGTCTCTAAGTCTAATCAGGTACCACACAGCTCATTCTAGCCTCTTCCCTAGCTTGTTTGTAAACTCCCACTTCATGGTGAGAAACCCAACTCCCATGATCTGCCACCCAGGGCCCTAATTGTTTAATTACAGTTTAGATGTATAGTAGTTTCAGAAGTAAGTCCCTGTTAGAAACAACTTTGTCAACCAGAGTGCAATGTTTAGGTATAGTTCTTTTTGCCTTTAGTCATACAGCTTCCATTCATCTCCAAAGTTACTTAGGTCAGCATCCAATTAGTAAAGTTATTTAACTCATTTGTAATACAATTAGATTGATTTGCACAGTCTCCATTTCATCCTGGGGTCCCATGACCTCTTAAATGCTTTTTTTGAAAATTTTAATTACATTTTAATTCACCTACATTAAGATTCATTCTTTTTGCTGGAAGGCTCTGTGGTTTTGACAAATACATGGTGTTACATATTCATGGTTGCATTATCATACATAATATCCTCAACTCCCTAAAAATGTCCTGCATGCTTCACCTGTTCAGTCCTCTCCTTTCCCCAAATCCCTAACAACCACTGATCTGCTTCTGAACTCTATTGTTTTGCCTTTTTCAGAATGTCATAAAAATGGAGTCATAGAGTATCCAGCCTTCTTAGACTGGCTTCTTTCCCTTAATATGCACTTAATTTTAGTGGTTTGACTCATCATTCTACTTTATAGCTGAATAATATTCTACTGTCGAGAGATGTACCAAACAAAAGTTTGTATTTATTCATCAGTTGAAGCACAGCTTGATTGGTTCCAAATTTTTGGCAATTACGAACAAAGCTGTTATAAACATTGATATGCAGATTTTTATGTGGACATACATTTTTACATCAGTTGGGCAAACACCCAGGTGTACAATTGCTGGATCCTAAGACAACACTGTATTTAGTTTTGTAAGAAACTGTCGAGCTGGCTCTATACTTCTGCATGCCCACCAGCAATGAATGAGAGTTGCTATTACTTAATATCCTTGTCAGCAATTGATACTATCAGATCTTTGGATTTTAACTATTCTAATAGATGCACAGTACTATTTCAAGGTCATTTTAACTTGCATATTCCTAATGATAAATAATAGCGAGCATCTTTTTCTATACTTGTCATCATATGTTCATAAGAAATAATGGTACAAAGTTTTCTTTTCTTGCAATGTTTTTATTTCTCATATTAGAATAATGCTAGACTAATGGAATGGGTGAAGAAGTGTTCTATCTGCTTTTGTTTTCTGTAAGACTGTGGAGCATTGGTATTAGTTCTTCTTTAAATGTTTGTTAGAATTACCAGTGAAGCAATCTGAACATTGTGCTCTGTTTTTGTTTTTGAAAGGTTTAAAATTATTTATTCAATTATTTTAATAGAAATCGGACTATTCAGTTTATCAGTTTCTCTTTGCTTAACTTCTGGAATTGGCCAATTTTATCTGAATAATCAAATCTGTGAGCACTGACCTTTTAAAGTCGATGGGACCAGTCATAGTGGCCCCTCTTTTATTTCTTTCTCTAGTTTTCTCAGGTGTAGACTTAGGTTTTTGATCTGAGATCTTTCTTCTTTTTGAATATATGGATTTATTGCTATACATTTTACTCTAAACACTGCTTTTGCTGCAAACCACACATTTTAATAAGTATTTTTATTTTTACTTAGTTAAAAATATTGTTCAATTTTTCTTGAGACTTCTGCTCTGACTCATGGGATAACTGAAGAGTGTGTTGTGTTAATTCCCAGATATTAGAGGATTTTACAGCTATCTTTCTGCTATTGGCTGGCAGTTTGATTTTTTTGTGGTCATAAGTTGTGAGGGTTGGGGAGTGTTCCATACTTATGATTAAATCTCAGTGTTTTTTGGGCCTGTGTTTCAGGGCCGTGTCCTTCCAAGTGTCTGCCTCTCTTCCAGGTACACAGATGTCCCCACAACCCCCACCCGGCATCCCTGCTCTGTTCTCTGGCTGCAGCATGCCCAATCCATTTCTCTGAAGCCTTGACTCTCGATTATGCTTTTTTTTTTTTTTCACAACTTAGATCATATAGGTAGGCTGGAGAGGGCTGGAGTGGGAAGGAATTTATTTCTTGCAGGTGAGACAAAATTTCAGAATGTGGTTCTGGAAGAGGTTTTTTTTTTTTTTTTTTAAATTTTCCGTGGAGAGTAGACCTTTGTTATGGAGAAGGTTTGATCTTCACTGTGAGAATCTGGTAAGGTTCCTAGAGAGAAAGTCTGTGAAAGTGTGAGGACGACCCCAAGACGGTGGCCTTTAGGAGCTCCTCACTCTCACTCCAGTCCACACTCAGCCACCAACACTGTACCAAAATTGCCATTTGCTTGTTCTTGCTACTTCACTGGCCCAGCAGCTTCTGTTCCAGGTAAGCCAATCTCTGTTGTTGTATCTCGCTGTGACACCTATCTCCCTAGATTTCCGGGTGAGAGTTTATCTCTGTCAATTCAGTTCTCTGTAAGAAAACTTGTTGATTTTCAGTTTTTCCAGGCTTTTCTTTTATTTCTTTTTTTTTTAGACAGTGTCTTGCTTTGTTGCTCAGGCTGGAATACAGTGGCATGATCACGGCTCACTGTAGCCTCTACCTCCTGCACTCAAGTGATCCTCCCACGTCAGCCTCCCAAGTAGCTGGGGTTACAGGAGCACACGACCATGCCCAGCTGACTGTTCTATTTTTTGTAGAGACAAGGTCTTGTCATGTTTCCCAGGCTGGTCTGGAACTCCTGGGCTCAAGTGATCCTCCTGTCTTGGCCTCCCAAAGTGCTGGGATTACAGGAGTGAGCCACCCAGCCTGGCCTCCAGCTTTTTCTTGTTGTAAAGATGAGAATGATGGCCTACAAGCTCTTCATGTGTCAGAGCTGAAATTAAAAGTTAATGCCTCCTCTTTTGTGATCAAATATTTTATTTACCAATCTGATATATATTTGAGCAGCACAATGAGAAACTGGTCTGGACACCACCCTTGGCATTTTAGGTGATTAATATTTATCTTACATTCTAGGAATCATCTAAATGTTCCCATATATCTACTTGAAAAATATCATTGTTTACCCCACAATGAATATAGTAATTTTTTTTGGATTTTATAAACAGTGCATGTTTACAGAATGGAATTCCACTACTTCTGCATTGGCAGACCTAGAACTGTAACTACAGGCAGATGACGTCACTCATTATGCACTAAGATTGAATTCTATTTCTAGTTGCAGCCCTGAAGACAGGAGAAACAAGAGAAAAATTCAAATATGAAGAAGCCAAAAATGGACTTGTTGAGTTAAATCAAGAGGCTTAGCCACCTGTTATGGGATGGCTGGCTTTTGTGAGTTGCCATAAGAGACAGATAATAAATGTATGAATCTACGGAGCATGGGGTATGATAGACCCATAGGAAAAGCTTTGATACAGCCCTTTGATACACCTTAGAACAGACAGGGATTGAATTTTACAAACAAGATGCTAGTCAGTGTCTCTACAAGGGACTTCTCTGGTTATTAAGAAACCTCAGTCCACTAGGAAAATATCCCTAAAGGTGCCCGGAAAGCTACTGCCCAAGCTGTTTGACATTTCATGTTTTCTCAGTAGATAAGTGTCTTCTACCTCCAGAAAGAGTTAGAATTCCATACAGAGATGTTTTAGAGAAGAAGCCCCAAGCATTACTATTTTTATGGTAAGAAATCTGTGCAGTTTAGCTGTAATTTTTATGAGATATAGCATATTAGTATTTATCATATTTGTAATTCTAATTTAAATATATAATTAAGTAATCAATTTAGACAGGTGATACTAAGCAGGACTTTTACTGAGATTAAACCTAGTAGGGTGATATTTAAGGAGTCATAATAATACTAAGTTATTCATGTTGTTTATTTATTTATAAGTTATTAAGATGCCCAGAACAGTTCTGTTAGATAATTGGAGTATTTAAAAAGGAAATTAAATATGTATAATTTATAAATGTAGTTTAATATATAAAGAAGAAAATGAACTATGTTTATAAATGGGTCTAAACATTAATCAAAAATCTCTTCACGTGAGATAACGGAGAGGATCAGAAAAAACACCTATTGGGTATTATGCTTATTATCTGGGTGATGAAGTAATCTGTACACCAAACCCCCGTGACGACAGTTTACCTGTATAACAAACCTGCACATGTACTCCCGAACCTAAAAGTTTTTTTTAAAATCCCTTAAGAGTACTTGTTTAAATTTACGAGATACATACATAGAATAACAAAATTTATAAGTTGAACTGAAAAAGAGGGTTTTTACATTTATAACTTTAATAAATGACCATATTAAAGTCCAAGTAATATTTTAAATATATTTTTTTCTTCACTCAAAAGCATCTGCAGGCTCCAAAAAACTCACCTAAACAAATATACTTAAATCTGATGAAGAAAATAAAGGTCACTAAAAATTCAACCAACCAGTCTGAGGCAATTTTGGTCAAATTTCTACTGACCATGCTTCAATATGTTCTTATGTATGATACACACACACACAACACGTAATATTGCACAAGTGGAAACACATTACGTATGCTGTTGATATAATTAGAGACTTTTTGCCCCTATGTCCACCTTTCTGTCCTTCTCCTCCACATGGACACACTCCCTCATGCTCATCCCTGCCCTCTAGTCTTTATTAATAACCTGGTGTATGCCCTTTCATATTTTTCTCTGCAATCATACACACGCATGTACACACATACGCAATTTTTTGGTTATAGTTCATTTGACAGAACGGTATCTACTACACACAACTCGGCATTTACTTTCCCAAGCAGCAATAACTCATAGCAATTCCACATGACCTGGTATCACTCCAATTCACTTCTTTTTCATGGCTCAGTAATAGTTCTTGCATGTTAAGATGGCTCCAGGCTGTATCAACATCTGACAGCCTCAGGTAAGGTCTGCACACTCCTTCCTGCCTCGCTTTGGCTGTTGAATGACTCAGTTCATTCAGCCAGTCTGTGCAAATCTCAGTTCCCAGGCTAATGATGCCTGCAGTCCTTCTTAACCAGAAGGCCCATGCTGGGAATGTACAACAGCTCTTGTCACAGAGTGAACCTGAAGAGCTGGCTAGCACGGAACATGGCTGCATTCTCAGAATATTATATCGGTCTTAAAACAGTGATTTGGTTTTCACTTTACTCTTGAGGCATGGAATTACTTTTTGGACAACATGGTGCCTGGGTCAAGGTAAATTTGAGTAATTCTACTAAGACCATCCAAGTTGTGAAGATCTACATAGCGCAGAAGTCAACTCGTCTCTGGTACAGAACAGTTCTGCAACTTTGGACAAGTAGTTTAACATCTCTGAGCCACACAGTTGCTTTGCCTGTAAAATGGAAATCATGGTCATGTCCACTTCAGAGGCTGATGCAAGGATAAATGAGATTACATAAGCAAAGCAGTTCCCACTGGGCCTGGCACTTGTAAGAAAAGATCATTGTAAGCTATTACGTGCTTTTCCATACTTGGTAATGTTGAGTCAAGATGTGGCTGGTTCTTGAACTTTTGGGAAATAAGGAATATGAAAATTCTGTGACCATTCTAACTCCTGTCTATTGTAGCCTCAGCATTCTGTTTCCTGCTTCTCCTCTCTGTCTTTGCCTATTCTATGATGTTCTTGATCCAGTTCTCTCTTCTCTCACTTTTCTGCAGTCACATGGTCTCTGTCATTCCTTCCTGGTACATTTAAATGCATCCAGTTGCCAATTCTTTGGGTGGATATGTTTCTTTTTTTCTTTTTTTGCTGATAGAACTTCATGTACCCTGAATGATTCCCCTGGGTTGTTTTTCCTAAAAATATAATGTGAGTAAAATATGTATCCCCGAAGCCCAGGGTAGAGGCAGGTCACAGGAGGCTTCTTGGTCTCCGTCTAGCTCCAGATCTTCGTAAGCATATCAGGGCATTATGACTTAGTTGCCCTATGTCTGCAATGATAGCAGACCTTGTTAATAAAAATCACTATCACTATCAGCTCTTCCTCGTTTGTATGAAACTAGCCTCTTCAGAAATGCAATAGTATTAGGAGTAATTTATTTGCCTGTGTAATTAAAGAATCTACTACACTACATGCAAGAAACAAAAATTAGCAGAGCAAATGTTTATATTATTCTATGAAAATAGTGATACATTACAATGGAGTTATCCACCTTCAGCCCTACTGAGGCATTGGGATATGGTCAGGGGGCCAGATGGTGACCATAAAATACAAAGATGAGACTCAAAACAGACAGTGGTTTCATATCAGTTAACCGTATGGTCCAGAGTAACCATCTGTACTAGCCTCTACAAGAAACACATTTTGCCTTATGAAGTAGGAAAACACAAGAGAGGAAGCTGTCAGGTTTTCAAAATATGGAGGCATTTATTTTCTTTCGCTGTATGTTTAATTTGAAGAATGTTACATAAAGGCCGATAATTAAGACTAAGAGAGCTGCTACTTCGGTCTGTGTAGGGCTCTTTCTGAGCTCTTTAATCACCCTGTCCCCCTTCAGCAAGAGAGCTCAGCTGAAATAATGGAAAACAGAATTTAGTTCTCAAGGACCATTCGGAAGAAAGAAAATGGCACCACACCCATGAGGGCCAAACACTGCCTTCCATTCAAAATGTATCTTCTCCACCCCTTAGGATCACCTGATTCGACACTTCTTCAACTGTATTCATCTGCAAGCAAATTTGGCCTCACTCCCAAGGACATTGCAGCTAGGAAGTTAATGATGATGCATCACCAGGCTTGCATTCCTTTTCAGAAAAAAAAAAAAATCAGGTCCCTTTACACTGCACCAACAGCCATCATCATTACTGAGAGAGCTCCGTCACATTAGATGCAATAAACGTATGTTTGTATCATCAACGGGACTAAGAAAAAAAGCTCACTGTTGCATGGATAATTTTTCTATTATTCAAAAGTAAGGTTGTTTTGCTAAAACAAAAGTTGCCAAAGCCCCAGGTGATGAAGTACAATGTGGCTGTATTATCAAGTACCATATCGAGGGTGGAAACACTGTGGGTTGGAAATAAATTTCCTCTGTACACTTGCTTCCATCTGCACACTTAAATATATAAACTTGTTTCTGCCGATGCAGCTGCATGTATTAAAGAAGAATTCTAAACCTTGAACTTAGCTGCCCATGTTTCTTGCCTGCATTCTAGAAACTGCTTTCTGTGTATAGGTAGCAGGTTGCCTTGCTTTGTATGATATGCCAAGCACTGAGCCCAGGGTGTGGCCCAAAGAGGAAACTTAATCAACATTTGATTAATGAATAAGTCAAAATATGCTTCTCAAAGTGCCCACTCTGAAGAGCATCGGAGCTCTGGCTCACGCTCACCGTGTTGTAAGGTCACCATAGCCCAGGGCTTCTGGCTCTTCTCTATCTGGTGGGTCTCCGTGGATGTGGGCTAGTTTATCCTTCCAAAATCTGTACAGAACTTCCAGTTCTGTAGGGTGTTACTTCCAGGGTACAAATACATGGGGTAAGGAGCTAGATCTCAGGTGCTGTAGTCAAAGGAAAGAAACACCCAGCCCTCAGACACAGAGCACATGACGGGTTTTGAGTGACACCAGGGGTCAGGCTGCCCAGACTCACAACCTGGCTCTGCTTCATAGAAGCCTGGGGTCAACTGAGCCCTAGGCATTAGTTCCCTCATCTTTAAAATGAGGTTAATAATAGTACTGAAATCATTGTGGAGGAATAATTATTAAATGAGTTAATATGGATAAACAGCTTGGGACCATGACTGATCTACAGTAAGCAGTCAGTGTCTACCTAATTACACTCAGATAACCGAAACAAAGATGTTTCATCTTACTAGTGTCTGAGAGGAGGCTGCCAATGTCACCAGGCAAGGCACATGAGGAGAACAGTGCGAGAAGCCATGGACAGCTTTATTACTTCTGACAATGACTGAACAACTGTCTTCCAACTCTCCCGTCAACTCCTGAAAGGTAGGTGTCTAGTGCCCATCACACATCCCAGCGCTAGCTCTTCAACAATTCTGTGGAGACTGTTCAGTCCAGGTTTGCTGAACAAACACTGCAACAAAGCTAGGAGGTTGTAGACATTTCCTGTGGCTGCTGGAATAAGTTCTCACTCTTGAAATAATGCACATTTATTCTCTTACAGTTTTGGAGATGAGAAGTCTGAACTCAAGGGTGTCAGCAGGGCTGTATTCCTTCTGGAGGCACTAAAGAAGTTTATTATTATTATTATACTTTAAGTTCTGGGGTACATGTGGAGAACATGCAGGTTTGTTACATAGGTATATACATGCCATGGTGGTTTGCTGCACCCATCAACCTGTCATCTACATTAGGTATATCTCCTAATGCTATCCCTCCCCTAGGCCCCCACCCTCTGACAGGCCCTGGTGTGTGATGTTCCCCTCCCTGTGTCCATGTGTTCTCATTGTTCAGCTCCCACTGATGAGTGAGAACACGTGGTGTTTGGTTTTCTGTTCTTGTGTTAGTTTGCTGAGAATGATGGTTTCCAGCTTCATCCATGTCCCTGCAAAGGATATAAACTCATCCTTTTTTATGGCTGCATAGTATTCCATGGTGTATATGTGCCACATTTTCTTTATCAAGTCTATTACTGATGGGCATTTGGGTTGGTTCCAAGTCTTTGCTATTGTGAACAGTGCTGCAATAAACATACATGTGCATGTGTCTTTATAGTAGAATAACTTATAATCCTTTGGGTATGTACCTAGTAATGGGATTGCTGGGTCAAATGGTATTTCTGGTTCTAGATCCTTGAGGAATAGCCACACTGTCTTCCAAGTCTCTTAAGGGCTGCCTAAATTCCTTGGTTCATGGCCTCTTGCCTCTCTGTTATGAAGATCCTGGTGATGACACTGGGCCTGCCTGGCTAATCCAGGGTCATCTCTCCATCTCAAGATCTTTCCCTTAATCACATCTGCAAAGGCATTTTGTCATGTAAAGTAATACATTCACAGATTCCGTGGGTTGGGCTACAGACATCCTGGGGAGGGGGTGTATAGTTTTCTGTCTACCAAAGAGCTTGTGGAAGATTGGGAGAAAAATTGAATCAGATATGGGGATATGTGGGAGGAAATGAAGGAAAGATGGCCCTCCCTGGGGTAGAATCTGAGGATTTTTTAAACCATAATACTCCAAAGAATCAACTGGGTGCCTCCAGGAATAGAAATATAAGACTCCAGCCCCCAAGTCTGATTCTGTGGTCTGGAAAGTGGAATGGGAATCTGCATTCTTAGTTAGCTCTCTCATCTCCAGTGAAAACGACCCTTGGACATATTTGGACAAGCATACTCAGGATGTGGCACTCCAGGTGGAGGAACTGAAAATGGGCCAGACTTTGGCTCATGAGAATCTCCTCTTTACACAATAATCCACAGCCAAAGGCTCTGTGTTTTAAAACCAGGGAGGTGGTAGAGCTGGATAGCTTTTGGGGACATCTGGGCCTAACAGCGAGTAGGAGAGGGGATAGAGGTGTTCACCGCTAAACTCCACCTAGCAGGTATGTTGGCCTAGGTGTCCTCTCAGAAGGAGGAAGACAGAGACAACCAAGCGCTCTGAGTGGAAAGCATTGCGTCTTCTCTCACATGTGCCATAGCAGCTGGGGGAAAAGAAAATGACTAATTTGTGTGTTGCCTAAATAAGCAACACCATCCAGAAGCATCTCTTTCCTTTTCCATGCCTAAACCATGTCTAAGTACCGGCTTGACATGGCCTTAAATGACATGCAACTATTCTTTTTGGTGACAGCTCCCAGAGGTGACAGTGCAGTACTCGGGAGGAATTAAAAGACTTTCCGTAATTTTCTAGAATCCTACCACTTTCAGGTGAGAATGACTGTGCCCTTCTCATCTGAATCTGACAGTGATATAAGTCCCCATATAAGGTGATGATCCTGCTTCTCTTTGCTTGAGAGGCAGCGTCAATGCCACTCTGAAAAAAAGTAGATTCTAATTTGAGCATCATGTGTATCATTCACCGTCTAACTTATGATCTTTTAAACTTTCCCTAGGAATGGCTTCAGAGATGGAGAACAGTTATGTGTCCAGAGTGGAATCAGGCCATTATGATGGATTACCATCATTTCTCCCTATCTCTAGAAAGTCTGCTCCAAAGGTCTTTTCTGCAGAGAAGAATGCACAGCGTTTCAGGATGTCAAAACCTTAAATACCCGGATACTTAAAGATGAATCGGGCCCTAGCAAAGAACAGGAAAATTAGTTTTTCCTTTTTTTTCAAAGTGAGAAGAAATAATGATAGTACATGCTGGAAATATAATTTTGATATCACAAGTTTCTTAGGAAAAGGAAATAATAACCTATAACAACATTGCTTTAGATCACAAGATAGAGAAGTAGGCCTGTTTTGTATATGCTATTTTTGGATACCTGCCTTCTTAAATTTGAGTTAATCACTTTACTGTGCAAGAAGAAATCAAAAAAAGCAACGATGAAAGAAGAGGCTCCTTCTAAGTTTTCAAGAGATAAAGAAAGTAATTTTATAAGAGAGGAAATAAAATGTAATGCTTTTTCCAGCATAAGGTGAATGAGATCATCTGGGTTAGGAAGTTTTTCTATGCTGGGAAGATATGATAAAGTAATTGAACATAAGTGCCTAGAATTTTATAGGAAACTTCCAAAGTCACTTGATTTAGAAGGACAGATGAGGCTCAATATGGCTTCTTCCCTCAGAAGTGGCATAGGTTACAGCAGTAGAAACTTAATCCAGCCTCAGAAAGAGTTCCCAAAGCACTCAAAAGTTGTATGCAAAAGACTTAGAAAACCGGGCTGGAAATATTTTATACAGTAACCCTGAATGCTTTAGGATGGTTACTTTTTAATGTATTCCATGCTTGTCTAACACCTGCCCATTCCAGGGGGTACATACGCAGGGGCCTCTCCAGGCGAGCATCTCAGTTATACTTCCATCAGGTCCTGGCAGGAACACTGGATAGGGAGGCTAGATTCACTGCACATCGCCTCTACCATAGCTGCTCAGACCTTCATGTGCACACAAAACACCCAGAGATCTTGTTGGAACACAAATTGCCAGGGTACAACCCAGGGGAATTTGCATTTCTCACAAGATCTGCCCCTGGGCCCCCTGCAATGCAGATGCGGTGGGTCCCCAGACCCCACTTTGGGCAGCACCGATCTATACAACCACAGGAGGAAGCCCTCCCGATTAACATTCAAGCCAGGCAGGTGAAGGCTGGCCACATCTACCTGCCTGTCCCACAGGGACCTCCACCTTTCCTTTCTATTCCCATTCTACCTTTGTTCAGTAGGCCTTCATCCCCTCTTATCTAGCTACTGCAGTAGCTTCCTCACTGGTTTTTTTTTTTTTTTTTTTTTTTTGCCTCCTTTTCTATTCTAACTCTACCCATTCTAATGTATCTTGCATACAGATAGATAGATATTCATTACTTTTCTGCAAATACATCTTGGATTACACTTTGTCTGCCTTTAATAGCATTCTGTGTCTTCCACAAGATGACAGTGAATTACATGTGAGCCTTTTCTACCTAAATTACCTTATATTTTCCAGCCTTCACGTTTTTGTTCAGGCTGTTCCCAATGTCAGAAATTTCTTCCCCATTCCCGTCCTTTCCTCTGCTTACTGAAACTGCATAGTTTTTACTACATAGCTCCAATGCCCCCTCCTTTGTGCAGTATCCATTGATTGCCCTGTGTGAAAATATTGGATTCCTCCTCTACATTCCAATAACAAATTGCCTGACAGGCATGCATGCCATTTGTGACGAGTGCCACTGATCCCCTTGTAACAGGTATTTGTAGCTTCCCCACCATATCTAAGCTTCTTGGGTGCAGAGATCCTGATGATTCTATCAAGATCTATCACATCTTACCCACAGAAAATGACTAATGGTAATGGTGCTGGGAGAACTGGCTAACCGTACGCAGAAGATTGAAACTGGACCCCTTCCTTACACCACACGCAAAAATCAACTCCAGATGGATTAAAGATTTAAATGTAAAACCCAAAACTGTAAAAGCCCTGGAAGACAACCTAGGCAATACCATCCTGGACCTAGGAACAGGCAAATATTTCATGACAAAGACTCTAAAAGCAATCACAACAAAAGCAAAAATTGACAAGTAGGATCTAATTAAACTGAAGAGCTTCAGCACAGCAAAAGAAACTATCAACAGAGTAAAGAGACAACCTACAGAATGTGAGAAAATATTTGAAAACTATGCAACTGACAAAGGTCTAATATTTAGTATCTATAGGAATGTAAACAAATTTACAAGGGAAAAACAAACAACCCCATTAAAAATTGGGCAAAGGATATGAACAGATGCTTTTCAAAAGAAGACAAACATGTAGCCAACAAATATATGAAAAAAGCTCAATATCACCAATCACTAGAGAAATGCAAATCAAGACGACAATGATATACCATCTCATACCAGTCAGAATAGCTATTATTAAAAAGTCTAAAAAAAATAACAGGTGCCGGTAAGGTTGCAGAGAAAACTGAACATTCATACACTGTTGGTGGGAGTGTAAATTAGTTCAATCATTGTGGAAAGCAATATGGTATGGTGATTCCTCAAAAAGCTAAAAAGCAGAACTACCATTCAACCCAGCAATCCCATTACTGGGTATGTATCCAGAGGAATATAAATCATTCTACCATAAAGACACATGCAAGCAAATGTTCACTGAAGCACTATTAAGAATAGAAAAGATGTGGAATCCACCTAAATGCCCATCAATGACAGATTGAATAAAGAAACTGCCGTATATATACACCATGGAATACCATGCGGCCATAAAAAAGAATGAGATCACGTCTTTTGTAGGGACATCGATGGAGTTGAAGGCCATTATCTTTAGCAAACTAATGCAAGAACAGAAAACCACATGCCACATGTTATCACTTATAAGTGGGAGCTAAATGATGAGAACTTATAAACACAAAGAAGGAAACAACAGACACTGGGTTCTACTTGAGTGGGGAGGGTGGGAGGAGGGAAAGGAGCAGAAAAGACAACCATTGGGTACTGAGCTTAATACCTGGGTGATAAAATAATCTGTACAACAAACCCCAGTGATATGTGTTTACCTATGGAAGAAACCTGCATGTGTACCCCTGAACCTAAAAGTTTTTTTTTTTTTTTTAAAAGAAAGAAAATGACTTTGTTAGATGGACTCCTGAAGGAATGAATGAACAAATGGATGAACGGTCAAAATAATCAAGTAAATAAAGTAATGTTTTAGGCTCTGTGGTGATCGTGAGTGCTGTCTGTCACATGTTTCCGCTCATCTACCTTCTGAGCACCTGGGAAACTTGTTCTGCCTGGTCCCTTGTGGTTGGATGGGGCCATATGACTGGCTTTAGCCAATGAGCTGTGAGTAGAAGTGCCATGTGTATCTTCCAACCAATGAGCTGTCAGCAGAAGTGCCATATGTGTCTTCTGACCCAGGAAATGTGAGCAGAAGTACCATGTGGTACCATGTGTGTCTTCCAGCCAATGAGCTGTGAGCAGAAGTACTACATGAGCTTCCAGCAAATAAGCTGTGAGCATAAGCACCATGTGTAGCCTTCAGTGAATGAGTTGTGAGCAGAAGTGCCATGTGTGGCTTCCAGGCTGGAAGCCTTGTTATGATGGCACCATCCAGGCCACTCTTATTGACACTGTGACATGCAACTTTGAAATGGTGCTTGTTTTGTCAGTCTGGGATCCTGAGCCCACAATAAGCAGATCCCCCTGCCCCCAACCCCACAGTGGGCATATTGTGTGAGTGATAAACAACTCTTTGTTTAAGCAGCTAAGAAGCAGGTTGCTGCGTACTGAGCAGAACCCTCTATCCTCACTGGCACAGGACTTTTCTGGATCTGTTTCCCACCACTCATTTCCACCTCACGTACAGCTCTTCCAGCCACGACCAGGTCCTTCTCTCAACAACTTCTGTCCTTGAAGGTGACCCCTTATTACCCATTTTATTCTAGTAACATAAGACTCCCCTGTGTCTGGGGCTTTGCTTCCTGTTTTCTATTTACAGCTAATGATATCTGAGTCTCCCACCTCACAGCTGAGTGATCTGGTCTGTGCTTTGGGACCACCCCTGGGATTCTGTTACAGTGAATGTTCTCATGTATTTAGACTGACTTTGGAACATGAAAGCTCAGGAGAAGAGGTCTCCCTGCAATACTCCTGTTACATTTTGCAATTTAGAATTAAAGCAGATGTACAATCATAAAGAAAAAGGAAAAAAATAATAAAGTGATTTTTTTAAAAATAAAATTTCAGTCTTTGTGGGAGGGGATGGATTGAGCATTTCCTTGATTGGATTGTTTTGCTTTGGTAAAAAAGCACAGACTGTCTTCTTAAATGCATTTCTTTTTCTTTTTCAATAGTGAAAGGTAGTGAAAAAAGGAAAGAAATGAGCACTTTTAACAAGAATATTTTCACACATATTACCTGTACAGGAGACATAATCAGTGCAAAATGGAAATGTGAAGCTTCTCATTCAAAAACTAAGATTTGCAAGATGATGACAGCAGTAAATAAATAAAAGCATCGGTTTTTTCTGAGTGTGGGGCCCTGTGTGACTGCACCGTTTGCTCCCCCATAAAGCCAGCCCTGCCTGTGACATGGCAGCCTTCTAAAATCCTAGATTTTTTGCTCCTCCACACATTGTTTCAGCACTGTATTCCATGACTTCAGAGAATGCCCAGGTGTGATTGCTGAATTCGGTGAGCATTTCTGGAGGAGAAAAGGATAATGCAAAGAAAGAGGAATGGAACACCCTTGCCAGCAGCCACCATTGCTTGTCATCACATTAATTTCCCCCAGTGTCATGGAGACGGTCTACCGGGGCAGTGATCCACACAGGCATCAGAGGGAGGGACCTCTGACGGTGACGGGGTCATTTCCCATCTGTGATGTTCATTTCAGTCCTGTCAACCCCAGAAAGCACAGCTAAAGACAAGTGGAAAATAAATGCACCTTGATGCCCAAATGGGTTGTTCCTTCCCCATTTAGACAACACAAGGAGGAGACCATTTTTAAACTGGTCTACTGCCATGTGGAAATGGACCATTCTGTCACGGTGAACTAATATCTTATGACTTTTATCATACTGATTGGAGCCAAACTGTTATTAAAATTCACAATTGTGACCGGGAAGAGTGGTTCACGCCTGTAATCCCAACACTTTGGGAGGCCAAGGCGGGTGGATCACTTGAGGTCAGGAGTTCGAGACCAGACTGGCCAACATGGAGAAACCCCATCTCTACTAAAAATACAAAAATTAGCTGGGCATGGTGGTGGACACCTATAATCCCAACTACTTGGGAGGCTGAGGCAGGAGAATCGCTTGAACCCAGGAGAAGGAGGTTTCAGTGAGCCCAGATTGTGCCACTGCACTCCAGCCTGGGTGACAGAATGAGACTCCGTCTCCGGAAAAAAAAAAAAAAAAAAAGTCACAATTGTGCAGCAGTAGACTACTCTCCATTTAATCAATCATTTTCTTAAGTCCCTGTGCCTGGTTTGCATTTTGTTTTCTGTGATGCAGATCTAAGAGGTCTGAGATGAATCCTGAAGGGATGGGGCGCACGAGGAAAGCTGCTGAAGGTGTTCTGGACCAAAGCTAAGTAGCACCTTCTGCTTCATGGTCCCTCACAGCAGTGGTAGGTAGGTAGTTAGGAGCTCTGCTCAGGTTGGGGCGGCGAGGGTGGGAAACGTGAGCCAGAAAAGCCCCAGAAGTAATCTGATGTGCAGTTTGTAACAGACCTCATTTTCCTCCAGAAGCCAGGGGGTGGGATGGGTGAAAGAGGAGTTTTAAAAAGCAAGAAAGCTCAGTGCTGTTATGATTTGCATGCAGAAGTACTTGAAAATCTGTACTGGCAATTAGCTAATGAGACAGTGCTCATTTCCGCCGACTGCCAAGGGCTTGACTTCCTAGAGAGCTGAGCGAGGCACTGGGAATCTACAGGAAGAAAATCGAGGGAGGGAGGGAGGGATGCTCCTGCTTCCCCCAGTCACCTTGAACCCCTTCCTTACATGTGGCAACCATGTTGTTCCAATGCCAGCCCAAGTGTCACAGAATAGCTGTGAGAGAAAATAAACAAAGAATCACTCCAGTAACTTTCAGCACAATTTATTGGCACTTGTGTCTTACGGCTGCTGCCGCCTGTTGGGGTAATGACACATGATGGGTGATTAAGGTGCAAGTCCTTAAATCAAAGCTGTGCATTTGGTCTGGAGAGGCAGCCAGCAGCCCTGAGTTTGCTCATCCCTCTGAGTGGGAGGACCTCTTTAGGACAAAAAGGGGCCTGTTATCCTAACAAGGGCAAGTCCTCGTGTCTGGGAACTGTTTCATGTTTTCAGGATTTACCCTAGCTCCTCTCTGACACATGAGAAAAAAGGAAAGCTGAGAGGGTAGCCCAGTCCATCATAGCTTGCTGGGTGATTTCGCATGAGGTTCCCGGGGCTGGGATGGCTTCTGAAGATGCCTCCACCTGCACCTCTCCCTGAAGGGAGGCCTATCAAGCAGCAAGTCAGGGGAATTTTGCAAGTGTTTTGATGACATGAATCTCTGCTTTTCACCCTTTCAGGGTTGGTGCTGGCAGGGAGGCTCGCTTAGGTGGGTGGAGCTCATAGTCTCTCTTTTTCCTTTATGCCAGGAATTAACAAATGAGGAAGAGATTGTGTGTGAGCCTCCCTGAGCCATGGACATTACACCTCTGGTCTGCCATGGGCTTTTGTGCTTTTCATTATTCTGAAACTGGACAAATCAATGACGCTTTCATACTTATCTAGCCAGGAGGAGGAACGGGGATGGTAGATTGCTGATAAGATCCAGGTTCCTGTTCCTTAAAAACTAGGAGCTCCACAGCAATGGATCAGAAGGGGCCAAGCTTACCTAAGCTGGCAGGATAGGGAAGTCCCTTCTGTTTTAGCCCTTTAAGGACAGTCACTTTTAAACTACCCATCAGATTTTTGTTCTCTGTATCTGCTTTCCTCAGGCCTTTTCTCTCTATAAACCCCACCTCCTCTGCTCAGCTCATGGGAACACTCATTCTATGGCATCAAATGAGGTGTTGCCTGAATCTAGACTCTCAAATAAAAGCCAAAGGAGATTTTAAAAAACATCCTCAAGAAGCCTGTTCAGAGAGCCTGAGTGAACATGGGCAAGAATCCCATACTCACTTCCTATACGTCCAGAAAGAAGCAGAAAAGAGGCTCTGGCATGGTGGCTCACACCTGTAATCCCAGCACTTTGGGAAGCCAAGGCAGGTGAATCAAATGAGGTCAAAAGTTCAAGACCAGCCTGGCCAACATGATGAAACCCAGTCCGTACTAAAAAAAAAAAAAAAAAAAAAAAAAAAAAAAAAAAAATTAGCTAGGTGTGGTGGTGCATGCCTGTAGTCTCAGCTACTCAAGAGGCTGAGGCAGGAGAACTGTTGGAACCTGGGAGGTGGAGGCTGCACTGAGCTGAGATCTCGCCACTGCACTCCAGCCTGGGCAACAGAGAGAGACTCTATATCAAAGAAAAAAAAAAAGAGGCCCCAGGAGAGCAGGATCTTGGGGTGGGTAGATGTGCACTACTCATGACTAACACGGTGAAGAAGTATCCAACAGCAATGAAGGTGAAGTCCATACTACTGTAAAGAACAGTGCTAGAAATCAGGCAGAAGCCCACAGTGGATAGCCTGGAGAGGGCCCAAGTTTAAATCTCAGCTTTTTAATTTCCTGCTGTGTGAGGAGTCCCCAGGATGCAGGACTTTCAATGTGGAGACTGAGAGAGTCCCAGGGAAACTGAGACAGCTGGTCACCTATATGTGGCCTTGGGTCAATCTTTAACCTTGATGAATGTATTAGTCCATTTTCACACTGCTGATAAAGACATACCTGAGGCTGGGAAGAAAAAGAGGTTGAATTGGATTTATAGCTCCATATGGCTGGGGAGGTCTCAGCATCATGGGGCGCAGGGAAAGGCACTTCTTACATGGTGGCAGCAAGAGAAAAATGAAGAGGAAGCAAAAGCGCAAATCCCTGATAAACCCATCAGATATTGTGAGATGTATTCACTATCATGAGAATAGCATGTGAAACGCTGACCCCCATGATTTAATTACCTCCAGCTAAGACCCTCCCACAACACATGGGAATTCTGGGAGATACAATTCAAGTTGAGATTTGGTGGGGGGGCACAGCCAAACCATATCATTCTACCCTTGGCCCCTCCAAAATCTCATGTCCTCACATTTCAAAAACAATCATGCCTTCCCAACAGTCCCCCAAAGTCTTAACTCATTTCAGTATTAACCCAAAGTTCACAGTCCAAAGTCTCATCTGAGACAAGGCAAGTCCCTTCTGCCTATGAGCCTGTGCAATCAAAGCCTAGCTACTTCCTAGATACAATGGGGGTACAGGCATTGGGGAAATATAGCCATTCCAAATGGGAGAAATTAGCCAAAACAAAGGGGCTACAGGCCCCATGAAAGCCCACAATCCAGCAGGGCAGTCAAATCTTAAAGTTCCAAAATGATCTCCTTTGACTCCATGTCTTGCATCCAGGTCATGCTGATGCAACAGATGCATTCCCATGGTCTTGGGCAGTTCCACCCCTGAGGCTTTCCAGGGTACAACCTTCATTCCAGCTGCTTTCATGGGCTGGTGTTGAATGTCTGTGACTTTTGTAGGCACATGATGCAAACTGTCAGTGGATCTACCATTCTGGGGTCTGGAGGACAGTAGCCCTCTTCTCACAGTTCCACTAGGTGGTGCCCCAGTAGGGACTCTGTGTGGGGCCTCTGACCCCACATTTCCCTTTGACACTGCCCTAGCAGAGATTCTCCATGAGGACCATGCCCCTGCAGCGAACTTTTGCCTGGGCATCCAGGCATTTCCATACATCTCCTGAAACCTAGGAGGACATTCCCAAACCTCAATTCTTGACTTCTGTGCACCCACAGGCTCAACACCACATGGAAGCTGCCAAGGCTTGGGGCTTGCACCCTCTGAAGCCATGGCCTGAGCTGTCCCTTCGCCCCTTTTAGTCATGGCTGGAGTGGCTGGGATGCAGGGCACCAACTCCCTAGGCTGCACACAGCATGGGCACCCTGGTGTTGGCCCATGAAACCATTTTTTCCTCCTATGCCTCCAGGTCTGTGATAAGAACGGCTGCTATGAAGACCTCTGACATGCCCTGGAGACATTTTCCCCATTATCCTGGGAATTAACATTTGGCTCCTTGTTACTTATGCAAATTTCTCCTCAGAAGATGGCATTTTCTTTTCTATCACATTGTCAGGCTGCAAATTTTCCAAACTTTTATGCTCTGCTTCCCTTATAAAATGAAATGCCTTTAACAGCACCCAAGTCATCTTTTGAATGCTTTGCTGCTTAGAAATTTCTTCCACCAGATACCCTAAACCATCTTTCTCAAGTTCAAAGTTCCACAAATCTCTAGGACAGGGGCAAAATGCTGCCAGTCTCTTTGCTAAAATATTATAAGTGTCACCTTTGCTCCAGTTCCCAACAAGTTCCTCATTTCCATCTGAGACCACCTCAGCCTGACGTTATTGTCCATATCACTATCAGCATTTTGGGCAAAGCCATTCAAGTCTCTAGGAAGTTCCAAACTTTCCCACATTTTTCTGTATTCTTCTGAGCCCTCCAAACTGTTCCAACCTCTGCCGGTTACCCAGTTCCAAAGTTGCTTCCATATTTTCAGGTATCTTTTCAGCAGTGCCCCACTCTACAGGTACCAATTTACTGTATTAGTCTGTTTCCACACTGCTGATGAAGACATACCTGAGACTGGGAAGAAAAAGAGGTTGGATTGGACTTACAGTTCCACATGGCTGAGGAGGCCTCAGAATCACGGCAGGAGGCGAAAGCCACTTCTTACATGGTGGCGGCAAGAGAAAAATGAAGATGAAGTAAAAGCAGAAACCCCTGATAAACCCATCAGATCTCATGAGACTTATTCACCATCACACGAATAGCACAGGAAAGACTGACCCCCATGATTCAATTATCTCCCACTGGGTCCCTCCCACAGCACATGGAAATTCTAGGAGATACAATTCTAGTAGAGATTTGGATGGGGGCACAGCCAAATCATACCAATGAACATCAGTTTTGTCATCTGAAGCAGGGC